>NC_000019.10:31615874-32240874 GCF_000001405.40 Homo sapiens | reverse complement strand
AAATTAGTAGACTAAATTAGTTTAGGAAAGCACAAAAAAGTACAATATTAAAACTTCTTGCAAAATATAGGTTTTGCTTGCCAGATTCTCAGTGACAAATGAGCATTTCTAATTATTTTATCTTCACGTTTTTGTAATTTGGTTGAAACAGCCAAGAGACTGGTGGGGAAAAGCTGAACTGGGCATTGGTTGGTGTAGTCTGAGAATGAAGCAATGACTTCAATAATCATTCCAATCCTGCTGCCGGGGTCACCTACCATAGCATTGGAGGAGGTGGCGAAGATCAAACTTGCACTCGTGTGTTGGGCTGTTGGGCAGGAAAATCCACTGTTGGACGGCTCTGTTGGAGGACGTTTCTGGAGGTCACAGCTCAAGCCATGAGAAAGTCTCATGGTTCCTTGCTGGAGATGGCTCCATTTCTTTCAACAGAAAGTTATGAAGAGGAGACTATTTATGTGCATGCACATCCTGTACCAACTTGTCCACAACTCCTCCACTGGCGCAGTCCTATGATACTTCAGGTGCCCCGTGATGATTGTGTCACCTGAAGCTTGAGTAAGAGAACTAGGCTTCACCAAATGCTCAGTACCCACCAAGCCATAGTCCTTGGCCTGTTGTCTTATGGAGTCCTCCCTGTACCGCCCTCCTCTCCTTCCAGGAAAGGCCCCAAGACCGGACACTGTATTAGGCTGTTCTTGCATTGCTATAAAGAAATACCTGAGACTAGGTAATTTATAAAGAAAAGAGGTTTAATTGGCTCAAGTTCTGCAGGTTGTACAGGAAGCATAGCACCTGCATCTGTTTCTGGTGAGGCCTCAGGAAGCTTCCAAACATGGCAGAAGGCGAAGAGGGGGCAGGCACCTCTCATGGTGGAAGCAGGAGCAGGAGAGAAGGGGCAGGAGCCACACACTCTTAAACAATTAGATCTTGCAAGACCTCACTCATTATTGCCAGGACAGTACCAAGTCATGAGGGATCCACCCCCATGACCGAAACACCTCCCACCTGGCCCCACCTCCAACATTGGGAATTACATTTCAAAATGAGATTCCAATGTAGACAAATATCTAAACTATATCAGGTACCAGCTGTTTAAGGGCACGTATACAAATGGCAGAATTGAGATTGAAACTCAAGTTCAAAGCCAAGTTTCTTTCACCCTGCTATGCCTCGCCATCTCCAAAAGAACCCAGCAAGAAAGAGTCCATCTCATTCTTTTCCTTTTGTCCAGCCTCAAGGTGGTTTTGTTTGCAATTGGTCCTTTCTGATGTGACCCAGAGATGACCACATGCCAAGAAGGTTTTAGGAAGAAGAGTTTGCAATACATGTGGTTAACAAAAAACAAAACAAAAACAAAAACAAAACAAAACAAAACAAGAAAATCAGCATTATATGATTGGAAAAATAACCAGATCCTGTGGCCTTTTCCAATATTCATTGGAATTCACTTTTGAGTGTGGCAAAATAAACAAGCTTGACCACGGGCTAAGTGCAAATGGAAGCACCTGCAAGGGAATCCCATTGTAAGGTATCTGGGAGAGATGCCATTAAAAAGTTCATCAAAAAATCTCGGCCAGTAGGCCGGGCACAGTGGCTCACACTTGTGAGCCACTTTGGGAGGCCAAGGCAGGCAGATCACTTGAGGTCAGGAGTTTGAGACCAGCCTGGCCATCATCTCTACTAAAAATACATAAACTAGATAGGTATGGTGGTGCATACCTGTAATCCCAGCTACTCAGGAGACTGAGTCAGGAAAATTGCTCGAACCGTGGAGGCAGAGGCTGCAGTGAGCCAAGATAGCACCACTGCATTCTAGCCTGGGCAACAAAGTGAGACTCCATCTTAGAAAAGAAAAAAAAAATCCCAGCCAGTACTCTAAGGTAAGAACTGGTAGACATAAGTACAGACATTCATATCATCAGCAGATATGTTAAAGCAGAGTAAATTTGAAAGGCCCTAAAAACAGAAGCAATCACCAAAGCAGCCAGTTAGACATCAAATGGAACTGGATGGGGGTCACCATTCGGTGACTATTCTGGATGCTAAGTTCTAGGCATTGAACCAGGGTTTCCCTGCCCCACATGCTGAAATACTAGCCCAGTAGCTATGGTTGTTACTTCCACTAACACACATGTGTGCATTAATGATGTGCAGTTTACAGATGCATAAAGTCTTAGGTCTTCGTGGTGGCCTGTTAGACTGGCACTGGTATCCCTATTTTACAGATGAGGAAATTAAGTTTGCTCCATCACTTAGCCCAAGGAATGCAGTTAAAGCACCGTTTAGTTGTAGACAGAGGGGCAAACATACTGCACAATACGGTTTAGGGAAAGTGCTTAGAGGGTCCTTTGTGATGTATTCTGCAATCCCCATGCGATGAGTGGCTCTGTGAAATTGTCTGTCACCTGGGGTAGAATTAGTGATGTTCACCAGACATGACCTTCTCTTCTCCCACATTTCCCAGCTCCCTTGCAAATAGGAAGATGTGCCTTATTCTGGTCAAAAGAGTGCTTCCAGGTGAAAGCATAGAAGAGCCTGTGTGTGACTAACTATGGCTTTCTTTCACTTCCTCTGCCTGGGCAACCACAGACGCCTTGTGTTGAGATACAGGAGCTGCAGAACAATACAGCCTGATCATTGAGACACATGGAGTGTGAGGCAGCTGCCCTTGTGAGTCTTCCAGACCCTCAGCACAAGAAATTAACACTGTGGCTGGGCACAGTGGCTCACTCCTGTAATCTCAGCACTTTGAGTGGTCAAGGCAGGAGGATTGCTTGAACTCAGGAGTGTGAGATCAGCCTGGGAAACAGAGGGAGACCCCATCTCTACAAAAAAAAGAAAAAAAAATTAGCTGGGTGTGGCAGTATGTGCTTGTTAATTCCAGCTACTTGGGAGGCTGAGGCAGGAGGACTGCTTGAGCCCAGGAGGTTGAGGCTGCAGTGAGCCATGATTAAGCCACTACCCTCCAGCCTGGGCGACAGAACCCTGTCTCTAAAAACTTAAAAAAAAATAAAGAAATAAATTAACACTTGTATCAAACTACTGAGATTTTGGGACTGTTTGTTGCAGCAGTGCGAGCCTGCCTTATCCTGATTTACACAGCTGTAGGCACTTGCTTTGGTGGGATTCCAATTACAGCTGGGATTCTTCCCAGGGTCCAGAAGCAGCAGTTCCTCTTCTCCTCCTTCTGCCTTCTTGGCTTCCCACCCTGTTTGGTTTAGATCAGTGATGACTGACTCCCGCGAAGCCCTTTGCAATCTTTGTATTAGGGATGCAGTATAGAAATGAATTGTATTGTTTGTGTAGATGTCACCCTTGGCTCCTCCTTACTGAAATTGACTGTAACAAGTGGTTGGAGTTTCCACTGGAGGGTAATTTATATTTGTTTGAGCTGCCACCAAGTCCTTATTTAGTTTGCATAAACTACCCAGGACGAAAGAGGAATCTCCCTGGACCCTGTTTATCTTGTGAAAGTGGAGCTTGTGCTGGAGGGCGGATCACTCTTCACATGGACCTCCTTCCACCCCTTTTAGCAATGAATAATCAGTCATCAGCAGAGGGGATTAAAAAATAGATTTATTGCTATTTCTAAAAGTCAGAACGAAAGGATGAGTAAACACAACAACAGATGTATAAGAACGTAAGTAGGAACACTATTTTACAATAACATGTACTGAAACACATTTATGTACTGGAAACTATGAAAAATAGCTCTCTTTAAATGATTTAACATTTGCTGTGTCTTATATACAGTTGAGTTTCCAGTGGGAGAACAAAGATGCTCGCAGCTCTCTCGGCCCTTGTGAAAACCCTTCCTCAAAACCTTCTGGAAGGTTCTATGAAGCAGTTTATGGCTTAGGAGGAAATAGGAGCTGTCTTGAGCATACATGTGTGTTGTTCTATTTTCCCACTTCCCCCACACTTTGTGGGATCATCATGGGGGTTCAGGAAACCCCATGGCCAGAGTCAAGCAAGAAGGTCATTAATTTTTTTTTTTTTTTTAAAGAGATGGTGTCTCAGTCACTATGTCGCCCAGGCTGGTCTTGAACTCCTGGGCTCAAGTGATTCACCATCCTTGGCCTTCCAAAGTGCGGGGATTATGGGTGTGAATTTCTGGTAATGACATTCTCTTCTGGGGAAACTGCAGAGCTGACTTTCTCATGAGGAGGCTTGCATTGTGTGTCTGATTGCCTTCCTGAGATAACTCATTTTTTTAATTAATTTTTTTTTTTTTTGTAGAGATGGGTTGCCCAGGCTGGTCTTGAACTCCTGGCCTCAAGCAATCCTCCTGCCTTGGCCTCCCAAAGTGCTGGGATTACAGACTTAATCTCGCCTCCTGAGAGAATTCTGTTCAAGAAGCTTCTAGATAACTCATTTCTGCTGGCGAGAGAGGTTTCACAGCTTTGGCTCTTTTTAAAAATCCTCATCAGGTGGGCTGTGTGGCTGGTTGGACTGATAACACGGAAAAAGATTCTAAAAAAATACATCAGTTCCATAGCCACATCTAGACATACTCCATTAGTCCTTGAAAATGGGTGATTTTTGTAGCGTCTTAAAACATGGATTGGCTGGAAGGATTTTTAGCCTTGGGGTTTTCGAGGACCCAAAATACCAAGGCAGTCTGAAGCTGCCAGAGTCAACCTCTGGGTGATGTTGTGGACCAGAGTTTGGGACAGCTACACAGTGTCACAGCAGCACAGATATGAAAAGCCACATGCAAAGTCCAGCCTGGTCCACATACCAGGGAAGAGTATCTTTTCTGGGGATCGGCCTCTTTCTAATGACCTCAGTCTCTTGTTTTGGTGTCTGTTTTACTGTAGTCTTCCCAATTTGGTTCAACCCAGTGACTGGAGAATGATAGAGGAACAATATAATTTGAAATGGGGGACAGAATTGAGGGCTCAGATTTCATATACCTTTGATGTAAACAAATCTCTCTTTTATGCTATTTTCTGGATGTGGCTTGGATAGCGCAGGTCTGGTTTCCACAACCCTCTCCCCTACTCTTGTGCAATTAGCCAAACCATTTCTTTTTCTCTTGAAGGAAGCGATTTGAATGAAAGGCACAGGTGATCACAAAATTCAGAAAAATAAGGGCAAAATCTGCAATATTTGGAAGGGAGAAGCAGAATGTGTGGCTTGTAATGTTGGTTTTGTGCACACCAGATCACAAGCATGTGTGTGCGTGTGTGTGTGCGTGTGGGTGCATAGGCACACATGTGATCCCTAAGTGGAATTGCCTGATTTGGAAATCTGGGGCAGAAAAATAGGATGACATAGGTGTGTGCTGATTTTTGCACGTATTGCGTCTCTGGTTTCAGTATTATTGAACTGGCTTCTATCTTTTTCTCTTCCGCAGTGGCATTGAGCAACCTTCCTACTAATGCAATATTAAGGACCGCATAATTAGCCACCTTAATAAATTTTTCCAAGATGGATAGGCAACGTTTGGCTTTACTCAGAAGAAAACATTTCTCTAATAGTATTCTGTGGGAAGCTACGGAGAGAACAATGAACAGAAAGATCTGGAAATATATTAAGATATATGTGCATATATTGGATATTAGCACCATACACTACGCATATTGGGAATATGCTTCAAAATATTTCAAACATTGTTGACCTTTGTTATATAATCCCAGGCTCGGGGAAACATATTTGCATAGACTTAGCAATATATTGTAAATAACTACATAGGACAGTGGGTATTTTTCCTTAAGATGCAGTATTATAAGCCAGACATTAAATTATGCCTATCAGACAAAGCAGCCGGATCTCCACATTTTTTTATAGCACATTCTATCAGGAAGACATCCGTGCTTCTAAAAAGCACATGTATTAACTGCCTGATTCATGTGGTGACATGTGGCATATTCGAGTGTGTTATGGATCTCTCAGGAATAAAAACAACATAGCAAAACCATCACCTTGGGATGTTCATTGAGTGAATATTTTACAGACACACTCCTTTTATATTTATATAATAATTTAGTGTTATGACAATTTTTTTAGCAGAGTTGGCAGTTTTTCTTTTTTATAATGGTATTATATTTGTGAGCCTATTAACTGCATATGGGATAAACTACAGAAAAAAGTATTTTTCATAAGTCCTCAGGGTGCTTGTAGCAAAAAAAAAAAAAAAAAAAAAGAAAAAAAAAGAAAAAAAAAAGACAAAACCACCACACCAAACATATTGGTTTAGAAAAATGTTAATAAAAGGTCAAGCAGAACTTTCCAATGCTTAGCATGACAGCAGCGGCAATTTGGAGGCTTTTTTGAATTGTATATTGAGGAGACGTGGAGACTTATGGGGCTTCCAGCAGGAAAACAGCACCTAATGTCCTTTCTGAAAGAGAGATTGACCCTTTGGTAGGGTTTATGATTTTTTTTTTTTTTTTTTTTTTTGAGATACAGTCTCACTCTGTCACCCAGGCTGGGGTGCAGTGGCGTGATCTTGGCTCACTGCAACCTCCGCCTCCTGGGTTCAAGCGATTCTTCTTCCTCAGCTTCCTGAGTAGCTGGGACTACAGACGTCCGCCACCACACCTGGCTAATTTTTGTACTTTTAGTAGAGACAGGGTTTTGCCATGTTGGCCAGGCTGGTCTCAAACTCCAGACCTCAAGTGATCTGCCCGCCTTGGCCTCCCAAAGTGCTCACAGGCGTGAGCCACAGTGCCCAGCCAAGTTTTTAACAAAGAATTAAAACCGCATGTTGCTTCTCTCTCCTCATCCATTTCTCCTCTACAATGAGCCCAGGCCAGTCTCTGGCTTGGCCTGGGTCCCTGGGAGCTGGCAGTGCTGGGCCTGCTGGCATTGGGCACCTCTTAGCTGGGCATCTTCCCAGGAGCTGGGGGAGTGAATGGTGACATCTTGGGGTACTTCCCTCCTTTTTCCATCTTCTGAGGCAGAAAGGCAAAGCTGTCTCTCCAAGTCAGAGGAGACAGAACAGGTGCATACGGAGGACAGGGCCAAGGTCCACTTATAGAAGAGGAGCTGGGCAGAGGCTGTTGGCAGGACCCATGACCTGGCTGCCCATGCAGGAGGCCCCCTGCACTTTCCCCTCCCTTCCTAGGTGCCCTGCAACTGGGAGATCAGGTAAGGACAGGGAAACATCTTGTAGTTCTTTCTGTAAAGATTTTATTTTTCTTTTTATTTTCTAAAGATGGGGTCTCACTATGTTACCCAGGCTGATCTTGAACTCCTGGCCTCAAGCCATCCTCCCCACCATCCTCCCAATGCTCTGAGATGACAGGCGTTAGCCACTGTGCTCAGCCTTGTATTTCTTAATTTCTTCCTCACCCCTTCTTTTTTCCTTTCAAAGAACTCATAAAAATGCAAAAATAGGGCATGGCTATTTGGAGATTTTTATTTAGCCATTGCCTGCATGTGAGCCTGTTTCAGGCAAACCCATACACTATGATTCCTGCTGGCCTCAAATTAAACTTCCTCAATATAGAGATGTTCTCTGTGAAGAAGTGGACAGAGAGTGACTGTCTTGGAATGGATCCAACATGGCTCCTGGGGGCGGAAGCCCAGCCGCCCAAGTGCCCAAAACGGCAGGACACACCCTCCCACAGCCATTTGGCGGTGGCCCTTGTGTGAGGTGGAGACAAGTCCAGGAGGTGCAGAAAATCAGTCACACATTGTCCTGGGACCTGCCGGATTGTTTGTGTCTGCACTGCATCCCATCAGCTCTGCACTGAAAGTATCTTTTCACAAATGAAAGCAAAGGGGTCATTAGAACCCAGGTCTGGGCCAGGTGCAGTGGCTCACGCCTGTAATTCTAGCCCTTTGGGAGGCCAAGGCAGATGGATCACTTAAGGCCAGGAGTTTGAGACCAGCCTAGCCAACATGGCGAAACCCCATCTCTACTACTAAAAATACAAAATTTAGCCAGGACATGGTGGTGGGCACGTATAATCCCAGCTGGCTTGAGCAGGAGAGGCTGAGGCAGGAGAATGGCTTGAACCCAGGAGGCAGAGGTTGTAGTGAGCCGAGATTGTGCCACTGTATTCCAGCCTGGACGACAGGAATGAAACCCTGTCTCAAAAACAAACAAACAAACAAACAAACAAACAAACAAACACACACACACCCAGATCTGGCTTCTACATTTGGGAAGGTAGGAGCTTGTACAGTGGCAGCGATAGGGTCGGGTGGAGAGTCCCCCAGGGCTAGGAGCAGAAGCCCGCCGTGGCATCTGAGCAGAGAAGAGCTCTCAGCACAGCATTCAGGATTAACTTCCATCTACGATGTTCATTTGGGTATTTCCTGGGCACCACTTTTCCATGTGCCAAGCTCTGAGCTAGGTGCCAGGTACACAGACTAGTGAAGCATGCCACCCTCGCCCTTGCAGGGGCAAAAACGAATCCAACCATCCCTCCGATGAATATTTAATGACAATGGTGGTGAGTGAAATGAGGATGGAGTACTCTGTCCTATGAGAGTGTGAAATGGCCAGGTCGTGCTGAGTGAGGTAGCAAGGTCACAGCTTGTCTTGATTTAAAATTTTGATAATCTTGCTCATTATGGATTTTGAAAAATGCATTCATTGTGATTTTTAAAGAGATTGCACTTACCTTGATTGTTGAGTTTTTTGGTGCTCAATGTGAGGTGAGAGCTGTCTAGAACTGGAGGCTGGGTGAATCCCCTAACTTTCAGGGTGGTTAACATACCTCATTACCTTCCAGCAAAATGCTCTTTCACCTCCGGTCTGCAACTTCCTGTGAACTGTGGGGACTGTGTTCCTCATGGCGTCTCCTGGGTGGGACGAGGTCCAGGTTCGTGATCTTATATTCTCCAAGGGGCAGCTTGGAGAGGTTAAGCAGACTCCTCCAGGCCATCAGGCGTGGTCCAGGGCTGGGGGTGCTGATTTAACATTCCTCTACGGCCACCCTTGGGTCAGAAGGGCAAGTTCTACAGACCACAAGTTCAAGGCTTGCTCCCTCCAGGACATGTCCCCTGCCTGCCCAGCCACACAGGCCTCTGCTCAGTTGGCTCTCTCCGGGGCTCTGTTGGGGCCACATGACACCGGTAGGACTTTGATTCCTCTCTGACTGCTTCCGGGGTTTTCTCATGGCTGCTTGGATCTGCTTTCCCCAGACTGACAGTGAACACCTGCCAGTCTCCAGTTTCACTGTTTCATCCTCAGGTCCCTTAAAAGATAGCTCAAGAGCCGAGCACTTTGGGAGGCTGAGGCAGGCGGATCATGAGGTCAGGAGATTGAGACCATCCTGGCTAACACGGTGAAACCCCGTCTCTACTAAAAATACAAAAAATTAGCCGGGCGTGGTGACGGGAGCCTGTAGTCCCAGCTACTCAGGAGGCTGAGGCAGGAGAATGGTGTGAACCCAGGAGGCGGAGCTTGAAGTGAGCCGAGATCGTGCCACTGCACTCCAGTCTGGGTGACAGAGCGAGACTCTATCTCAAAAAAAAAAAAAAAAAAAGATAGCTCAAGGGAGAGCGTTCCTGGTTTAAAGTGTGCTAGGGTAAGCCTGAGTGCGGTGAAGGTGACTGAGAAGGCACCCTTGGTGGGGACAGGGCAGCCTCCCAAACAGACCATGGGATGCAGGAGTCGGATTTGACTCATGCAGGCTCTGTCTTTAACATAGGCAGGGCTTGCTTTTGGGGCAGGATCTCATCCCCGTGGGCCCTCCCTTGGTGACAGCAGCAACGTGACACAGACAATTCCTAGACGCGCAGCCTGGTGGGGAGAGAGCGGGTCTGGGTGTCTGAGCCCTTCCTCCAGTCCCTCCCACACTAATCTTGCAGCCTGAGTGTGGTGGAGCATCTGCTTGGGAATCTAATGCAGGGGTCCAAAAATGGGCAGATTGTCTCTGTGTTTATTAGATGTGCTTGTCTACCTCCGAATGTGTAGCAACTCTCATGCCTTTGCCACTCTGTTCCGAGATGGAGGGAATTGAGCAGCTTTTGTTGGAGACGATTTCTATGTCTGGTGGTGGTGGAGATGTCTGCTCTCTGATGAAGAGCATGGAGAGGCCCTCCATGGGGTTCCGTTCCGGCCACTGGGGGAAGCCTTTTGAAATGGAGAGGCCTCACTGCCCACTTTCCACCCACCATGTCCTTGCTCCTTGCACCGGGTAAAAGGCAGTCACACCCTTACACATAGGGCTGCCAGTCTGAGTGTCTTCAGTGGCTCCTTTGCTCTGAGCACTCACTGGGGTCTTGCCCTCCAGGCAGCTCTGGGTCCCGTGAGGAGAGGCAGGAGCCCAGGGCTGGAGATCCCAGGCTCAGATGTGATGCTGATAGGCGATGGGCCAAGAGCATCAGGCTTCTGGCTCCTTCCTGTTCCTCTTCCTCTGCTCTGCCCAGTGGCAAATGACGTCCTTTAAACATGGGATAACGATGCCTTTCGCCCCCCTAATGAGGGGCTTTCATGCTCATTATGTCATTAGAGTCTGGGGACAAGCTTAGGTAATTAGTGCCATCTTACAGATGGGGCAACAGAGACCAGGGTTTGTCCAACTTTACCTGCCTGCCAAGGGCTCTGCTTCAAGCCTGCTGGCATCTGCTCCTTTGGTCGCCTTGAAGGCAGGTGGATCCCCTGTGCTGTGTCCTTCCTCGGCAGAACTTGGGGAGTGTCTCTTGGAAGGTGATTTTTTTTAACGGAGGTAAAACCACCCAGCCCCCTGGGCATGCGTGTCCTTCTTTTCCCCCACAGCTGATGCTCGGTATGAAACTGACAGCATGGCCTGAGCGCCACCCTGAAATGCCATGCTGCTTTCTGGATATGAAACTGGTAGAGAAACAAGCCACTGGACGATGTCTACACAGTCCTTCCATTCCCCCTGTTCCTTCCTATATTTAGAAAACACTCATTAAGTGCCTACCAAGTGCCAGGTATCACGCTGAGTGCCAGCGCAGAGCAGAGGCATTCAAGTCCAGAGGAGAGATGCTCACCGATGTGCGTGTCCGTATGTGTAACCATGTATGTTCTCACTGCTTCCTGTAAGCAAGTGCCTTTGTTGCAGCAGTCGGGGTGGAAGGACCTTCCGACTTTATGCTGTGGCTGCCTTGCTGTGGTGCGGCTGTCTCTGGGATGGGCTGTGGCCAGTTGTGATACCTTGGTGGTCTGGCATGTGTGTCAGAGACTGCTGGTACTAAGATGTCCTTGGTCCGTGCTGGGTATCACTTGCTGGCATGGAGACTTTTCCATGCCAATACTAGGGGCGGGGGGAGTCTTGAGTTAGCTTTTGCAGTAGCACCGTGCCCAAGGTATTCTTTTGGAGATGCCCTTCTCTTATCACATGCCTTACTTGGGACAGATGGGTTTTCAGTTCAGTGACCCCCACCTGGAGTCCCAGATACCTCTATCCACACAAGTACCTCCTCCTCTGGTGCCTTTGTATTCATTCATCCAGGTGGCACCCCAGGCATTAGGACACCGGCTGAATCCCCAAATTGCCTTGCACAGAAGAGCCCCATCCTGAGCCTATGGTCCCCCTGGTGCACACAGAGCAGCCCCCTCCAGGTTTGGGCAAGGATAATGGAAGTTGCGAATTTACCTCTGACATATTTGACCCCAGTGTCTCAGCCCCCAGATGGCACAGGACCTGCCTCGGACTGTGTCCTCAGGGCCCAGCCCACAGTTCCTCCATCCTCCACCACCCCAAGGGCTTTTTCTGGCTACAAAGAAGCAACTTCCCCAAGGGAGGGACTGGGCAAGGGCAGACACAGATCTCTTGAGAAACTGGGGACCAAGTGCATGGTAAAATGGGATTATGGGCTGGGTAGCGTGGCTCACGCCTGTAATCCCGGCACTTTGGGAGGCCAAGATGGAAGGATCACTTGAGTGTTTGAGACCAGCCTAGGCAACGTAATGAGACCCCCTTCTCTACAAAAAATAAAAATAAAAAAAATGTAGCTAGGTGTGGTGGCATGCACCTGTGATCCCAGGTACTTGGGAGGCTAAGGCAGGAGGATGGCTTGAGCCCAGAAGGTCGAGGCTGTAGTGAGCTGTGATCAATCACATCACTGCACTCCAGCCTGGGCAACAGACAAAGACCCTGTCTCATTAAAGAAAAAAATAGTTAATACTGGAAGAAATGGGACTATGGAAACAGGAGAGGCAAAGATGAGTGTAATTTCTGGGACATAAGATGTGCAGGCCTGTAATAGGCACCTCAATTTTATAAGAATTATCTTAAGAAAATAGTTTGATTAATTTTTATCATGCAAGAGATGATAATGACTTTAAAATGATTGAGGAGGAAAGACATCATTTTCCTCCCATATAAATATAGTGGGATGACATTAGAACCCAGGAGGAAATAAATCCTGGAAATCTATTAGTTAATCTCCAAACCCTGAAAAAAATGTGTAAGACCACATAGATTTTGTGCTTCCTTCCATGACATGGTGCATTGGATGCAGGAAAACTTTGCATGTGCATTTTTGGGAGAAGTGTGATTTCTATGCTGACACCTGTGAAGGTGGACATGAAAGCTCCTGAAAGTGTAGATGACGATCATGATTCAACAGAACGCTCTTCTTTCTTTGTTTAGCCACTGACTGTCCAGCGTTTTGGTTGGACTCAAGGCCAATGCACAAGATGATTTCTGGGCTGGGGAGAATGGGGGGTGGTGTATCCTGAGGGCAATCCCCTTAGCCTGATTCTCTATTTTCAGGGACATCCAGATCTCCTGAGGGATGAGCTACCAGAGCATTCCAGCTGACAAGGGGCTCAGAAAAGAAACACATCAAGATTCCACCCCCACGACGGTTGCTTACTCAGTTAGCAAGTGTGAACCGCCAGTGCCGCCAGGTTCCCCGCACCAGGCCACTCCAGGCCAGGCACAGCTCGTGCAGTGACCTCCTGAATCGGCCTCCCTGCTGCAGTTCTGGCACACTGGGTTCCATTCTCAACCGGGAGCTGGCGATATCCTGGGAAAATGAAATCAGGTCTCGTCGCTCTCACGCACAAAGTCTCCAACGGCTCCCATCATACACAAAAGAAAATCCACACTCCCTCCTGTGCCCCAGAAGGTTCTCTGGGCTCTTGCCACCTGTCCCCTCCCCTACGCCTCTCCTTCGCCTTCTCCTTTTCAGCCACACGGGGCTCCGCGCAACTGTTCCGCAGGCACACCAAGCCCCTCCCCTCCTCGGGCCTTCGCCTCGGCTGTTCCCTCTGCGGGGAAATGCTTGTCCCAGATTCACAGGTGACTCGCTGCTCACCACACTCAGGTCTCCTCACCGTCACCTCCTCTGAGTGGCCCTCCCGGAACCCCTCCCTAGCATAGCTCCTTCCCCAGCCGGTCGGTGACCCTCGCCCTGCTTCCCTCCACAGCAGGCCATGGAACATCCCCACGGGGCTGCTTTCTTGGTTTGTTCCTTTTCAGTTTTCCTAACCGTGGAGCTTATCGACTGCTCTACAAGGGCAGGGCTTTGTCTTGTTTACAGCTGTTGCCAGGCTTGAACGTGCTTTGCTCTGAATGTGTGTTTTGAGAGTATTGGATTTAAAAAATGAGCAAATGAATGAGCATTGTCTTTTTTTTTCTTTACTTTTTTTTTGGTAGAATGGAGGCTGGTCTCGAACTCCTGGCCTCATGTGATCCTCCCGCTTTGGCCTCCCACAGTGCTGGGATTACAGGCATGAGCCCCCTTTGCCTGGCCTGAACAAACACTCTCAAGTAATGCTGGTGGGAACGTAAAATACAATATTTCTAGAAAACCACTAAAACTATTTTTCTTCTAAACAATTGATAAAAAATTGTTAAATATATAAAGAAAAAAGAATATTAAAGCAGCCAAAAGAATATTAAAAATTACTTGTAGTCCACCTGCCATTATTATTATTTAAAGGAATACCTTATAGGTTTTTTTTTCCTATGTGTGTAGAAAGCATGGTTACAATGTAACTTGCTTTTTGCTATAAAGCAGTATTTTATGAGACCTTCTTGAATATTAAATGTTAAGACATCCTTAAATGTTAATTTCTACAACATTACTATTGAGGACTTGATTGTATTATCTTATGATATTATATAATCTATGTAAAATCTGGTTGCCTATTGTTGGACATTTGGTTTGTTTCTGATAGCAATGAACAATCTTACAGGTGAATCTTTGTACATACCCATGATAGATTCCTTTGGAAGTAGAATCTTTGGGTCACGTGTTGTAAGAATTTTGATCATATTGTGAAATTACCCTTTATAAAGTTTACCAGTTACCTGATTTACCCTATCACCTGTGGTGTTGAAAGGATTCGTTTATCCATCCTTGACAATACAATCATTGTTTTTGTGTTTATCAATATAGGGACAAAATTTTCTCATTTTTGTTTTAATTTGCATGTCTTTTGATTATTAATAAGACTAAACATCTTTTATATGTCTATCATTTGTATTTCTTTTGGTGAATTGCTATTCATGTCCCCAATTCTATTGAAGTATTTGTCTGTTCTTCATTTGTGAGAAAGCTCTACACACCTGGGGCATTAACCTTCTTTCTGTTATGTATATTGAAAGTGTTTTTTTCTCCTAGTGTTGGTTTACCTTTCAATTTCAAAATTATATTTTTCACATGTGGGTATTTTAAATTTGTGCACCTCAAATCTGGGCATTTTAAAGTTTTTAGCTTCTGCCTTTGCAATTGGACTTAGAACTTCTCTATTACCATATATGTAAATATCACTTTTATAGTTTCACTTAAAAATTTAAATCTTTAATCCTTATAGCATTCATTTGAATATGTGGTATGAGGTAGGACACTAACTTTTCTTGTTTTCTGAATGAGTGGCAGATTGTACCTATAACTTCATCAATCAGCCATCCTTTTCCCACTGATATAAAATGGCTTTATGTTAAAATGTAAGTTATTGCCTATTTGCTCCCTTTTGTGCTCTCTATTTTGTGCTTCACTGTTTAAATTATTGTAGCTTTCTGTGATATATGTTAATATCTTTGTTGAGGAAGTCTCCTCTCTTTTTTCACAAACATGTTTTTTGGAGATTTTTCCTTATTTACTCTTTCACATGGAATTTGGAATCAATGTGACAAAATATCAAAAAAGCTTTGATGGAATTTTTATTGGCCTTGCATTCAAGTGAAAGATGAGATGAGTGGGGACTGATATGTTGGTGATACAGTTTTTCTGACCACTCATTTGAGCACTATTTTATATTCACTCATCATTTTAAATAATATTCTCCACATAGGTATTATACATCTAGAAAATAGTAATGCTACTAAGAGCTTTAAAAATGTTAATTCTCAGCTGGGCGCAGTGGCTCACACCTGTAATCCGAGCACTTTGGGAGACTGAGATGGGCAGATCACCTGAGGTCAGGAGTTCGAGACCAACCTGGCTAACACAGTGAAACCCCGTCTCTACTAACAATACAAAAATTAGTCGGGTGTGGTGGTGCGTGCCTGTAGTCCCAGCTACTGAGGGGGCTGAGGCAGGGGAATTGCTTGAGCCAGGGAGGCGAATGTTGCAGTGAGCCGAGATTGCTCCACTGCACTCCAGCCTGGGGCATGGAGCCAGAATCCATTAAAAAAAAAGTTAATTTCTTTTCATTTAATAATTCTGCCTTTATTGATGGATCTTAACAATATAAACAAAAGTTTCTGAATAGAGGTTTCAGTTATAGCATTATGCACAAGGATGAAAACATTAGAAACTCTTTAAATGAGCAATTGGGAGATGGTTCAGTAACTTTTGGTGCAGTCCCAAGTTGAAATATTACACAGCCCCTAAAAAGATATCTGTGAGGCTATCTTGTGTGACAATAACTTTCGTTTAAGTGATACCTAGGAAATCAAGGTTTAATATTGTAGGAAAAGCTTTGTATTTCATAGGTACACAGAAGACATCGTAGAATGCACATAAAGACTGGAGATAATTGTACGAAAACGTTAATAAGAGCGGTTATCTCTGGAAGAGAGGTTATGATGAACAAAAATGATTATTTTAAATATGGGAGCTCTCTGTCCTTTCGAATGTCCCTGTAATTTGCACGCACATTGAGCGAAGGGCGCAAAGCGAACATTGGCGGGCAGCGAGCGGGCGGGAGAGCCGGGCGGTGGGGCCGGTGCAGTCCCGCGCGCGGCCGGAGGGTGGCAGTGTCCGCTCGCAGACCCGTGGCGAGCGGCCTGCTGACCTCTGTCGGCCTCGGCCGCCTCCGGTTTATCACCGATCGCAAGAGCGGAATGAACATATTTACTTGTGTTTTGCTTTCCACTTATAATATCTAGTGGCATGGGAGGGAAATGAAAACAATTGTTCATAGGGGAAATTTATGAGCTTCATCTGGCTGCGTGATTTCCGCAGTTGCCCCGCCGCCGCCCGGGGACTCGGTTGCCTTCTGCATCCTCGGGCGAGCAGGAATGCGCTTTTCCAGCTGCCAGGGCGGCCCGGCGGGGCCCTCGGAGCGGGTTTTGGTGGCAGCTGCCTCGCAGAAGCAGAACTTGGCAGGCTCCCTTTCCTTCCCCTTGAGTTTGAGAAGGGCCCCAGGTTCCCTGTTTTCGGGGTGTCAGGGTGCTCCTGGGTTCATGCTGCGCTCCCCGGGGGTCCGGATGAGCCAGCGTTTCTTGACAATCCAGGGATGTCCCTAAAACGCGGTCCCCTTGTTGGACTAGGGTGGGGCAGGGCTCTGCGGACCTTCAGACCCTCGGGAAGGCCTCTCCCGGGTCATGGTAGCGGGTGGAGGGTGGGGGCAAGTCCCTTCCCCTGCGATGCCAGCTGCATCCTGGGACCTGGGGTCTCATTTCCAGAACAGGGGCGGGGACCCCACGAAAGGGACGCCTGAGGGCTGAGGGTTTTGCTGGAGCTGCCTGTCTTTAGAAAAGGGCAGGAGATGGGGGAGCTTCTATCCCTTTCCAACCCGGCTGAAAGCAGGGCCCCTGGCTTAGCGCGATTGGACCGCAGGTGCTTGCTGGGATGGAGGAGACGAGGGGGAGACCTGTGGTGTCTTCAGACGCCTGGGGCCTCAGGCTCACAGCACTTGCTCCTGGGAACCTACCCTGCCTGAAGCTCAGCCCTAGGCAGGAACTTTCTTCTGGAACTGAACCGTTATGTCACCCTGATGAACGGCTCCCTCCCAGGCTGTGGACTGTGCCGTGCCCAGCCTAGGCAGAGAGCAGGCTGGGGGCTTACCCTCCCGGTGTGAGCTGTGCCTAAAGAGGGGAAGCCAGGCCCACTCTAGCAGGTGCCAGGAGCGTAGAAGAAGCGAGATATTAAAACCACAAACCGCAGCGACTGCCAGGAACACACTGCAAGTGGGCTTTGATATGGAGACTCATGTCATTGGATGCACGTCAGGGCATGTATGTGTGTGTTTTTGTGGGGTGCTGATCATCTTTATATTAGGAAGAGCTGTTCATGGTTATAATGGATCTAGGATTCTCCCTTCTTTCTTTCTTTTTCCTTCCTTCCTTCCATCCTCTCTTTCTTCCTCTCCCTTTTTTTCTCCTTCCTTCCCGCTTCCCTCCCTCCTTCCCTCTATCCTTCCTTCTACCCTCCTTTAATCCCTTCCTCCTTCCTTCTTTCCTTTTTCTCTCTTTTTTCTTCCCTTCTTCCTTCCCTCTCTCCTCCCTTGCTCTTCTTTCTGTTTTCCTCCATCCTTCCTCCCTCCCTCCTTCCTTGCTTTCTTTCTCTCTTCTCTCCCTTCCTCCCCCTCTTTTCTCTCTTTCTCACTTTCTTTCTCTTTTTTTCATTCATTCTTCCTCTCTCTTTCCCTCCCTTTCTCCTCCTCTTTTCTCTTTCTTTCTCTTTTTTTAAAATTCATTCTTCCTCTGTCTTTCTCCTCCTCCTTCCCTTCTTCTTTATTTCCTTCTCTTTTTCCTTCCCTCCCTTCTTCCTTCCCACCCTCCCTCCCTTCCTTTCCCAGCTTGGGGGAGGTTTCCTTGAAGTGGGTCTTTGTGCCCGTGGGATTCTAGGAAGCCAAAGTGCACAGGGTCCTTGCTCCCTGGCCTCACAGCCACCTCTTAGCCAGGACTGCTCTAGCTCTCTGCCTGCAGGGATGTGCCAGGATGCTGCTGCTGCCGGGAGCAGTGTCAGGGTCACTTTGGAGGAAGTGACCCCCTGGCCCTACCTGTTCCAGGCAGACAGGTGAGCCTTTGGTGCCAATCAGCCGGCTTGGTGGGACTAAATTGCCCTGGGGCCACCTCAGCCTTTCCCAGGGACCGAGGTTCACTTCGTCTAGGACTGGTTTCCTCTAAGTGATGTTTACTCTGGCAGAAACATGAGAAGGGGAAACTGGTTCACTCTCTGTCTTGGAGAGACTATTTAAAGAACCTGTGCAATTGCTGGTGAGGACCTGGGCTTTGCATGTGCCAGAGCTGGTAGGTTGGTTCTTTGGGGTCTCTGGCCCACGGGACCCTTCCTAGGCTCATTACAATCCACCATGTTTCCCCAGCAGCCTTACAATCGAATTACTCAAAATTGCACTGCTTTATTGCATACAGCTCAACTCCAAGACAAGCAAAGGCCCAGATAATGAACAATTATTTATGACAAATTATTACCTTTACATATAAGATTAACAATTTCTATTAAGCTCAGTATAGGTGACAACCTCTCTTAGAAAAATGTGTGTGCAGTTCAGCAAGTGCCAGCTTGAAGGTGAGGTATGGAGGGTGCTGCGTTTGTGGGTGCACCTGCTGGCTGTTCCGGAGGGTGTATTCCAGGCCAAGGGGAGCCCTTGGCTGATGGGCATGAGCTGTCAGGCCACTCTTTCTCCCAAAGGCAGCCATGTTCCCGTCTCAGCTTGGAGGCTGGCAGTTTTGATGGGGCTTCCAGCTTTCTTCATCTCCTTTTGAATGTATAATAATGAAAGCACTAAAGAATGTGAAATGTTTCTTTAATTGCATTTAAGGTTAAAAAATTCTGTTTTGTTTGAAACTGAACTTAACTTTTAAAATTATTTATGGACTCAATAACGTATGTTTGGGTTATTGAACCCTGTCTCCATGCTTGCTTTTGTGACTAGAATCCTCTCCCAGCTAATTATAACATACAGTATTTTCCCAGCAGTCTTACAATCAAATTATTCAAAATTGCATTTCTTTATTGCATATTGCTAGAACCCAAGACAAGCAAACATCAAGATAATAAACAATTATTTATTGCAAATTATTACCTAATATATAAGATTAACAGTTTGTAACTATTAAGATTAATACATGTGGTAAACTGTATTTATTATACTTATTTCGTAGCAAATATCTTTGTATAAAACATATGTTTATGTATTGCAATTAATGAGAAAAAGTGTAAGATTAACAATTTATGTTGGGTTTTGTTTTTAGATTTATGCACACTGTAAAACTTATTTATTGCACTTATTAAAAGTATTTAATGATGGACTTTTAGATGCTATATTTTTAATGTGCAAATATAAACTAAAGGAGTATTAAATTACAAAATAGAAAATTATAACTGAAGTCAAAGAATGTAACTATTTTCTGCTATAAATCTGCTTTAAAAAGATCATCACTGGAATTACCGAATCTTTAAATAGTGGCCTTATAGTGCATAATGAGTTTCAATGAGTTATCCTTTGAAAGGCTTTTTTCATCATTAAAGCTAAACTCAACATCTTGCTCTTAAAGATAAATGTAGCTAACAGCATAAACACTGGAATCATTCCATTTTATGACGAGAAGTTGAAGTAACATTGGAGAGAAGAGAAACCCGGCCCGATCGTGTTCCGTGAAGGTGAAGAAACAGGACTGGCTGGAAGACAGAGAGAGGCCGGGAACCAGTGGCAATTTAGCTGAGATGCGAGCTGCAGGCTGGGGCCTGAAGGGGGAAAGTCTGTATCTTTGCCGCCCTGGCTTGCCTTCTGCCATGGGGACAGCCACAGGTGTAACCACAGTTTCTTAGCCATAGAATTACAAAATTAGAAAATGTAATATACAAAGGTGGCAATGCTCAGACTATTAAAATAGAAATAAAATCAACAGAGTTCCCAGTCCTGAACATTCCCTGCCTTGCCAGGGTTCAGAGGCCCCAGGTGTGTGGCCAGGCTGGGAGGGGTATTCTAGAAGGCTGTCAGAGCAGAAACCCCTTGGAAAAACCTGCCCACATTTTGGGTCATCTATTTACAATAATATTGTAGAGGCCGGGCGCAGTGACTCACGCCTCTAATCCCAGGACTTTGGGAGGCTGAGGTGGGCGGATCATGAGGTCAGGAGATCGAGACCATCCTGGCTAACACGAAGAAACCCCATCTCTACTAAAAATACAAAAAATTAGCCGGGCGTGGTGGCAGGTGCCTGTAGTCCCAGCTACTTGGGAGGCTGAGGCAGGTGAATGGCGTGAACCCGGGAGGCGGAGCTTGCAGTGAGTGGAGATCTCGCCATTGCACTCCAGCCTGGGTGACAGAGCGAGACTCTGTCTCAGAAAAAAAAAAAAAAAGTATAAAAACAAGTAATGATAATTAGTAATTCCTGGGTTTCCTCTGGAGAAAATTCTCCCCTAGCCTAGGGTTGGGTGTGTCCTGTTGCAAAGATGAAGCATCACTCCAGTATAGCAATGTGTCCCATCTGTGCCCCTGGCTGGTGGCCCATCCCCTGACTTGTGAAAGTACATTGTCTCCAGCAGCTGAGGCTTGAGTTCTGAATTAGAGGTCTTGTCTAACCCCAGTTGCCTGTGGATCTCCCAAGAAGCTGGGGACAAAGTTTGAGCACAGCTTGAGCCAGATAGTACAGACCTCAGAACGGAGGTCTTTGTGCAGCACCTGTGGACCACTCTTGTTCCTCTGACCTATGGGCAAGGACTGGTAGAGAGGGGCAGTGGTGCAAGGCAGTGCAGGGATTGTTCCTGCAAATTATGTGACTGGTAGGACCGAGGCAGAGACACCAGCCGGTGCAGAGTGCAGGGGTGTGGTGAGCTGCTTTCTTTTTCTCCACTGCTCCTTGGGACCCTACCCCTTCTTAGGAAAAGGATTTGAGAGCAGAAGAGAGGATAAGAAAGAAAAGGTGGGAAGGGGAGGAAGGAGAGAGAGGCGAAGAGGGAAAAAAGAGCTTCCACTTCTCAAGCTGTGCACATCCCTGGTCACTGCTGGAGATTTCCAAAACACATTCTGCTTACTCAGAAGGCAAGTGTTCATTTACCCAGCAGCTTGTGTGGTTTTCTTTCAGATGCTGAAAGGCTTCCTCTTCCCACAAATAATTATTTTGTTTGTAGGTAGAGGGCACATATAAAAATTCTTTGAAAAAATGTGTAGAAAGCATAAAATCTGTTATTTTCTGTCTGGGGAGGTCATCATGGGGGCAGTTCGGTGCTCCTGTCCTGGGATGCGCTGTCCTGGGAGGTGGGTGTGGGAAGTTGATTGTGTCTCTTCCTCCTAAGGCTGTGTGCAACCTGGGTGGCAGAAGGACAGCAAAGCAGGCTGGCAGGCTTCCTTCTCTGCTGTGTCCCCCAATTCCCCACCTGGCTAAGTTTAAATTTTTTTTTTTTTGGTAGAGAGGGGGTCTCTCTATGTTGCCCAGGTCAGTCTCGAACTCTTGGACTCATGTGATCCTCCTGCCTCGGCCTTCCAAAGTGCTGGGATTACAGGCGTGAGCCACCATGCCGGGACCAAGGTGACATTATTTTAACCCACCAAATTGGCTGATGTTTGTTTGTAAATTTGATGGTATCTATAAAAAGCCAGATACCAACACTCCTTTTCTGCACATAGGCACTCACTTATTAACCCACCCACTCACTCGTCTTTTCATTTATTGACACGTTTGCTCATCTGTTCATTCATGAATTCATTGGTCAGTTAATTAAGCAATTTATTCCTTTCTTCCTTCCTTCATTTATTCATTCATTCATCATTGGTTCATTCAGCAGGCGTTTCTGGTGCCTCCTAAGAAAGAATTTCAACTGCTGACCAGACCAGTTTAAAAAAAAATTGATAAATACAAATTGTATATCTGTATGGTGCACAACATGATGTTCTGATATACGCATACATTGTGGAATGACTACATCAAGCTAATTAGCATATGCATTACCTTATGCATTTAGTACTTTTTTTTTGTGGTGAGAACACTTAAAATCTACTCTCTTAGTGATTTTCAAGTATTCAATATATTATTATTAACTATAGTCACCACCATGATGCCCAATAGATCTCTTGAACTGATTCTTCCTATCTGAGATTTTATATCCTTTGACCAACATCTTTCTAATTTTCCATCTTCCCAGCCTCTGGTAACCACCATTCTACTCTCTGCTTCTATGAGTTCTACTTGTTTAGATTCCACCTATAAGTGACATCATGCCATATTTGTCTTTCTGTACCTGGTTTATTTCACTTAACATAGCGTCTTTCAAGTTCACATGTGTTGTTGCAAATGACAACATTTCTATCTTTTTTTTTTTTTTTTTTTGAGATGGACTCTCTCTCTGTCACCCAGGCTGGAGTACAGTGGCTTGATCTCGGCTCACTGCAGCCTCTGCCTCCCAGGTTCAAGAGATTCTCCTGCCTCAGCCTCCCAAGTAGCTGGGATTACAGGTGCCCACCACCACTCCTGGCTAATTTTTGTATTTTTAGTAAAGATGTGGTTTCGCCATGTTGGCCAGGCTGGTCTTGAACTCCTGACCTCAGGTAATCTGCCCGCCTCGGCCTCCCAAAGTGCTGGATTTCTATCTTTTGTTTAAGGCTGAATAGTATTTCATTGTATATATGTGCCACATTTCTTTTTCCATTCATCTGTTGATAAACACTTAGGTTGATTCCAAATCTTGGCTATTGTGAATAATCCAGCTCAGTTTTGAAAGATGAGGAACTGGCACAGCTCTCTCTAGGTCAGGGGTCTTAGTGGAATTCCACAGGGATGCCCAGTCTCTGCTCCCAGAGACTCTGATTCTGTAGGTCTGGGATGGGCCTGTGAACTGGAATTTGCCAAGAGGCCATCTCTGCAGGTGGTTCTGATGCCAGCATCTTCTGGTCACACTGAGAATCATGGCTCGGGGAGAGCCTGAGCTTTGGCTGTGGGGCATGTTGGAAGCTGAACACCCGTTCTTCTAAGAAAGTTTAATGCCAGATCTCATTTTCCAAGGGAGTCCAAGGAATTAAACTTGCTCCTGACAGTTGACCAGATTACAGCATTCAACCCCCTAGTAATAAAAAGATGCTCATGTTAGCAGCAAGATGACCTTATTTAAAATTTTTTTTAAGAGACAGAGGGGCTGAAGTGTAATAGTGATCATCAAAGCTCACTGCAGCCTCAACCTCCTGGGCTTAAGTGATCCTCCCATCTCAGCCTCCTGAGTAGCTGGGACTACAGGAACGTGCCTCCATACCTAACTAAGTTTTAAAAGTTTCTTTTGTAGAGAGGGGTCTCTCCATGTTGCCCAGGTCAGTCTTGAACTCTTGGCCTCAAGCGATCCTCCCACCTTGGCCTCCCAAGGTGTTGGGATTACAGCCGTGAGCCACTGTGCCTGCCCCAAGGTGACCTTATTTTAACCCACCAAATTGGCTGATGTTTGTTTGTAAATTTGACCCATCTCTGGCTGAAGGTCTTAAGCAGGTAAATTTGATGGTACCTGGTAAAAGCCAGGAACCAGCCACTGGGCACTGATGGGATTAACCAGAAACAGTTTCTAGGAGGGCAAAATACACTTTCTTTTGACCTGGGTAGATTCTTCTAGGAATTTATCCCAAGGACGTAATAATAAATGACCGCAGCAATTTACTACAGATGTGTTGTTACAACATCTTGTATAAAAGAAAGAAACAGACAAAATGCAGATATCCCACCACCAAAATTAGGTGAATACATGATTTTACATCCAGCAGATGGGTGCCAGAGACAGAGAAATTTGAATAGTGAGAACCAGGATTTGAGTGCTGGCTAAAATTTGGTTTCTTCCATAGAGGAAGGGTACATCTGGGCAAAGAGGAGGAGAGGTAGGGTGGAGGAAGACAAGCCTTACCTCTAGAAACATTCCTGGCTCATGCCTGTAACCCTAGCACTTTGGGAGGCTGAGGTGGAAGAATCACTTGAGGCCAGGAGTTTGAAACCATCCTGGGTAACATAGTGAGATCCCGTCGCTACAAAAAATAAAAAAAAATTATCATGTGCCTGTAGTCCCAGCTACTCAGGAGGCTGAGGTGGGAGGGATTGCTTGAGCCCAGGAGTTCGAGGCTGCAATGAGCTATGATTGTGCCACTGCACACCAGCGTGCGGGACAGAGCCAGACCATGTCTTTTTTTTTTTTTTTTTTTTTTTAAGTTCCCTTGTTTCCTGCTAGGAGAGTCCTTGAGCTACTCTATTTTTCCCTGTTCCACTAGCTCACTCAAGCAATGCATTTCAAAAACTTTAAGATGTTCACATCCTTAAAACCCACAATTCCACTATTAGGAAATGTCTGTAGGTAATTAATCCTGGATGAAAACAAAGATTCACATACAATGATGCTCATTACAGGTTTGTTTTTGGCTTTTTATTATAGAAAAGTGAAAAATTGCGTAAAAGTAGCATGAACAGAAAAATGGACTCCTGTACCCTGTTACTCAGCTTCAATGGTTGTCAACTCCTGGGTCCCCTCCTCTCTCCCAGGTGATTGGAAGCAGGTCTCAGATATCGCATTATTTCATCCATCAATAATTCAGAAGGCATCTCTAAAAGATAAGGGCTCCTTAAGAAAGCAAGTCACAATACCTTTATCTCACTTTAAAATAAACAAAAATTCCTTAATATTGTCAAATATTCAGTTGATATTTAATTTCTCCTACTTGTCTCATAATCTTTCTTTTTTTCTTTTGTTTGAATGAGATAAAGTCCACCCTTGGCAACTGGTTGATGCATCTCATCTCTTTTAATCTCTGTTTTCCTCCCCCACTCTCTTTTTCCCTTGGAATTTGTTGAAGGGGCTGGATGAATTGCACCGTTGGGTTTCCCACAGACTTGATTTTGCTGATTGTATTGTTTTTGTGCCATTTAACATGTTCCTCTGTATCTTGCATATCCTGCGACTATGTCACCAGTAGAAGTCACAGATATTTCCATATAGCATTATAGCTATTGCAGGCATCTTGAAATATAATTTGTGCTCCTCTCCACTTTAAAATTATTAAACCCTCCACTAGAATTTGTTATTGATAAGTACATAAGGATGCACATCTATTGTTATGTCACAAATTTGTTTTTTGTGAAATATTTTGATAATCATACTTCAAGAGTTTGTAACTTACGTATTTCATTTTACTTCATTTCATTATTTTTAGAGGGGGTCCATACTCTTCAGATGACCAGAAGGCCCATTGGTCTCAAGGAATAAAATCTAATCTAGATCTATTATTTTATTAAGGCTGCAACATGGTTATATTCTATCACCCCTTCTTAACTCATTAGCCGGAATAGTTCTTAAAGAGGAGTTTCCCATCGTTAACTATTTGGTTACCTTGATCTTTATTTTAAAAAAATCAATCTTTTTATTTTGTGATAATTGGAAATCCATGTACAGTTGTAAGAAATAGTACAGAGAGATCCCATGTACCCTTTACCCAGTTTCCCCCAATGGTAACACCATGCCAAACTACAGTACTCTGTCAGAATCAGAATGTTGACATTGCTATAGGCAGAATACAGAAAACTTCCTTCACCAGGAGGATGTCTTATGTTGCTCTTTTATAGCCACAACTATTTCCTCCCAAATCACTCCTTAACCCCTGGCAACCACCAATCTGTTCTCTATTTCTATAATTTTATCATTTCAAGAATGTTAAATAAATGGAATCACATAGTCTGTAACTTTTTGGGATTGGCTTTTTCCCCTAAGCATCATTCTCAGGAACATGATTCAAGCTGTTGCTTTTCATTGCTGCGTAGTATTCTATAGCACGGACGGACCACGGTTTGCCTAATGATTCACTCACTGAAGGACATCTAGGTTGTTTCCAGTTTTTGGCTATCGTGAATAAAGCTAAGCATTTGTGTAAAGGTTCTTCTGTGAACCTAAGTTTTCATTTCTCTGAGATACGTGCCCAGGTGTTGCAATTGTTGTGTTAGATGGTATTTGCATATTTAGTTATTTAAGAAATTGCCAAACTGTTTTTCAGAATGGCTTACCGTTTTAATTTCCTACCAACAGTGTAAAAGTGATCTAATTTCTCTGCATCCTCATTAGCATTTGGTGATGTCACTCAAAAGACATTTTGGCATGTGGGTAGCAATATCCATTGTGGCTTTAATCTGCATTTCCCTAATGGCTAATGATGATAACTTTTCTTGTGTTTATTTAGCATCTATATTTCCCCTGTGGTGAAATGTCTATTCATGTTTTTTTTATTTTGCCTATTTTCTAGTTGAATTGTTGTTTAAAAATTTTTTAAATTGTTGAGTGTTTAGAGTTTTCTCTAGTCTAGATACTAGTCCTTTGTCAGATACGTGATTGCAAATATTTTCTGTTGGTGTGTAGCTTGCTTTTTACTCTCTTACCATGGTCTTTTGAAAAGCAAAACCTTTTAATTTTGGTGAAGTGCATTTTAATCAAATTTTCCATTTAGGGATCATGCTTTTTGTGTCAAGTCTAAGAACTCTTTGCCTAGTCTTAGATGCTGAAGATTTTCTCCAATGTTTTCTACTAGAAGTTTTAGAGTTTTACATTTAAGCCAGTGATCAATTTGAGTTAATTATTTTATAAAGTGTGAAACATAGATCAAGTTTCATTTTTTTTTAACCTATGGACGTACAATTGCTCCAGCACCATTGGTTAAAAAGGCTCTATCTTTCCTTCATTAAGTTGCTTTTGTGCCTTTGTAAAAAATTTGTTGGGTATTTTGTGTGGGTCTATTTCTGTGTTCTCTTTTGTGTTCCCTTCATCTATATGTCTTTTCCTTTGCCAGGACCACCCAGCCTTGATAACCATGGTAACATAGTAAGTCTTGATAGTGGGTAGACTGATTTCTTCCATTTTATTCCCCCTTTCCAAAACCATTTTAGCTATGCTAGATCCTTTGTTTTCAAAATAAATTTTGGAACAATATTGTCTATATATACAGACAAAAAACATTCTGGGCTTTTGATAGAATTGCATTAAACCTGTATATCAGTTTGAGAATAGACTTCTTTATTATATTAAATCTTCTATTTCATGAACATGGTACATATCCCCATTTATTTTGATTTATTTCATCAGCATTGTGTAATTGTCTGTACATGTATACTGCTTGTACAGAGAAATAATATCATCATATGATTTTATTTTTGAGCCTGCTAAAATGGTGGATTACATTGGTTGATTTTCTAATATTGAACAAGTCTTGCATTCATGAAATAAACCACATGTGGTTTTGTGTAACTCTTTTTATATATGGCAGAATTCTATTTGCTAATGTTTGTGAAGGATTTTTGCATCTATATTCATGTAGCTTTGTTTTTTTTTCTATTTGCACAGTCATTTACTTTTGTTATCGAGGTAACACTAACTTCATAATATAAATTAAGAAGTGTTCTGCTTTTGTATTTTCTGGAAAAGATTGTATAGAATGGTGCTAATCTTCTTTAAACGTTTGATAGAATTCAGCAGTGACACCATCTGGGCCTGGAGATTTCCTTTTTGGGAGCTTTAAAATTACAAATTCATAGTTCTTAATCAGTATAGGGCTATTTACATTATCTTTTTCATATTGGGTGAGTTATGGTAACTTGTGTTTTTAAGGAATTGATCCATTTTGTTTCAGTTGTCAAATTTACATGTATAAAGTTGTTCACAGTATTATATTTCCCTATTATTCTTTTGATGTCAGCAGGCTTTGTGGTGATATTATCTCTTTTAGTCTTGATATTGGTAATTTGTATTTTTTTCTCTTTCTAATTTGCTGGTTTTGCTAGAAGTTTGTCAATTTTATTAATCCTTCCAAAGAAAGATTTTGTTTTGTTGATTTTCTCTGTGGTTTTTCTGTTTTCAATTTCGTTTATTTCTACTCTTTATTACTTCCTTCATTTTGCTTGCTTTGGGTTTATTTTGCTCTTTTCTAGGTTCTCGAGGTGAGAGCTTAGATTATTGAACTAAGAAATTTCTTCTTTTCTAATGTACACACTTAATACAATGAATTTCCCTCTCAGCACTGCTTTAGCTGTGTTCTGTCACTTCTGTTATGTTGTATTTTTATTTTAATCAGTTCAATGTATTTTTGCTTTTATTTCTTCTAAGACTTCCTGCTCAGCCCATGGATTATTTAGAAGTGTGTTGTTTAGTTTCCAAGTGTTTGGAGATTTTTTGGTTATCTTTCTGTTATTATTTCCATTTGATTCCATTGTGGTTGGAGAGCACACTCTGTATAATTTAAATTCTTTCAAATTTGCTGAGGTTTGTTTTATAAACCAGGGCATAATCTATTTTTATATATATTCCATAGACAGATGAAAAGAATATGTATTCTTCTGTTGTTGGGTGAACTACTTTATAAATGTTGATTAATTCTTGCTGGTGGATAGTGTTGTTGAACTATTCTGTGGCCTTGTTGATTTTTCTAATTGTTGAGAGAAGGAACTTAAAATACCCAACTGTGTATAACTGTGGATTTGTGTGCTTCTCCTTTCAGCTCTGTCAGTTTTTGCTTGTGATGTTTTCAGCTCCTTTGTTTGGTGTATAGACATTTAGAGTTGCTACTTCTTTCTGGTGTATTAACCATTTTATCATTATATATCTTCTTTCTCTGACTCTGGTAATTTTCTTTGTTCCAAAGTCTATTTTATCTGATATTAATATAAGTACTGCTTTCCTTTGATCAATGTTTGTGTGATTTATCTTTCCCATCCTTTTGCTTTGAACCTGCTTATATTGTTATATTTGAAGTGAGTTTATTTGAGAAAGCATGTAGCTGGGTCTTATTTTTAAATCCATCTCTGCCATATTTTTAAATTGGTATAATTAGGACATTTACATTTAATAGAATTATTGAAATGTTAGATATTAATTCAGCCATTGCTTTTTGTTTGTTTTCGTTCTGCGGTTTGCTTCTCTGTTATTTTCCTATCTTCCTGTGGGTTACTTGAACTTTTCTTTAGAATTCATTTTTATCTGTAGTATTTTTAAGAGTCAGCTCTTTGTATAATTTTTTTTAGTGGTTGCTCTAGGTATTGTGTTATTTATACATAACTTATCAGAATCCTGCTGTTGTCATCTCATCAATTTGAATGAAGTATAGAAACATTATCTCCCTTTAAGTATTTTTATCTTCCTCACTTTTAATGTCATTGTCTTTAATATTTTTCTGCATACATTTAGAACCACATAAAAAGTGTTATAATTTTTACTTCAACCATCAAACATAATTTGGACAACTCAAAAGAAGGGGAGCCTTTTTAATTTACCCATATTTTTGTTTCTTGTCTGCCTGCCTTCCCTCCCCTCCCCTCCTCTCCTTCCTACCTCTCCTCTCTCTCTCTTTTTCTCTTCCAAGACTTTTTCTCACATCCTTTCTGTTTATAGAACTCCCTTTAGACATTCTTTTAGAGTAGGTCTGCTAGAGACAACTTCTCTTAGTTTTCCTTCATTGGCCAATGTCTTGCTTTTCCCTTAATTACTAAAGTATGTTTTTGCTGGATATAGGATTCCGGGTAGGCAGTTCTTTCAGTACTTGAAAAACACATTGCCACTTCTGCTGGTCTCCATGATTTCTGATGAGAAATCTACTGTTATTCTAATTGCTTTCCCCATGTACTAGCATGTTCTCTCTCTTTTTTTTCTTTTTGTATGTTTTTGTATTTGTCTTTAGTTTCCAAAAATTTAATTATGATGTGTCTTTGTATGGAATTTTTTGCATTTATCTTGTTTGGGTGAACTCAGCTCTTTGAATCTGTAGATTTATGTCTCAATAACTCAGAGACATTTTCAGCCACTCTTTGGTTGAGTACTTTTCAGTCCCATCCTCTTTCTCCTCTCATTTCAAGGCTCTGATAAAATAAATCTTATGTTTTTTGTTGTAATCCCACAGGTCCCTGAGGTGGTGTTATTTTTTTCAGTCTGTTTTTTCTCTCTGTTGTTCAAATGGATAATTTCCATTATTTTCTCTTCCACTTCACTGATATTTTCTTCTGTCTCCTTCATTATGCTTTTTGGCTCAGTCACTGAGTTAAAATTTGGTTATTGTATTTTTGAGTTCTAAAATTTCCATTTGGCTCTTCTCTATGTCATTTATTTCTTTGTCGAGACTCTTTTCTACTCCATTTGTTTCAAGTGTGTTTGTAATTTCTCACTCAAGCACTTTTATTATGACTACTTTAAAATATTTGTTAGATAATTCTAACGTAATTCTGTCATATTGATGTTAGCATCTGATTGTCATTTTTATGCAGTTTGTGACCTTCCTTTTTACAGCATGAGTGATTTTTAAATTGAAACGGGAACTTGTGTTATATTATGAGACTTTGAATCTTACTTAGAGCTTGTGGTCTAGATGGTTTTTTTCTGCTACTACTCTGGTAGGGTAAGGGAGGTGCTTCCCATCAGTTTTGGCTTCATGCATTTTGCAGCTTTTTTGTTTGGTGCACACACATTTAGGATTGGTATGTCTTCTTGATGGATTAACCCTTTTATCATTATTACGATGTCTCTCTCTGTATCTGGGAATTTTATTTTCCCTGAATTCTATTTTATCTGATACAAATACAATCTTCCTCCAGGTTCCCCACTTTGCCTCAGTTGACATCTGAGAGAATATGATCCTGCTACTCCTCCACTGATACTGTTGGGGGATGGAGGCCAGTGGGGAAGGAGACTCCACACTTGGCCTTTTCTGACATCAGCTCAGCATGGATGTTGGGTTTCCTTGCGAGGGTGAGAGTCTAGACTCTTCATCAGGCCTTTAATGGAGTGGGACCACAAGGCTTTTTTTCTGTGGTATTTGGCTGGAGTAGTGTGGTTACTGTCTAAAAGTTTTCTGACTTTCTAGGCTGCTTCTTTTCTGCTCCTTTGGCTAGAGAGAGCATTTTGTTTTATTTTGTTTTTTGTTTTTGTCATCTGTGTCTATTGTTGTTTCCAGATTTCTAATTTCTTCAGTTGTAGGTTCAGCATATATGAAGCAAAAAGAAAACCCAAGGAGCTGACTCCTATGTTATTCCTTGGGTCTTGAGGTCCCCAACCACTCTGCCATAGTTTTTCCATTTTTCAGAAAATTCTTATGTCTGTTTTATATTCAGAGAATTATTATGTTTGTTTTATATACAATGTTCAGGATTTTTGATTGTATTTAGTGGGAGGAATAGGAAAAAGTATTGCCTGTTTCATCTTTCTGGAAAGGATTAAAAAACCTAATTTTGTTTAAAATTATGTAAAATATTTCATGGGTTCAAAGTCAAATCAATAACACTAATAATGTTCAGAGATGTTCACTTCTATCCCTTTGTTCTCCATTCTGTTCCTTCTGAATCTACAGACAATTATTTTTTAAAGTATTGGTTTGGTTTTTAATTTTAAAAATATAAGTAACTGTGTGTGTGTGTGTGTGTGTGTGTGTGTGTGTATTGCTTCCTTTCTTAGATAAATGAAACCATACAAAAATCACTTTCCTCCACCTTGCTTTTTGTTTAATAATATACCTGGGAGGTAACTCCATATCAGTATATAGAGAGATTTTTATTCCTTTCTAAAGTGGCACAGCAGTCTACTTTTTTTGCATATACCATAGTTTATCCAACTAGCTCATTATTGAGAGACACTTGAGTTGTTTCCAGTCTTTTGCTAGCACAAATGTGTTGCAACGAATAACACTGTGTTTCAACATTTTGCATTTTTGCTCCTATATCTTTTGTTAGATTCCTAGAAGTGAAATTGCTGTGTCAAAAGGTAAATGCATATGTCATTTTACCAGATATTGTGACATAATTTTTTAACATAAAAAATTAGAAACCACCCAAATATTAAATAATAAGTTAAAAATGATGGCAACAGCATATGGGTGTAAGAGTCATATGCACCAGCACATGGGTGTAAGAGTCAATGAAATTTGAGTTTTTGCTATGAATATGACTCCGGAGTCCCTACAAGAAGGTCATGCTTAGAGACCCCTGGCATATACAGTCAATGGGAAGCTGTGGAAATATTCAAGAATATTAGTGGAAAAAAATTCTCTGTCTATTAATAATGGAACAAAGCAGGTAAAATAGTGCAAATAAATAGTATGATCCTATTTTGTAAAAAAAGTCTGTGTAGTGAGTTTGCAAATTTGCTAACACTACACTTCAATGTGTAAGAAACACATGACTTCTTCATTTCTCAAACTGCTCTGTCTTCTTCAAGACCCATGGGGAATAAAACTCCTAAATTTTAGTCTAATCTGGAAAGTGGAATATAAGGCAGGCACTTGGGTCCTTTTCACTGGACTTTCTTCAAGAAGATGACTGTCTGTGTGGGGGTAGGGGGCTCACAGGACTCAGTGACAAAGGGGAAAAGATGAAATATTTGAATCCCTGCTTTCTCTGAGGCAGAGTGGCTGGTCCAACATGACTGTCCCATCTAGCACCTGCTGACATTTACTGAAACTTGTTGCTCCCCAATATTTCTGGCTTCTTCCATCTAGCCACAGGCTAGGACTGCACTTTTGCATTAGTGTGGAGTTAGGCATGGCCACGTGACACACTTTGGCCAGTGAAGCCTGAGCTGAGATGATGACCCACATTTCTGTGGAAGTCTTTGAGTGCTGGTCCATGACCCTCCTGATTCCCTTCCCCCTGCCAAGGTGACTAGTTATGATTTAGATGGGGGCTGCTCCTGTGTCCCTCAGTGAGGGCAACATTGGGCAGAACCTCCAGCCACCCTTCAGTGGATGTAGAGTGGGGATAGCACACAGACCTGGAACCCAGGGTTGCTTGTTACTGCAGCATAACTGAGCCTAGACATACATAGTCTGAACTTCCTGGTGGGGCAAGACCCGTGGATGCTCCTTGGCTGATCTGGCTTCGTTTTGTCTCTGCTGGTGCTCACAGACCACGCCGTGTTTCTCAGTGTGCTGCCATTGGATCCTGGGCTTTTGGTCCTTGCCTCAGATAACTTTATGGGAGGTCTCTGGAATTCAGCTTGGTCACCTTCCTTTCCTCTCTCTGGGGCCTCGAGAACTTCTTTGCCCTTTTCAAGCCATATGGAAACTGAGAGCAGTTTGAGAAAGTAAATTTCCATCCCACTTGCAAACCCATGCAGAGCTGCTGAATTTGCACAGTAATGGCCACTTCCTCTTAGATTAGTGGTACAGCCTGGAAAGGCATTTCTTTCCAGTTCCTAAACATGAGGCATGAGACTCCCTGAGTCCTCAGCATCCCCCTAAACTTGGTGCATGTGTCTCCTACTCTTGGTCAAATCTGGAGAGGAGCGTGGGCACTCACATGCCTCCTGTGTGTCTCCTTCCTCCGCCTTCCTTCTACCCACAAATCCCTTGGGCCAAAAAAAGGTGGGCTCTTCCTTCTTCCACTTCCTGCCTGGATGGAACTCTATGCTCCAGGTATCGTGAGGGAAATCTAGAACATTTTTTCGCCAACGAAGCCTGGAGTTAAGTCTACTGATCTTCCAAATCTAATTTGGAAGTCACTGCTGAGCCTTGTTGTGGTGTAGAAGTTCTCCAACTTTCTCAGTTCATGGTGTCCCTTAATGTCTCAAGCAGTTTTTTTTTTTCTCACAGCATTCTTAGTAGCTTTTTTTTTCTCCCCCGCACAGCACTTAGTTTCTGAAAAAGTGCTTTAGAACTAGTATCAAGAAATTAAAAAATGTTCATCTACTTTGACTTAGTGTATCCACTTCAAAAATGTAATCTAAGAAGATAATTTAAAAAATGGAAACATTGTATACACAAAACAAATTCCCCCAAAGCCTAACATTTCATTAGTTAGGTCTAAACGACATAACAGTAATAGTTTGCGTGGTGTCTGACTGGTGTTGCTGGTTTCTTTCAAAAAGTTTAAACAGGGTGGGTGCGGTGGCTCACGCCTGTAATCCCAGCACTTTGGGAGGCCGAGGCAGGTGGATCACCTGAGGTCAGGAGTTCGAGACCAGCCTGCCAACATGGCAAAACCTCGTCTCTACTGAAAATACAAAAAACTAGCCAGGCGTTGTTGCGGGCGCCTGTAATCCCAGCTACTCGGGAGGCTGAGGCAGGAGAATCTCTTAAACCCGGGAGGCGGAGGTTGCAGTGAGCTGAGATTGTGCCACTGCGCTCCAGCCTGGGCAACAAGAGTGAAACTCCATCTCAAAAAAAAAAATAAAAATGTTAAAACAGCCCATGGTGATGCCCCAGGGCTCTGGCACGTGTTTTGGAAACCCCAGTTTTGGTGGGATCTGTTCTCCTAAAACATCAATCTTCCTGCCTCCTAAACCATGGCTTACAGAGCATGCGAATATATTGAACAATGATTTAAAAATATGATCTCTGTTACCTATATGTAGAACAAAGGCTAGAATTAGGGATTACTTACATTTTCTTCCTTTTGGTGTATGAGCTAGCATTTCTGCCCGTGACAATGTACTCACTGCAACAAGAACAAAAAGCAAATTAGCTGTTCAAACTATGGAGGTGAGAATTTTTGGATCTTCCTCTGCTTGGAATGACGGGAAGTGATTCAGCCAAAATGTGCAGGGGTGGGATCTGGATCTTTGGGACAGACGTCTGCTTCAGCACTGAGTGCCCCATCTATGGGTGAGAGATGCCTCTGCAGTGTCCCAGGCAGATGTGAAGGTGGAAGACTGCCTGCAGGAACAGAAGTCAGGGTCTTCCAGGCTGTCATTTCATACTGAGGCTTGGTCTACTGAGTGGCTTTGCCTGCCCAGAACCTATGGACTTAGGAGCCATAGGGTCGACTGTTTCCTGGCTCTCTTGTTGTCAGATGGCTGTGAGGTCAGGCTCGTCTATGACAAAGAAAGGAAAATGTGGGGAGAGGTATATTATCAAAGGAAGCATCTTTGTTTTGTTTTGTTTTGTTTTGTTTGAGACAGAGTCTTGCTCTGTCACCCAGGCTAGAGTGCAGTGTCATGATCTAGGCTCAATGCAACCTCCGCTGCCTGGGTTCAAGAGATTGTCAAAAAGGGTGTTTCTCCTTTTCTTTTCTTTTCTTTTTTTCTTTTCCTTCTGGTGGAGTCTTACTCTGCCACCCAGGCTGGAGTGCAGTGGTGTGATCTCAGCTCACTGCAATGTCTGCCTCCCAGGTTCAAGCAATTCTCGTGCCGCTGCCTCCCGAGTAGCTGGGATTACAGGTGCCTGCCACCGCCTGGCTAATTTTTGTATTTTTATTAAGAGACGGGGTTTCACCACGTTGGCTAGGTTGGTCTTGAACTCCTGGCCTCAGGTGATTGCCTGTCTCAGCCTCCCAAAGTGCTGAGATTACAGGTGTGAGCCACCATGCCTGGCCAGGAAAGTACCTTTTAATGACAAAGTTTGCTGCCAAAAATGCCATCTTCTTTTGTGTTTCTATGAATATGCTTCTCTTCCTTCATGGCTCAGCTTAAAGCTCTTCAGACAGAGCTCTCTGATGGAATAGGCTATCTAATGAAGTTGGGAAAACATGTATATAGGTAATTCACAAACACACAAAAAAGGAGTGTGAAACTAAGTAATACTTCTTTGTTTCCCTGACAAATCAGGAAAGATTAAAAATCAAAAGTTGGCTGGGCATGATGCCTCATGCCTGTAATCCTAGCACTTTGGGAGGCCAAGGCAGGTGGATTGCTTGAGCCCAGGAGTTCAAGACCAGCCCGGGCAACATAGTGAGACCTCATTTCTACAAAATAAACAAAAATTAGGTGGTTGTGGTGGTATATGCGTGTAGTCCCAGCTACTCGGGAGGCTGAGGTGGGAGGATCACCTAAGCTTGGGAGGTTGAGGTTGCAGTGAGCCGAGATAGCGCCACTGCACTCCAGCCTGGGCGACAGAGCGAGACCCTGTCTCAAAAAAAAAAAAAAAAAAAAAAAGTCAGTGCTGACAGGCTTGTGATAAACTAGGCACTTGTACTTTGTTGATAGGATTGTGAATTGGTTCAGAATTTCTGAAAGAGTGCGTTAGAAATACTATCAAGAAATTTAAAATGTTCATCAGCTTTCACCCAATGTGTCCACGTCAAAAATGGAATCTAAGAAGACAATTTAAAAAATGGGAACATTTTCTACACAGATGTTCATTGCAATATTGCTTAAAATACTGAAAAAACACTTAAGTGTTTTATAGGGGAATCATTAAGAAAAGAATAAAGTATGATACAGTAAAATAATATTTATTAAGTTTTGCCAACTTTCATAAACACTTTTTTTAAAGCTTCCTTTTTGTTCAATAGTTTTTGGGGTACAAGTGGTTTTTGGTTGCATAGATAAGTTATGTAGTGATGATTTCTAAGATTTTAGTACACCCATCACCCCAGCAGGGTACACTGTACCCAATGTGTAGTCTTTTATCTCTTACCCCTTTCCCCGCTCCAAGTCCCCAAAGTCCATTATATCTTTTTTTTTTTTTTTTTTTTTGAGACGGAGTCTCACTCTGTCACCCAGGCTGGAGTGCAGTGTCGCAATCTTGGCTCACTGCAACCTCTGCCTCCCGGGTTCAAGCGTTTCTCCTACCTCAGCCTCCCGAGTAGCTGGGATTACAGGTGCCCGCCACACCCGGCTAATTTTTTGTATTTTTTGTAGAGGCAGAGTTTCACCGTGTTAGCCAGGATAGTCTTGATCTCCTGACCTCGTGATCCACTCGCCTTGGCCTCCCAAAGTGCTGGGATTTCAGGTGTGAGCCACCGCAACTGGCCCATTATATCATTCTTATGCCTTTGCATCCTCATAGTTTAACTTCCACTTATGACTGAGAAGCTGTGATATTTGGTTTTCCATTCCTGAGTGACTTCACTTGGAATAATGGCCTCCAGCTCCATCCAAGTTGCTGCAAAAGACATTATTTTATTCACAAGCACTTATTATATTGTAGGATAAAGAGGATAGAAAATCCCTTCTTACATAGGATCTCAATTATGTAAAAAGTTCATATAGAAAACTGGATGGAAATACACAAAAATATTAATACAGTTATCTGCATTTTAATTTTAATGTTTAAATAATAGGAATGAATTTAAATAATAGGAATGAATTTTTTTTTTCATTTTTTTTGTCCATGGTTCACAAAGACAAACAACACAGGCTATTAACAAAGTAGAGTGGGCTGCCTTGGGATTTGATGAGTTTCTTGTTATGGGATTAATTCATTTTCTTAATCAGAAAACATTTAATGAGGACATCCTGTGCATCTGGTATTGTGGTTGGTGTAAGAGGGGCAGTGGTGAGCAAAACAGACACAGGGCCACCTTCTACGGGGCTGATCCTTCCAGGGAAATTGACAAGATGGGATCTCCCAGCAGGAACTAGTCACTGCCTGGTGTGTGTAGTCAGGTGCAGGATAAGTGCTGGGAGCTGTGAGGTCATGTAATTGGGGACTCAGTAGGATGGAAAGTCAGGAGGCTTCCCCACAGAAGGACATGGGCTGCGTGGTGGGGATCAGGAGGAGAAGGGAAGGAGAAAGCAGTTCTGGGCAGAGGGAACAGCCTCTTAAGTGGGCCCTGAGGCAGGAATGGGCAGAATTCTTCAGAGACACAGCACGGAGTAGGCTAGGGTGCAGAGATGAGTCACAGCTACTTGGGAGGCTGAGGCAGGAGGATCGCCTGAGCCCAGGAATTGGAGGCTGCAAGGTGCACAAGTGCCGTTTAGTGGGGTTGTACGCACCAGGCATCCATGGGGAAGAGGCAATGCTGCTCATAGCCGCCTGAAACCAGAAGAGGAAAGGCAAAGGCTCCTGGGCCAGGTGTGCCTGCCATTCCCTCTACTCACCTCCCCCGGGACCAGCCTCCCTTCTCTGGTCACTCTCATCCTGGAGTTTCCTCCATACCATTTAGCATATGGCCTTTGACCCTCATTCATTTATTCTTTCATTCAGAAAAACTGACAGATAGTGTGCTTACTCCTGGGGAGATGGTGATGAAAAGGCCTTATGAGGCAGGGCATGTACGCCTGTAACCCCAGTATTTTGGGAAGCCGAGGCAGGAGGATCACTTGAGGCCAGCAGTTTGAGACCAGCCTGGGCAGCATAGTGAGACCCTGTCTCTATAAATAATAATAAAAAATTAGCCAGGTGTGGTGGCGGTGAGCACCTGTAGTCACAGCTACTAGGGAGGCTGAGGCAGGAGGATCACCTGAGCCCAGGAATTGGAGGCTGCAGTGAGCTTTGAGTGTGCCACTGCTCTCCACCCTGGGAGATGAATTGAGAGCTTGTCTCAATAAAATAAAATAAAATGCCTTATGGGTTATACTCAGGATAAGAGACGAACAATAATCACAGGGTCTGGGAGGATGGTTTTCCCATGGTCTGGACTTGCCTTTAACCTAGGGGGTGGGGCGGGCCCTATAGGGCAGGACCTGGGTCTGCATCTGCTGTCCAGGGCCGGATGAAGCTCCCAGGTCATAGCCCCAGCGGGAGCTACCCGGGGACTTGGCTCCATCAGGACACACTCATCCATTTGCTGAGCACCTGCTACTGCAGAGCCTGCATGAGGCAGGGATGTGAGGTGAGACAGTGCTGCAGGGGGTGGCTCCTGGGATCCCCAGGCCAGGATGGGGCTGGGATGAAGCTGTGGAAGGAGCCAGTGCTTTGAAAATTGGGGGCTGAGTGAAGAGTGAGGCCAGCTGTGGAGGGCTCTGGTTAGGGCCTCTGAGCTGGACCTAGGCATGATTGGGAAAAAATCCTGGTAGAATAGCTGGGGGTTGGGGGAGGGAGCTATTTCCTGTCCTTGTTGAGGGGATCAGCTAGAAAAGGGACCTGGGTGCCCCAGCTCCCACTTGGGGTGCCCACCCAGATGCCTTCCTTCCCCTCCCCATGGGCACTGTCTTCCTTCAGCCACAGTGTCCAGCCCAGGCCCCATCCCGGCCCTTCTCCCCTCCTGCTGTGGGCACTGCACTCATGACCCCAATGCCCATCCAGGCCCTCCATTGTCTCGGGAAGATGTGTGTTCACCCGCGTGGGTTATTATTAGCCTGCGATGAAGTGAAAGGCCCTGAATGGGGGATGCCGAGCTCCTGCCTGACACCGTGGCCCAGGCAGGAAGGAAATGATTCATTATGGCTACAAGGCGTGCTCTAATTTCATATAACGAAATAAATGACAGCCGTATTTTGGGCGCCACCACGTGCAGATAGCATTGTTCGCTGACTGCCTCTCACCCTGGCTGCAAGGAGAATCAGAGCAGGCATTGTGCAGGGAGATGCGGGGCTGGGGATGTCTGGGAGGTGGCAGGTGCATAACCCCGGGAGGGTGAGTGAAGTCACTCCTGCAGCAGCTGGAGTGGCCCCTGTCTGGCACAATCTAGGGCCCTCCACCCTGCTGATTCTCCTTTTGCTTCCCTGCCCACCCCCTGGCCCCCCCACCCCAGCCTCCCTGGCTTCTCCAAACCCTGTTTACTTGTTCAGTTCTGTCCTAGATCTGGGAGCCTCCTCCTCCAGGAAGCCCATGGCACCCAGCCCCTGGCTACTCCGCTCTTTCAGCTCTGTGTCTGCCTGTGCTGGAGAGTGCCTTTCTCCCTCCTTGCAGGCTCTGGGCTCTCCCTGCATTTCTGGCTCCAGCTAGGCCCTCGATGAGTTCTCTGCAGCCATGCATGAACAGCTTGAGATGAGGTTTCTGTATTGATCTGTCTTTGGTTGCTTAGAACAGAATAACTGGGTAATTTATAAAGAAAAGGGAATTGTCTCTTACAGTTCTAGAGGATGAGAAGTCCAAGGTTGAAGGGCTGCATCTGGTGAGAGCCTTCTTGCTGGTGGGGACTCTCAGCAGAGTCTTCAGGTGGCACAGAGTGTCCCATGGTGAGGGGCTGAGTGTGTCAAATGTGCTATGCTCAGGTCTCCCTTCTTCTAAAGCCACCAGTTCCCCTTGCATTAATCCAGTAGCCCTTTTATCCATTCATAAAGGCAGAACCCTCAGGATCCAGTCACCTCTTAAAAGCCTCACCTCTCAATACTGTTGCATTTGGGATTAAGGTTCAACTTGAGTTTTGGAGGGGACATTCAAACCATACAGCTTCCTCAGCCGGGAAGGTGGCTCCAAGTCAGCTCACCTTCCCCCGGTGTCTCCTGGGGTGAGGCGCTGCCTCGAGACCTGAGCCCCACAGCAGTATGGCAATCAGAGTGTGATTTCTCCAAGCCATGGCAGGTCCCAGGGTAAAATAAAAATGAAAACACAAAGTTCCTCATTAAAAAATGAATTAGGAATTTCAAGACAGGACAGCGGAGCATCTAAATCCAGGGCAGGGCCTGGATTTAGGAATGTGGGGCCTGAGTACTGCACAGGTCATGGGCTCAAGACGCTGGCTCAGCTCCAGAGTCAGAGAGAAGAGACTCAGAGTTGGGGCAGGGTGCCTCTGGTGACAATACTGGGTCCTCTGTGGCCTCAGCTCTGACCGGGCAAGCTGGCAGCAGAACTGGGAAGAATGCCCGATTAGTCGGAATGCCAGGACCTCTGTGTAGGCTCTGCAGCAGCTGAGGCTCCAGGGCACATGGGAGGAGGCTCTCCACACTTCTCTGTCATTAACTCATGGTCCTGAGTTGCTGCAGAGCTGGGAGGTTGTACTTGACATCACCTTGCTGCCCCATCCCTTCCTGGACACCTTGGGGGGCCAGCACCCCATACCTGCAGGGCCACCCTAAACTTTGCAGTAAATTAAAGCCATTTCTTCCAAAGCAAACCATTTACAGGCAGACTGGGTTGCTCCATGCCCCCTCAGCCAAATGCCTGTTTGCAAGAATTCAGGCCCCTGGCCCAGAAGCTGGCAGCACATCTTATTTTCCCAATGTATTTCATTTGGAACTCAAGATAAAAAGAATAGGAGAAGAGGATTGCATTCAGGGTAATTTCATCTCAGGGCCTCTAACCAGTAGAGGAAGCCTCGAGCTCGCTGGACCAAGGAATTCTTGTTCCTGCAATATTTGCACACAAAATGGTTTCACATTTAGAAAGATACATTAAGAGTTGTGTTAATCATAGACATTTGGAACTGGGTGCTGACTCGACAGGGAAACAGAACTTTGGTGTGGAGTTTAATTTGTTCGAACACCTATTTCAATTGGGGTGACAGCAGGGCCACCAAGTGGGGGCCCCACGCCCATCTCCACTGGCTTGTGCTGCATGTGTATAGGCCACTTTCCTGGCAGAAGGGGAGCCCTGGTCCCTGCAGGGAATCTCCCGGGATGTGACAGCGGTGAGCCTGCCCGGGGCCCCTGCAGCCAGGTCAGCTTTCTCTGGGTGCTAGTGAAACATTTCGAGGAGAGGCTGCAGACAGACGACACATAGGCTGTCTTCAGGCCCAGGTGGGTTTTGGGATCTATTTAGAGTTTTAACAAAACCTGAATTAAATGCCAGCATTTCAAAGTCAGAAGATTGCACATAAACATCCAAATTCTGGGCATCTCTTAGAAAAACCTGGGCGTTTCTTCTTGACCGCAATTGAGAGGTGTGAAGTCAGGCTACTCCTTTTAGATGTGGCTATGCTGTTAATTTGCAGTCATAACTATCTCTCCACACACCCTTCCCAGGCCTGTGCTGATTGGCTGTCACTGCAGATCTTTGATTTGCACTGTTACATGTAACTAACATCATGCATTTATGTTGCCTGCCTGATTCCTGTGGGCATCTCACCTTTTGTTTCCTGGCTTAGAAGTTCAGAGGGATAGAGACTGGGAGGAAGCATCCATGTCATCTATTCCTGCCTCTGTCCTTGAATCCTTGAACCCTGTGAACATACTTGATGTACACAGATGATCAAGTTATTGGGCCAGAAATTTTTCTTTTAAATTTTTTTTTTTGAGACAGCGTCTCGCTCTGTTGTTCAGGCTGGAGTGCAATGTATGATCATGGCTCACAGCAGCCTCAAACTCCTGTGCTCAAGTGATTCTCCCACCTCAGCCTCCCAAGTAGCTGGGACTACAGGTGCGTGCCACCATGCCTGGCTAATTTTAAATTTAATTTAATTTTTGTAGAGACAGGGTCTGGCTGTGTTGCCCTGGCTAGTCTCGAACTCCTGGCCTCAAGCAATCTTCCCACCTTGGCTTCCCAAAGTGCTGGGATTACTAGCCATGAACTACTGTGCCTGGCCCAGAAATTTCTTACTGCTATTAACAGTAAGATGCTAATGTTAAACATTAATGTTAAACAGCAACGTGGGGGCATTGCCTCCCCGTGGACAGAGAAGGGGTTCAAGAGAGAGGACGGTGGTTAGCTGATCTAAGTATTCTGCAAGCTGCCCTTGCTGAAACATGAGTTTGCAATGTCATGATCTTTTCTTTGAAAACAACATTCCCTGGACCCTGTTTCTCTCCTCTGGGCAACCTGTGCCCTAGGATTGATAACCTACAGCAGGAACACGTTGTCATAGGGCATCCCTGGACCCTTTGGAAAGGAATGAAGCCTCAATCTCCCTAGGGTCATTTCCCTAGGGTCCAGCTCACTCTCTGCCCAGAACTTGTCTTCCTGGCTGGCAGTGGCTGCAAGGGCAGAGACAGCCGTGGCTTCTCTGGGAGGAGGCTGGTAGGGCAAGAGTGTTTCCTGAGACCCCCGCTGAGGGAGGGCAGCTGAGCCAGCTGCTATGGTCACCCTGAGCAGAACCTATGCCCTGTGGGATCCACCCTCCTGCTTTGTCTTGGACGTTCGTAGGTCTGTGAGTCAAAATGCAAAGTCAAGGATGCTGGGTACCTGGGAGCTTGTGGCTGTGTCTGCTTCTTGTCTTTGGGCTCTCGGATAAGAATACATCTCTTAGAACTCACTTGGTCTCTCGTGCCATCCTATGGGTGGGCCTCTGTTTCCTAGCAGGTTTTAACTTGCTTTCGCATTCTTGCCAGGCAGAGAAAAAGTTTTCTTATTAATAGAAAAATGGTGAATGCAAGAACCTGGGGACTAGCTGCCACAGTGTCAGATTAAGGGAACAACCTAACATTTGGATCTACTTTATTAACTGGTCATCCAGTAGCCGATTGAGTGTTTGAATTGAATTAAATAAAGGGTGGGCCAGATGCCGTGGCTCATGCCTGTAATTCCAGCACTTTGGGAGGCCAAAGTGGAAGGATTGTTTGAGCCTAGGAGTTCAAGACCAGCCTGGGCAACATAGCGAGACCCCATCCCTATAAAAAGCTAAGAAATTAGCCGATTATGGTAGTGTACTCCTGTAGTCTCAGCTACTCGAGGGGCCAAGGTGGGAGGATTTCCTGAGCCCAGGAGTTCGAGGCTGCAGTGAGCTACAATTGTGCCACTGCACTCCAGCCTGGGTAACAGAGTGAGACCCTGTCTCAAGGAAAAAAAACACCAAAAAACCAAAAAACCAAAAAAACAAAAGACAAAACAAAAACCCAACAAACCCCCAAAACCAAAAAGCAAAAAAAGCCCCAAAAACCAAAAAGGAAAGGCTTGTGGGGGAGGCTGAGAAATCCCATGAAGCTGAAAAGTAGCTCAGTAGAGCATGCTTGGCCCTAAGGATGAGGCATTGGCCATTGCTGGTAAGCTGCAGGCAGAAGTGGAGATCTGCAGGGTGAGGCAACTCTTATTCTGTCCTGGATGAGGCCCCTGGGCTAGGACTGTGGGCTTCTCCAATATGGTGCCTTTAGCATTGTCAAACTTGTCCTGGTTTGCCAGGGCTTTCTGGGTTTTAACACTGAAAGCTTGTATCCTGGGAACCCCCTTAGTCCTGGGCAAGCTGGGTGGTTGATCACCCTACCTGGGGCCAGAGGGGTGGTCAGGGTCTGAAATCTGTGATGAGGGTGGGAGATGGTCTGGGTTCGAGGAGAAAGTGCACAGAAGAGGCAGCCACCCTGTGACTGTGATGAACACACAGTGTGTTCCCTATGCTTCCCCAGCACAGGTGACACTGTGACGTCGTCCTACATAGGTGTGTGTAATATCATTGTAGCAGTAGTCATGCCCAAATGCTTCTTCCAATCACAGTCGCACTCTTGGTTCACCCTAGCTTCTGAGGGCGAGAGCAGGATGGAGCGCGACAGGGCACAGCCCTCCGTGCAGCCCCACTAGCTGACGCGGGTGCTCGGTGCACATGCATGAGTGAATGTCAGGGTGTACATTCCTCACTGGGTGCCTGAAAACCATGAGGAGCTTGGAGCCAAACATCAACTTGGACGTGTTATGGCTGTGTGGCCTCTTTGGGGATTTATGCTGACTCTCTGAACCATGGTTTTCTCCTGGTAAAATGAATATGAAAATGCATCTGCTTCGTAGAATCATGCTGAGGCTCTGAAGCTGTAGGGCTCAGGGCGCTCTGTGCAGGGGCCAGTCTGTGTCAGTCTCCAGATGTCCCTGTGCCAGTCTCCAGATGTCCCTTCCCTTGGGCAGCGTCGGGGACAGACTGGAGTCTCCACTTTCTCTCTCTTTGCAGTGTTCCCTTACAGTTGCCTGCTTGGACATCAGGTACCTAGGGTTGAGAGGTGCAGTGTGGCTCCAGGCAAGCCCTCAGGGAGAGCTTGGCAGTGACAATGGGGAGGGGGCTGGTGCTGTGATGGTGCACAGCTGCTGAGGGGTCTGCTGGTCAGGAGAGAGACCCGGCTCTTCAAGTAGCAGAGCGGCTTACAGCAGTTGCACACGTGGAGAGGGAAGCCCAGGACTTTGGGCAGACTCATCACGGGAGATCCTGGAGTGGATGGCTCTCAGCTCATGCATGTTGGCAAATACTGAAAAGGTGATGGGTTCAAGTGACCACAGCCTCCATTCACCAGGCAGACCCAAAGAAAAGGGACACAGGTTAATTTTCTGCCTGTAGAAATCCACCTTGATCTTCAAGCCCCGGCACACAAGGTATTCCCTCTACGAGGTCTTGTATTCCTCTTGCTAATTGTGTCTTTATTTGGGTCCCAGGGCTGTGTTCTTGCCTTTAGCTCATGTTTCGTTTTTGCTGTCTGTCTGAGTCAGTCAAGGCCATGTCTGAGTCAACTGTGGTCCTTGCTCTTAGGAGCTGGCAAGGACACGGAGGAGAAGGGGACAAAAGTGGGGTCCCCTCCTGGGGACAGGGTGCCAACACTCCTGCATTAGACATCCTGCAGCATCCCCACATCCCCAGCTGGGACAAAGCTAGACCCAGGTAGCGAGATACAGCAAAGCCTTGCATCGTGCCGAAACCTGGACAATAAAACACTGAGGAAGTTTTTGGATCTTGCACCAGGATGGTGAACTGGCCTGAGTTAGCTTGGCCAGTGATGTGAGACCACCTTTTCAAGTCTAAAGACTGAGGCAGAGGGTCAGGTGCAGTGGCTGATGCCTGTAATCCCAGCACTTTGAGAGGCTGAGGTGGGTGGATCATGAGGTCAAGAGATTGAGACCATCCTGACCAACATGGTAAAACCCCATCTCTACTAAAAATACAAAAATTAGCTGGGTGTGGCGGCGGGCACCTGTAATCCCAGCTACTTAGGAGGCTGAGGCAGGAGAATTGCTTGAACCCAGGAGGTGGAGGTTGCAGTGAGCCAAGATCATGCCATTGCACTCCAGCTTGGCAACAGAGCGAGACTTTGTCTCAAAAAAAAAAAAAAAAAAAGAAAAAAGACTGAGGCAGAGGTACTCTCCTACATGGTTGTTTTGGCTTTTGTCTTTTACTCATGTGTCTTATGCATGTGGACACACAAGTTTATGGATTGCCTTATCAACAACAAAGCAGTATTCCAACCACCTGCACAGTGTGCAGGGTCAGGTTATAGGATGACTCAAAGTTGCAAGAGTTACTGTCTTAATCCAGAATATTTCATACCACTAATACCTTCTTCCAGGTTCTTTGGCATAGGAGTTTTTTCTTTTTCTTTTTTCGATGGGTAGTGAAGATACTCCTGGGAACATTGGATGCTTTGTAAGCATAAGTGATGGGGCTTATAAGTAGACACATGGGCCAGCTGGCAATAGAACCAGGAGGGGTGAGAGGGTCCCCTCTGCAAGGTGGAGAGTATAGGCCAGGGCTGTTGGCTTCTGGGGGACTTCCATTCTATTAAAATTAGCCTCTCCTTGGCCCCCAACACTCCATGCTATGGAAGATGGAAGGGGAGGGCAAACCTCAACACGGCAGTAGGACCCCATCTTAGTCAGCTACCATAACAAAATACTATAGACTGCACCACTTGAACAACAGAACAGCAGAAATTCACAGTTCTGAGCCTGGAAGTCCAAGCCTCAGAACTGTCCAAGATCAGAAGTCCAAGATCAGGGAGCCAACATGGTGGGGTTCTGGTGACCCCCCTCCCTTCTATCCTATGGGATTAGGACCTCACTCTTTTGGCTTCATTGAGCCTTAATTACCTCCTGATATGGTTTGGCTGTGTCCCCACCCAAATCTCATAGTGAATTGCAGTTCACATAATCACCACATGTTGCGGAGGGACCCTGTGGGAGGTAATTGAATCATGAGGGCGTTTACTTCCATGCTGTTCTTGTGAAGAGCATGGTTTTATAAGGGGCTTCCCCTCTTTTGCTCTACACTTCTTGCTGCTGCCATGTGAAGAAGGACATGTTTACTTCCCCTTCTGCCATGATTATAAATTTTCCGAGGCCTCCCCAGCCATGCTGAGCTATGAGTCAATTAAACCTCTTCCCTTTATAAATTACTCAATCCTAGGTATATCTTTATTAGTAGCATGAGAATGGACTAATACACCTCCTGAAGACACTATCTCCAAAGACAGTCACATTGGAAGTTAGGGCTTCAACATATGAATTTTAGGAGGGGGAGAATTCAGTTCATAGCAACCCCAGAGCCCAGAGGCCAGTAGTGCCACCAGCGCATTAGGTGTGTTGGGTGACTATGGGCAGGGCATTTAGGGTATTGCACACAGAAGGTACTGGTTGAACCAGGAGTCATTCTTAATTTTCTTTCCTTCCCTTAACTTCTGAACCTGTAACTGTGTTGACTCTGCCTCCAAAACAGATGCTAACTCAGTCGGTGTCTCCACCTCCACTGCCCCCTGGTCCAAGCTGCTGTAATCTCTCACCTGAACTGCTCCATCAGCCTCCTTGTGCATCTCCCTGATTCCACTGCAGAATGTTTGCAACAAAGCACCCAGAGTGATTTTTTAAACAGAAATCTGGTCCGGCCACTACCCTGCCTAAAACCCTTCCATGGCAGCTTTCCATTGCATTAGAATAAGGCCCTAACCATATCTTTTGCCCACTTTTTGATGGGGTTGTTTGTTTTTTTCTTGTAAATTTGTTTAAGTTACTTGTAGATTCTTGGTATTAGACCTTTGTCAGACGGGTAGATGGCAAAATTTTTCTCCCATTCTGTAGGTTGCCTGTTCACTCTCATGCTACTTTCTTTTGCTGTGCAGAAGCTCTTTAGCTTAATTAGATCCCATTTGTCAATTTTGGCTTTTGTTGCTATTGCTTTTGGTGTTTTCATCATGAAGTCTTTGCCCATGCTTATGTCTTGAATGGTATTGCCTAGGTTTTCTTTTAGAATTTTTATGGCTTTGGGTTTTACATTTAAGTCTTTAATCCATCTTGAGTTAATCTTTGTATAAGGTGTAAAGAAGGGGTCCAGTTTCAGTTTTTTGCATATGGCTAGCCAGTTTTCCCAGCAGCATTTATTAAATGCAGAATCCTTTCCCCACTGCTTGTTTTTGTCCGGTTTTTTGAAGATCAGATGATTCTAGAACTGTGGTGTTACTCGTGACGGTTCTGTTCTATTCCATTGGTCTGTATGTCTGTTTGGTACTAGTACCATGCTGTTTTGGTTACTGTGGCCTTGTAGTATAGTTTCAAGTCAGGTAGAAGACATTAATGCAGCCAGCAAACATATAAAAAAAGCTCATCATCACTGATCATTAGAGAAATGCGAATAAAAACCACAATGAGATACCATCTTACACCAGTCAGAATGACGTTTATTAAAAAGTCAAGAAACAACAGATGCTGGCGAGACTGTGGAGAAATAGGAATGCTTTTACACTGTTCGTGGAATGTAAATTAGTTCAACCATTGTGGAAGACAGTGTGGTGATTCCTCAAGGATCTAGAACCAGAAATACCATTTGACCCAGCAATCCCATTACTGGGTATATATCCAAAGGAATATAAATCATTCTGCTATAAAGACACATGCACACATATGTTTATTGCAGCACTATATACACTAGCAAAGACATGGAACCAACCCAAATGCCCATCAATGATAGACTGGATAAAGAAAATGTGGTACATATTCACCATGGAATACTACACAGACATAAAGAATGAGATCATGTTCTTTGCAGGGATGTGGATGAAGCTGGAAGCCATCATCCTCAGCAAACTAACACAGGAACAGAAAACCAAACACCACATGTTCTCACTCATAAGTGGGAGTTGAACAATGAGAACACATGGACCCAGGGAGGGGAACATCACACACTGGGGCCTGTTGTGGGGAGGGGGGAGGGGGGAGGGATAGCATTGGGAGATATACCTAATGCTAGATGATGAGTTAGTGGGTGCAGCGCACCAGCATGGCACATGTATACATATGTAACTAACCTGCACATTGTGCACATGTACCCTAAAACTTAAAGTATAATAATAAAAAAAAAATAAAAAAAGAAAAAGCTGAAAGAGCAGTTTTCCAGAAAAACAATATTATTTATTTATTTATTTATTTAAGATGGGGTCTCACTCTGTCACTTAGGCTGGAGCACAACGGTGCAGTCAGCTCACTGCAGCCTCGACCTCCTGGGCTCAAGTGATCCTCTTGCCTTAGCCTCCCAAGTAGCTGAGACTGCAAGCATGAGCCACCACACCCAGCTAATTTTTAAAAAATTTTGGGGTCTTGCTATGTTGCCCAGGCTTGTCTTGAAATCCTGGCCTCAAGTGATCCTCCTGCCTTGGCCTCCCAAAGCGCTGAGCCACTGTGCCTGACTTTGGTTGAAGAATCTTTAAGAAGCACAAAGACCACTACCATTACTTCCAAGCCAAATTTTCTTTTGAGAATTTCAAGAACAATTGAACATTTGAAGACAATTTTTAAAATCCTAGAAAACAAGGGTGGGGCATCACTGTCCTGGTCTTGGGTCATCTCCTTGGATGCCTTTGGCCAGGAAACACAGGCTGCCAAGCTAAGTTTGTGGGACAGGTTGAGGCCTCTTACGCTGTCAAGAGGAAAGTTCTCAGGTACACCAGTGAGCATTGCACAGGCACGAGGAAGCCACAGGTGACCCCAGCCCACTGCCGTGTGCTCTCCCTGCCCTGTGGGGTCTGGCTGCTTTAGGGTTCTTCTTGGACTCCAATTCCAATTGCTTCTGGGATCTTTCACAGGTATTGTTCTCTCTCCTTGGAGTAATATTCTCTTTCTTCATTTCCTTAAATCCTAGCTAGAAGCTTAAAGCTTCCTGAAGATTGGCCAGGCGTGGTGGCTCTCGCCTATAATCCCAGCACTTTGGGAGGCCAAGTCGGGTGGTTTACCTGAGGTCAGGAGTTCAAGACCAGCCTGGCCAACATGGTGAAACCCCGTCTCTACTAAATATACAAAAAATTAGCCAGGCGTGGTGGTGCATGACTATAATCCCAGCTACTCAGGAGGCTGAGGGAGGAGAATCACTTGAACCTGGGAGGCAGAGGTTGCAGTGAGCCAAGATCACACTACTGCACTCCAGTCTGGGCAACAGAGTGAGACTCCATCTCAAAGAAAAAAAAAAAAAAGCTTCCTGAAGACCTCTCTGGCATGTCACCCTCTACCTTGCCCCCACCACCCACGAGTTCTCCTTCATCTGAGTTCATCCAGTGCTCATGATCTTTGTGGTCTTCAGTGTTCCAGGCTGGTGAATGGACAGAGGATGGGCTTTGGGGATCACAGAGACCAGGACTCTAATCTCAACTCAGCCTCTCCCAGCTGTGTAGTTCTATACCAACTGGGAATAGGGACACCTACCCTGACGGCTTAAATCAAGGTTATTTACTATTCTCTTTAATTCCCCAGCTACATTGCAATTCCCTTGGGGTCACATAGAGCCCAGGGCCGATCTAACATCCAAACTGTTAAGAAGTATTTGTGTTGCATGGAAAAAAGATAATAAATGCGAAGATGACTTGAAAAATAGAAAGCGATTTCTTTCTCCCAGAATTTAACTGTAGGAAAGTTCATTTGGATGATTAAATGAGTAATAATAGGCAAGGGAATTTGGGGGGGGCGGGGAAGAATGATGAAGAATTTGTATTAGATATGAAAATGCATTTTAAAGGCACAAAATAGATCAAGATGACGAAACACAAAAAATCCAGAAGCAGACCTGCCATAGCTCAGGCTCTCTGGAAAACAGAGCTTGAGGCAAGGATTAAAGGGCTGATGCTTCATTTGGGAGGTGCAAACTGCAGGCAGAGAGAGAGAGAGAGAGAGAGAGAGAGAGACAGAGAGAGAGAGAGAGAAGGGGGAAAGAGAGAGGAGGCATGAAGCATAGAGGGATGGGAAGAAATGTGTATGGTCCTGCCCCATGCTGGCTGGGGAGAGACACAGCAGGTGGCTTAGCAGGTGCCTCTGCTTGGCGTCTCCATCTTCTCCAGATCGGGTGTGTGCAGAAACTCTGTCTCTAAGTAGTCGGTGGGTGACAGGGAAGAGAAATTAGTGTGCCTGGCTCCTTCCCTTTTCTCCTTTCCCCCTGGTCACAGTTCACTCTGTGGGGAGTACCTTCCCCACATTTTTGCATTGCATCTTCTGGGTATCACTTTTGGCAGCTTCTCAGAACATCGGCTCCATACTCAGAGATGAGGTGCTTCCTGTAAGTCTAGAAGTGACTTGAGATGCCAGAGACACTAGGTGTGTGCCTGGGCTGTTGGTTGTACAGTGGTGGCCAAGAAGTGGGGGGGCGAGTTTGGGATTAGAAGTTGGGGAGTGAGACACTCACTTCAGGTGCACCATTTAAAGGTGTGCCAGAAAACTCAGCCATAAAGCTGAATCATATTTTAATGCAATATTTTAAAAAGTGAAAATTAATGCAAAAACTCTTGATGAACAAAATATCAACATTCTAAATAAAGACAGAATCCAAAAGGGTGGGGATTAAAATGAAGAGAGTGACGTGCCAGTGCAGGGCTGGGTCTTGTCTTGATTTAAAATTTTGCTGTTTTGTTTATCCTGGACTTTTTATTTTATGCAGCTTTGGAGGAACATTTTTGGACATACTGAGTTTGAGACATGGAGTAGGCATCCAGGTGGCGATGACTGGGAGCTTAGAGCCTGGAATTAGGGAGGGAGGCTGGGCTGAGATGTAGACCTGGGAACTGGCAACAGGGAGCTAATAGCTGAAGCAAGGGGATCGGGCAGGTGCCAAGGGCATGAGTGCAGCTAGAGAAGAGATGAACCCCCTGCACCTCAAAATGTAGAGCTTATTGAGAAGGAGCCAATTGAGAGGCTACAGATAGGAAAGTGGGAAGGGAGTCCACCAAAATGCCAACAGTCATGGTGTTTTAGGTGAAAGGTGAAATTGTGGGTGGTTTCATTTTGCTTATCCATATGTACACATTTCTCAAGAATAAGCATCTATTACTTGTGCCATGAAAAAACTCTCCACATTTCCAAGATACTGTCATGTCGATGGGTGGATGTGCAGGGAAGGAGCTGATCAGAAGGACAGGCTTATTAGGAAGTGCTCAGTGCCAGCCATGTGGGGCTCTCTGGGGCCAGCTGGGTCATTCTCCGCATTTTACCAGTGATGGGCAGTAGAGTGGATTTGCTATATTTCAAGCACTCAGGTATCTTGAAGCTCAGGGGCAACGGTTCTGGACTATTTACTAGTGTTTGTCCTTCCTTCCTTCCTTCTTCCTTCTTCCTTCCTTCCTTCCTTCCTTCCTTCCCTTCCCTTCACTTCCCCTTCCTTCCCTTTCCTTCCTTCCTTCCTTCCCTCCTTCTTTCTTTCCTTCCTTCTCTTTTCTCTCTCTCTATTTACTAGTGTTTGTCCTTCCTCCCCTCTCTCTCTCTCCCCCCTCCCTCTACCTTTCAACATTATCTTACTATATCTCACCCAGGCTGGAGTGCAGTGATGTGATCACAGCTCACTGCAGCCTTCAACTCTTGGGCTCACAAGATTCTCCCACCTCAGCCTCCTGAGTAGCTGGGACTACAGATGTGCTCCACTGCGCCCAGCTAATTTTTTTTAAATTTTCTTCATAGAGGTGGCGTCTTGCTATATTGCCCAGGTTGGTCTTGAACTCCTACCTCCTCCACCTCTCAAAGTGCTGGGATTATGGGTACAAGAGCTAAATTCGATTAGGAGGCTTGGCCTTTGGTGGGCTCTTCTTTGGGGGTGGGGGTTGAGCAGGGGGACGGCTTAACTGTTTTCCTTGGTGAGGGGCACAGGCATCTTTCTAGAAGCTGTAGGGACTATATGTTTACCCTGTTAGATTACTGAATAGGTAATTTGGGTACAAATTTATCACAATGGTGTATAATAAAAATTCCAATCACATGTGGCTAGTTCCCACCAAGCATCTATTAAAAATGAAGAAATGTGCCCTCTCATTTCAAGCATTTGTTGAGTGCCTACTGTGTACAAGCACCATGCTAGTAAGAGAGCCTCCTATCGCTTCTGCTATGAAACCTGCAATCCAGCAGGAGAGAAGGAATACATTAGATTAATTATCGCACAGATCGTTAATTGAATTATGATAAATATTTTGAGGAAAGAGAGCACATAGCAGAGAGACTGACCTGGTCTCAGTGGTCAGGGCAGGCTCCTCTGAAGGAGGGGCCTAAAGCAGATGCAAGAAGGATGAGTAGGATGTGGCAGGTGACAGAGAGGCACACCGGGAGGGAGCGACGTTCTCCTAAGCACACCCTCCAACAGAGACCCCTGTTTGCAATGGTAGGGCCCCTTTTTAAGGGTACCATGTTGGCATGGTGATAATATACTGAAGAAACGCCAGGCGTGGTGGCTCATGCCTGTAATCCCAGCACTTTGGGAGGCTGAGGTGGGTGGATCACCTGAGGTCAGGAGTTCGAGGCTAGCCTGGCCAACATGGTAAAACCCCATCTCTACTAAAAATACAAAAAATTAGCTGGGCGTGGTGGCAGGTGCCTGTAATCCTGGTTACTCTGGAGGCTGAGGAATGAGGATCACTTGAACCTGGGAGACAGAGGTTGCAGGGAGCCAAGATCATGCCACTGCACTCCAGCCTGGGTGACAGAGTGAGACTCCATCTCAAAAAAAAAAAAAAATGCCAGGCACGGCGGCTCATGCCTGTAATCCCAGCACTTTGGGAGGCTGAGGCAGGTGGATCATGAGATCAGGAGATCAAGACCATCCTGGCTAACATGGTGAAACCCCGTCTCTACTAAAAATACAAAAAATTAACAGGGCGTAGTGGCGGACGCCTGTAGTCTCAGCTACTCAGGAGGCTGAGGCAGGAGAATGACGTGAACCCGGGAGGCGGAGCTTGCAGTGAGCCGATATCGCACCACTGCACTTCAGCCTGGGTGACAGAGTGAGACTCTGTCTCCCAAAAAAAAAAAAAAAATATATATATATATATGTATATATACATATGTGTGTGTATATATATATATATGTGTGTGTGTGTGTATATATATATATGTATATATATATATGAATGAAACATTAGCAAAAGATTGTGAAAACACCACGGCAGGATGTGTGGAGAAGGCTCACTCCCCAACACCCCAACCACAACACACTCCCCAACACCCCAACGCAGGTGCCTTCCCTCCTGGCCTTACCTCCTTGGGGCAGTGGGGGGACCATGACAGAGATGAGTTGTTCTTGGGAATAGATTGGAGACACTGAGACTGCATCAGAGTGTGAGTGGGCCCCTGAGTGGGAAGCTGAGCCTGGGATAGGGGCTGGGGTGGGAACTGGACACGTGGAGGTCACTTCCCTGGAGGTGTGAGCACAAGGTCACTGGGAAGAGACATGAGAGAGAGGACAGGTGAGCTCAGAACCTCAGGAAATTCTACATTTAGGAGGCATGAGAAGGGATTGTCAGGAGAAGGGGTAAGGGGGAAGTAGAGGAGAAGGACCCCAGAATCCAACGAGAAGGAGAATTGAGATGGCAAGGGCTTGAGGGGCATTGGGGGTGGAGAGGAGGAAGCACTGTGCAATAGAGGAGAGGGACCCCTGTTTTGCTGTGTGCCTGCTGACCCCTGAGTCTACTCATCTGCTTACCTGGCCCAGGCCTGGAGTAGCCCTGGGGAGCTCAGCTCCGGGATGTCTCTGGCCTGGGGCCATCATGAATGCTTCAGTCCCATCACAGCCATTCCTGCGCTTCTGACTAAGGGTGGGCTAGGCTTCAGAGAGCCCCTGCCAGGCTGTTGATGCCAGCAGGCTTCTGCCACTAGGATCTTCCTACTCCCTGCCTGTGGACAAACCAGAAAACAGCCTTTCAGTTGCCCCACTGCCGCCCTGCCCTCAGGATGCCCTCTTCCCCCTACACTGACCTCTGTATGCCCAGGAATTTTTAGGCAGCAGCTGGACCTGTTCTCCTTCTTCCTCTAAACCCCCCAGGGTTGAGCAGGGGAGGGGGGATACTCCTGGGGAAGCTGCTTTCCAGCATACTGTGTGGCGGTGACAAAGTCAGAGGTACCAGGTGCGGAAATACTGCAACTTTCTTTATGCTTCTGTAAATCAGATGAGTCTCTGTTTCAAACCCCTGTGTGCTCAGTGGTAGAGGCTCAATCTAATCCGTTCTGGGGAAACACAGTTAATTGGAGGTTCCTCAGTTGAGGTGAGGATTCCCCACCCCTCTTCTCCGTGGGATGGAGGGCGTGGCTTGTGCACAGGCACTAGGGCCAGCCAGGGGTCCTTCAGTGCTGCTGCCTATGACTTCCCACATCCATGACATGTCTGCCCCTGCCTGGCCCTCATCTTTTTTTTTTTTTTAATTTTACTTCAAGTTCTTGGATATATGTGCAGAATGTGCAGGTTACATAGGTATACATGTGCCATGGTGGTTTGCTGTACCTATCAACCTGTCATCTAGGTTTTAAGCCCCACATGCATTAGGTATTTGTCCTAATGCTCTCCCTCCCCTTGTCCCCCAACCCCTGACAGGCCTCAGTGTGTGTTGCTTCTCTCCCTGTGTCCATGTGTTCTCATTATTCAGCTCCCACTTATGAGTGAGAACATGCAGTGTTTGGTTTTCTGTTCCTGTGTTAGTTTGCTGAGAATTATGGTTTCCAGCTTCATGCATGTCCCTGCAAAGGACATGAACTCATTCTTTTTTATGGCTGCATAGTATTCCATGGTGTATATGTGCCACATTTTCTTTATCCAGTCTATCACTGATGGGCATTTGGGTTGGTTCCAAGTCTTTGCTATTGTAAATAGTGCTGCAATAAATATACAAGATGAGCCTGGCCCGCATCTTGAAGCCTGGCGCCCCAGCTCCATATGCTTTCTCTCCCATCCAATTGCACCTTCTTCCCAGGTGTAGGGGAAAGGTTGGTTGTTTTCCTGGACAGCTCTGGAGCATGGGGTAACTGAGAGGGGCTGATTCAGACCTACCTGTTCCCCACGTGATCAAACATGTCCTTTCCCTCCCAGCCTAGTGGTGCAGGGAGTTCCGCAGGATGTTAGATATGGTCTGGCTGTGTCCCCACCCAAATCTCAACTTGAATTTTAGCTCCCATAATTCCCAAGTGTTGTGGGAGGGACCCAGTGGGAGATAATTGAATCATGGAGGTGGTTTCCCTTATACTGTTCTCGTGATAGTGGATAAGTCTCACAAGATCTGATGGCTTTACAAAGGGGAATTTCCCTGCACAATCTCTTTCTTGCCTGCCACCATGTAAGACATACCTTTTTGCCTTCTGCCATGATTGTGAGGCCTCCCCAGCCACATGAAACTGTGAGTCTATAAACCTCTTTTTCTTTATAAATTATGCAGTCTCGGGTATGTCATTATCAGCAGCATGAAAATGAACTAATATAATGTTGGATCCTGCTAAGTTGGGGGATGGGACCCAGGTGTCCTCAGACAGCCCTACCAGCCTCACACTTTGTACTGTTCTCCCCTTTGATCAATCAGTATTGATTGAGTGATGGGAGCACCTGGGTTGTATGTGACTCCTAATGTTTTCCCACCCGCTTCTCAACTTTTGAAAGATGGCTGGGTGTGGTGGCTCACACCTGTAATCCTAGCATTTCGGGAGGCCAAGGTGGGAGGATTCTTTGAGGCCAGGAGTTTGAGGCCAACCCCGGGCAACATAGTGAGACCTCATCTTTATAAAAAATAAAAAAATGAGCTGAGTGTGGTGGCGTGTGCCTGTAGTCCCAGAGGCTGAGGCGGGAGGTTCGCTTGAGCCTGGGAGGCTGAGGCTGCAGTGAGCCATGATTGCACCACTGCAATCCAGTCTGGGCAAGACAGTGAGACTCTGTTGAAAAAAAAAAAAAAAGGAAGAAAGACAAAAGTAAAAAACTTGATGCCTTTGTGCTCTTGTTTGTAACTTCTCTACAGCAGCGGATGCCATGCCTGGAGCTACCTGCGCAGTGAAAGGCGGTTGGGCTTTGGGGGAGCACAGAGGTCCGGACCTGCTGTTTTCCTTCATGGGCTTTGCAGCCCCTGACCCTCGCCTCCCCTGTGGTCCTTGGACCTTGGAATCGCATGCCTCCATGCAACAGCTATGACTCCCTGAGGCGGGATTGCAAAAACAGTTCATGTTTAGGCGACAGCATGCATCAACGTGGGAAGAATTGTCCCTCCATGTCACTGGTTCCGGAAATGTAAGTAAAAATAAACATAAAGTGGTGGCTCACGCCTGTAATCCCAGAACTTTGGGAGGCCGAGACAGGCGGATCACGAGGTCAGGAGATCGAGACCATCCTGGCCAACATGGTGAACCCATGTCTCTACTAAAAATACAAAAATTAGCTGGGCGTGTTGGCACATGCCTGTAATCCCAGCTGCTCGGGAGGCTGAGGCAGGAGAAATGCATGAACCAGGGAGTTGGAGGTTGCAGTGAGCCAAGATCGTGCCACTGCACTCCAGCCTGGCGACAGAGTGAGACTCCATCTCAAAAAATAAAATAAAATAAATAAAATAAAATATAAACATAAAGCAGAAGGGTCCACAAAGAATGTCCTTTCCCTACCTACCTGGAGGGAATGAACCTTCTGGGGCCACCAGGTGTTCTCAGTGACCTCAGCGGACCTAAGGAAGGCCAGAATATAGAGGCCTGTGTCAGAAATGTGTGGTCTGAGATGGCTGATTGGTCACGTGTTGAAGAAGAGACTGGTGGTCATGGTGGTCTTGGGCTTAGTTATTGTATATGGCCATCAAGATTCAGGATGCAGAGTCTGAAGGATGCCATGAGATTGCTTGATGAAAAGGAGGCAGGATTTTGCTAGACCTACTGTGTGCTAGGCACTGCAGATAGAGATCATTACCACATCCCTCCCATCCTCAAATTGCTCATAGACAGTGGTGGAGATGGACTCTAAGCAGATGATTACATGACAGAGTCTAGCCCAAAGTCTGGTACCTCACCTGGATGGGTGAATGGCCAGATAGGGGGATTGAGAGAAATCTGAACATGGCAGAGAAGTAGACACAAACGAGAGAGGAATTCACTCCACTGGGGCTAGGATGGTGGAGAGCTTCAGTGAACATGGCACTGGGGATGCCAAGACTTGAAGTCTAGTCCTGAAGCTGTGCTCCCACTGTAGCCCCTGCAAGCTACCCCTGCTTTCTGGGTCTTATTTTCTCCATGTCTACTAGACTGATGATTGACCAGATCAGAGGCTGTGAACTCAGATACCTTCAGGGGCCAGGATGTTAGAATACCTGTGTGCTGTGGGCTGGGAGTGGCCCCCCGAGGCTGGAGTGTGTGTGTTTGTTAAATGGGGCATCTGCGATGCTGCCTGGACATTTCTGCTGTGTGGCAATATGGGTCCATTTTGGCTACATCTTTCAAGTTCCCAAAGGAGCTGGGAATCTGAACATTTGTGGGAAATTTCTGATTTCTAAGTGGCAAATATTTCCATTAAAGAGGAAAAACAACACTGTATGGGGCAAAAATTCTGTGGGTTCAATTTGGCCCTTGTTCCTCTAGGGACTGGGTGCTCTCAGAGGGTTTTCCCCACTTGGATAGCCAGGGAATCATTGTTAAGTCAAGATTCTCTGTGGCACAGAAATTCTGCCATTGAGGTCACGGAGCACTGTGAGGCACCCACAGATGCCTTAGTCTGGTGGGCATGTGTGGCCACCATGTCTTCCAGAGAACCCAAGGACCATCTGTAGAATCTGCATCCAGTCCTGATACCCTCCTTCCCTCATATTGTGATCTTACCCTAAAGCCTTGCTCATTAATTCAACATTTAAAATGTTAAAAAATAGATTTAGAGGCCTGGCGCGGCGGCTCATGCCTGTAATCCCAGCACTTTGGGAGGCTGAGGCGGGCGGATCATGAGGTCAGGGGATCGAGACCATCCTGGCTAACACGGTGAAACCCCATCTCTACTAAAAATACAAAAAATTAGCAGGGCGTGGTGGCGGGTGCCTGTAGTCCCAGCTACTCAGGAGGCTGAGGCAGGAGAATGGCGTGAACCTGGGAGGCGGAGCTTGCAGTGAGCCGAGATCGTGCCACTGGACTCCAGCCTGGGTGACAGAGCGAGACTCCATCTCAAAAAAAAAACAACAAAAAAACAAAAAAACAAAAAACAAAAAACAAAAAACAAGAAAACGAAACAAAGATTTAGATTTAGAAGGTGCAGTTACGTTGCAGGGATATATTGCCTAGTGGTGAAGTCTGGGCTGTTAGTGTAACCATCACCTGAATTGTGAACATTTGTATCTAGCAGGTAATTTCTCATCCCTCACCGCCTCCCACCTTCCCACCCTCTTACCTTTCCTAGTCTCCAGTGTCTAATAATAATATTTATTCGTTATTAAAAGACATTATCCAATGCTGTAATATTTATTTAAGCTTCTAGGCGACAGATTTGTTAAAAGCACAACTACTTTTAAGAATTTTCTATGAACCCTCATAGACACTGATTCCCAAACCAGGAAAAAGAGATCCCATGGTTACAATGCACAGTCCTCCTTTGGCTGAGAAAACAAGGTGATCTCAAGGTCATGGAGCACTTCAAAGCTGGGAGGCTGCCCACCTGGCTTTGGGAATAGCGCAGCCCCTCACCTGGAGCCCAGTAGGCAAAGCTGCAGACCGGGACTTCCGTCTTTGAGCATGTACGCTCTGCTTGTTGGGCTCTAAAACACTTTCCTCCCAGCAGGGCCAAGTCTTTGCAGAGGAGTGAGGTGGAAGCCTGGAGCAGCCCACGACTCCGATGTGCACCTGGCCAAGCAACCCCTCTTGAGTGGCCACTTCCCGGGCTGCAATAATTCATCACGGGCGGGTTCACAAATGTACTTAAGAAAGAAGGGATGATCTATTTTGTACATGCTCCTTAAAGGGATTCCATTTTAACTCCAATTGTAATTTTTACCTTTTTCAGGGGAATTTATTGACACAGCGCCTAGCTCAGCCCTAGTTTTCGGCACCATTCTTTTGTGTGCAAGCGCACTCACCAGCCGCTTAATTTGTCATAGCCCTGGAGGTATCAGAACTAATGAGCTTTGTTTGAATAGACTTTTTCCAGTTCATCTAGCACACTTTGGGGTAATCACTCAGTTTCTGTTTGCTTCTGATCCAAAGCATTGTGGGAAATATAAGAAAATAATGGTTAAAAAAGCAGTATAAATTGGTAACAGCCACATTTTCTGCAAAGCCCTGAAGATGTTATTTTTTAAATTTCTCCACTTATTGAAGTATTGAGAGTGCTCTAAGTACAACCATTACAATATAATATCAGAGGAAAATCTGATAAAATGCTATTTTTCAATTAGCTAGAAGTTTATACTTCGCCTTCTTTAAGCAGTTCATAGCTAACAAATCTTTAAACAATCTAACCTCTTAAGGTTTGGAAGTGGACAGATAATAACTGTGAACACATAACAGTGTGTCAGCCGAGGATTAAAAAATCTATTACTGGGATTACATACAGGAATGCTTTTTATTGGTCAGACAATTGCATTTTCATTTTTATTTTTATAAAGCAGCTTCTCCTATTTCCCATTTCACCAAGCATGTGGTCGAAGGTGAGGAAGTGAAGCTTAGGTGTAGAGACTACACAGGCCATGCAGGTGGGGTCTGGGGGCCTCTGCTTTCAACCTTCACTTCCTAGGGAGGGCTGTCATCTGAGCCACTCAGGTTGGCAGGCTGTGCCTAGCGCAGGTCATCTTTTAAATTTTATTTTTATTTTTTAGAGACAGGGTCTTACTGTGTCACCCAGGCTGGAGTACAGTGGTGTGATCATAGCTCACTGCAGCCTTGAACTCCTGGGCTCAAGTATTCCTTGTGCCTTAGCCTCCTGACTAGCTAAGAGGTAGCTAGGACTATAGGTGCATGCAAGCATGCCCAGGTAGTTTTAAAATTATTTTTATTATTATTATTATTTTCAGACAGAGTCTAGCTCGGTCCCTGAAGCTGGAGTGCAATGGCACGATCTTGGCTCACTGCGACTTTCACCTCCCAGGTTCAAGCGATTCTCCTGCCTTAGCCTCCCGGGTGGCTGGGACTACAGGCATGCATCACCATGCCCGGCTAATTTTTGTATTTGTAGTAGAGAAGGGTTTTCGCCATGTTGGCCAGGCTGGTCTCGAACTCCTGACCTCAGGTGATCCACCTGCCCTGGCCTCCCAAAGTGCTGGGATTACAGGCTTGAGCCACCATGCTCGACCAATTATTTTTTAGAGATAGGGTCTTGCTATGTTGCCCAGGCTGGAACGCAGTGGTTTTATCATAGCCCTCTTCAGCCTTAACCTCCTGGGTTCAAGTGATCCTCCTGCCTTGGCCTCCAGAGAAACTGGAATTATAGGTACACATCACCATGCCCAGCTAATTTTTTCTTTTATTTTTCATATATGGGGTCTCGCTACATTGCCCAGGCTGGTCTCAAACTCTTGGGCTCAAGTGATCATCCTGCCTTGGCCTCCCAAAGTGCTGGGATTACAGGTGTGAGCCACTGCTTCCAGACCTTTTTTTTTTTTTTTTTTTTTAAATTTTTTAGGATCACTACACACACTCCCTATGACCAGAGGTGTGGTTTTAAAGATTTCTGAAATCTGTGAAATGGGCCAATTTGACAGAACCCCTGATTTCCCCAGATATCCTGCCCAGTGCAGTGGGGACTTCAAAGATGCTGGGATGGCCTTTCCCAGTGGGAGAGAGAGAGAGAGAACAATGTTTATGGTATAACACAAGTTGCACAGTGGCAGAAATGGCTTTGGGTGGATATGCCATGCAAGGGTCGGACATTCCTGCCATTTAGTGAAAGGGGTGGCTGGCATACTAAGAGGTCACCTGGCACAGATGAGTCTCCAGTGAATTTTGGCTTTCACAGTCAGCGTCCCTGTGAATGGGGCAGGAATTATCAGCTTCATTTTGCAAATGAGGAAACCAAGCCTCTGAGCCGTTTAGATCACCTGCCTCTTGGTCACATGGTGGCAAGTAGAAGGGGCATGTCTTGAACCCAGTGCTCCTTCCGTCTCATCACGCGACCTGAACTCTCCCCCTGGGGTGAGGCTGGGGTGACCATGCCTCACCAGCAGTGGCTGCAGCAGCCATGGTGGAGACTTAGCAGCGCCCAGGGAATCCAGGGCCCATGCCAAGCTCTGCGGACTACTCCAAGGTGAGTAAGAGCCCCAGATCTCAGGGGACTGAGCTCCAGGGCAGAGTGGATGCTCAGGAAGATACTCAGAAGCCGTGAGCCAGGGCAAGGGTGGCCGGAGGACTGGCATTCCGGTCCAGGGAGAGGTGCTGCCAGCTGAGAGCAGGGATAGCTGGCTTGGTGTTCTGGGGGACTTTGCTCTTTTTGGGCAGCACCACGACAAACTTCTGGGGAGTGCCAGAGAATCCATATGGAAAGGTGTGGGTGGAAGGCTGGCCTGGGGCTGCCAGGTGAGGAGGAGTTTGAGCAGTTCTGTGGGACCCTGGGGAGCCACGTAGGGGTCCTGGGAGGGCAGAGACTTGATGAAATTTGCATTTGGAACTGTCGCTCTGGAGGCAGAGAGAGGGATGGATCAGATAGGCTGAGGCTGCAGAGGGAACAGCAGGAGATGTTCCTGGGCCTTGGTCTTGTTATCTGTACAAGGAGGTTGTTTGATTGGTGTCTTAGCTACTGCTGCATAACAAACCAGCTCAAGGCTTAGGGACTTAAAGGAACTACCACTCTGAGTTTGGCTGGACACTGCTACTGTCTGGGCCCTTTGGCTGGTTTCTGCTGGGCTTGCTGTGCATTCAGCTGGCAGGTTAATGGGCAGCTGGGTGATCTAGGTTGGCTTCCCTGGCACGTCTGGGATTGGCTGGCAGGCAGTCAGCTGGGGCATCTTGGCTTTTCTCTATGAGGGCTTTCGTCTTCCAGGGTAGGAGAGAGAAATGGGTAAGATAGCGCCCACCAACTCTCTCCTTCCTCCGTTCCAGCCATCAGCGAGGCCTCTGACCCAACCCTTTATTTGCCCTGACTTGCAGAAATTCTCTCTCTCCACATGTGGGCTTGGAGTGAGCTCTTTAATAATAATATTAGCTGTTGTTATTATTGAAGTCAGTTATACATGTCGTTACTGTTTTAAGCAGAATGCAGTGGCATGTGCCTGTGGTCCCAGTGGTCCCAGTTACTCAGGAGGCTGAGGCGGGAGGATTGCATGAGGCCAGCAGTTCCAGACCGGCCTGGGCAACATAGCAAGACCCCATCTCTACAAAAAATATTCATAAAAAAACTAGTTGGCTGTGGTGGTCCATTTCTGTAGTCCCAGCTACTTGGGAGGCTGAGGTGGGAGGATTGCTTGCACCCAGGAGTTGAAGGCCACAGTGAGTTGTGAGTATGCCTCTGAGTAGCCACTGCATTCCAGCTTGGGCAACACAGTGAGACTCCAACAACTAAAAAAAGACTCACATCATGGGAGGGTCAAGTCCATACATTTGCTAGTCCCTAGGGCCAGCATCTCAGCAGTAAAGCCTTATGCATGTGCATTGTATCCCTTCTTTTGAGCCTATAAACCAACCTTCTAAGAATGATAGAAGGGGTATTATTTCCTCCCCCATTTTATGGCTGGGAGGATTGAGATCTAAGGAGAAGCTTGTCTAGTGTTAGTTGCAGAATAGGGACTTTTGCCTTCCCTCTTTCCACTGTACCACCTTGCCTCACAATCCTGACTTATTATTAGTGGTGGCCCACTGTGACCCTTAGATCATTTTCCTTCCTTCCTTCCTTCCTTCCTTCCTTCCTTCCTTCCTTCCTTCCTTCCTTCCTTCCTTCCTGCCTTCCTGCCTTCCTGCCTTCCTGCCTTTCCTCCCTTCCTCCCTCCCTCCTGCCTGCCTTCCTGCCTGCCTTCCTCCCTGCCTTCCTTTCCTTCTTTTTTGAGACAGGATCTTGCTCCTTTGCCTAGGCTGGAGTGCAGTGGCTCAATCATAGGTCACTGCAGCCTCCACCTCCTGGGCTCAAGCCATCCTCCCAAGTAGCTAGGACTACAGGTGCACACCACCATGCCTGGCTAATTTTTAATTCTTTTTGTAGAGACAGGACCTCACTTTGTTTCCCAGACTGGCCTGGAACCCCTGGGCTCAAGCAATCTTCCTGCCTTGGCCTCCCAAAGTGCTGGGATTACAGGTGGGAGCACTGTGCCCAGCTCCCTCATTGCCTTTTCTAATGAAACTTATTTGGCTTTCATTTAACAATATGATGCATTGCTGTTGGCTATGGAGGTTCTCTGAGAAGACTAAGCTTTGGGTTGTGAGGTATCCAATAGCTAATCTGAAATGAAAACCATGCAATGTGCATTGTTATTGTCAGAGTCTCTCTAAGGTCCACTGCCAAGTACAGAGTCAATGAAACATGCCCTGTGAACATTTTCTTTGGGTACCCCCTTCTAATTTAAATGATACCTCCTTTTCTGTTGAAATTTTCTGAGATGGCCATGTACACACCACATCCTTTGGATGGTTATGCTTTGGAAAGTTCTCCTGCAATTTGAGATTTGTTTCATCCGTGCCTTCCTGAAGGCCCTGTGAACATTTTTTATGTGTTTACCCCTGCTAGCCTCAGTGGATGACTTTGCATGCCTCTGATGTGCGGTTCTGATGTGCACCCATCTGTAGCGTGAGCTCATGGGGGAAGCTCAGGAATGACAATTGAGCAGGTTCTGCTCTCAGGCCTGAGGACAGCTGAACTTGTCCTTCTCCAAGGTCTCCAACAGCCCCCTATGAACGTGGAGATATTCAAGAGTCAATAGAGGAGTTCCCCTACCTTGCAGGAGCAGAGAGGGAGCCCTAGATTGGCATCCTGGTCTCAGGTTGGTCGCTAACTTGCTGTGAGTCTTTCTGCAAGTGGTTTCACCTCTCTGATCCTTTGTTTCCTCATTGTAAGGTCACATTCTGATTCTGAAAAGTACAAATGGTATTTCTGAAGAGGGTGAACTGGGCGCTGGTCTCTTCTGAGGCAGGGGAAGGTTGTTTTTTGCTCTCTCGGAGGATTTGGTTATTCAGGTTGATTTGTGGCATCCTGGCCTCTCAGGAGTGGTAGTTTCGAGGTGTCGATGTGAATGTCTGTGACTCCAATTTTGTGTTCAGAACAGCAAGACAGACATTCTGCTAACTTCACATGGTGGAGTCTTGCAGCTCGAATCACGAATGCAGAGTGAAAAAATGCTATTGATAAATATTGCCTGAACTCCTCAAAGTTCTGATATTTTACAAAGATAATTTCCTAAGTTGCTAAACCTGAAGCTTTCTGCTTCATAGATGCCCAAAGCCAACCCTTCTGTTTTCTCTCTAATACTTTGAGCTTATTGAATTTAATACTTTTGATGAAGACAATGCTGGAATAAAGATGACGGCTGATAAGACCCTTTCTCAAATGTCATCTCATTTCCTGACCCTGGTGGGGGACTCACTGTAGGGCAGGAAAACCACCTGCATTTTTTCCCCACACCTTGGGATGTGATAGCAAGAGAGACCTCCTGCTCAAGTCTCTGTTTTTAGGAAGGTGAGTGTTTATTTTCAGGGGGATTCAAATTCTGTATGTTTTGATTCTGGTATGAGCAGTCAGAAAACTGTTTCTCAGGGCTGGGGAAGACAAACCAGGTTATGACTTTGGCCTGGCCTGTGGGACTCAACTTTTCAGATGTCTGGACCTCACTACAACTACCTACTTTATTCCACCACCATCTCTGCCTTGCAAATAGATTGGAAGCTCCTTGAGGGTAGGAACCATGCACTCTTATTTTCTTATGTTTTTCCCATGGTTGAATAAATGCATCTTGAAACTATTATAAACCGAGTTTCCTAGAAACAATATTCCACCAATTTTATTTCAAAAGATGTTGCTGCCGTGGGGTGGGAGTTTTGAGACGCAGGGCTGACACCAGTCACTGTGCATTGTGCACAGAGCAGCCACATAACCCTGAAAAAAGAGACTCATTCATAGTGTTTACATGATGATTTGACATATATAAACTGCAAATTTAATTCTTCCAGCATCAGCCAGGCACGGTGGCTCACACCTTTAATCCTAGCACTTTGGGAGGCTGACAGGAGGATTGCTTGAGCCCAGGAGTTAGAGACCAGCCTGGGCAACAAAGCAAGACACTGTCTCTACTAAAAACAAAAATAAATTAGCCAACTATGGTAGTGAGCACCTGTGGTTCCAGCTACTAGGGAAGCTGAGGCAGGAGGATTGTTTCAGTCCAGGAGTTCGAGGTTGCAATGAGCTATGATCATACCATGGCACTCTAGAGTGAAACCTTGTCTAAAAGAAAAAAACTTCATCTAGCACCTGTAAGGCGGGTGATATAAACTCTATTTCTAGATGCTTAAACAGAAGCTCTGAGTTCCTATGACTTACTGAACGTGCTACAGCCTCTGCGCGCTTCTGATTTTACATCCATTGCACCCTCCACCTGGCCACACTTCCTCAGCATAAATAATCCAGTGCAAGCCCAGGGTGCTATAAAGGGATGCAGTGGTCACTGTCATGGCATTTGCAGTCAGGAGAGCCAAGACAGGGAGCTGCCACAGTATGGGAGCTGAGTGTTTCCTTGGCTAGTAATCAGTGGTGAGTTATTGGTTGCTTTGGGGAGGCATTTGGTTGGGGCCCCAGCGTAGTGCCTTCTCTCTTTCCTCCTCGCTCTGTAAGGCTTACTGATGGGCATTGGCAGGATGCAGCTTGAGGGTACCCTACAGTAGCAGAGCACATCTTTCTCTCTCTAATAGATGCCACTGAGCTGATCACAGCAGTGGGAAGTCGGTCTGGAGAAAAATGCAGCCCAGGACCCATGAGCAGGGGGACTGTGTGGGTGGAAGCTGATGTTTGCACTCAGCTGGAGATGATCCAGCCTGGAGCTGCAGAAAGCAGGGTGGGCTGGGACCAGCAAACTTGCCTGCATATCTTTTTTTTTTTTTTTTTGAGACTGGGTTTCGCCTTTGTTGCCCAAGCAGGAGTGCAATCGTGCGATCTTGGCTCACTGCAACCTCCACCTCCCAGGTTCAAGTGTTTCTCCTGCCTCAGCTTCCCGAGTAGCTGGGATTACAGGCATGTGCCACTATGCCTGGCTAATTTTTTGTATTTTTAGTAGAGATGGGGTTTCACCATGTTGGCCAGTCTGGTCTCGAGCTCCTGACCTCAGGTGATCCACCCACTTTGGCCTCCCAAAGTGCTGGGATTACAGGTGTGAGTCACCATGCCTGGCCTTTGCCTGCACATCCTGGACTCACAATTTTTAGGCATTTGTGTAACTTCTCTAAAAGTCCAAGGATTAAAAAAAAAAGTGAGTCAAGGCTGCTTCCAGAGACTGAAAGTGCCATGGAGATAGACCCTGAGCTGGACCAAAGCCCTTAAGTTGTTCAAGGTTATGGCACCAGGGGTCACTCCAAGATGAGGCCATTGGGGGCAGTAAGCATAAGACAAGGAGGAATTCAGGCACCGCTGTTACGGCATGCTTCTATCATAAGTGTTGAAGGGGGTAATCTGCCCTTTGGAATCCTGAGATGTCTCTTTGCAGCCATTTGACAATGACAATCACCAAAAATAAGGACCTGAGGTCATAAATTGGGGGCTCCGGATTGGATGTGGCCATCAGAAGTGTTTATATTTGCCCAGTAGAGTGTTCTTCTATTTGCCTTTAAAATGTGAATCAACATTTAAATTTTTGGAAAGAATCCAGATTTTGCTGAAAATTCAGAGTATCTGGCAACGTGGACCTTCTTTTCGTTACGGTAACATGTATGTGAGTAGAAACGCAGCTGCCTCCTTCAGAAGGATCAGGCGTTTAAAGTTAGCCACAGTCCCCACCACTCCCTAGTGTCTCTGACACTGGGCAGAGGGCCAGTTGCTGCTTCTTTTTTTTTGAGACAGTGTGTTGCTCTGTTGCCCAGGCTGGAGTGCAGTGGTTTGATCTCAGCTCACTGCAACCTCTGCCTCCCGGGTTCAAGCAATTCTTCTGCCTCAGCCTCCCTAGTAGCTGGGGTTACAGGCACCCACCACCATGCCTGGCTAATTTTTGTATTTTAGTAGAGACAGGGTTTCACCATGTTGGCCAGGCTGGTCTCGAACTCCTGACCTCAAGTGATCTACCTGCTTTGGCCTCCCAAAGTGCTGGGATTATAGGCATGAGCCACTACGCCCAGCCCAGTTGCTGTTTCTATTGTGCTTACGTTGTTTTTTTGCTGCAGGAAATGAAGAAATGTCTGTTTCCATGAAATGGAGGGAAATGGGAGATGGACCTTCCTCAAGCTCAGTCTTTCTCCGTCCTGTGCAACCTCCCTGGATCAGTAGCCATTTGTGTCTGAGACCAATGGGATAAATAGACTTGCTTAGCTGAAGCACTGGGCCATAGGGAAGCTTCTGCAATGCGATATCTCCAGCTGTGTTTAAGAAATCCCCAGTGAAAGGGTGGAGAGTATTCAGTAGGGGCAGGTGGGAGAGAACCTGGGTTAAGTCAGGTACAGCTCAGTCAATCACAGCTGGTGAGGGCAGCCCTGGTTTCACCCAGAAACCCGAAGCCAATTGCTCAGAATCTAAGGGTTTGTGAGGTGAGGCTCAATTTGCAAATCTTAAAATGACAGTTTTTCACTTGGCAATCCTCGTGTTAATAAACTGGTTACAAATGCAAGGTTAAATGAAGCAGGCACCCAGCTTGTGTGTGTGTGTGTGTGTGTGTGTGTGACACTGCATGTGTGGTTTCTTGGTGTAGGGAAAATCTGTCAGCCTTTTTAATACTGAGTGAGTTTTGACAACAGAATAAGATGTATTTTGAACACACGCATGTCCTGCCTTTTCTAACGGGGGCTAATGAGAATGGGGCCCCAGATGAAGGAAGGAGGGTATGGCTGGGTTTCTCTGTGGGGTTTTTCTGGGTAGGAGAGGCCGAGGACGTCTGAGTAGCACCTGGGCACTGATAGCTTCTTGGACTAATCCCAGGATTTAGAGAGGGCAGGGGATCTCCCTAGCCTAGGTGTATTCAAGACACTGAACTTGCATATTAAAAGTGATTAAAAAGCCACATCTTTCCCCGCCTCCTAAGACAGGTTCCTGCAACTCTATGTGAAATAGAAAGCAATTTGGTCAGAGTAGCCTATAGAATAGAATAAATCCTTTAAACCAAATGCAAATTTAAGGCAAGCAATTAAAAACAGATAGAAATTAGAGATTTGGATTTTGCCGAGCCAGCTTTCTGCAGCCACTGTCAGATCCCTGGGTAATTTATCTGGAGTCCGTCAATGGTTGGCCAGACTGGATTTTGATAAAAAGCCGCAAATCTGTCCTTCTCCAGCGTCTGCGACTTGCCACACACTCCATTCAAGCTGAAGCGGCTGCCCAGTCCCTCGCATAATTTGGAGTTAATCATTTGTACTTCACAGCCTCTGAGAGGCCTTAGACTTGGGAGGTGGGGACAGATTTGGCTTTTAATCGCTTTGTATATTGTGCGGCTCGAGATAAATGACACCGACTGTCTGAAATCTACATTCTTGCTTCTGATGCCAAACTGTAATTAATTTTGTGCAGTGTTTCAGAATTGATCGTGGTCACTTGAATTTCTAATTTTTCATTCACTTCAAAGACTCTGTTTTTTTTTTTTTTTTTCCTTTTCCCTTTCCTTTAAGGAATGTGCTCAGGGTGCGGGAATGCTCTGTGACGCTGGTATACTAAATGACTCTCTTACGCCTCCTTTTCAATAAGGTGAAACAGAGGTCAAGGCCTATGGTTCATGTTTATCTCTTAGCTTGTATTCAGATGTATTTTGGGACTTATAGGAAATACCATCAAAACCTATTAAATTATAAAGAAATAGTTTGGCGGCACTTAGGTATTATAGAAAGCTCAAAAAGCATCATTCATACGTCCTATTCAGCATAAGACAATTAAGCACAATCTAGACAATAATTACCCTAATTAACTACAGTATAATGTTTGTATTCAAGATTATGACAACGTGGTATCAGTTCACTATTTAAATAATAACAAGGTTTTCCTAATTTCTCTGTATTGATAGTTGTTCTATGTGATTCTTTGTTTGGTATATTTCACTGTAAAAATATTTGTCAGTGAAAGATTGAACAATATGAATGAATTTGATTATGCCATTGTCAAAAGCCCCATGCATCACAATTCCTTGTTTTTAATCACTACTGTAAACCTTGCAGCCGGAGGGCAGAGTTTTAATTTGGGTGTCTTACTAATGAAAAGAAAAAAATAATTGTTTTGCCAGGATTTAATAATAAGCAATAAAATCAGCCAACCAGATTTTACCTCTGCATTCAATCTCTTTTTTATTATAAAACATTTTTGTCCTTTTTTTAGATTACAGGCGTAGATACTGAACATTTTACTAATAAATATTTCAGTTTGCTTATGGAGGCTAATGCTGTCATCTGAATATGGAATTATATTTCTTTCATGCTTCATTTTCATTTCATGGTAGTAATGACAGTGAGGCGATGGAATATTTACAGGCTTTTCAGAAGACATTTATCCAATACATTCCCTGAAGGGCACCTAGGCTTAAAGATACATTATCCTTTTGTAAAGCTCTGCCCAGAATCCCAATTCCTGAATCAGCCCATCAGAACTTTTTCCCCCTTCAACACTTAATACATTGATGAAACTTCCTGCCCCTCCACCCCCACGGGTGAGCCATTCATCCTGAAAATTAAAGGGAATAGAGTCAGGGGAAATAGGACTTTGACCTCTGATGCCACAGTCTGTGAAATGGGCATGTCATTCTTGCCATGTGGGTTGCATTTAACCCTGGGCCTTGGGCATGACTTTGTTACATTTTTTTTTTGGTCTAAAAATGCTGCGATGTCTGTTATTTAAATTATTTTCTAGACAGTTTCCAAGACACTGGGGTTTTTGTCTTATGCACGTATGCCTCTATTGGGGTGGTAGATGGCAGATCACAGGCCCTTGGGGACCTGAAGTTATAGGAGGGAAGGTGCCTAGAATAATGGTTCTTCTGAGAGATGGGAGGGGACCAGTGGGAAAAGGCTTCTGGGGAGGGTAGAGGTGCTTGTGTTCCTGTTGTGGTCCTTTGGTGCCAAGGGCAGGGCCTTCACAGTGCACCGACCCACGGAGCAGAGGTTAGGCAATAGGGAGTGCTGGGGACTGCGGAGAACTGGCAAGGATGTGCCGTATCTAAGGGAGGCTGTCCCTTGGCTCCTGTCAATCAGACACAGGCCCAGTGTTGTCAGATCTTCTGATTTTTCAAAAGAAACCTGAAATCTGGATTTTCCTGCGAAATCTGATTTTTTTCATTTTTTCTTTTTTTTTTTTTTGAGACCAAATCTCCATCTCTTGCCCAGGCTGGAGTGCAGTGGCATGATCTTGGTTCACTGCAACCTCTGCCTCCCAGGTTCAAGCAATTCTCTTGCCTCAGCCTCCTGAGTAGCCGGGATTACAGATGCCCACCACCATGCCTGGCTAATTTTTTTTCTTTTTTCTTTTTTTTTTTTTGAGAGAGAGTATCGCTCTGTTGCCCAGGCTGGAGTGCAGCGGTACAATCTCGGTGCACTGCAACCTCTGCCTCCCAGGTTCAAGTGATTCTCCTGCCTCAGCCCCTCAAGTAGCTGGGACTACAGGCATGAGCCACCACACCTAGCTAGTTTTGTATTTTAATAGAGAGGGGGTTTCACCATGTAGGCCAGGCTGGTCCCGAACTCCTCACCTCAAGTGATCTGCCCACCTCAGCCTCCCAGGGTACTGGGACTACAGACGTGAGCCACTGCACCGAGTCCCAAATCTGCTTTTAAAATATTAGCAATTAATTCAAATATTTACCCACTACTGTTTGAACTGAGCAAGATTGTGGGCTGTATTGTGGCTTATGAGCTGCCAGGTTTCCACCTCTTGTCTAGGGATGCCAGGAAGATATTAGATTGTGCTTTGGGCATGGCGTGGAGACAGCAGGAGAGTTAGCTGACAGACGCTCCTTTAGCCTTGAAGTCCAGGTCCTGCTGCCCAGGTTGCCTGCTGCATGAAGCCTGGGCTGTTGGTTGGCTGTCAATGACATCCTGATTTTGTCCTCATTCATGTTGCACCAAAGAATCCCAGGCTACTGGCCGCTCTTCCCTGGTCTCATTATTCTCATTGCTAAATCTGACCACTGTGCTTTGCTAAAGCTTTTTCGTGGCTACTCTGACATGACTTTGATCTCCTCTAAAATGCTTTTTCCGGACAAACTGACTTTTGTTAGGATCATAGGATTGGCTATCTCATTTGCATCTCTGTTCTGTGCAGCACAGCTACATTTTCTCCGTGGCCCCAGCTTTCTGAAACTTGGGGCCTCAAGACCCTTCCAGAAGGGTAATAAGCTATTTCCCAATAAAGCCATCCTTTGTGCTGTTTCCCAGAAATGAGTGAAGGGAAGAAGGACTGGGACGCAAAGCATTGCAGGGGTCCTGCTTCCTCCTGGGTGCCTGATTGACTCCACTATGCCTGGCCTGGTGCTCAGTGGGACTCTTCTGCTGAGATCATCTCTGGAGCCTGCAGCCTTGGGTGTCTGCTCAAGGCCAGACATCAGTGAGGGTTCCATTCACAAAGGCCCTCTGCTGAGATGTGACTGAGGTGCCTGGCTTCCTTCTCATCATATTGCTCTCACGGTGGGATGGAAGATGGAGGTCTTTCCAGAGGCAAGATCAAGCGGTATGTGATGGGGACCCAGGCGCAGCAGCAGACCTGGAAGTAGGTCTGAGTTGCTGCCATTGCCCCAACAGGCGCATGCTCTGTGCACTACTGGGAACACAGTCCCAAAACTAAAACCCAGGAGAAAAGAGTGAGAATCGAGCTTTCCCCTGGGAGAACAAGGATACTGGTTTTCTCAGCTTGTCCTTCTGCAGATATGTCTATATTTAGGTTTCCATATGATTAAGAAACAACAAGATGTGGGACTTTCTGGTCTATGAGAGAAGATGAGTCAGTCTGGCCATAATTGATTTGAAAAAGGAAGCAGTGCTGGATTTTCTCCCCACTCCCTGCCCCAATTGCATTCTGTAGTTCTGTTCTGGGATTTCTGCCAGGCCAGGTGGGAGAGTAGGACCTCCAAACCTCCGCTGTCTTCTAGAAAAAGCCCAACTGGGCCGTGGTGAGGTAGGAGGTTCTGTATTCGGGGAGCAGGAAGGCAGCTGTCAAGGACAGTCCCATGGGCTCTGGTTTCTTGAGGTCTACCTTGGTGTCCTCCCAGCCCCATACCCTCCAGTTTAGGGTCTTATATACAGAGCCCTGGAAGCCGGAGATGGAGGCTTCTCATCTACTCAGGAACAATGGTCCAAGTTTTCTTTCAGTGGTTGGAGCTTTGGGCTCAGAAGGAAGCAGGATGTTTTCGGAGAGGCCAGATGGAGGGATGGAAGAGGCCCCTGGGTGTGGCTGTCTTGAATTTTGAGCCTGTTTTTGCTCTTTTCTCCTTGGTCACACCCTGGTTCTTCCCTGAGCAGTTTTACAAGGACACCCTGAATAGGGTTGTCAGATGAAATACTAGATGTCTGCTTAAATTTGAATTTCAGATATTGAATAATTTTTTAGTATAAATATGTCTCAAATATGCATAGGACATACGAATACTAAAATATTTTTTGGTATATTATCTTAGTATTTAGTATATGGTAAATTATCTTTTTAGTTCCATGCATATTTGGGACATATTTATACTAAAAAATGATTCCCTGTTTATCTGAAATTCAAATGTAAGTGGGCATCCTGAATTTTTATTTGCTAAACCTGGCGATCCTCACCCCAAGACTCTGTGAGAAGCCTGGCTCCTCAAGACTACTCGAATAGGGGAAAGAGACTTTTCCCTCTTTGTGTAGCTCAGGGCTGTCTCTTTTGAAGTTGGCATGGAAGCTGTGTTGAAATTCAAATGCTTGAACTGATCCATGTTGCTAATCAAAGACCTCATTGGACTTTTGTGAGCTGGGTGAATTTCCACTCCATTCATTTCTCTTTCTGGAGGATAAAAGAAGGTGTCTTGAAGAATGATCTCCCTGTACCCCTTATTTCCAGCAGCCACACAGATTTCACAGACATTGAATCTGTGATGACTGGGGGAGGTGAATTATTCAGTCACCCAGCACCCAGACAGGGCTCCCTCTACTCCCTCTAGGGATTTTTTTTTTCTCAGAGTCTTTGTCACCCAGGCTGGAGTGCAGTGGTGCAATCTCGGCTCACTGAAATCTATGCCTCCCAGGTTCAAGTGACTCTCCTGTCTCAGCCTCCTGAGTAGCTGGGATTACAGGCGCCCACCATCTTGCCAGGCTAATTTTTGTATTTTTAGTAGAGACAGGGTCTCACCATGTTGGCCAGGCTGGTCTCGAACTTCTGGCCACAAGTGATCCATCTGCCTCGGCCTCCCAAAGTGCTGGAATTACAGGCATGAGCCACCGTGCCTGGCCCCACTCTAGGTTTTTGAGGTCTACTCTGTTTCCCAGAGGGCTTGCCTGGCAGAGGAGGGTGGCCATAAAACCTCCTAGCAGGATATCAGGTGGGAAGCCTTCCCCTCTACCCTCTCCACCTCCCCCACGTGTTTTATCTTTAGAACATAAACACCAACGTGATGAAAAGGAAATAAAATGAGGCTGAGATCTAGAAATGCTGTTGCCAAATGGCTAAAAAGTCAAAGGAATGGATAATCAAAATACATCTCCAAAATCTGCATCACTGTGGGTTGGGGGTGATGGAATCGTAACATAAACCCCAAATCATCTTGATGAATGCAGTGAACCCAATTTCTCTTTTCAAGGATTTGAACTCCTTACACTTGGGTTGGAGTTTGGTGCTGTTCACCGGTCCTAAGTGAAATACCTGGCGTGGGTGTAGGTGTGACTGTCCTGCTCCTGCGTCATTCCTTCCTCCATATGGCTCTTTCTTGGCGAGGATGTCTGGGTGCTGACCTGGAACTCTGCCAGCAGGGACTTCAACCTAAGGCACAATAGCAGGCTACAGCTGCTCTGTCAATAAATGGCCCTTTTCCCTCGGGACTGGAGTTGGAAATGCTCCATGCCCAGCCCACTAAAAAGAGTCCAGGACTTAGTGGAGTCCAAGATCTGAAGCCCACAGTCCCCTCCAGGGTCCGCCTGGCCATGACTGGCTTCTCCCACGCCAGGAAGGAGAAGACACATCATATTTTTGACGTAGGGCTCCAACCACAAAAAGCAGTGATGGCCACTGCAAATGTATCGATTTGTTTTTTTCTCCATAGACCTGTGTGCTGTTTGTAGGTAGAGGGGGAGAAAGCCTGCGAACAGAGTGGAATCTACTTCTTAGAAGCCTGGGTTATCAAACTCATTAATCTACATGTCAAGAGGCTAGGAATGAATAATTGTGTGTAGAATTTATCTGCCAACATGATAGCTACTTTTCAGCTTTCTCCTCGGAGCCCCTTCATCGCACGCCCCTTATTATACGCTTTGTCTTCCCCATCGAGCCTGCTGGGGCAGTGGAGGAATCCGTACCTCGGCCCTCCGAGGACAGTTGCTTTGAAACATGACATGGGGAAGTCCTGCTGCTCTCCCAGGTCCACTCGGGGACACGCGTGGCCTTATTAGTGCGTGACGCCTTGGCTATCACATCAGAGCGGTGGCTAATTAGAAGCGAACAAAAAAGCCCTCCCCACCCCACCACTTGCGTTGCAGAGTCCCTTTTTTTTTTGCTGTAGTGGAAAGGTATTTCCTGCATTGAGGTGAGGGGCCAGGATGTTCTTGGGGCCCTCACTGTCCTTTGCACCTTGTTAGAGCTGAGTGGTTTGCACAGAAGACACTGGGGACAGCTGGAGAGGACAGTGGGATCTCTGGACCCCTGGGGTATGGGAAGAAAGTCCACCCTCTTCATGTGCATCAGAGTGAAGCCCACATTTAGAGAGCTCTGTAAACAGCCGAAGACACACAGAGAGGCAAGCCAAGGGACTCTCAGAGCTAAGCGGGACAGGAGAGACTGTGGGGCTGGTCTTAGGTTTTAAGGCAACTGGGCTGACGCTTCTGAAAGTTAGAGGGCTGTCAATAACTGAACACATTCCGGCCTACTGCCTCTGCAGTGGGCAACAGGGAACGGTAGCGGGGCCACGTGGAGAAGCAGTCTCTGCCACGCCCTGTTCGGGAGGGTGCATCAACTAACTACTTTCCACCGTGACCCCCTTGCCAGGAGCATCCCTGGGCAGCCTCTGCCCTGTCAGCTCCATTTATGATGTGCTCATAATTAAATGTCCACAAAGCTCACAGCGTGCTGACCACAGAGGGGCCATAAGCAGTAAGATAAATGAGACCGGGAGATGTAATATTGCTTCACTTGTGGGCTTCGGCTGATGTTAAAGATTGTCAGTGATAATTATTAATATGTGACCTGTTTGAGTCTTTATGTGAACAATCACAATTTTAATAAAGTGGTAAACTCCATGGTCACTGTGTCTGCACATTCTGCATTTGACACGCTCACTTTTCACGTTAGAATTTTAGAACAGCCCTCCTTTTCTCTGTTTTGCAGGTGATATAATATAATAACCCATTAATGGAAACCTTGGCTGAGATGCAATTGACACAAAGTCTGAAGATGGGAGTAAGTCCACGTGTGATGGCCAGGTGAGAAGGGCAGGCTGAGCATGTCACCTGCAGCAGGTGCAGCTGCAGCTCAAGCCTAGCCCAGTGGGGGGTCTTTGGGGACACTGCCCCCGCCTGCTGCTTGCACTGGTGTGCTGGTGTAGCAGACATCCCTGGTGCCCTGTCCAGACCCTCCAATTTTTCTACCAGCTGCTTCTTCCTCTTCCTCTTCCTCCTCCTCCTCCTCCTCTTCCTCTTCTTCTTCCTCTTCTTCTTCCTCCTCCTCCTCCTCTTCTTCTTCTTCTTCCTCCTCCTCCTCCTCCTCCTCTTCTTCTTCTTCTTCCTTTTCTTCTTCTCTTTGAGACAGGGTCTTGCTCTGTCACCCAGGCTGGAGTGCAGTGGTGTGATCATAGCTCACTGTATCCTTGAACTCCTGGGCTCAAGAAATCCTCCTGCTTCAGCCTCTCTAGTAGCTGGGACTACAGGTATGCACCACCATGCCCAGCTAAAAATTTTTAAATTTTTTGTAGAGACAGGATCTTGCTATGTTGCCCATGTTGGTCTCAAGCTCCTGGCCTCAAGTGATCCTCCAGCCTCAGCCTCCAGAGTAGCTGGAATTACAGGTGTGCAGCACCACACCCAGCTATGTTTTTAATTTTTTTATGGGGGCGGGGGAGGGGGTGGTTTCTTTACACTGCCCAGGCTGGTCTTGTACTCTGGGGCTCAAGCAATCCTCCTGTTTCAGCCTCGCAAAGTGCTGGGATTACAGTGTGAGCCACCAAGCCTGGCTTCTACCAGCTTCCAACGGATGCTTTGCTCTTAGCTTCCTCACCTACAACCATTGGCAGAGGGCTGCCTTTGGGCACTGGTGCTACTTGGTCCATAGGAGAACCAGAACTGCCTATGAGAATCCTGTGTGTCCTACCACCCTGTGTGTCCATAGCAAAGGACTGTCTGGTATAGGGGGTGAGAGGTGCAGCTTTGCCTAGAAGAAGAAGGACAAACCTCACTTATACTTTTAAAAAATGCTGTCTAAGTAATTGAGACTTCAGGGCCAGATGTGGTGGCTCACGCCCGTAATCCCAGCACTTTGCGAGGCCAAGGCAGGCGGGTCACGAGGCCAGGAGGTCGAGACCATCCTGGGTAACACGGTGAAACCCCGTCTGTACTAAAAATACAAAAAATTAGCTGGGCGTGGTGGCGGGCGCCTCTAGTCCCAGTTACTCGGGAGGCAGGAGAATAGCGTGAACCCGGTAGGCAGAGCTTGCAGTGAGCCAAAATCATGCCACTGCACTCCAGCCTGGGCGACAAAGCGAGACTCCGTCTCAAAAAAAAAAAAAAAAAAAAAATTGAGACTTTATTTGAAAAACTGAATTCAAGTGTTAAAAATTCACTTTCAAAGTCCTATTGTGTAAAAATTAGTAATAATCAACCTATAAAGTCCTAGTTTATTTAATAAGTGTCTGAGGAGTACTTGGAAAAGAAATAGTAGCATGGGGTCTGGAAGAGGAGAATAAAAATGTATTAACTACATTGTGTTAAAAAAAAGAACTAAAAGATTCAATTGCCTCTCTGACCTGAAAATTAGAAAAACATAGGAGTTAAATATAGAGGTTAAGTAATACATTGGAAACACTTGAAACCATTTATGACTTGAATTCTAAACTGTATCTCTGTATATTGAAGACAATCACAAAGAAAATAGATTTCATAGAACTAAGGATGGAGCAGATAAAGAAACACAAAAAAGCAAAGCAAAACAAAAACAAAAACAGAAAAACCCACCAAAACCCAACAACAAGATATATAATATATGTCAAGTAAAACAAACCAGCAAAATACAGGGACAAATACTGACATCATTGACAAGGCGTAGTGGCTCACGCCTGTAATCCTAGCACTTTAGGAAGCCAAGGCAGGAGGATCACTTGAGCCCAGGAATTCCAAACCAGCCTAGACAATGTAGCGAGACCCCATCTCTATAAAAAGCAAAAAGAAATTAGCCGGGCATGGAGGTGCATGCTTGTGGTCCCAGCTACTTAGGAGGTTGAGGTGGGAGGATCCATTGAGCCCAGGAGGTTGAGGCTGCAGTGAGCTGTGATCATGCTGCTGTACTCTAGCTTGGACAACAGAGCAAAATCCTATCTCCAAAAATTCCATCTATCTGTCTGTCTGTCTATCTGTCTATCTAGGCATCAGACAAAGTAGAATTGAGGGTAAAAAAATTAGATATAATAGTAAAGTATTTTTGTTGAAGGTCATATACTCAACACTGAATCTCTATCACTTGTCAATTGATTCCCACAATTATTTAGTAAATATTGGGCCAGGGGCTGGGACTCAACGTTAGGCAAGTCAGATGTGATTCCTGTCTTTGCTGGGCTTACAGGCTAGTAGACTGAACTAGTCATGGCTCCCAATATGCCAAATAGCATTGCAGTAAGATGTAGCAAGCAAGATTGTTAGGAGTACAAGAAGAAGTGGAGAGATTCACAGTTGTAATGAAAAACTTTAAGACATCTCTTTTGGTATTTGGCAGATCTAGTAGGCAAGGAATCCAAGGATTTAGATGATTTCAAATAATAAAGTTGTTTCTTAAATCGAGATTTTTTTCTAAATGAGAGACTATATTAAAGCCTATGAAATATTCACTAAATAGTATATATTGGCTATAAAAAAGGTTGGATATAGTCAAAGAATCAAAAAGTGGGCAGATCCCTTATTTTATACAATCAACAAAGAAGGGTAACTACAATTTTGATGGGCAATTTCTAAAATTATTAAGACCGCTCTGAATTATCTTTTAGATCAAAGAGGACATCAAAACTATATTTGGAGACTATTTAGAAAATAATTACAATGAGAATACCATATATCAACCTTATGATGTATGCTCAAAGCTATATTCAGAAGAAAACACATAGCCTTAAATATCACATTATTGAATGTAGAATAAAAATGCATGAATTAAGCTTTTAGCTCACAATAATTAGAAAGACAACAATGAAATAAACTAGAAAGATATTGATAAAGATACAACATAACTTAGTAAATCAGAAAACAGACAGTACATTGCCAAGTCTAAGAATTAGAATTTGTCAAAGACATCTGACAAGTTACTTAAGTGAAACAGAGTGAGAAAACACATGTAAAAACATTAGAAATAAAAAAGGAGAATATACATGTATTCCAAAAAGTTAAAAGTGGTAGAAAATATAGATATATTATCATAGAAAATTTTGTTGAAATAAATGACTTTCTAGGAAATTTCAAATTACTAAGTTTTTAAAATTTAATTTAATTATAAGTTCTGGGATACATGTGCAGGATGTGCAGGTTTGTTACACAGGTAAACATGTGCCATGGTGGTTTGCTGCACAGATCAACCCATCACCTGGGTATTAAGCCCTGCATGAATTAACTATTTAACCTGATGCTTTCCCTCCCCACATCCCACCCCCCACAGGCCCCAGTGTGTGTTGTTCCCCTCCCTGTGTCCACGTGTTCTCATTGTTCAGCTTCTACTTATAAGTAAGAACATGTGGTGTTTGGTTTTCTGTTCCTGCATTAGTTTGCAGTTTGCTGAGGATAATGGCTTTCAGCTCCATCCATGTCCCTGCAAAGACACGATCTCATTCCTTTTTGTGACTGCGTAGTATTCCATGGTGTATATGTACCACATTTTCTTTATTCAGTCTATCATTGATGGGCATTTGGGTTGATTCCATGCATTCGCTATTGTGAATAGTGCTGCAATGAACATACATGTGCATGTATCTTTATAATAAAATGATTTATATTCCTTTGACCCAGTAATGGGATTGCTGGGTCAAATGGCATTTCTGGTTCTAGGTCTTTGAGGAATCACCACACTGTCTTTCACAATGGTTGAACTAATTTACATTCCTACCAACAGTGTAAGAACATTCCTATTTCTCCACAGACTTGCCAGCATCTGTTGTTTCTTGACTTTTTAATAATCACCATTCTGACTGGTGTGAGATGGTATCTCATTGTGGTACAAATTACTAAACTTAACTATAGAGTAGTTGAATAAGAAAAGAATAATGTAAAAATACATTAAAATGGATGGTTGTATAGGAAATTGATTTAAATGTCTTAAGGAACAAAAAGTGATCATGCTACTTACCAAGCAAGCATTATTTTTGTGCTCAAACCTAACAAACGTCACAAACAAACAAAACCTACAAGTCAACCTCACATGTAAACATATAGGTAAAAGTCATAAAAAATGAACACTAACCTTATATTAAAAATAATAAATCTTGACTAATAAAGCCTTTCTCCTCTATTGTAAGGATGGCACCAAATCAGAAAATATATAATTAAAAATTTATTACATCAATAGGTACCTGGGAGAAATATGTAATCATATGCCAAAAGGACATTCGATAAAATTCAACATCAGTCCTGCCAAAAGCTGTGATTAAAATAGGAAGAGAAGGATAATGCATTGCATACTGTTTCTCAATCAAGGACATTGCCTCTCAGGAGGCAGTACCTGGAAACGTTTTTGATTGTCATGACTTGGAGGTAGTGCTACTGGTATGTTGTAAGTAGAGGTTAAGGTTACTCCTAAATATCCTACAATGTTCAGGAAAGGGCTCTCCCTCCCCCAGCAAAGAATTATCCAGCCCTGCATATTGATTGTACTAATGTTGAGCCTTCTTGGTTTTATATGATAATCTATCTCAAAACAACAGCCTACAAATACTTAAAAATAAAAAAGTTGTAAGTGAGAACATGTGGTGTTTGATTTTCTGTTCCTGCATTAGTTTGCTGAGGATAATGGCTTCCAGCTTCATGCACGTCCCTGCAAAGGACATGATCTCATTCCTTTTTATGGCTGCATAGTATTCCATGGTGTATAAGTACCACATGTTCTTTATCCAGTCTATCACTGATGGGGAAAGAGAACACAGGGAGGGGAACAACACACACTGGGACCTGTCACAGGAGGGTGGAGCAGGGAGAGCATCAGGAAAAATAGCTAATGCATGCCAGGCTTAATACTTTGATAGGTGCAGCAAACCACCATGGCACACGTTTACCTATGTAACAAACCTGCATGTCCTGCACGTGTACCCCAGAACTTAAAATACAAATAAAACAAAAAGTTGTAGGAATTATTGTTATGGTAACAAAACAAGTCTTAGATAATGATATGATAAAAATGACAGTCAAAATAAAAACAATTGGGGAATAAATATGGAAATGGTCAAGTCAAAATTTTTACTATTTTATGATAATATGAAAAATCTGAAGAACATCATCTGAAATACTCCTATGCCTTATAAAGGAATTCAGTAATATGTCTAATAATAAAACAGATACATGTAAATAAAACATGTCCCACATATTATGCTGGGAATAAAGGTTAGAGATAAAAGATAAGGAAAAATACTCTATTTATATTGAAGACACAAAATACAAAATACCAAAAAAAAAAAAATCCCCTAACTTAAGAAGTGGACCCGTCATATATGAAGGAAATACATTTTTTGTGAGGTGCATATAAGTAGACTTCAGTGCTACATAAAGAGAAATGCCCCTAAGTTGATTTGTAAGTAATTCTTTTCCAATAATTGAAAACAAATTTAAAAAATTGTTGAGAGGCAGGATCTTTTTACGTTGCCCGGGCTGGACTTGAACTCCTGAGCTCAAGCAGTCCTCCCTTCTCAGCCTCCTGAGTAGCTAGGACTACAGGCATATGCCACTGAATCTGGCACTTCACTCAACATTTTAAATTGGATTCTGTTGGTGGTTTTGCAAAATAAACCTAAATGTGGAAGAGTGAATAATGTTAGAGTAATCAATAATTTAACTATCAGATAAAAATTAACTTATAAAGCCACAATAGACAAAAGTGTGGTATTTACCCCAAAATAATCAGTTAAATCAATGGAAAGAAACAGAGTCAAGATGAAGGCCTAACTGCTTTAAAAATTTATAATATGATTTATGAGTCATATAAAGTCAGAGGGCGTACATTAGAGTACATAGAGGAATAGTTCATAATATTAAAAATAACAGCCACCAAGAAGATATAATTGTAAACCTTTGTGTCCTTCACAATGTTGCTTTGGAAAATGTAAGCAAAAATTAATAGAAATATAAAGAGAAACTGACAAACCTGCAATCACAGAAGGTCAAATTTCATAGTTGTCTAAGAAATGAATATTTCAAATAGACAAAAATAATGACAGAGAATTTAAATGACACAATGAACAACTTTGTATTAACAAGCTTATAGCACACATTCTTTTGACACACACATAAATCACTTACACAAATTGATAATATGTTAGATTACAAAGAAAATCTCAGCAAATTCTAAGAAGTAGGGATATGTAAGTTCCATTCCCTGAACAAATGAGAAAATAACTAAAAGAGAAATTAAATAAATCTCCACTCTCATAAATATAAAAACACTTACAAAAAGTCTTCTGTTAATAAGGAAATAAAAAGTGGAAATTACAAACTATTTAGAAATAAGCAATAGAGCATTAAATATTAAAACCTCTGAGATGTGGCCAAAGCAGTTATCAGAGGAAAATTTATGGACTTAAATGCATACATCAGAAAATGAGCAAAATTGAAATCAAATGAACCAAGCATAATATTCAGGAGACTACAAAGAACAAAAAAATCAAATCTCCAGAAAGTTGAAGAGAGGAATTAATAAAGATAAAATGACATTAATAAAATAAACAAGAACAACAAAGCTAGTAGAGTTGGTCAATAAAAACTTCTTCAAGTTTAAGGAAAAAAGAGAGCATAAATAAACAGCATGAGAAAGGAGATAAGATGTAATTACAGATAGAGAAGGAATTAAATTTTGTAAGATAGTGTCTTTGTACTAATAACTAAAAAACTAGATGAAATGCGTGATTTTCAAAATTAGCTCAAGAAGTAATAGAAAGTCTAAATATGCTATTTCTATTGAGAAAATTAGAAAGCTAGTTACAAATATACATTTAGGGAAAACATCAAGACCAGATGGTTTTAATATTTCATTCTATAACACCTTTAAGAAATAGATAATTCTTATGTTATAAATTGGGAAGTTACTCAATTCGTTCTAGAAGCCTTGTATAAATCTGAGATTAAAATCATAACAGAAGTGAAAACATTTTTTTTCCAATTTACTCTTTCATGATAAGCAAACAAACGCCTCCCCAGGCACTCAAAAATTCTTGCACATGAAATATATAAGAAAACTTCCATTATCAAAGTAAAGATTTCTACTAGAAACTTAGCAGTGGTGAAACCATGAGGACTATTTCCATTTCAGTCACCAGCAAGACAAAGTTTCCTATCACTTCTATATTCAATATTGTATTGGAGGTCTTTGCCAACGCTATACAATAAGAAAAAATTAAAAAGGCATGTGAATAATGGAGAAAGAGATTATAGTGTCATTTTGTTTTTTTCAGCCAAGCTCCCTAGGAAGAATAAGATAATCAGTTGAGAAACCATTAAAGCTAATAAGAAAGTATTATAAAATGGCCCAGTACAAAATAAACACATAAAAACTAATAGTTTTTAATACAATAGTATTATCTTATTAGAAAAAGTCATAGATAAAATTACCCAATTCGCAAAATTACCCTATTCACGCATAGCAATGAAAACTATAGAATATCTAGGAAGAAACCTCAGCTTATGAGGAGCATAATAGATACTAATATGTAGAGATATATACCTTAATTTTGGATAACAGTGCTTAATATTGTAAAGATAGATATTTTCCCCAAACTCATGTAAAAATTCCATGTCCAACAGCATTTATATGGAACTTGACTAGCTGATTATAGAATTCATATGAAACAGTAAATGCATAAGAAGGACAAAGATAATTTAGAAGAAAAACAAGAGGTGCACCTACCTTACTAAATATCAATATATATATTTTAAAGCTATATTAATTGACGTAGAATGGTATTGAAGCTAAAAATTTAACTAGAACAACGTAATGAGTCCAGAAACAGATCCCTATAGATATACATAAAATTTTGGGAAAAATCGGCATTTCATATTAGTAAGGGAAAGAATAAATTGTGTGGAAAATTAGATACTATTTGTAAAAACAAAATTATATTTTTAACATTACACTAGTCACCAAAGTAAATTCCAGATGGATTAAAGAGCTAAATGTTATACAAAAATAAAACCTGCAAACTGAGCGAAAGAAAATATAGCATATAAACCACAAAAGAAAATATGATGTTTGCCCAAATAAAATTAAAAGCTTCTCTATGACACAAGTTTCTATAAACAAGAAAAGACACCATAAACAAAATTAAAAGAACACATGCTGGTGGAAAATATTTACATTTGCAATAGACAAAGGATTAGCATCCAAAATATATGTAAACATTTATAAATCAATAAGAAGAAGATCATTAATTCAAAGGGGAAATAATAAAAATATACAAACAGGCAACGAATAAAAGGGGAACCAAAATGGAAAATAAGCATAAAAAGTTGCTCAACTTCACCAGTAGTGAGGAACATCCCAAATAATGCACAAGGAGGTATCATTTTTCACTCATTATATTGAAAATAAGTTTGATAGTATCAACTGTTGGGATGTTATAAAGAAACAAGTACTATCATATTTTGCTTATGGGGTATAAATTGGTTCAGATAGTTGGGAGGGCAATTTGGCAGTATTTGTTAAATTTAAAAATGCAAGCTGGGTGTGTGGCTCATGCCTGTAATCCCAGCACTTTGGGAGGATTGCTTGAGCTCTGGAGTTGGAGACCAGCCTGGGCAACATAGTGAGATCTTGTCTCTACAAAAGATAAAAAAGACAGGCAGGCAAGGTGATGCTTACCTGTAGGCTCAGCTACTTGAGAGACTGAGGTAGGAGAATTGCTTGAGCCCAGAAGATAGAAACTGCAGTGTGCTGTGTCGTGATTGCACCACTGTACTCCAGCCTATCCAGCCTAGGTGACAGAGCCAGACCTTGTCTCAAAAAAAACAAAAACAAAAACAACAACAAACAAACAAACAAAAAAATCACATACTACATGACTGAGAAAAAACAAAAGAGAAACAAGAGAAACTTTCACAAAAATGTACAGGGAGTCATGCTAGAGATGTTCTTTGCAGCCTTACTGATGGTGAAAGGCTAGAAACAACCTAACTATACTCTAATAGAAGAGTTACGTAAACTGTAGTAAATCATAGTGTATCGTAGTTTAAAAAAACTGAAATTGATTTATATGAATTCATATGGAAAGACAACCAAGAGATATTGATATTTGATCAAAAAGGCTATAGCATAATTTGGATAGTATGATATCAAATCCATAGACCCAACTTTATTTTTCTTTATGTATTTATTCATTAATTCAGACATTCATTCATTAGAGACAGGATCTCCTTCTGTTTGCCCAGGCTGGAGTGCAATAGCACAATTGTGGCTCACTGCGACCTCAAACTCCTGGGCTCATGCAAGGGGTGGGACACATTCCTCCTGCCTCGGTGTTCCAAAGTGCTGTGATTACAGGTGTGAGCCACTGCACCCAGCCTCAAACTTTCATTTTAAAAGAAAATAGTGCCATGTGTTTTTCACTGAAGTGCAAGTAGGTGTATTAGGAGATAGCAGGACATCAGTCAACATTCTGCCGATCCTGAAGCTAGATTCCTGAATTTGAATCCCCATTCTGCCATCTGGGCATCCCTGAGCAGGTTTCTCAGTTCTGTACCCTCTGTGTCTCAGTTTCCTGTTCTGTAAAATGGTAAAATGGAGATAGCTGTTGTGCCTACTTGGTAGGCTGTTGGGAAGATCACACAAGTTGACACATGCCTTAAGGCACGGCCGCACATGTGGTAAGCCCTCCTAAATGCCAGTTATTTTTACTATGAAGAAACCTCTGGATTTCCACACATCAAACTGATTTACAGTTAGTTCTGATAAGAGAATGCAATTAGAAATGGAATGAGGCTTTTGTCAAGGAGAATTTTTGCATTGTCTGTATAGTATGACTTTTGCAATAAAGATATAGTCAAATACTTTTTGAGAAGTTAAGTGGAATTTAGTAAAAGTCAGTGGGGAAAGTAGAAATGGTGTTGGGACAACCATCTCATCATTTGGAAAAAAGAACCTTATCATAAAGTTAGATCGTCACAGGTGTAATAAAGATTCAAGTTTAAAAAATGAAACCACAAAAGAGTAGGAATCAGAAAAATGTCGATGCGATAGTGAGATCAGCCTTTGTAACATGACGTCAAAGGCAGAGAACCAAAGGGGAAAAATGGACATAAAAATAGAAATTGTTTTTCAAATGACATCACAAATGAAATTAAAGGGAAACTAAATTGTGAAAATTGTTTAAAATATACACAACAAATGGTTGATGACATTTCTTAATAATAGCTTTTACAGATTAATAAGAAATAAAAACCAATTATCAAACAGAATGAACAGACAATTACTAACATTAGAAATATAGGTGGACGATAAAAACATTCAAAGATGGCTAAACTTCAGTAGTTATCAAAGATAGGCAGATTTGAACAATCCTTACTTTGATTATCAAAGACAGAAAAATTATTAATCAATGCTAGAGGAAGTTTGAAGAAGAAGATTTTATTCAGTATAAACTGGGATATATTTTGTGAAAGTTTTGCAATAAGTGTTAAATGTTGGCCGGGCACTGTGGTAGCTCACACATGTAATCCCAGCACTTGCAGAGGCCAAGGTGGATGGATCGCTTCAGCCCAGAAGTTTCAGACCAGCCTGGGCAACATGTGGAAACCCTCTCTCTACAAAAAAATACAAAAATTAGCAGAGTGTGATGGCGCAAGCTATAGTCTCAGCTACTTGGGAGGGTGAGGTGGGAGGATTGCTTGAACTTGGGAGGTTGAGGCTGCAGTCAGCTATGATCACATCACTGCACTCCAGCCTGGGTGAGAGAGTGAGATCCTGTCTCAAAACAAAGTCTTAAAAATGAGTACATTTTTTGGACCAGCAGTTCAATTTTAAGAAATTACTTAAAGAATCACAGATGTCCACACATATGTATGTATAATGATGTTCACTGTGATTTTATTTAAATTAGACAAAAATTGGAAATTACTTAAATCTCCATATAATAAATTATTACGGTGCATATAAAGTATGAGATATTATTCAGCCATTAAGAATGATACTTTTGAAGACTATTTACTGGTATGCAAATAGGTTATGAGTGTGTGCGAGAACAAACAGACTACAAAACTCTAATAAATATAGTTTCAAATTAGTAAGAAAAAAGCACAAGAAATCCCTATTTTGTGAATAAAGCTAGCCCCAAGTCTCTTTGTATCTTTCTGTTTTACATCTCTATGTCTAGATATATTTGTAAATAAAACTAGATAAAAATGCACTACTATTGTAAAGCTGATCATTTTTTGGGCACTGATGACATTTATCATTCTCTCAGTACTTGATTTTATTTAGTTAAATATTACAATGAATATTTAGTGTGTTGTACTACTAAATAAGTATTATGTTGTACTACTAAATAAGTATTAAATGTTGGTACCTGGCCCACATTTAATACTTATTGCAAAACTTTCACAAACTATATCCCACTTTATACTGAGTAAAATTGTCTTCTTCCTCAAATTTCCTCTAGTATTGATTATATATATAAAATATACATATATAATATATATGTATATATTAGACGGAGTTTCACTCTTGTTGCCCAGACTGGAGTGCAATGGTGTGATCTTGGCTCACTGAAACCTCTGCCTCCCAGGTTCTAGCAATTCTCCTGCCTCGACCTCCCAAGTAGCTGAGATTACAGGCACCCACCACCACGCCCGGCTAATTGTTTTTGCATTTTTAGTACAGACAGGGTTTCACCATATTGGTCAGGCAGGTCTTGAACTCCTGACCTCAAGTGATCCACCCACCTTGGCCTTCCAGATATTTTTTCTGTCTTTGACAATTAAAGTAAGGATTGTTCAAATCTGCACAATCTGTACAAGAATGAATACATTCTTGTAGATGCTAAAATGCTACAGATACGGCTGAAGTCCCTCAGACCAACCCCATATCCCCTCCCCCATACTCTTTATAGGAATTCATGTTGTCAGTTTAGTGTGTGTCCTTCTAGAGCTTTTTCTATATATTCACATCCATGTTTTTCTTCCAGTGGTTTGGCAGTTAAAACACCTTTTTAAAGTTTGTTTGTGCTGGATGCATTGGCTCAAGCCTGTAATCTCAGCACTTTGGGAGGCTGAGATGGGAAGACAGCTTGAGGCCAGGAGTTTGAGACTAGCCTGGGCAACATAGTGAGACCTTATCCCTACAGAAAATTTCTAAAAATTTAGGTAGGCATGGTGGCTTGCACTTGCAATCCCAGCTACCCAGGAGGCTGAGGCAGGAGGTTGCTTGAACCCAGGAGTTCAGGGCTGCAGTGTGCTATAATTGTGCCACTGCACTCCAGCGTGGGTGACACAGCAAGACCCCATCTCAAAAAAATTGTTTGTATTTACTCTGAAAATCTTAATAATATTTTCTTTTAATGTCTAAAATTAATATCTTCTCCCTACTATTTACTTCCTACTCCTTCTCAACCTGTATCCCACACCTCTGGTATCATTATCAGTAGAGATTTTATTCCCAGTTTGTTTAACTTTCTTTCAGTCAATTAATGAATTAGACCCAACTATAAATTTTACTGATTTCTTTGTGCACTATGGTTTATTATCTCCTAATACTCTTGAATTATTATTTTAGTTTGTTTTACCCTAAAGCTTGACTGATGTTTTGGCTTGGTACAGAAATGTAAATTTAATATAATTCTATCTCAAAAATGTTATGATATGTTCAAAAAAGTCAGGTGCCAATATGATCCTTGCTCAAAAAAGTCAGGTGACAACATGATCCTTTTTCTTTTGCAGGTAACATTTTTTTTCTGGAAGTTTTTAGGGTTCTATCTTTTTCTTGGCACTCTGACTTTTGCAGAGGAGGTAACTCTCATTTCAATTTTGTTCTGTCTTTCTGCTTAATATTTACGAATCCTTTCAACCTAAAGGCCTTTTTTCTGCGGTTTTTGAAAATCACACAATCCATCTGTGTTGTTACATGTATCAATAATCAATAATTTTTTTACTGTTAAGTAGAATTCTATTGTATGAATGTATACAGTTTGTTAATCTATTCACCAGTTGATAGACGTTTGAGTTGTTTCCAGTTTTGGTGATTACAAATAATTGCATGTAGATTTTTAAATGTGGACATACGTCTTCATTTCTCTTGGGTAAATACCTAGAAGTGGAATTGCTTGGTCAAATGGTAAGTATATGCTTTAACTTTATAATAATGTGTCAAAATGTTTTCCAAAGGGCTGTGCCTTTTAAAAACTTTATTTTGAGATAATTGTAGATTCATGTGCAGTTGTAGGAAACAACAGTGTTCCCATGTGCCCTTTATACAATAGTAACATCTTGTAAAACTATAGTTTTTCATTGTATCATTTTCCCTGGAGTGATTATAAATGTTATTGTGGCCTTAATTTGGATTTCTACATATTGATTGTTTTTGTTCGTTTGCTTTTTTTTTTGGCAGAGTCTTGCTCTGTCACCCAGGCTGGAGTGCAGTGCAATCTCAGCTCACTGCAACCTCCGCCCCCTGGGTTCAAGCAATTCTCCTGCCCCAGCCTCCTGAGCAGCTGGGATTACAGGCACCCACCACCACACTCGGCTAATTATTTTGTATTTTGTAGAGACGGGATTTCGCCATGTTGGCCAGGCCTGTCTCAAAGTCCTGACCTCAAGAGGCCCGCCTCGGCCTCCCACAGTGCTGGGATTACAGGTCTGAGCCACCACGCCCAGCCTCATTGTTAATATATAAAAATGCAGTTGATTTTTGTGTTGCTTTTTCATCCTGTGGCCTTGCTAACCTTACTTATTCATTCTAGGAATGTTTTTGTAAGTCCCTTGGTATTTTCTATGTAGATAATTATGTCATTTTCAAGTAGGGATGGTTTTATTTCTTCTTTTTCAATATGTATGTCTTTTATTTCTTCTCATTTACTCATTACAGTGGCTAGAACTGCTGACTGTGCTCAATAAAAGTGGTACAGGCAACAACCTTGCTTTGATCCTGGCCCTAGAGGGAAAGTATTCAGTCTTTTGTCATTAAGTATAATGTTGGCTGTAGTGGTTTTGTAGATGCTCTTTATCAAGTGGATGTAGTTCCCTTCCATTCCTAACTTTCTGAGAATTTTTATCCTGAGTGGGTATTAGGTTTTGTCAAATGCTTTTGAGTTGTCAATTGATCTGATCATATGATTAAACTTCTTAGAGTGTTGATATGATGTATTACATTGACTGATTTTTGAATATTGAACCAGCCTTGCATACCTGGGATAAATCCCATTTGGTTATGGCATATAATTATTTTAATAGATTGTCAGATTTGATTTGCTAATATTTTGTTGAGAGTTTTTGCATCTAAGTTCATGACAGCTAATAGTCTGCAATTTTCTTTAAAATTTTTTTATATGATTTTGATATCAGAGTAATACAGGACTCATAAAATAAGTTGAGAAATGTTCTCTCTTCTTCTGTTTTCTGGAGTAGTTTGTGTAAAATTGGTGTTATTGATGTTAATTTTTAAATGTTTGATAGGATTCTCCAGTAAAGCCATCTGGGCCTGGAGATTTCTTTCTTTCTTTCTTTTTTTTTAAGGAGGGCAGATTTTAAAGTATGAATTCAATTCTGTAATGGTTAGATCTAGTCACATTATATATTTGATTTAACTGAATTTTGCTAGTTTGCGTTTTTTGAGAAATTGGCCCACTTTTTTTCCTCAGCTGTTGAAGGAAATGTTTGTAGTATTCTCATATTATTTTTTGATGTTTCCAAGATCTATAGGAATATTCCTTCTTTATCCCTGATACTCATAAGTTGTGTTTTTCTCATTTTATATTTGACACTCTTGCTAAAATTTATTAATTTTTTCAAAGAAATAGCTTTTTGTTTCTTTGATTTTTCTCTGAAAAACACAATCAACTGTCAGGATCTCATTGGCATGTATATAATACTTCACCCAAACAACAGCAGAATACAAATTTTTTTCAAGGGCCTATGGAAAATTCACCAAAATAAACCAAATCATAGGTCATAAAGCAAACCCCAACAAACATAAAAGAATTTAAATTATTATTAGGGATGGCTTTATTTGTTCCTTTCCAATATATATGTCTTTTGTTTCTTCTCATTTACTTGTTCAGTGGCTAGAACTCCCGTTTACTGTGCTCAGTAAAGGTGGTACAGGCAACAACCTTGCCTTAATTCTGCCCCTAGAGGGAAAGTACTCAGTCTTTTGTCATTAAGTATGTTTTCCCATTTTCATTTTCATTGATGTCTGCTCTGATATTTATTATTTCCTTCCTCTGCTTTTTGGGGGTTTATTTTGCTCAGATTATTGATTTGAGACATTTCCTCTGTTTTAATGTGTGAATCTAGTGCTATAAATTTTCCCTAAGGACTGCTTTAGCTGCATCCCATTTATTTTTATATGTTGTATTTTTGTTTGTATTCAGTTCTATCTTTTAAAATTTCCGTGTCCTTTGAGGCTTCCTCATTGACCGATGAATTACTTGGAAGTATGTTATTTAATTTCCAAGTGCTTAGACATTTTCTTGTTGTCTTTCTTTCATCTTCCTTTTCTCTTCCTTTTCTGATTTCTAGTTTGATTTTGCTGTAGTCAGAAGGCATACTTTGGATAATTTAAATTCTTTTATATTTGTTGGGGTTTATTTTATGGCTCACAATTTGGTTTATTTTGGTGAATTTTCTATAGGCCCTTGGAAAAAAATGTATATTCTTCTGTTGTTTTGGTGGAGTATTAAATATATGCCAATGAGATCCTGGTGGTTGGTTGTATTTTGCAAATCATTTCTATCCTTGCTGATTTTCTGTTCAGTAGTTCTGTCAGATGCTGAGGGTCTCAAGTCCCCAATTATAATTATGGATTTATCTATTTCTCTTTTAAGCTCTATTTTTTTTTTTCTTGAGATGGGGTCTCTCTCTGTCACCCAGGCTGGAGTGTAGTGGCATGATCTTAGCTCACTGCAACCTCTGCCTCCTGGGTTCAAGAGATTCTCCTGCCTCAGCCTCCTGAGTAGCTGAGACTACAGGAGCATGCCACCATGCCCAGCTAATTTTTGCATTTTTAGTAGAGATGGAGTTTCACCATGTTGGCCAAGCTGGTCTTGAACTCCTGACCTCAGGGGATCCACCTGCCTTGGCCTCCCAAAGTGCTAGGATTACAGGTGTGAGCCACTATGCCCAGCTAGCTCTGTCATTTTTTGTTTCATATGTTTGAACCTTTGTTATTTGGTGTGTACCCATCTATGATTGTTTTGTCTTCCTGGTGGATTGGCACTTTTGTCAATTGTGTAATGTCTTTCTGTCTACAGTAATTTTTCTTGGTCTGAAGTTCACTCTTTTGGCTATTAATATAAGCATTTTTTCGTCTTAGAAATTAATGTCTTTATGATATATAACTTTTCCTATTTTATTTTCAACATACTTATGTTGTTGAATTTGAAGTGAATTACTTATAAACAGCTTCTAGGTGGGTTGTGATTTTTAAATTTACTCTTCTAATCTCATTTAATTAGTATATTTAGGCTACTTACCTTTAAGGTAACTATTGATATGTTTGGTCTTGAGCCTGACATTTTATTTTATTTTGTTTTCTATTTCCTCTATTTCTCCATTCTTGCCTTTCTATAGGTTACTTGAATATTTTTAAGAATTTTATGCTGAATTATTTGTAGTGTTTTGGGGTATATAATTTTGTGTAGTTTTCTTAGTTGTTGCTGCAGATATCACAATATCAAAATGGCAACTAATAACATTTTGCAACTTTGAGTAAAGTGTGGAAACTTTAATTACATTTAGGTCCTCCCTTTAAAAAAATATTTCCACTTTTAAATGCTAATTGAAACCACAATGCTATACCACCTCACTCCTGCAAGAATGGCCATAATCAAAAAAATAAAATATTAAATGTTGGCATGGATGTGGTGAAAAGAGAACACTTTTGCACTGTTGGTTGGAATGTAAACTAGTGCAACCACTATGGAAAACAGTATGGAGATTCATTAAAGAACTAAAAGTTGATCTACCATTTGATCTAGCAATCCCACTACTAGGTATCTACCCAGAAGAAAGGAAGTCATTATACAAACAAGATACTTGCACACACGTTTATAGCAGCACAATTTGCAATTGCAAAAATAGGGAACCAGCCCAAATGCCCATCAATCAATGAGTGGTTAAAGAAACTATGGTATGTATATGCCATTTAATACTACTCAGCCATAAAAAGGAACAAAATGATGGCATTTGCAGCAACCTGGATGGAACTGGAGACTATTATTCTAAGCGAACTAAGTCAGGAATGGAAAACTAAACATTATATGTTCTCACTCATATGTGGGGGCTAAGCTATGAGGATGCAAAGGTATAAGAATAATACATTGGACTTTGGAGACTCAGGGGAAAGGGTGAGGATGGTGACGGACTACACCTCGGGTATAGTGTACTCTGCTTGGCTGATGGGTGCACCAAAGTCTCAGAAATCACCACTGAAGAACTTATTCATGTAATCAAACACCACCTGTTCCCCCAAAAACCTATTGAAATAAAAAAATTAAAAATTAAAATAATTAAAAAATATTTCCACTTTTAAATATCATCTTGTATGGCAGATGGTGTCAATAGTTTTTGTTTCAATCATCACATGTGATTTAGAAGACTCATTAGGAGAAGGAGAGTCTATTGTGTTTATTCACATTTCTAGTCTTTCCATAGTTCTTTCTTCCTTCCTGAATATCTGAGATCTCTTTTATTATTGTTTCCTTTCTAGTTGAAGAACTTTGTTCAGCTGTACTTTATGAATAGGTCTGCTAGTGATAAGTTCTTTCAGTTTTTCTTCATCTGAGAATTTACCTCTCCTTCATTCCCAAAGGATAGTTTTGTTGGGTATAGAATTTCCAGTTCACAGTTTTTTTTCTTTCAGCACTTGAGAAATGTACTGCTACTTCCTTCTGGACTCCATGGTTTCAGGTGTGAAATCTTCTGTCATTCAATTTGGTGTTTTCTTTGGTAATGTGTAGGTTTCTCTAGCTGCTCTCAAGACTCTTGTTTGTCTTCAGTTTTCAGTTTTAATTATGATGTGTCTTGGCATGACTTTTTTGATTTTATATTATTTGGTGTTTGCTACCTTTTTGAATCTGTGGGTTTATATCTTTTGACTAATCTGGGAAGTTTTCAGCCTATTTCTTTGAATGCTCTTTCAGCCTCACTCTTTTTCTCATTCTCTAGGACTACAATAATGCCAATGTTGCACCTTTTGTTATTATCCACAGGTCTGTTTGTTTTTTTCAGTCTATGTTCTACATTTTTCAGAATGGATGAATTTCATGGTCTATTCTCAGGTTCACCAATTTTATTTTCTGTTGCCTCCATTCAGTATTAAGCCTATCTAGCAGTTTTCTATTTCTATTACGGAATTTTTCAATTCTATAATTTAGTTATTTTTAATAAGTTATGTTTCCTTACTGAATTTTACTGATTTTTAAAATATTTCATTTGTTGCAAGATAACATGTAATTGCTTGTTGAACCACTTTTATGATACTTACTTTTAAAACCCTTGTCAGTTAATTTTAACATCTGACTCATCTCAGTGTTGGCATCTATGAATTGTCTTTTTTCACTCAACTTGTGTTTTTGCTGGTTCTTGGTACGATGGGTGACTTTCGATTGTATCCTTAACATTTTGGATGTTATTTTAGGAGACTCTGGTTCCTATTTAAATCTTTCATTTTAGCAGGCAGTCACCCTGTTTAGATTTGGCATGCAGGCCCTGGCCTACTTTTAAAGGCTATGGTTCCAATGACAGTCTAATTTTCAGAGCCTATGTGGTGTTATTTTGGTCTGCTTGGTTTATCTCCTGTGACTGAGGCTTTCGCTGGTCCCTGCTGGTGCTTGAATGGGAAGAAGAAGCTTCCCCAGGCTGAGCCATCTGGTAAACCTTACTGGGGAAGGGTCTCTGATAGACAGAGCGCACTTCCCAGGCTGTCTGCTTGTGTGATGGGTTCCCCCCCTTGCCAGTGGGGGATGGAGAGAGCTTCCTGGACCATATGGTTGTTATGTCAGGATCTCCTTGCCAGTGGCCTTGTGGCTTCATGGTATGTCTGAGTGGAAGGGAGAAATTAAGGCCTTATGGGGAAGGAGATGTCTTATTGGTGTAGAGCAACATGCTGTGACATGACTCCCCTTGCTAGTGCCTCTGGGGCATGGGCGTTGCACAGTGACTCTGGGTGGGAGACAGGAGTCTTAGCCAACTCAGTTAATTTTTAATCTTTTTCTATAGCTTGCCCTCATGTATTAGGGGTCAGGGAGCTGGCCCATTCTGAGTGAAGGCTCAGATCATCTGGGCACTGCCCTGTCTCTATGGAGCAGGTACTCATAAACAATGTCTCTACCACAGGCCAGTGCCTGTCCATAACGCTGCTTAACATGCTGGCCATGGAAAGGCAATGGTTAGGGGTAACCCACCTCAGTTCTCCTGCAATAGTTGCTCAACCAGTGCACTGCAGGTGCTCCGGGGGTGCCCCATCCAAGCTTGGCACATTCTTGGTGCACCTTGTAACATTTCTTGTGCTTCTTTTCTGAATGTATGTTTTGCTTATCATGAGTCTGTTCTACCAAGAATAACCCTTCCTGTATTCTAGTGCAGTTTAGACTAATATGCATATATATTCTTCTAAATATATATTTTACATATATAATATATATTCTCCTAAATGTATATTTATATATAGCTGAAATATATATTTACGTAAATATATATTATATATCCTCTTATCTATATAAAATATATTAATATAAATATATATATTTGATTTCAAAGGATTTTGAGAGTAGAAGTTTAGCTTATCATCTTCACCTAGTCTCTTCCTGTGATCTGTGTTTTCTCAAATTCTCTAAAATAAACTTGCTTTACTTTTATAATCAGTAAAACCCATTAATACGATTTTAACTCTTTTTTTTTCATGGCTGTGTTTAGCATTATGCTGTGGGCAAGTATTCAGTGGCCTCTTTTGGGGAGATTACAGAGAAATAAAAATGTGTGCTCTTTGGAAAAGGTCTGTCAGGCCGTGGAAGGCGTACCTATCCTTGCAGGGGTGCGAGGATGGGGGTCCCAGCTGCAGAGCTCGGTTTAGCTTTTTCAAGGGCGTGCGCAACTCTGGAATGTTGCTCCAAGTTCTCACAGGAGGGGCGAATCTTTTCCCTTCTTAAATTGCCAGTGTGTGCAAAATGCTAACGCTACACATTTAAGTGACGTATAGATCAGAACAGAATCATAGCTTGATGACATAAATTAAAGTAATTATATTCATTAGCATGATAAAAAATATGCAAACAAATGTTTATTAAATGCAACCATACATCAACTCCAAAGGCTTTGGCGTTGTTTATGTCTTTGTTGCTCCAGCATTTTGTCAAAGGTGGCCTGTCATGCCGAACCTAATTGACACTAATAGCGGTGGAGGGAGGAGGAGCCAGCCTAGAATAGCACTTGGCTGTGCGAGCTGCAGAAGGTTGGGGATTTTGCTACGAGGCCTCATGAGTGTTCCATAACTGGCCCTGATGAAGGCCTGGGAAAGGAAGTCTGGATCTCCTTACATTTAATGGAAGGAGGGCTGCCGCCTCATTAGGACATTTAAGGATGCACACAGGAGGGGGTCTGGGGGTCACTTCGTCCTATTAGCACCTGATACAATCTCTGCCATTCAAAGGGAACCCCTTTCTGTACGGTCGGAAGTGTCTTTCCAAGCTGCTGGTGACTCTCTGGCAAGTGAAAGCCCTTGCCCGTCCTGGAGATGGGAAATAGGCTATTCTACCGGGAGGCTGTTGTACATTTGTGTTGAGTTCTTGCTGGGGAACCTCGCAGCATCTCAGATGATGAGGCATCTCATTTTTGGCCAGAAAGTATGTGAATCATATCTCCAAGCACAGCCACAAAAAGAGCCAGGTTCCTTAGCTGTGATGCTCAGGCTTGTGGAGATGCTGGCTTTGGCCTTGAGGGCTCATGCATCCCAGGTGGTCCCCTGCTGTTTGTACACAGACCCAGCAGTTATTGCCACTGTTTGCAACAGCTGGGTGGTTGTTTAGAAAGGGCTGGGCTGGGTGTAATTGAGTAGTCCGTCTGTCTGTCCATCCAGCCAACATATGTTAAGTGTAACTCAAGGTGGAGAGTGAGAAGTGCCAGGGAATGGTAGGGAAGGGGATGTGGAGGATGTGTGAGCAGGAGAGAGGGGTCCAGGGCTTTAGATTGAAGCCAGTAGTTGCCCTCCCACAACATGATATATACATATATATTTTACCCCCAACTTATACCTGGGGTTCTACAAAAACCACAGCCCCAGGATTTGGCTCTTGTTGACAGATTGGCCTATCATTCACTTCCATCCATTCTTTGTGAGCCTAGTTTATCTCCTGCATGAAAGGGGCAAATGAGTGATTTAAGCCACACCTTGGTTCTACTTTCCTTAGCTCTTCTTGATTTTGATGGCTGGTGGGCTGCAGTGTTAACTTTGCAGGTGTCACCAGCACTGGTCCACCTGCCTTTTAAAGGAAAACAAGATGCCACAGAGCTTCTTCTCCCAGGGTTCATGTTGTTTCTTCCATCTCTTGAGGGAAGTGGAAAGTGGAGATGCTGGGGTTTTCAAGGTCAGCAGTAGCACCTGCTAGGAGCACATAGTCTGGAGTCTCTGCAGCGGCCACCCAGGGAGCAAGGAGAGTTTGGCTAGTCTGCCCTGGGCACCTCAGGTCTGGCCACTGCAAATCCCCGTTTCTCTTCTCCCAAAAAAGGGAGGCTGTGTAATTTATTTCTGTGGGGTGGTTTATGCTGGGAGGGAGAGAACAGATGTTAAGAAAACAAAGGAAGGCATAGCACTTTTGTTTCTGAGCCAAGGGTGATCAATTCTGTGTACTTTACTGCCTTGTCCATGTTTTGGGGTTGGATATTTCAAGCCATTTCAATCAAAAGTGGTGCCACTCCGGGCTCTAAACAAAGGCCTAGGTTTATTTTTTTTCTGGCAGTACAATCCTCAAAGATTACACTTGCTGAAACATTTTTAGCCACGTCAACATTCCTTAGGAAATACAAATATGGGCATTATTTCATGGAGATGGCACTGGGTAATATAATAAAATGGATTTATTTCATCTTAATTTATTTAAAATGTGCATAGACAGAACTGGGATAAAATCCATGAGATGAAATATCTCGTTTGCATGAATATATTGAAAAATTCAGCCACCTTCTCAGCCAAAAAAAGATGCCACTTTTTTTTTAATCCTCAGAATAATAAGAAGAATAGGTGCTCTTTTTAAAACAAGAAAATATAACCTTGACAGAGAGAAGTGATTCATGTCTTGTGGTCCCCGTGAAGGTGTGAGGGATGAGTGTAGATGCAGCCTGTGTTCTGGGTTGAGGGATTGGGAGGGAGAGAGAGAGGAGAGAGGGAGGGAAAGACACAAGACCGGTTTTGCACAAGAGGTTGGTCTGGCCTGCGAGGAAGGAAGGCAGTGTGGATGGGCTCCATTTTCTCAGGTGGTGGTCACCAGTGTCAGTCCTGGGGGCTCCTCACTCTGGACTCTACAAAGCCTCAGAATCATCTAACGGTGGAGAATGTTGCAGGGACTGAGACTGGCAGGCACGCATCCTGCCTTTGAGGCTGCAGCACAGCAGGATCCTCACGATGTACCACCTCCCAAGGGCTCCTGTGTCCAGAATGCACTGTGAATACTGTACTCATCCATCAGGCTGAAAGCCTGAGAGCCTGCAGCTCAGTCTGCACCTCTCAGCATAGCAGCTATGTGGCTTGGACACAATTTTCAATCTCTGGTCTTTGTGTAAAGCATCGTTAAGTAGAGGCTGAATCTGACATCTTGGGTTCAAATTTCTACCACTTATGAACTGTGTGATCTTGAGCGAGTTTCTTAACCTCTCTGGGCCCGATCCTCAACCTCAAGTTCATTCGCAAAACGAACTTGATAGTGAAATTTACTACCTATGGGTGTTATGAGTTTTATCTGCAATGATCATGAAAAGTACTTAGAACATGCCTGACTGATAGTTAGCATCCAGTGAATGTTAGTTGTAAAGTTTTCTAATTAACTGAATGGAAATAATCTTTCCATCTTATTGGATAGATCAGTACCTGCTATTATTGTTTGACATTAAGAAATGGTTTCAATGTATTGCTTCCATGTCCATAAACTTCTGGAGAGAAGAAATGATGAATGCTTGCAGAAGGTGTCTGGTAATGAATGTGGGGTTGAGTCTTTTTAGGTGTCTTAGTCTCTCTGAGTCGAATTCTCATCATCTCTTGGGGTACATGCCTGCTGGAGTCTCTTACAACTCAGTGCTTTGTGGAGGCTTGTGCCAGGGCACGCTTCAGGGGAGTGAGGTGCCCAGCGTGGCTGGCGCTGCAGTCAGTGTCAGCCAGGACTGGGCAGTGGCTGCTGGCCAGTCGCTCCTGGGAACCCCAAATCTGGTGTCTGCTGCCCTTACCCTCCACCCCTGCACACCATCTAGTCCTTGGACTGAACTGCTGAGGATGAAGGGGCTGCTTCTGAGAAATAAAATGGATTTATTTTATTTAAAATGGTGAATCGCAAGCCTCAAGTCCTCTCTTGGAAGAACCAATGGCTAACCTTCCCATTTCCCTTCTTTTTATTTCTCACCCTAGTCTGGGAGAAAATCCAGCCACGCCATCACTAGCTTTTGACAATTCCGACCACAGATATGGGGCTCCCTTTGGACCCACATGGTAGCCACAGCATTTGGAAAACAAAAATCAGTGAGGGGAATTCCCATAGCTCTGTGTTGGGACTTGGGGGTTGGAGGGATGGCTGCAGAGTGAGCTGATTCCAGCTCTCAAGGATGCCACAGTCTAGGGTGTCCAAAGCCAGTGTCCTGAGGCTCCCTGGCTGCCATGTCCTCACTCTGCCTGTGGGCAAACTCTCCCTACCTGGGAGCTGCCTCCTAGGACAGGTTCAGTGCAGGTTCCCTGTCTTTCAGATGCCTGGTCTGGGCGGGAGTGCTGTGGGCACAGGGTCCCTCCATCAAGGCCAGTGGGGAAGCCAGTGGTTTTCCTGGAGGATGTGCCTGACCCAGAACCTGCTGTTTACTCTGATGCTGCCCAGTGGAGACACAGCAGCTGCCATTGGAGATCTTCTCTCGGAGGCACAGGAAGGAACCAGTGAGCAGGAGGCCGGGACCCCAGCAGATAAACTCAGCATCCCATCTGGGCCTGACATTTCCCTTTAAGACCATCAAGCCCAATTCTACGAAGTCTTGATTCTGGAGTCCCTGGGGTCTGTCCAGCAGTGAGCTCGCTGTCTCTGACCACAGCGGAAAGGTTTGCATGCCTTTTCTGTGCTGCTAAGGAGCCTGGAGAAGATGCCTCCATCCTCACCCTCCCAGGGGCACCGAGTCAAATCCAGCTGGGACTAGGAGGCAGACCCCTGCTGGAAGCCAGACCCGCTCTTCACTGGGCAGGCCCTGCCAGGCTCACAGAGTGATCCAGACCCCTAGGCTGAGTGTGCCTGGAGAAACTGAGGCCAAGGAAGGGAGCAGCCTTGCCCGCAGCCTCATGACCAATTAGTGGCAGAGTCAAGGTACCCCCTGGGTCCCTTGCCTTCCAGTCTGCCAGGTGGGAATGGGGGTCGGCGGGGAGGAAACTAGCAACCCAAAGAACAAAGACCAGGGTTTAAAAAATACAATAATGTAAATGTTTCTTAGAACTTCAAAAATTACCATGCCCTACAACGTTTGATCTTGGATCAGTTTTTTTTTTTTTCCCCTTGGGTCTTGTGCTTCAAGGTGGATGTCAACTTTTGGTAGATTGGTGGCATATCACACGGGCCTCTGGGCTTCCCCCCAACAAAATCAAACTGAGAAAGCGACAAAAATCCCTTTAGGTGCCCTGCAACTCCCCAGATTTTCTCAGGGAAAGAGACCACAGCCAGGAGGCAGAGAAAATAAGAAGCCCTGGGACATTGACCTTGAGTTTCTTAGGGCTGGTAATTTACACAAGCGACTCAGGGGATGTTTCTGATAGTGAGTGATTTTCAGCTGTGGCCAGTGTGGGCTGGAGTGGCTTGCTGTGGACCAGGTGGTCTGTCTGGCCCACCTGGGTGAAATTCTAGCACCTATTCCTTACCCAGGAGCAAGATGGTCAAGCTATCTTCCAGGAGATATCTCTTGTTGCCTGGGCTTTGTTGCTCAGGCAAGGGGAGGGGAGGGCTGGCCTGTGAGGACCACATGGGCTGGGGAGGAGCATCAGGAGGGACGCTGGAGACCCCTGACAATTGCCAGGGCAGCTCCACGTGCCTTGGGGTTCTGTCCTGAGTGGTCCCAATTCTGGCTGCCTGGATGCCCTGTTTTCCTTATCCTCTCCAAGGTGTGGTGGCAGCCATAGGACTCCAAAGCAGGTGTCTGGCTGCCCAGTTCTTTGTCAAGCGAGTCTGATGAACACAAGCCCCTGATCACCTGAGCAGTGGAGCCCCTGGCAAACCTTCCGTTAATGTCAGTGATGATGTTTCTCTATTGAGGTGAGACCCGAGTGAAGCTGGCGGCCAGGCTGGGTGGCCGACGTGGGGTGATTTATGGAAAAGGAGTCTGGGTGGCCCAGATGGTCCAGGGCTCCGGGTGTGAATTCCATGCAGGTTGCTTGGGGTCAGCCACTGCTAATGGGGAACCTGCTGCTTTGACCTCTGGGGGCAATGGTGAGAAGTGTCCCTGGATATGAGAAATCACTGCATTTTCAGTTCTAATCAGAGCGGCCCTTGGGCTCAGACTGGTGTGCGCTGAGCCAGGGTGTAGATGGGGTGGCCATATAATTTATCATCCAAACTGGGACATTTTTGGGAGTGATAATTTTGAGAGTGAAAGGGTGTGTATTGATAATTAAATGGGGGCTGTCCCTGTCAAACTGGGACATAAGGTCACCTTGGAAATAGATGAGTTTGGCACAATTCATTGTTATTTTGATATCTTCTGCTGTCCATTTCTTGAACATTTTTAGGTTCTGGTGCCTCCATGGGCACGGAGGACCCATGTAAGCGCCCCTGGTTCTGCAGGGTATTAATGTAGTCTCTGGACTGGACAAATGGCTTGTTCCAGAATGCGGAGCTTGGGGACGCATTGCAGGGTGTGTCCACAAGGGTGAGATGGTGAGTTTATTCTCACTTTTTCTCCCTTTAACTATAATTGACTCAAGGGTGGAGTCTCTGTCCCACATCTGAAGCACATGAGTTTTGGGGTCAGACACCCCTAAGTTTTTAATTCTGGCTCTGCCACTTACTAACTGGGACACAGACCAAGTTATTTCATTTATGTAAGCCTCGGTTTTCTCAGCCACTAAGTGGGAATACAAATAGACCTAGTAAAGATATGGGTGGTGGAGGGGTGGGGGGCGGCTATTGTGCTGTCATATGTGAATGTGCTTATCACATCATACATACTCAGTTATTATTTAGGGTAGTGTCTTATGTCTACAAGAAGCTGCTCCACTTTGGTATACAAAGAAAAACAATCTATTAGTTATTTTTACTTTATGTTCAATTAAAAAACTTTCAGGTAAAAATACACGTGATGTATTATTATACAGTAACAACATATGTAATTAACCAAATAAAATATGACCAAATTATTTGTGTATGAATAAATACCCATGGCCAAATTTTGGGGGGACATGGCCAAATTTTACACTGATAGGGCTGTGTGGTCAGAAAGAGTTTTGGGACCTCCTTCATGATTAGACTGACACCCACCAGATAAAAGTAACAAAGATAGAAGCTCTCAGAGAACTTAAAGAAGCTACTTCATTCATTTGTCCATTTATTCATTCTTCAGCAGCTATTTATTGAGTACCTACCATGTTCAAGCACTTGGGATACATCAGCAAGCTAAATGATAAATTACACAGCATATTGGAAGGTGTAAGTGCTATTTAAAAGAGGCAGGGTGGGAGGGACTAGGAGCTAGAGTGCAGTGTGATGGTGTGCAAATTAAAATTGAGTGGTCAACATGAACTTCATTGAAAAAGTGGCATTTGAACAAAGACTTGAAGGAAGTGAAGGGTGTGGTCTTCTGTCCTCCCCACCCCCCAGAGCTGCCTCCTTTCTCCTTCCACTTTCTGGGGTTATGGTGGAGATCACCTATGATAGAGGACATATCAAAAGAAAGTCGCCAATAGAATGCAGCTGTTTCTGTCGCCATCACGCTTGCCGGCTCTCTTCATTTCCGGCTCATGTCTTGTCCGCCCTCCTCAAACCACCTGGGCTACACTGGCCTACACAAGCGGGTGACCTTGTTTTGTCCTTCATTGAAGAGATGAAAGCCACAGGTCACAAATGCCTTCACCTTCCTCCCTCCAGTCCTCTAGAAAGCTCCCTGCTCGGGTAACCCTTCCTGTCTCTTTTCTTCCCCTCCCTGTAGTTCCCTGGCTCCCTCCCCTCAAAACGTCTCAAGGACTCTGTTCACATTCACTTAGCTCCCCTCTCCTGCATTTCCCAGCTCCATGGTCCAGATTAGTTTCTTTCTTTCTTTTTCTTTCCCTTTTTTTTTTTTTTGAGATGGAGTTTCACTCTTTTTGCCCAGGTTGGAGTGCAATGGCGCGATCTTGGCTCACTGCAACCTCCGCCTCCCTGGTTCAAGTGATTCTCCTGTCTCAGTCTCCCAAGTAACTGGAGTTACAGGTGCATGCCACCACTCCCGGCTAATTTTGTGTTTTTATTAGAGACAGGGTTTTTACCATGCTGGCCAGGTTGGTCTCGAACTCTTGACCTCAGGTGATCCTCCCACCTCGGCCTCCCAAATTGCTGGGATTACAGGCGTGAGCCACCACACCCGGCCTAGTTTCTAAATAAGTTTAATATCTCCCATCTTTTAACTGGGACATTTTTGACCTCACGTCTTCCCCCAATCATTTTCTTATTTTTTAAATTCCCTAAAAAGGAGTGGAAGCTTACCAAAGCTTACAAGAGAATTGTCTGCCGTGCTTTCTTCATACTTTTACTTCCCGCCCTCTTTTAAAGAAAACTTTTTCTTTTTTTTAAATTTTACTTTAAGTTCTGGGATAAATGCGCAGAACATGCAAGTTTGTTACATAGGTATACATGTACCATAGTGGTTTGCTGCACCTGTCAACCCGTCATCTAGGTTTTAAGCCCCGCATGCATTAGGTATTTGTCCTAATGCTTTCCGTCCTCTTGCCCCCCACCCCCCAACAGTCCCCAGTGTGTGATGTTCCCCTCTCTGTGTCCACGTGTTCTCATTGTTCAGTTCCCACTTATGAGTAAGAACATGCAATGTCTGGGTTTTTGTTCCTGCGTTAGTTTGCTGAGGATGATGGCTTCCAGCTTTGTCCATTTCCCTGCAAAGATATGAACCCATGTCCCACTCTCTTTTGTTAGCTGGTAGAGGCTGGCTTCTGTTCCTTGTTGCCATTCTCAGCCCCTGGGACCTCCATGTTGTCACATATGGACACTTGGAGCTGTTATCTTCTAGTCTCTGTCTCTCTGCATCAGCACACACAGCTGACCTCTCTTCTTTAAAGCACTCTCTCCTCCTCACTGCCATGATACCTGCACCACTGTCTTCCCACAAGGTTCCTCTACACCTCTGTCTTTTAGAGCCTCACTTGCTGGTTGGTCTTCATGTGACTTTCTCTGGAACTTAATATTGGATTTTCTTTTACACTACTGTCTCGCTTGTTCTCATTCCTCTCCTTGCTTCGAAAATGCTTTTATATATAAGCAGTTGTAAATATCTTATCTACAGCTAAGATCTCCTATCTGAGCTCTGAGATTCCAAATCCAACTACTTCCCTGGGAACTCCTTTCATACCTAAGGGCATCCCAATGTCACATGTCCAACACTGAAACTCTTCAGCTTCCCCCAAACATACCTTCCCTCAGCCTTCCCCACCTCCAAGGATGGCACTTGTTTCTACCCTATTGTTCAATCCCCAAACCTGGCTGTTATTCTTTTTTTTTTTTAAATGAATTGATTGAGGTATATTTCACATAGCATAAAATGAACCATTTTAAAATGAACAATTCGGTGTCATGTAGTACATTTACAGAGTTGTACGACCATCACCTCCATGTAGCTCCAAAACATTCCCACACACCAAAATAAAAGCCCACGTTCATTAAGCAGCCACTCCCCATTTCCCCCTCCAGCAAGCCCCTGGCAACTGCCAATCTGAGTTCTGTCTCTGTGGATTTACCTATTCCAGATATCTCATATGAACGGAATGACAATATGTGACCTTTATGTCTGACTTCTTTCATTGAACATAATGTTATTGAAGCTGTACCATGTATCAGTACTTCATTTTTTTATGGCTGAAAAATATAACACAATTATATTGGAGTCCCCAAGCCCCGGGGCCATGGACCAGCACCATGGCCTGTTAAGAACCGGCCCCACAACAGGAAGTAAGCGGTGGGTGAGCAAGCACTACCGCCTGAGCTCAGCCTCCTGTTAGATCAGCAGCAGCATTAGATTATCATAGGAGCGCTAACGCTATTGTGAACTGAGCCCGCGAGGGATCTAGGTCTCATGTTCTTTATCAGCATCTAACTAGTGTCTGATGATCAGGGTTGGCACAGTTTCATCCCCAAACCATCCGCCTCCACCTTCAGTGTCCATGGAAAAGCTGTCTTCCATGAAACAGGTCCCTGGTGCTGAAAAAGCTGGGGACCACTATATTATAACATACATATATGGAAAAGTAAATTGTGTTATATATATTTTATATACATATATAATATACATATGTATATAATATATAAATACAATAAATAATATAACAATAAAAATAAATATAAGTATAATATATATTTACAATATACAAATAGAGTATAATAAAAATATAAAAATGAAATAAATATGACATATAATATCATATATGTATATATGTATATAATATATAATGCAGATATACTATTTGTATATTTTATGTTATATGTGTATTACAGATATATATAACATATGACATTTTATATATAATGTTATATATGTATATATGTGTTATAGATATATAACATTATATATAACATGTAACATTATATATAACATATAACATGTTATGTATGTTATATATAACATATATAACATCTCATAAACTTATTAGACCCTACATATTATATTTTATACAAATAAAAAATATTATATATAACATGTTATATAATGTTATATATCAATAATACATATATTATGTATAATATATAATATACACATATAATATATACATATATGTGTACACAAACATAATGTATACATATATATGTATAAATATACATATATGTATGTAATATATAATATGTATATTTTACACAATATGTTTATGCATGTAATATTATATATGTATATAATATATACATAGGTGTATATATAATATATGTATTATATGTATAATATATTACTTATGATACATATATTACCTATGTATTATAGGTAATATATAACACAGTGTACCTATCCGTTAATCTAATATTGATAGAGCCCTGGGGTACATCCATCTCTCAGTTATTGTGAAAGTGCTGTGGTATCAGGGGTGTACATGTATTTGTCTGAGTACCTGTTTTCAGTTCTTTGGGACATATACCTAGGACTGAATTTGCGGAGTCACAAAGTAATTCTATGTTTAACTTTTGCCACTGTGGCTGTGCCATTTTACCTGCCCACCAGCAATGAATGAGGGTTCCTCTCCACATCCCCACTGACACGTGTTATTTTCTGTTTACATTTTTTGCTGATTGCCATCCCATGGGCATCATTATGATTTTGCTTTGCATTTCCCTCATGACCAGTCATTGGACGTTTTTTATTTGCTTGTTGGCCATTTGTATAACTTCTTGGAGAAATGTCTATTTGCATCCTTTGCTCATTTTAAAATTGGGTTTTTTGTCTTTTTATTGTTGAGTTGTAAGAGTTATTTCTATATTCTGGATACAAGACCCTTATCAGATAGATATATGATTTGTAAATTATATCATTGAAACAATCCCCCGTTGCTGTCCTGTTTTTTTTTTTTTTGTTTTTGTTTTTTTTTTTTTTTTTTTTTTTTGAGATGGCGTCTCTCTCTGTTGCCCAGGCTGGAGTGCAGTGGCATGATCTTGGCTCACTGCAACCTCTGCCTCCCGGGTTCAAGCAATTTTCCTGCTTCAGCCCCCCAAGTAGCTGGGACTACTGGCACGCACCACCATGCCCAGTTATAGTTTGTATTTTCTGTAGAGTCGGGATTTCACCATGTTGGCCAGGCTGGTCTTGAACTCCTGACCTCAAGTGATCCACTGGCTTCAGCCTCCCAAAGTGTGGGGATTACAGGCATGAGCCTGGCCTTTGGTTGTAGTTCCTAACCCTTGTTAGCTCATCTAGCCTGCAAGGCCAACTTTAGGAGACACCCTCATGCATGCACTTCCCTCCATTTTCACCCTTCATCTCGCTAACACCCCGCCCCAATTATTTCTCACTTGCATAATGCTGCAGTTTCTAATTTTTGTCTTCTTGCCTCTACTCTTGTCCCCTTATAATCTGTTCTCTACCAAATAGCCAGAATGATTTTTTTTTTTTTTTGAGAAATGTTCTCACTCTGTCTCCCAGGCTGAAATGCAGTGGTGTGATCACAGCTCACTGTAGCCTCAGTCTCCTGGGCTCAAGCCATCCTCTCACCTCAGCCTTCTGAGTAGCTTGGACCACAGGTGTATACCACCATCTCTAGCTAATTTTTATATACTTTTTTGGAGAGATGGGGTCTCATTATGTAGCCCAGTCTGGTATTGAACTCCTGGCCTCAAGCATTCTGCCCACCTCGGCCTCCCAGAGTGCTGGGGTTATAGATGAGAGCCACTGTGTCTGGCCCAGAAGATCCTTACAAATATAAACTGGACGATGACCTGCATCTGCTTCAAGTCCTCAGGGACTTCCTGCTACATCTGTAATAGGCTTAGGACCCCTTCACATGTCCCTGCTGTCCTCTCTGGCCACATATCCTATTTTAGCCCTGATGTCTTTCCGTAAATTCCCACAGCACAAGGCTTTTCCAGCCTTGGAAGCTTTGAATGTGCTTTCTCCTTTGCCTAGAGAGCTTATTCAACATGCACCTGGTGAGCCCCATTCTCCTTCTCATCTTGGCATAAATGTCACCACTCAGGGAGGGCCTCCCCAGCCACACATTTAGATCAGGCCTCCCTCTCTCATGGGCTATCTCATAACCTTATTAGCCCCTAACTCATGGGCTATCTCGTAACTCTATTAGCCCCTATCTATAACCTTATTGGGCCCTACCTACTGGGCTTTCTCATAACCTTATTGGCCCCTACCTCATGAGGTATCTCATAATCTATTTAGCCCCTATCTCATGGGCTGTCTTATAACTTTATTAGCCCCTACCCCATGGGCTAGCTCATAACCTTATTGGTCCCTACCTCATGGGTTATCTTATAACCTATTTAGCCCCTATCTCATGGGCTATCTCATAACCTTATTAGACTCTGTCTCTTGGGCTATCTCACAATTGTCTTGGCCCCTACCTCATGGGCTATCTCATAACCTATTTAGCCCCTATCTCATGGGCTATCTCATAACCTTATTGGTTCCTACCTCATGGGGTATCTCATAACCTATTTAGCCCTTATCTCATGGGCTATCTCATAACCTTATTAGACCCTGTCTCATGGGCTGTCTCACAACTTTCTTGGCCCCTACCTCATGGGTTAGCTTATAACCTTATTGGTTCCTATCTCATGGGATATCTTATAATCTATTTAGACCCTATCTCATGGGCTATCTCATATCCTTATTAGTCCCTACCCCATGGGCTGTCTCTTAACCTTATTGGTCTCTACCTTATGGGCTGTCTCAGAACCTATTTAGCCCCTATCTCATGGGCTATCTCATAACCTTATTAGACCCTATCTCATGGGCTGTCTCCCGACTTTCTTGGCCCCTACCTCATGGGTTAGCTCATAACCTTATTGGTTCCTATCTCATGAGCTATCTCATAACCTATTTAGCCCCTATCTCATGGGATACCTCATAAGCTTATTAGCCCCATACCTCATGGGATATCTCATAATGACCTTTGTTTTTCATTCATAGTTTAAAAAAAATCTTCTGGATGCCGACCATGTGCCGGGCACCCTGTGTTCACCAGGCAGATATTGGTTTGCAAGACAGATAAAGTTCCTGCCCACCAGCTGCTGACAATCTAGCTCAAGAGACAGATAGGAAAAATAAGTGCACGAGACCTTACTATGTTATATGAAGAAAATACATGGGGTAAATAGTGTCAGCGGGTGGGGGAGGAAAGGGAGGGTGGGAATTCACAGTTGGTTGGGGTGGGTCCCTGCAGAGGAGCCGAGAACGCACATATGAGAACAAGCAGCCTTTCTGAGGGAGGCAGAGAGCAGCAAGTGAAAAGGCCTTGGGCTGTGATCCACAGGCAGCTGAAGCCTGTGGCCGTCAGCCCACGAGAGCAGTGCAGGAGCACAGTGGAAGTGGGCAGCGTGCAGCCACAGTCTGGAGTCAGCGCTGTTTCCTTGTGTGCAATGTCTGGGTTCTGCAGTGGAAGCTTCATGAGGTCACACACCTACTACACCCACTACTGTGCACCAGCTCCTAGCAAGTGCCTCCCCGGAGGTGCTGAGTAGATGTTCATGAACACTGAATGGATATTATTTTTATGAATGAGATTAGTTTGATCTCCATCCCCTTTCTGTCTTTACGTTAACCATGATCTGACTGAGCCCTTTTGTTTTCCAGCCATGCCAAAGAGAGACTCGAGCTCAGCTCTGGCTGAATGACTGCAAATTGTGATTTGGAATAGTCTGCAATTTCATCCATGAGTCACTGATGTGCCTCTACTTCTCCAAGGGGATTGCTGGCTCTACAAAAAAAATTTCCCCTTTCATTTCCACCAAGTCCTCAGAATCTTCTAGAAGTTCAATAACAATTCCTACCTAAAGCCTGAATGCTATTCCTGAGTCAACAGCTGTGTTTGCCTTTTCCCCCCAGTTGTCCTGGCTGCTGGCAGCCATGGTAAGGGAAACTTTACACGGTTCCACTTCTGTGTAGCTGACGAGGATGCTGTGGGGTTTATGTGAGGGGATGTCTAGACAGGTCCATCTTTTCTGCATTTGGTGTGGAATCTTTGTTAGGCACAGGGGACCCTGGTGAAGCTTGAATCCAAAACAGCTTCAGCAGACTCGACCCTTGCCAGGGAAGTCTGTGTCGTAATGAGATCTTCATGTTGACGGGATCTTTATTATCCCTGGGCCAACCTGTTTTTTTTCCACATGAAATTAATTTATTGGCTGTTCTGCTTAGACGTCATTTGGCTCCCACTGCTGCTTGTAAAGCCTGGCCTCTTTTGGAAAAGGCTTATTACTTTTAAGATCCAGTCTGTTGTGATTCTTCTGTGTCATTTAACTCAGTGGAGTCCCTTGGCTTCCTTGGGGGCAAAGGATGCCCTTGGGGCATGTGTGCTCTTGTGTACCTGTGTGCACACATGCCTGCTGAACAAGGCTGCACAGGTGTGAATTGCAACTGGAGAAACACCGGGAGGCTGTGGTGGGCCGGTGGCATAATGCTGACACATGGGTGAAGAAAAAAAAATGACCAGGCTCAGTGGCTTAAGCCTGTAATCCCAGCACTTTGGGAGGCCAAGGCGGGCGGATCACCTGAGGTCAGGAGTTTGAGACCAGGCTGGCCAACGTGGTAAAAACCTGTCTCTACTAAAAGTACAAAAATTAGCAGGGCGAGGTGGCGGGTGCCTGTAATTCCAACTACTTAGGAGGCTGAGGCAGGAGAATCGCTTGAACCTGGGAGGCGGGGGTTGCAGTGAGCCGAGATTGCACGATTGCACTCCAACCTGGGCAACAAGAGCAGAACTCTGTCTCAAATAAAAAAAAAATTGGAAAAGTATACCTTGGGCTCTCTCTGCAGTCATAATTACTTGGACCCAAGCAGTAGCTCAGCATATAGTTTAGAGGGTGTGCTCAGAGTTGGAATGCCTGGATTTGAATCCTACATACCCTCCATGTGATCCTGGACATGTAACACAATCTCTCTGTGCCTCTATTTTCTCACTTGCAGAATGAGGGTAATGAAAGTCCCTTATGGACTTGTGGGTGGATTAGATGTGTCATTATATATCCAGGGTTTGCAAAGAGCACATGGTAGACACACCATCAGTGTCAGCTGACGGGGTCATTGCGTCCTCTCCTTGATGTTTTTCTTTCTGATGGGCTATTCACAGCATTTGGTAAAAAGGCCTTCCCTACGCCTCTTGTACTCGTTGATCTAAGTAGGCTAGATGTTGGATATTTATTTATGTTCCATCTGGCTCCCAAATGAGTCACCACAGGATTCTCGGGGGCTGTGCCGACCAGACCCTTGCAGTTTCCCGTCAGCATGTGTGGTCTGTCCTCTTACACGGCTGCCCACTGGCCTCTCCCTATTTCGGAATCAGCCTTGTGTGTGCATGCATGTACTCCCGCCTCCCCCACGTCCACAGCCCTGGATCCTACCCACTCCTCAGGACCCAATTTAAACCCTGCCTCCTCCATGAAAGCCCCAAGCTCCAGCTGGGATTTTTCTCTGCTCCTACTTTGCTCTGGAGTTGTCCCTGGAAGGCAGAACTTGGTGGGGGTCTCAGCCTAGATTCGCCTAGGCTGCCAGCAGAGACTTCTCCCAGGTGCTTGACCTGTGTCTCTTAAATGGAACAGTCAGGGTCTGCTTGTCACGTTTGCTGAAAAAGGGCACATCCATTTTGAGAAGAAGTTTCTTGCCACCAGTTTTTAAAAACGCCCTTTTAATACATTAATTCACTTAAAAAATTCAATGTGGTAAAAGTCTGTCTGTTTGGTATACCGTTCTATGAGCTTAGACAAAAGCAAATGGCCCCACAATCACCACCACAATTAAGATACTGAACAGGGCTGGGGGCAGTGGCTCACACCTGTAATCCCAGCACTTTTGGAGGCTGAGGCGGGTGGATCATCTGAGGTCAGGAGTTCGAGACCAGCCTGCCCAACATGGTGAAACCCCGTCTCTACTAAAAATACAAAAAATTAGCCAGGCATTGTGGCAGGTGCCTGTAATCCCAGCTACTTGGGAGGCTGAGGCAGGAGAATCGCTTGAACTCGGGAGGTGGAAGTTGTAGTGAGCCAAGATCATGCCATTGCACTCCAGCCTGGGCAACAAGAGTGAAACTCGGTCTCAAAAACCAAACCTAACCAAACCAAACCAAAACAAACAAACAAACAAACAAAAAAATCTGGCAACTGCGGATGCTTTCTTTCTCCCTTCATTCCTTCCTCCTTCCTTCCTTCCCTCCCCCCTTCCTTCCCTCCCTCCTCCCTTCCTTCCTTCCCTCCCTCCCCCGCTCTCCTTTCCTTCCTTTCTTTTCTCTTTCTTTCTTTCTTTCTTTCTTTCTTTCTTTCTTTCTTTCTTTCTTTCTTTCTTTCTTCCTTTCTTTCTGTCTCTCTCTCTCTCCTTCCTTACTTCGTTTTTTTTCTTTTTTTTTTTTTTTGAGATGAAGTCTTACTCTGTCACCCAGGCTGGAGTGCAATGTCACGATCTCGGCTCACTGCAACCTCTGCCTCCTAGGTTCAAGCGATTCTCCTGACCCAGCCTCCCAAGTAGCTGGGATTACAGGTGCGCACCACCACGCTCAGCTAATTTTTGTATTTTCAGTAGAGATGGGGTTTCACCATGTTGGTCAGGCTGATCTCGAACTCCTGACCTTGTGATCCACCTGCCTAGGCCTCCCAAAGTGCTGGGATTACAGGCATAAGCCACCATACCTGGCTTCTGTCTTTCTTTCTGTCTTTCTTTCTCTCTCTCTCCCTCTCTCTCTCTCTCTTTCTCTCTTTCTCTCCTTCTTTCTTTCTTTCTTCTTTCTTTCTTTTCTTTTTTTTTTCTTTCTTTCTTTCCCCTCTCTCCCTCCCTTCCTCCTTCCCTCCCTTCCTCCTTCCTTCCTTCCTCCTCCTTTTCTTTTCCCTTTCTTTCTTTCTTTTTCTTTCTCTCCTTCCTTCCCTACTCCCTCCCTCCCTCCCCCTTCCTCCCTCCCTCCCTTCCTTCCTTCCTTCCTTCTTTCCTTCCTTCCTTCCTTCCCTTCCTCCCTCTCTCCTTTCCTTTCCTTTCCTTTTTCTTTTGAGCCAGGGTCCTGTTCTGTTGCCCAGGCTGGAGTGCAGTGACATGATCATGGCTCACTGTAACCACTGTAACCTTGAACTCTCGGGCCCAAGCGATTCTCCTGCCTCAGTCTCCAAAGAAGCCAGAACTACAGCTGCATGCCACCACGGCCAACTAATTAAATTTTTTTTTTTTTTTTTGTAGAGATGAAGTCTTGTTTTGTTGCCCAGGCTGCTCTCTAACTCCCGGCCTAAAACAATCCTCCTGCCTCAGCCTCCCAAAGTGCTGGGATTACAAGCATGAGCCTCCATGCTTGGCCTTGAAGTGCCTTCTAATCTTACAGTTTTAGCCTTTCTGAGAATGTCACAGAAACGGAATCATACAGTATGTATTCTTTTGTGTCTGACTCTTTCATTGGCATGACACATTTCAGATGCATGCATGGTGTTATGTATATCAGTAGCTCATTCCTTTTTATGGCTGAGCAGTATTCCATTATATGAATGCTTTACAGTTTGTTTTTTTGTTCACTAGTTCAATGACATTTAGGTTGTTTGTACTTTTTGGGTGATTATGAGTAAATACACTACAAACATTTGGATTCTGGTTTCTGTGAGAACATACATTTTCATTTCTCTAGGGCTATCTTTTTTTTTTTTTTTTTTTTGAGACAAGGTATCGCTCTGTCTCCCAGGCTGGAGCGCAGTGGCACAATCTCAGGTCACTGCCGCCCGGCCTCCCTGGCTCAATCCTCCCATCTCAGCCTCCTGAGTAGCTGGGACTACAGGGGTGTACCACCACGCCCTGCTGGGGGTTATAATTTGTAAAAAACTGCCAAACTGTTGCCCCAAATGGTTGTACTAATTTTGAACCAATGATGTATGAGATTTCCAGAGGCTTCCCACATTTAGCAGCACTTGGTATTGTCACTTGAACAAATTTTTTAAGCTCATCTAACAACTGTGTAGTGGATCTCATCGTGGTTTTAATTTGCATTTTCCTAATGACTAATGACATTGAACACCTTTTAAATGTACTTATTTGCTATTTCTCTATCTTCTTTGGTTAAGTGTCTTTAAAAAGTTTCGCCTGTTTTTATAGGGTTGTTTGTTTTCTTATTATTGAGTTTTGGGAGTTCTTTATGGAATCTGGATTCAAGTCCTTTGTCAAACATGGCTCTGCAAATACTTTCTTCCCGTTTGTGGCTTGTCTTTTAACAGTGTCTTTTGCAGAGCAGAAGTTTTTAATTTTGATGGAGCCCAATTTATCATTCCTTTTTTTTATGGATTGCGCATTTGGTGTCATTTCACCAGCTTTTAATTTTATTTTAATTCTCCTCAGCCTGTGAGCAGCACTAGGGTGTGGTTTCCAGGCAGTTGCTGCGTGGAACCGCTCTTCCCCACTTCCTGCCTGGCCCCTCCATAGCACCCTCCTGGCTATTTCGGTCACCAGCTGGAACCTCTGTAAAGAGGGGCACTGGCACACAGATGTTGCCCCTCTAAAGCCTCTGGTGAAAGGTGTCATGAACAGGACAGCCACTGAGAATGTCTCCCACGCACCCTGCTCTCTGCTTGCCTGCCTCGGCCCCCACTTTCTCAAGATGGAGGTGTTTTCATTCCAGAAACACTGTTGCTTTCATGGCCCTTTGGCTGGGGCCAATACAGTTCACGCCACGGGTTTCTCTAACTTTGAAGATCTGGAAACAAGGCTGAGGCACTGCCTTTTACCATCCATAAGGGCTTTGGACTTAATGCAGAAAGTCCAGGAAGTAGCGGCTTCCCTGAACCTGCAACATCTTTTTTCTCTTGAATCCCAGGACATTGAGTGACCCTCTGCTCATCTTTGCATTGCCTGGATAAGAAGGTGGGTCCCAGCTGCCTTATAGTCTATACACCCAGAAATGGGATTGTAAATGTCCAGCCTAATGGACCTGTCATTTGACCTTTGCTTTGACTGGGCTCCGCTGCACTGGCCCCAAGGAAAGACAAGGTACCTGGGCATGGGTAGGGTCTTTCCATCTTTGCTGTAATGGAGCAGAGATGGAATAAGTGACATCTAAAGTTCTCATTTTTTTTGGCCAGGTTGCTCTCTAACTCCTGGCCTAAAGCCATCCTCCTGCCTCAGCCTCCCAAAGGGCTGAGATTACAAGTGTGAGCCAGCGCTTTAATTTATGTTTCATCTTGGGAGCCAGATGGAACATAAATAAATATCCAACATCTAGCATCCTTGCATCAGTGCTTAGGGAACCTGGCATTAACTGGGGAGCTCTAGGGCCTGGAGGCTGGGCTGTGGAATGTGTCTGCCATGCCTAAGTGGAGTGGCCATTGCCACTGGTGTGGCTGCTACTGTGACAATACTGTTAAAATATCAGCCATTCCTCCAAGACTTAACATGAGTCAGAGCTCTGCAGCTACAGTTGAGGCCTTGCCTAAGTGGCCAGAACCAGAATTCAGAATCTCACCCCAGTTGTACATACACAAAGAAATTTCTTCCTTTGTGTGGTCTTGTCCCCCTCCCAGGACCATCTCATATTATTCCTGGGGAGAAGGGTTTGCTTCAGACCTCAGAGCACTCTTACCTCACTTGGAGGCATTTTCCCCCCGTCCAAGTCTCCAAGACAATACTACAACTTGTAGTGGTTGGTGACCTTCTGCTGCAGTAATTCCCTCCTTTGGGCATTGAAATTGATTTTCTTCCTTGTGGCATGTAAAGATTCAAAGCGTGCCCCTTGCTCCGGGTCCCAGGAGAGTTCCCACATCAGCAGCTGAGTCGGGGACAAGGCCGGTCCTGGCCACCAGTGTGGGAGGGGGAGGAGGGGGTTCCTGTGCATCCGCCAGCCCCAGTCGTACCTGGGTGCCCCAGGGTGGGAACTGGGCATGGATACTGGGGGTTCCGGCTGGGGCACTCTTTGCAGCCGCTTCGTTGCCAAACTGGATTTTGACAAAGGAAAATCAGTGGACACTCATCTTTCAGTGGTTCTTTCCTAGAAATTCTGTATTTGTGTCAGTCCTCAGAGACCGCCCTGTGGCCTCCCCTGACCCTGGGCTCCCCTGTGAGTGAGGAGAGTGACTGGAAGCATGCGAGTTCTGCCTCTATCCTATCCCCTGTAGCTCCTCTCAGTCTCTGTTCCCCACAGGCAGCTTGGTTAGGAGCCCCCTGTATCCAGCACCAGTGTCCTTCCAGAAACCCATCTGTGCTGCCTGCCAGCGCCTGCCCCCTGCCTGTTGTGGCAGTCTGGTCTCCTGCTTTTCCTGTCCCCCTCCTCGAAGGACTTCCCCCAGGACTGGCAGAAATCTTAGCTCTTGGGGTGCAGGGTGGAGGGGAAATTAGCAGCAAGGGGTCGTCTTAGTCTGCATCTCAGCCCCTGTTCTTTTCTGGAAGCTCTAAAGAGCACAGCCCTTCGCCATGTTCCCCTTCCCTTCCCATTCTTGCCCCTCCATTCCTTTCTCTCTCCCTGCCACAGTGATATTTCCAGAGGGCAAATCAGATCATGTCACTCCCTTGCTTAAAACACCTCCTTATTTTCTTGGGCATAAAAGCCCAGCCTCCGAAAATCCCTCATCAGTCTACCCTGGGTTACGATGACCATTTCAAGGTCCCTGTTCTTTCAAAGCCACAACAGTGTCCTCCAGACATGCTGTCCACTTGCAATTCCCTGAAAGCCCTCCCTCCGCCTCCCTCTGGCTCTTGCCTCAGGGGCCTGCACTTGGCAGATCCGACCCCGCTCACCTGTCCCCTCCAGGCCAGGTGCTTCTCCTCTGAGCTCACGGGTCGATGCCACAGATATTTCCTGTGGGCCTCTTGCATGCCAGGTGCTGTGCTGTGGGGAGATGGGGAAACAGGGTGGCACAAGCCGCCCTCCCCGGGGTTTCCATGCCTGTAGCAAGACACAGACAACGAACAGGCAAGTAAAAAAGAGGGTCATGCAAGACTTTGAGATTTGCACTGGGGAAGCAGGCACATTGTGAAAACGGCTGGGCAAAACGTCTCTGCTGTGGTTGTCCCCTCTGAAACTCATGTTGAAATCTGTTTATTTTGCTTATTGATTTTTTGAGACAAGATCTATGCTCTGTCATCCAGTCTGGAGTGCAGTGGTGCGATCATAGCTCACTGCAGCCTCAACTTCCTGGGGTCAAACGATCCTCTTGCCTCAGCCTCCAGAGTAGCTGGGACTGCAGCTACTGTAAAAAAATAGCCTGGTTAATGTTTCTAATTTTTATTTTAATTTTTTTTTGTAGAGACAGGGCCTTGCTGTGTTACTCAGGCTGGTCTCCAACTCCCAGCTTGAAGTCATCCTCCTGCCTCAGCCTCCCAAAGTGCTGGGATTATAGGTATGAGCCACCATGCCTGGCCTTATGCCAAAATTTAATTGTAATTGTGACAATATTAAGATGTGGGGCCCTTTAAGAGGAGATTAGGTCATGAGGGCTGTGCCTTCATGAATTGATTAATCCTGAATTGCTTAATTCTGAATTGATTGATCCTGAATTGATTAATCCTGTTATCTTGTTAGTTATTGTGGAGTGGGCTCCTGATCAAAGGATGAAACTCAGCCCCCATTTTTCTCTGTCTCATGTGCTTCTTTGCCCTCCCGCCATGTGATCATGCAGCACAAAGGTTCTTGGCAGATGCTGAAGCCATGCTCTTGAACTTCCCAGCCTCCAGAACCACGATAAATAAACTTATTAATTACCCAGTCTGTGGTATTCTATTAAAGCAGCAGAAAACAGACTGAGACACCCTCTGAGAGTAATATTGAGTGGGGGAAGAGTCTAGTTCCTTGACGATCTGGAAGGAAGGTGCTCCAGGCAGGGAGAATAACAGGTTCAAAGGCTTAGAGTTGGACAAGAGCTTGATGTGTCCCAAGAGGCACTGGAAGCAGAGTGAGCCTGGTGCATTTGAGACATAGAGGGGATTATTCCAACACCCTCTTTCCTCTATATGCCAGAATAATTTTCAAGAACAATTCAGCAATGAAAGTAATAGTAGTAATGACCAGAAAAGAAATGTAGACAGCAAAAAAGTCCTTTTATTGAACTTTTTATATCTAATCATGCCAGAAGAAAAATTACGATAGCAAAAAGAAAAATACATAATAGATTAATCCTATTAAATTACGTCCATGTGGACAAACTTATTCCCATATATCTGTTGCAACAGTGAATAATGACATCATAGTTCTCACTTTGAGCCTCGACTTCGGCAAATTTGCCAGTGGCTTTGACAACCTTTTTCATCTATACATGTTCACTGTTCACAACAGCCAGATTTGTCAGCTTGTCTTCACTCATAGTTGGTTGAAGAATACTTCTTTATTAGTTTTAATTTCAAAGAGTTTCTTTCACAAGAAACAACAGACATACAAATGGTTATGAAAGTCTTAAACGTGAGGATAATTTTGGCAGAGATGTATAAAAATCCCATCTAAAATATCTCCCCTAGTTGAAAACCACTAAAATATCATCACCAGAGATTCATCATAGATTCCTATTTTATTCAGTAAAAACTTTCAAGGTTTTTCTTCTTTTACAAAAATCAGGAAGAACGGTGGGATGATGATGAGCATGACATGACCAGTTCCATTGCTGTGGGCCATGTGTCCAGTCTTTGGTGAAAATGATCAAGGCTTTGAAGCTTTGCTCTCTCAATTTCTTCTGGCAATGTTAGACTCGTGTCTTTTGTCGTTTCTCCTTGCACTATTTCTCAAAATTTGATTCTTTTTCTATTTCATTTTCTTTTTTTTTTGTATTTGTGTGCTGCATTGTTAATGGCCTTCACCATTTCTTTCTTTCTTTTTTTTTTGAGATGGAGTCTTGCTCTGTCGTCCAGGCTGGAGTGCAGTGGCACGATCTTAGCTCACTGCAACATCCATCTCCCAGGTTCAAGAGGTTCTCCTACCTCAGCCTCCTGAGTAGCTGGGATCACAGGATCTCACCACCACACCTGACTAATTTTTGTGTTTTTAGTGAGACGAGGTTTCACCATGTTGGCCAGGCTGATCTTGAACTTCTGACCTCAGGTGATCCCCCTGCCTTGGCCTCCCAAAGTGCCAAGATTACAGGTGTGAGCCACTGCGCCCTGACTTTCTCCACCATTTCTGAGCATGGATCTTCAAGGAACAGTTTTAAAGCTTGAAGCTTCACTGGACATTGTTCAAGGGAGATTCTGGTTGTTTGCAAATATTTTTTGTGACTGATTAACCTCATTGATCACATCACACCAGGATAAAAAGTACTAAATGGCTCCATTGCTGTACAATTTAACTTTTTTGATTCTCTTTTAGTTTTCAATTAACGATTGAAACTAACAAATTTCAATCTTGAAGACCCTATTAAAATTCAATAAATCATGCGTGAACTAAAATTTGCGCTTATCAAACAAAAAGGTAACACTGTTTAGTTCCTTCTGTTTTAAATTTTAAACATGAATGAACTTCCACACGATCACTTGGGATGACAGACTTGAAGTCATCTCAGTTCTGTTTCTTTGCCTTTGCAATCACTGTGCTAGCATTGTTTGTTTTGAACCTACTGTTTAAATGCAGGGATGTGTAGTTCCACACAGCTTGGGGACAGGGACTGTGCCCAAAGTGAACTTCAGCAATTCTGAGCTGCTATAAATTTACTCTTTAAATAAATGCGTATAGTTGAGTGTGTGTGTCTCAGGAACACATCTATAACTAGGAGTTATTTGAATTAAGTTCCATGTAGAAATCAATGTGTATTAAAATGTAAGTAATAAAAATGTGCTAATTTGAAGCTTGCATCTATATTACTAAAACACAAAGTAATGGGAGTCGTTGTATAGAACCTAAACCAACAATAGATTTGAAAGGAGTATTTCTTTTTTAAATCATGCACATTGCTTAGAATTGCTGGCACATGGAGATAAAAATGCTCCGTAGGCATTGAATACCCTCACTCCTTGCATCTAAGGGGTGGTTTTTCCCCGGCAGGACCACCAGCGCGACCTGCAGAGGTGCAAGTGAGGGGAGGAGTAGTGAGAAATGACATAAAAGGGGCTTGTAAGAGCCAAGTCCTCAGGGGTCTTGCAGGCCATGGTGCTGGGGTGTGGCTTTTAGCTCAAGTCCAATGTGCTTTCGTAGTGCCAGGTAGAAGCCCTACTGTTGAACATGAACAAGTCACCAGGACGTTCCAAAATAATAGGATGTCTTTTCTGTTTGATCATAATCTCCCTGAGGGCAAGCAATGGGTTTCAGGTACCTTTCTAAGTCATTGTTTTTCCCAGTGCTTACAAGAGACAAAATATACGGGCAATAACCAGACCATATATAAGATAGAACTCTGACCTACGATCGGCAGCAAAGAATTTAAGAAGTCAAACTCCCATCTTTAGCAACCATCCAGGATGACAAATAACAACCCTTGTAACATTTGGTCTTAAATGGCTGGGACTTGTTGAATTAGGGACAGTGTCCCTAATTTTTGTCCCTGCTTCTAACTTAGCTTCACATGGAGAAAGCCAAATATGCCCACTTAAACCATCACATAGGATGCCCTGCTTCTAGTTAGCTGCCTACAGCTTCCCCCACTAACGGGGCACACTGGAAGCCTTCTCTTTTTCCACTGTAAACTTTTCCCACCTCTCTGCCTCCCTGTGAGTCTCTGCCAAATGTGAGTGATGGTTGCTGACTCTCTTGACATAGCAAGCTCTAAATAAATAGCCTTTGCTTGTTCTCATTTGGGTGGTCTTTGTTTACTTCCATGCCTGACTCACATAGTGAATTAATGAATGAGTGAGTGAATGAATAACAACCCTTCCGTCCAGAAGCTGACCCTCTAATGCAAGGGATAAAGCTAAGGAGGGGTCAGGTGTGGTGGCTCACACCTGTAATCCCAGCACTTTGGGAGGCTGAGGCAGGCAGATCACCTGAGGTCAGGCGTTTGAGACAAGCCTGGCCAACATGGCAAAACCACGTCTCTACAAAAATACAAAAATTAGCTGGGTGTGGTGGTGCACACCTGTGGTCCCAGCTACTAAGGAGATTGAGGCAGAAGAATCATTTAAACCTTGGTGGTGGAGGTGGCAGTGAGCCGAGATCATGCCACTGCACTCCAGCCCGGGTGACAGAGCAAGACTCCATCTCAAAAAAAAAAAAAATAAAATAAAAAGAAGGTAAGGAGGGGAAGATTAACAGCAACATGGCTGACTGATGACCGAGACACTACACCTACAGGGAAACAGATGGGCCTGTCCTTCTGAGTCTCTGTTTATACTAACCATCTTCTCTGGATGCCTGCTCCTTTATAAACCTGGGATTCTCCTATGCAAAATCACTAACATGCATTTTCACTTAATGTATGCTGCTCATCTCTCCACTTAATAGTATATCTTTCAAGGATGCAATTTTAAATGATTGCATAGTATTCCATGAGGTCAAGTGGATGGTTTCTTCTAATTTTATTTTATTAAAAAAAATATTTTTGTTATATATTGACAGATTACAGTTGTATGTATTTCTTGGGTTACAAAGTGGTGTTATGATTTTTGAATACACGGTGGAAAGAGTAAATTAAGTTAATTAACATATCTATCATCTCAAATATTTAACATTTTTTATGATAAGAATATTGGAAATGTACTCTTTTAGTTATATTGAAATGCGCAGAGCTCAATTATTAGCTATATTTACCATGATGTTCAATTGATATAAAAAACCAAATCTCTTTCTCTTGTCTAGCTGAGGCTTTGTACTCTGTGACTATCATCTCCCCATTCCCCACAGCCCCAGCCTCTGGTAACCACCATTCTACTCTCTGCTTCTATGAGTTCAATTGTTTCAGAATCCACGTATAAGTGAGAACACACAGTATTTGCCTTACTATATTCGGCTTATTTCACTTAATGTAATGTTCTGCCATTCTATCCATGTTGTTGCAAATGACAGAATGTTTTTTTTAAGGTTGAATACTATTCCATCATGTATATATGCCACATTTTCTTTATCCATTCATCAATGGTGGAGCACCCAAATATATAAAGCACATATTAAAGAATCTGAAGGGAGAGATAGATTGCAATATGATAATAGTAGGGGACTTCAGTAGACCGCTTTCAATAATGGACAAATTATCCAGACAGAAAATTACTAAGGCACTTTAGACCAAGTGGATCTAACAGAAATATATGGAGCATTTCATCCAATAGCAACAGAATCCACATTCTTCTCAAGTGCGTATAGAGCATTCTCCAGGATAGATCAGACGTTATGCCACAAGACAAATCTTACCAAATTTAAGAAGGTTGAAATCATGTCAAGTATCTTTTCTGACCACAGTGTTATAAAACTAGAAATTGGTTATAAGAGGAATTTCAGAAAATTCACAAATACATGGGAATTAAATAGCATGCCCCTGAACGACCATCGGGTCAATGGTGAAATTAAAAGAGAAATTTAAAAATATCTTGAAAGAAACAAAAAGGGAAATACAACATACCAAAACTTATGGGATGCAGCCAAAGCAGTTCTAAGAGGAAAGTGTATAACAATAAATGCCTACATCAAAAAAGAAGAGTTGCAAATAAGCAACTTATTGTTATGCCTCAAGGAAATAGAAAAGGAAAAACAAACTAAGCCCAATGTTAGCAGCTGAAGAAATAATATTAGAGCTGAAATAAATGAGATAGAGACTAGAAAACAATACAAAAGCAATAAAAATAAGGGTTAGTTTTTTGAAAAGATAAACAAGGTTGACCAAACTTTAGCTTGACTAACCAAGAGAAAGAGAGCAGAAATAAAAGAGGAGACATTACAAGGGACACCACAGAAATACAAAGGACCATAAGAGGCTATTTAGAATAATTATATGCTGGCTGGGTATGGTGATTCATGCCTGTAATCCCAGCACTTCGTTAGGCTGTGGTGGGAGGATCATTTGAGCTCAGGAGTTCAAGGCCAGCCTGGGTAACAGTGAGATTCTGCCTCTACAAAAAAAAAAAAATTATTAAAAAAATGATTAGCTGGATATGGTGGCACACATCTGTAGTTCAAGGCTTGAGCCCAGGAAGTTGAGGCTACAATGAGCCATGATTGCACCACTGCACTCCAGCCTGGGTGACACTGCACTCCAGCCTGTCTCCAAAAAAAAAATTATATGCCAAAAAATTGGTTAACTTAGAAGCAATGGATACATTCCTAGAGACATACAACACACCGACCTGAAATCATGAAGAAATAGAAAAATCTGATCAGACCAATAACGAGGGAGGAGATTGAAGCAGTCATAAAAAAGTCAACCAACAAAGAAAAGCCCAGGACCAGATGGCTTCATGGTTGAATTCTGCCCAACATTTAAAGAACTAATACCAATTCTCCAAAAACTCTTCCAAAAAAATTGAAGAGGAGAAAATACTTCCAAACTCTTTTAACGAGGCCAACTTTACCCTGATACCAAAGCCAGACAAGGACATCACAAGAAAACAAAACTGCTTCTAATTTTAAACATAAAATTCCTAAATCAAAGTTTATGCCACATTTTAAAGTTTTTCTTACATGTTTCCAAGTTGCTTTCCAAAAAGGTTATAGAAATTTGCCCTCATATCCATAGTGTATGGAAGTGTATAGTTTCCTACTTCTTCATCAGCAATTGTATTTTATACTCTTTTCCACTGTTGGTGCATTTGAAAGCCAAAAAATGTTATTTTGTATTGAGTTACATTTCTTTAATAATAAATGGACTCAATATATTTTTAGTATATTCTTTGATTATTTTTTCTCAGATAAATTTTTATTTATGTTCTTTTACATCTGTCTTTTCTGAGTGGGTTCCATATTGTCTTAACAGCATGGTTCTGTAATTTATTTTAATATATGGTAGGGTAAGCCTCTTCTAATACCTATTTTGTTTTTTTAAAAATGTTATGAATGTTTTTCTCCTACAAGGATTTTGACTGAAATCGCAATTTATTTGTAAAGTAATTGAAAAAGTCTATAGTATTATCAGAATGTGATATATCTTTCCATTCACCCAGATCTTCTTTGAAGACTGTTAATTTTTGGTTTTTCTAATAGGAATCTATGACCTTTCATGTTTAGTATTCTGTGCATTCAGATTTCCAGTTGTTTTGTGGATGATATTATTTTGCATTATTAATTATGGTTAGTTTTCACTGGCCATTGTGAATAAATAGGAAAGCATCTTATCTATCTATGTATCTATGTATCTATCTTTCTATCTATTATCTACCTATCATCTATTATCTTTACTCTGTAAATTGCCACCAGACTGTGCTTTCTTGAATTTTCTAATTTTTATTTCTAGTTAATTCTCTTGGGTTTTCTAGGTCAACAAGCATATTGAGAAATAGCAAAAAAAAAAAAAAAAAAAAAAAAAAATCCTATCTTTCCAATAGTCACACATTTTGTTTTTTATCTTTGTTATATTGAATTGCCTAGAACAGGCTGAATATTGTCAATGGTGATAATAGATACCCTTGTCCCATTGCTGACTTGAATGGAAATGATGCTGGTTTTTTGCTGTCATGTGTGACAATGTCTGTGGTTCGAGGTAGCTATTTTGTATTGTTTTGAGATCAGATGCTTCTAAATTTAGTGAGTTTTCATCAGGAGGAGATATTGAATTCATACCTTTCAGCATCAATCAAGATGACTGTGATTTTCCTTCTTTGACTTTCTGATGAAATGAATTATAGTTAATAGATGTTTTTAATGTTGAGGTATTTTGCATATGGGCAAGAAAATCTTAATCTTGTTGGATCTGAGTTGTAATATTTTATTTGGGATGTTTATGTCTATATTCACAAATGAGTTTAGTTCATAGGTTTTATTTTTTGTTATATCTTTGGGAAGTTTGGATGACAAGATTATGTTTGCTTTGAACAATGGACTGGGAGAATCTCCAACTTTCTCTTTTCTCTGAAACAAATGGCACAGGGATTGTTCATTCCTTGACATTTGGAAGAAATTGCCCTTAAAACTTTAATCTAGTGTCTTGTTTTTGGAATCGGTCCTTTGACAGTCTTTCCAGTTCTTCTATGTTTATTATTAGTAGTATTATTGTCCTTAGATTTTTAAATATTTCTTTTATTGACAGTTTTGGTAACCCATATGTTTCCAAGAAATTTGCAAATCTTATTCAGATTTTAAAAACTGAAGGTGTGAAATTGAGGGACATTCTTCACAATACCAGGCCAGTATTCGTCTAAACTGCCAAGGCCATGACAAACAAAGCAGGACTGAGAAACTGTCGCAGATCAGAGGAGACTGAGGAGACACGGTGACTAAATGAAATGGGGCATCTTGGATAAGATTCTGGTTCAGAGAAAGGACGTTAGTTGAAAAGTGGGTGACATCTAAATAAAGTCTGGAATTTACTTAAAAAGTATTGTTATGGAGTTATCATACTCTTTTATAAGGATGACACCATCCTGCCACAGCAGAGATTATTTTTTTCTTTTATCTTCTTGATTAGACTTGACAGGGACTTGTTTTGAGAAACTCATCCTTGAATTTATTCAGTAGTTCGACTTAAAAAAATCAAAAACTGTCAATAATTTTAAAATTTTTGGTAACTTTTTATTGTCATTATTTCCATCTTACTTAAAAGTTATAGGAATAGTTTATGAACTCCCACATATCCTTCATCAATTGTGTAAATTTGCCCCATTTGTGTTCTCTTTCTTTCTGTACATATATTAATTAATATGCACATACTAATATTTAGTATACATTAATATGTATACTAATATTCCTTCTAAACCATTTGAGAATAGACTGGAAGCATCATTCCCCTTTACCCCTAAATACTTCATTGCTATTTCCTAAGAATGAGGGCATTCTCCTACGTAACCACAGCTGTTACCCAAATCAGGAAATTTAACATTGATATGGTACTATTATCTAAATTTGCAAATTTCTTGGAAATATATGCATTACCAAAATTGTCAAGAAAACAGATATTGAAAAATCTAGAGATACTACTGCTAGTAAACAGAGAGTATATCGCTTATGTAACCACAGCTCAGTTACCCAAATCAGGAAATTTGACATTGATATGGCACTGTTTCCTAAATTTACACATTTCTTGGAAATATGTGGATTACCATTACCAAAACTGTCAACAAAAGTAGTATTGAAAAATCTAAAGATACCACTACTAATAAACAGAGGGCATTCTCTTACATAACCACAGCTCAGTTACCCAAATCAGGAAATTTGACATTGATATGGTACTATTAACTAAATTTGCAAGTTTCTTGGAAATATATGGATTACCAAAACTGTCAACAAAAGAAATATTGAAAAATCTAAAGATACTACTACTAATAAACATAGAAGAACTGGAAAGACTGTCAAAGGACTGCTTCCGAAACAAGACACTAGATTAAAATTTTAAGGCTAATTTCTTCCAAACATCAAGGCATGGACAATCCCTGTGCCATTTGTTTCAGAGGAAAGAGAAACTTGGAGATTCTCCCAGTCCATTATTCAAAACAAGCATAATCCATTTTCAAATTTTGTCAATTGTCCCAATATTGTCCTTTCTAGTTATTATTTTTTCCCTTGCAGTATCTGGTCCAGGATCAAGAGTTGCATTCAGTTGTCCTGTCTCTTTAGCCATCGTTAATCTGGAACAGTTACTCAATTGGGTGTATTTCATGACTCTTCATTTATAGATTCGGTTTATGCACTTCTAACAGGAATACCCACAAGTGACATCGTGCCTTTCTGAGTGCATCTTATGAAGAGGCACAGAACTTGGTTTCTTCCAATATCGGTGCTGCTAACTTTGATCACTTGGTTAAGGTGGTGCCTAGCTGGCTCCTCCACTGTAAAGTTACTATCTTCTCCTTTGTAACTAGTAATTAATTGTGGAGAGATACTTTTGCACTGTGTAAATATTCTTCATCAAATTCCCACCCACTAGTTTTACTATACACTGATGGTTTTATAACCTCAGCGTTCATTCTATATTATCAATGAGCATTGTACTGTAGGGAAGAGCTTTTTCTCCCCACTTACTTAATTTAAAAAAAAATTACTTATTTATATCAGTATGGATGCATGAACTCTTAATTTATTCAATGGGTTATAACACATTACCATCATTACATTAAAAATATATTTTTTTAGAAACAGGGTCTCACTCTATCACCCAGGCTGGAGTGCAGTGGTGTGATCATAGCTCACTGCAGCCTCAAACTCTCAGATTCAAGCCACCCTGCCACCTCGGCCTCCTGAGTAGTTGGGACTACTGGTATGTTCCACTATGCCTGGCTAATTAAAAAAAAATTTTTGTGTGGTAATGGGGTCTTGCTGTGTTGCCCAGCCTGGTCTCATACGTACTCCTGGCCTCAAGTGATCCTTCTGCCTCTAAGGATATATTTTGATGTTCAAATTGTCCTAGATTTGGCAGTTGAGATTCCTTCAATCTGGTTCTTGTCTCCTTTTGACAAATCCTTATAAGTCTTTGAGCGCTTCCTTAATTTCTGACACAGAAAGCTGTTTCAGGGTCATCTTGGATTTTCCCTGCCCCAGTTCAGTTATTTCTCCAAGGAGCCCTACGCAGAACCAACCAATTAACCAACCAACTAACTGACCAACCAACCAGTGGTAAACAAATACGGATTCCTCATTGGTGTTGCTTCCAGTTGGTTTCCTTCCTGCAATGGTAATGGGTTGGAATTTTGAACCCACCTTCTGTGACTTCTAGGATGAGCAAGTGAATCCATGTATTGAGGATAATGGGAACTGGGTTTCTCACTATTGGGGAAACATGCAGAGGAGGAGGTTAGAAATGTAGCCAGTGTTAGCCAGGCATGGTGGCACATGCCTGTAGTCCCACTGCTCCAGAGGCTAAGATGGGAGAATCGCTCGAACCAAGAAGGCGGAGGTTCCATCATTGAGCCGAGATTGCACCACTGCTCTTCAGCCTGGGTGACAATAGTGAGACTCCGTCTCAAAAAAAAAAAAAAAAGAAATGTACCTTGTTGTGCTGAATTGGAATCAAAAGGGGCAGATGAACTCATGGTTTTTAATATCTATCTATCATCTATCTATCTATCTATCTATCTATCTATCTATCTATCTATCTATCATCTACCATCATCTATAGATACAGAAATAAATATTAATGCCTATTTAATGTGTGTGTACATGTGCATGTATTTCCCAGCTCTGTCTGCTGAGAGGTCCTAGAAACAATGACACGCTAGTAACAATGAGCACGTCTTGTGCTAAGATCCTGATTTTTATTTACTAATCTCAATTAAATTTTTAAAAAGTTTATCCTTCTTTTGTGCATGTTATATTACAGGAACACTTTGTAGATGCTATGTAGCATTTTAAAAACTGCCTTGTGTATGCAGCACTGTCCAGCAGAACTGTCTGCAACAATAGAAATGTTATATACCCGCCCTGACTGGTGGAGTACCCACTAGACTCAGAAAACATGGCTAGTGGGTCTGAAGAACTGATTATTTACTTTATTTAATTTTAATTAGTTAAAATCTAAATTTAAATAGCCACTCATGGTTAGTGGCTACTATATTAGACTTTTGAGTATAGGTTTGAAATGTTTGTATGTGTGTGAGTGTGTGTATTCAAGTTTATTAATAATACTATTCAAATGTATTTTGTTCAAATACTGTATTAGACCTTTGGGTATATGGTTTGTATACGTGTATGTATATATGTGTAAATATACCATATATATATTCAATTTTGTTAATAATATTGGTTAAATCTTCTTTTTTTCTCTCGGTATACCTGGCAAAGATCAAGAGAAAAATGTTCACTTTGACCATTTTGCTTTAATCTCTACCTTGTTAAATATTAATATTATCGTCTCTGATTTATTTTTGTTTGTGTTTGCCTGGTAAGTCGTTGCCCATCACTTTATTTGGCACATGGAAAAAACTCAATATTTATTTGTTGAATGAATAAATGCATAAATTTTTAAAGCTTTTCGGAACATTTTATTATAGGTTTGTTCCTCTGTAATAGCTCAAAGCTGGATTTTGTTTTTGACCCAAACTAAGTCTTTTAATAGAAGCTTCCAGCTCATTTACATTTTGTGCTTAGTTACTTACAGGGCTTTTGTCTTTTTGTGTGAAATTGAAGCATAGCCTGTATCAGTTCCTTCTGGGTAAGGATTTTGTTCCCAGAGATCCTTTTCTACCTTGAAGACGTCCCTATTCATGTGCCCTAAGGAAGATTTCTGTTTTCCTTTTAATTATTGCTTTTCCACTCTTCTTTTCTTTCCTTTTAAACCACTGTTATATCCAGGATAAGTGCCTGCTGTTTCTTTTTTCTTTTCTTTTTGAGACGGAGTGTTGCTCTGTCGCCCAGGCTGGACTGTAGTGGTGCGATCTCAGCTCACTGCAAGTTCCTCCTCCCTGGTTCATGCCATACTCCTGCCTCAGCCTCCCGAGTAGCTGGGACTACAGGCACCCACCGCCACGCCCGGCTAATTTTTTGTGTTTTTAGTAGAGATGGGGTTTTACCATGTTAGCCAGGATGGTCTCGATCTCCTGACCTCGTGATCCGCCCGCCTCGCCTGCTATTTCTTATTTCTTTCTCATTTGCATTTATCTTTGAGTCCTGGTACTATCTCTTGAGCTTGTCTTCTAATTCTCCATTTAAAAATTTGTCAATCATATTTCTCGATCCAAAAGCAATATTTTTAGATTTTTCTCTTTTATACTACCTGCCAGAGTTTTGTAGTTGAAATGTCTCGGAAGGACACACCTAGAGCATCTTTGCACTTGTCTCCTGTTTCTTGCACTAACTCTGCCATATAATGTGATGTTTGCTCTAATTGTGCAGATTTATGTATGCATCTTGAATGGCTACATATTTCCACCTGTCTTGTGATTTCTCTGTTTTTTCTCTCCCACATGGGGGAGGTCATAGGGTTATCCAGTAGGGGGTTCTGAGAGAGAGTGTGGCATGCCTATGTAGATATTTCAGGCCCAGTCAAAGAGGGTAGGGAAAAGTGTAGATTGGCAGTTGCTTTCCTTTGCCAAGTTAACTTATTTTATTAAAACTCTTAAATATTTTTTCTTTTTTTTTATACAGGGTCTCACTCTGTCACCCAGGCTGGAGTGCAGTGGTGCAATCTTGGCTCACTGCAACCTCTGCCTCCCGGGTTCAAGAGATTCTCCTGCCTCAGCCTCCTGAGTACCTGGGACTACAGGGGTGCATCACCACACCTGGCTAATTTTTGTATTTTTTTGGTAGAGATGGGGTTTCATCATTTTGGCCAGGCTGGTCTAGAACTCCTGACTTCAAGTGATCTGCCCACCTTGGCTTCCCAAAGTGCTGAGATTACAGATGTGAGCCACCATGCCCAGCCTAAAACTAATTTTTATTTACTTATTTTGTAACACTCCATTTTATTTTTTTGAGACAGTCTTGCTCTGTCCCTCAGGCTGGATAACTGCTTACTGCAGCCTCAAATTCTTGCCTCAAGTGATCCTCCTTCCTCAGCCTCACAAGTAGCCGGGACTACAGGAATGCTTCACCATACCTGGCCCCAAATTTAGCTTCTGTGACCCACAACCAGAGGCTCCTCAAGCAGGGAATTTCCCCTGTGTTGAAGAGCACCTGTTTCTTGTTTGTTATGGCAGCCCCAAGTAAAAGGGAAGCATGTCTTCCTTCTCTTTTTGCCACCATGACAGAAGAAGAGAGGTATTTAATGATATCAACCTTCTAGAATGTGTGTGTGCTCCCAGTGTTTTGATAGTGTATAACAGAGAAACTAAGCTTCAAAACTTGTACAGAGGCCAGGCATGGTGGCTCATGCCTGTAATCCCAACATTTTGGGAGGCCAAGGCAAGTGGACCACCTGAGGTCAGGAGTTCGAGACCAGCTTGGTCAACATGGTGAAACCTCATCTCTACTAAAAAAAAAATTAGCCAGGCATGGTGGCGGGTGCCTGTAGTCCCCAGGCTGTGGCAGGAGAATTGCTTCAACCCAGGAGGCAGAGGTTGCAGTGAGCTGAGATAGCGTCACTGCACTCCAGCCTGGGCAACAGAGCGAGACTGTCTAAAAAACAAAAAAAAGGACTAGCAGAGAGTTCCCTGAATAGAGGGTGGCTCTATGTAGAGAATTAGGTGCCATCATTGTCCCTGTCTGGCCACTAACTTGTCATGCCCTCATTACCTCCTCTGGATGGATCAGGGTCAAATGGACTCAACCCAAAGGCATTTTCTTTCCCTTTCTCTTTGTTCCTCTTTGGGTCTGAGGTTGAAAGTGAGAAAACTCCAGGGCTGCAGGGTACCAGGTGAAAGCATAAAGTTTGGTTTGTTTTGGAACATAGGAAACTCTGTGTGTGTGTGTGCATTTGTGTGTATTTGTGTGTGTGTGTGCATGTGTATGTGTGTATGCATACATATTCCCAGGCTTCTCCAAGCCAAGCTAAATTCTCAGAGCACTATGTCCCTTTTTTGGGCTATATCCACCTTATTTTTGCCCTTGGACAGTGAGGAAGTATTGCCTGAGAAGTGCCAAAGATGAAACTGTGCCTTCCTGTTCTCTCCAAAGTGAGGGCTTCCTTGGAACTGAAGGTTTTTGTTTCAGGAAGAGGGATCCAGGAAGTTTGGAGAACAATGGCTGTGCCTGATGGAGACAAATGACTGCAGGCCAGACTTGGCTGGGAAGGAGGCTCCAGATGGGGCTGGGTCGCCTTCTAAGCCTAAGACCTGCCTTGGTGAACATCCTTAGACAGCAGATCTTCATCCTCAGGAGAACAGAGGGACTCAGGCAGATCCCGGTTCTGAGTTTATTAGCAGTAGGGTCTGGTCAAGTTTCTGTGCTTCAATATCCCCTCTGATATGTGGGACAAACATTTCAACTTCATTGGATTGTTGGGATGATTCAGTGATAAAACAGCATCAAGCTTCTTGCTACGCACAATGAATGGCACACCTGGGTTCTTAATTCCTCAAGACAAACTGGTTCATAAATATACACACAGAAGCAGCAGCACAGCACAGTGGCTGGCACCACAAGTTATGGAGTCAAATTATCTGGTATAAAAATTCTGATTTTGGCCTGTCGTGGTGGCTCATATCTGTAATCCCAGCACTTTGGGAGGCTGAGGTAGGTGGATTGCATGAGCGTGGGAGTTCGAGACCAGCCTGGGCAGCATAGCAAGATCCTGGCTCTATTAAATTTTAAAAATAATTCCCGTTTTGTTCTCACTGGCTGTGTCTCCTGAGTAATTTTCTTTTGTTTTTTTTTTGAGACGGAGTCACTGTCATCTAGGCTGGAATGCAGTGGTGTGATCTTGGCTCACTGCAACCTCCACCACCTGGGTTTAAGTGATTCTCCTGCCTCCGCCTCCTGAGTAGCCAGGATTACAGGCATGAGCCATCACATCCAGCTGATTTTTGTATTTTTAGTAGAGGTGGGGTTTCACCTTGTTGGCCAGGATGGTCTTGAACTCCTGACCTTAGGTGAGATTGGAGAATCAAAACAAGATGCTGGGTATGAACTCTTGCTCCATCATGTCATAGCAGATGATCCTGGGTGAGTCATTGGCCCTCCCAAAGTCTCAGTTTCTCATCTGTCACCCGAGGACCATGGTCCTGCTTATCTTCAACTGACAATGCAGTGAGGCATGAGGAAGATCTTGTGCAAAGCTCTCATCTCAGTTCCAGTAGGCAGCAAGGGCTCTGGAATGGTTAACCAGGGGGATTTGTAGACAGAAAGCCTATTTCCTAGAGTTCTCTCTTCTCCAGTTTCTTCCCCTGTTGTTCAGCTATGACACTTGGAAAACTGTCCTGTTTCCTCCTTCCCAGGCATACTTCAGCTGGTTTGTTTCCCTGCAAAAGGAACTACTCCAGCCCAGACGGGGGGGCACCTCTCAGTGTCGGACATTGCCTTCCTGTGAATGCAGCCTTGTTTAATTCACTAATCAACACATCTGGCAATCACCCTAAAAAACTCAGTGCCCTCCAGTTCCATGTTTCAAGTCTTTCTGGAGGGGAGGAGGAATACTCAGATTTACACTTCTGTTGCTACTTACATATCATGTCTCTCAATACAAAGCCATCCTCTTGTGGCCGCAGGTGGATGCTTGGTGTATTAGTCTGTTTTCACACTGCTCGTAAAGACGTACCCGAGACTGCGCAATTTATAAGGAAAAAAAGGTTTAATGGACTCACAGTTCCACATGGCTGGGGAGACTTCACAATCATGGTGGAAGGTGAAAGGCACATCTTACATGGCAGCAGACAAGAGAGAAGAGAATGAGAGCCAAACGAAAGGGGTTTCCCCTCATACAACCATCAGATCTTGTGAGACTTATTCACTACCATGAGAACACTAAAAGGGAACCCCTCCATGATTCAATTATCTCCCAGTGGGTCCCTCCCATAACATGTGGGAATTATGGGAACTACAATTCAAGATGAGATTTGGGTGGGGACACAGCAGGACCAGGTCACCCAGGCTGTGTTTGTCCGACCTATCAATAATAATTTAATTGTACATTTAAAAATAACTAAAAGCGTATAATTGGATTGCTTGTAACACAAAGGATAAATACTTGAGGGGATGGGTTTTCCATTATGTGATTATTATGCATTACATGCCTATACCAAAATATCTCATATACCCCATAAACATATACACCTGCTGTGTATTCACAAAAATAAAAAGAAAATACCAAAAAAAAAAAAAAAAGATCTAGGTGTCTGGATCCACCTTCTAGGGTAGGTTTGCATGGATCCAAAGGGTGAAGGTTGAGCCCAGCTGATTCATGGTACATCAGACACATGACATCCTTCTTCTATATCCATGTCCCCAACTGTAGCTCTGCCAGGGAATTCCGAGAAACCAGGATGGAGGCTTTTGTGCTAAGATCTGTCTTTTATCCATTTAAATTACAATACTGGAATAATTATGTATGTGTAAAAACTGTCAAAAGTATACTTAAATGATACCTTTGCCGTGTACTAAAATTACTTTTCATTATGACCTATTTGTACATCGTTTGAACTAAATATCTCAGCCTAGAAATGTAAACGTGTTTTGTTTTTGCTCTGCAGGTTAGGTCAGCAGACGTCTGAAACAAATACGATTGCAAGGGTGAAAGTGACATGATTTACTTAAATCAGGCAATTTCTCCATGAAAGCATTGAAGCCTCAACTCATAAAGACACTCTTCAGCAGATGAGCTGTAAGGTTGTCCAGCATTTGTCATATTAGGTGATTTGAAAGGAAAGAACAATTATAAAAATGAATGTAATTCTCTGTTGAAGAAAAAATAATCCAGTTTTTGCAGCAGGGGGCCACAGATTAAAAACAGATTTCACAGCAATTCGGCTGCTATAACATTATACAATTAAAACGTAAGAAGAAACAGCTCTCGTGCCAAAGAAGACAGTTGTGGGAATTAGTTTGTTTGGGGACGGGGAGGCAGGTTCCCCCTGCAGCATCAAAGGTTATTTTGTTTCCCCTAGGAACAGCACTGTTGCCATAAACGGTGCTGGTTTGCTTCCAACCCCCATCTTCCCCGCTTTTCTGAGCTGCTTTCAATTAGCAGGGATTATTAAACTGGAAACATTTTAAACTGCTGCCGAAGCGGCTTTCCGGCCTTATGAGCTGAGGCCTTATGAGCCGAGCTAGAGGCGTCACAATAAAGCTGATTGATTAGGGAGGAATGTACTGATAGCAACTAATGCCCAGTGTCTTTTTCTATGCGTTTCACAGTCTACTCTTTCCCCACTGAACTGTGTGTCTTCATGGGGAGTTTGACTTTGCTTCTCTCTCTGGTGCCTTCTGGAGCCTGGAGGCTCTCAACTTCCATTTCAACTGCCTGACCTGGGCCAGCCATATCTCCATGACCCATCTCCCACCTGGACCCATTGCTAGGGTGGGCGGATCCCAGAGGCCAGGCTGTTGGATTTCTGCATGACTGGCCTTTTTCTCTTTGCAGTTTAATTGTCGGGACATCAGACTAACAGTGACAATAACACATCTCTGCAAAATATAGGCCACAGAGCGCTGGTGGAGGTAGAGGTGGGGGCAGGTGTATGTGTCTTGTTGGAGGGTTTCAAAAATGGAAGACATTTCCCTAAAGTTTGATCGTCAATGACCTTGTCTTCTAGTGATCTTCCTTTAAGTTTCTTGTGTGCATATCTGATTTCTCCAACTAAACTAATTAATTTATTTGATAACGCATACTACTTGGTTAGCATTGTGATAAATTTTTAAAGGTATTTACTTTTTATGTTTAATTCTAGCAACAAATCCCTGATTTGTTGGTAGAATCGGTACAGTTAACATCCCCATTTTAAGATGAGTAAACTGAGGCCTGTGGGTGGGAAAGGCCGACTTCAAAATGAGGCAGAACGCTTCACCACTATATTGCTTCTTGCATTAAACCTTTTCCTGCTCTGAGTGAGCGGGGTGGAACCGATCCTCTATTCCTCCCCAGGTCATTCACTACTTAAAAAAAAAATCCATGGATTCTTTTAATACATGCTTGTTGTGTGTGTCCAGGCTCTGAGGATGGTGGTGGACTAGTCAGACCAGCTGCCTCTTCTTGTCGGGACAGGACTCATGCCCGAGCTCTGTTTCTGATCAGTTTGCAAGGAGAATGTATATACCCACATTGCCACTTACCACGAGGAAGCTCGGCTTTTCAGCGTTGCCTAAGTGCTTGAGTTGCAAAGGTTCAGCAACCCAGCTTGTGTTGGGTGGACTGGAAAAAGGAGACAGGGTCCACTTTTTGGTTACGCAGTGGGCTGCCTTCAACCCCCCACTCCCCTCTTTTCTGGCAGAAAGGGGCTGGAGTGAAGGTGCGGGGTGGGTGTTGGGGAGTGGCAGAAAGCGGTTTCCCTAGGGGCGGGGCCCGGGGTAAGGCCGACCACAGTTATTCCAGGATTATGACTCAAAGCACACTAACAAGAAGCATTTATTACCTCCGAAGTAGTGCTGGCTCTGTAGTGCTGAATGGAGAGGTGAGGTATTGCAGCTGTTATCTTTTGAACTAACTGCTATTGCGTGTCCCATGACCAGCCGTGGCAGGGTTTTTGTTCCCATGAATGAATGGGCTATAAATCTGTCGGAGCTGACAGTAGCAGCAGTACTAGAGGGTGTAAAGAGAAAATGTGCAGAAGAATCTTGTGGTCTTTGCTTGCCTAGAAAATGAGTTCAATAAAATGGAGGTGATCAGTGCTTATTTATAGGGCAAACGGATACATCCAGCATTGGCCGTCAGAGCCTAACTTAGTGTTTTCTCATTTACAGTCACTCTGTTGTAAAGCACATCTGTGCACCGAGGGCACTCGTGGAGCTTCCAGCAATTGCAGTGGTGGAGACACGTGCAGATAAAGGGGTGTTTTCCTCTCTGTTTCTAAGCTTCAGGAGCCTTCAGAGGTAGCTGTCTGGAGAGCTGTAGTTTTGAGGGTTCTAACAGGCAGGAAAACCCGAGGCCGAGAACAGCTCCTTATTTATATTTCAGTTTTGAGGGTGAATGGCAGGAAATGGAATAAAATTAATCGCCATTTTTTCAGGCCCCTGAAACAATAAATTTCAGCAGCCATAAATTTGGAGCTGGGTTAAGTACTGAAAACAATTTATTGCTATTTTTTCCCTTAATTGCATTCCCAAGAAGAAGGGTTTGGTGCTTACTGGTGGCATTATTATATAAAAATTATTCGTTAGAAAGCACAATGAACAGTAAATCAGAAGCTTACCTGAAATAGGGTCAGGGTTCCTCACAATTCATCTTCGCCCCCACCCAGCCTGTCTCCAGCGAAGTCTTCAGGAAAGAAAAGGATCAGAGAAAATGCTCCCGCTGTCCCCTCGCCCCTCCTCCGTGACACTGTGTGCAGATTAGGTGTTGATTCAATAAGATGCTTCACCTTCTAAAAGTGATAGTGTGAGTCACGTGTGGAAGCAGAGGGGACATAATGGAACGATCACTGCACGGCATCCCTGCCTCGTTTAATTTGTTTTGAGGCTGCTAGCCGTGTCAGGCTAACTGCAGTCGAGGCCAATCAACAGCCTGACCCTGTTGGTGGAGAAAGTTGAAAGATAGTGGCATTGTGTCAGAAGCTGCTGGGATGAAGTCAACATCCGTTCCTGTCTCCCCTTGGGAGAGCCATGTTCCAGGGTGAGCCTCCTTTGCAAAAAAAGACTTGTTGGGACTGGAGGTCTGAGAGCTGGGGCTGGCCTTGGGGAAGAGGATCACTGCAAGTCACTTTACACTGTGCAGGGGACTGGCTATCCTTTGGTTGTTTGATGGGCAGGCTTTGCTCAGATGGGGATGGTGAGATGTCATCTTCCTGCAAATGCCATCTGTGTTCCTTCAGGCCTAGAGCAGGCCATGGATGGGAACCCCCTGCTTAGATCAGTCTCCTTGGCATTTTACAGGCAAAGAGAGTGATGGATTTGCCATTCCAAACCAGCCATAAGTGGAGCCTGTGCCCATCGGAGAGCTGCTGGTGGCTGAAACTGCAATTCTGATAGCCATTTGGGGAAGAGCCAATGGGTGCCAAGTGTTTATGATGTGACAAGTACATCTGCATCACTGATGGTGAGGTCAGTAGGAGCGGTTAGATGGAAGCTCTTCTGTCCCTTCCACAGTGGCATCTATCATCTCAGGCCGGCAATAGCTATGATGGTGGGACGACCCCCCTGCTGCTTGGGGCATGCTCCCACTGCTGGCCAGGGTGGGAGAATGGCAGGAAAATTGTGAGGGAGGCGCAGGGCATCAGGGGCACTGACAGTCTTCCCAGGAAACTGACAGGATGGGGAAAGTACACACTTCAGGACCAAACAAAATGGCACATTCATAGGGTACTCAGGGGTAGGATCCAAGGTAGTGTGCAAAGTAAAACCAGGAAAAAGCCACTGTTCCCTTGCCAGCCTGTTGGGAAAGTATTGTATGAGACGATGACCCTAAGTCCAACATAGCTCATTTTACTGTAGTATCGGAACAGAATTCTGTATCTCTGTCCATTGCTGGAATTACGTTTGGTTTGGTGATGTGATCATCAGCCCACCTGGGAGCTGAGGTCCCAATGGAAAGAAGAAAATCCCTGTCTTCTTCTTCTCCTCCTTCTCCTCCTCCTCCTCTTCCTCCTCCTTCTTATTTTATTATTTTTTTTTGACAGAGTCTCACTCTGTCTCCTAGGCTGGAGTGCAGTGGCGTGATCTCATCTCATTGCAACCTCCACCTCCTGGATTCAAGTGATTCTCCCGCCTTGACTTCCCAAGTAGCTGGGTTTACGGTGCCTGCCACCACACCTGGCTAATTTTTGTATTTTTAGTAGAGATGAGGTTTCACCATGTTGGCCAGGATGGTCTTGAACTCCCGACCTCAGGTAATCCACCTGCCCTGGCCTCCCAAAGTGCTGGGATTACAGTTGTGAGCCACCACACCTGGCCTGAAAATCCTCATCTTTTTCAGGCCACCCAAGGCAGAGGCTCACAGATGGAACTGCAGGCCACAGTATCACCCCATCCCTCACTCTTATGACAACTAATTATCAAGAAATTTCTGTAAAATGAAATCATTATACAAAAAAGATACCTGCATTTGTATGTTTATTGTAGTACTGCTTAACCTAAGTGTTCATCAACAAATGGGTGGAAAAAATATGGTACATATACACAATGGAATACTATTAAGCCATAAAAAAATCATGTCTTTTGCAGCAATATGGATGGAACTGGAGGTCGTCACCTTAAGTGAAACAGGCCAGAAACAGAAAAACAGATATTGCGTGTTCTCACTGATATGTGGGAGCTAAATAATGTGTACACGTGGATGTAGAGCGTGGAATGGTAGACGATGGAGACTCAGAAGGGGGTGGGGTGGACGGGAGGTGGATAATGAGAAATTACTCATTGGGTACTATGCATGTTATTTAGAGGATGGATGCTCTAAAGCCCTGACTTCACCACTGCACAATCTATGCATGTAACATGATTGTACTCGCACCCTATCCATTCATACAAATAAAAAAGATTATAATAAAAAATAAAGCTGGATATATAACCCCCTAAAAAGAAATCCCTGTGAATGAAACGCATGCCCAAGCTGGGTCTACAGCTTTCTATCATGAGCAAGGAGAATTTCTTACACCTTTTACTTCCTCTTTCTTCCTTTCCCTATTCCTGCCCTCTAATTCCTCAGAAACAAGACACCTTGTCTGGGGCTTGTTGGTATGAGCTAAGTGGTCAGAGTGTGGGCAATTGAGGGCAAACATCAAAAATAAGGAACTGAATTCAAAAGAGGAACCTGCTCATGTATGTTCACTGCAGTGCTATTCACAATAGCAGTGACATGGAACCATCCCAGGTGCTCATCCACAGTGGATTGGATGAAGAAAATGTGGCACATTTACACCATGAAATACTACACAGTCACAAAAAAGAATGAAATCCTGTCCTTTGCAGCAACATGGATGCAGGTGGAGGCCATTATTCTAGGTAAATTAACACAGAAACAGAAAAGCAAATGTCATATGTTCTCACTCATAAGTGGGAGCCGAACATTGGGTACTCATGGACACAAAGATGGAAAGCAGACAACTGAGGATTACTAGAGGGGAGGGAGGGAGTAAAGGCTGAAAAAATACCTATTCAGTGCTATGCTCACTACCTTGGTGACAGAATCACTTGTACCCCAATCCTCAGCGTCACACAATATATCCCTGTAACAAATCTGCACATGTACCCCTTAAATCTAAAGAACAAGAAGAAGAGCTAAGCCCATAGACCTTGGGTGAGGAGCAAGGGAGGAGAAGCCTTGATTCCTGGGCTTCAGGAGGCTGAGCCAGGAGCAGAAGCCAGAACGAGTTCTTGCAGAGCTGGGGAGTCGTGTGCAGTTTGCGGTAAGTCATTCTGACAGCAAGAGCTGTGGGGGTTCAGAGCCTGTAAAGAACAAAAGCAAAACATTGCTTTTTGAATATAGGAGTAATACAAATTTATTTTTGAACATTCAGAAATACAGGGAAGTTTCAAGCAGAAAATAAAAACTGCCTGTAATCCCGCTATCCAGAGATAAACCTTGTTAAATTTTTTATGCATTTCTTTACAGGCCTGTGGGCATTTAGATGTCTTACTATTTTTTCAAAATTGGGATTCAACTATACATATAGTTTTTATATCCTGCCCTTTTTTTTCCTCCCCCTTAACATATTGTAAACATTTTCTATGTCCTTGATGGTTTTCAGACTTTTTTTGGTTCGATTTTAAGAATTCACAGAGTTGCATTTTATAGATGTGTTAAATAAAAGTTATAGGAGGCTATTGTTTTCGACTAAGCTTCTGCACTAGGCTTCAACAGACCAGACTAAAAATCAAAATGGAGTTCCTCATTCTAACATGCTGTTACCAAAACACCAGGGGTTCTGTCTAGGCCCTGCTTCTCACCACATAGAAAGCCAATTACTGAGAAAACAATTATTGCCAAGGGAGAAGGCTTTAATCGGGTGTTGCAGCCATGGAGATGGGAGGTCAGTCTCAAATTCCTCTCCCTGGCTGTCTAAAATTAGAGGCTTATGCAGCAGGGAAGAAATGTAACAAGTGTTGGAAAATAGGAACTGGGGAATGGTGAGGAGGCAATCATGATGAGTGAGGGGTCTGGCATCTCCTTGTCTGGATGTGGTGATCTGGTGAGTTTCAGTTCTTTCATACTTTTTGTGGGGTCTGGGAGTGTTTTCCTGAGGAAGGAATTCAGATTAAACAAATGACCAGAAATACCATTTGACCCAGAAATCCCATGACTAGGTAGAAACCCAGAGGAATATAAATCATTATTTTACAAAGATACAGGCACACATATGTTCATTGCAGCGCTATTCACAATAGCAAAGACATGGAACCAACCCAAATGCCCATCAATGATAGACTGGATAAAGAAAATGTGGTACATATACACCATGGAATACTATGCAGCCATAAAAAGGAATGAGAACATGTCCTTTGCAGGGACATGGATGAAGCTGGAAATCACCACTCTCAGCAAACTAACACAGGAACAGAAAACCAAACACCGCATGTTCTCACCTATAAGAGGGAGTTGAACAATGAGAAAATATGGACATAGGGAGGGGAACAACACACACCAGGGCCTGTTGCCGGGGCGAGGGGAGGGAGAGCATCAGGACAAATATCTAATGCACGTGGGGTTTAATACCTAGATGACAGGTTGATAGGTGCTGCAAACCACCATGGCACATATTTAATCATGTAACAAACCCACACTTTCTGCACATGTATCCTAGAACATAAAGTAAGATAAAATTTTAAAAACAAAACAAAACAAAAAATAAATAAGCTTTAAGAGCAGAAGAGTTAGTATCTATGTTTATCCGAAAGCACTGTCTAAGGAAGTGTTGGATCTGTTTCAGTTCCCCGTCACCAAAACTAAACTCAGTTGTTATCTGACCTTCTCAGAAATCCGGAGAGAGATAACAGCCACTTTCCCAAACAGGTCTGTTTCAGTCCTCAATCCGCATGATAATGAAGTTCCCTCTGCTTTAATCCTCACACAAAAAAGGAAGCCTGGAGTAACCTGATATTAACTAATCAGTTATTTTTCTATTGTTCTGTCTAAAAGTAACGAATCCTCCCTTTGTTCTTTGTTTCTGCTTTCTTCAGCCTTCTCTGTCAATAAAGCAAATTCTGCGGGGCTCACTGGATTACTCATTCTGTGTTTTGGAATAAAGTGTTGCCTGGTTCTAGAATTGCAAATAAAGCCAATTGAGCACTTTAAACTCATTTGTTGTGCTGTTGTCTCTTGAATACCCTGGGGGTTAGGGATGCCCATTCTTCTCCACCCACCCATCGTGCCTTTGAAACTCTACATATAATTTTGACTTCCCTAAAACTTAGCTACTAGTACCTACTGCTGACTGGACTCCTTCCAATAACAGAAACAATCACTTAATACATATTTTTAATGTTACATGTTTTACATACTGTATGCTTACAATAAAGTGAGCTAGAGCAAAAATGTTATTAAAAAAGTCATAAGGAAAAGAAAATGCATTTGCTGTTCACTAAGTGGAAATGGATTATCACAAAGGTTTTCATCCTCATCATCTTCCCATTGAGTAGGCTGAGGAAGAGGAGGAAGAGGAGGGGTTGGTCTTGCTGTCTTGGATGGCGAGGTGGAAGAAAATCTGAATGTAAGTGGACCCAAGAAATTCAAACCCATGTTGTTCAAGGGTCAGTTGCAGTTTTGTCTTCTGACAGATGCATCATATTGTTTGACCATTTCCTTTTTGGCAAACATTGAGTTGCTTCTGATTTTTTCACATTACTAGTGAAGTTGTGGCCAATTTTTTTTTTTTTTTTTAACCATTGATCACTTGGTGCCCTCTGGATATTTCTTTAAGGTGAAGTCCTAGAAGAGAAAATCCTATGTAGTGAGTCCCCTTTATTTTGAAATATTTGTCCCCCTGGTAAGTTTGGCTCTGTGAGCTTTGTGGGAGAGTGACAGCCTAGATTTCCAAATAAGAGGTAGTCTCTGCCAAGTTGTTTGTTTGATAGATCAAAATTTTTAAAATTGGAATTTCTTTTATGGTGGCGGTTGAATACATTTCCATACGTCTCTTGTGTGTGTATATTTCTTCTCTTGTGCGTTGTTTATTTGCCCACTTTTCCCTTGAGGATTAAGTTTTTGAAAGCGCTCTTAACAGCAGAAAGATATCAACTATTCAATGACTCATCCCTCTTTGGATGGGGTTGAAAAAGGAGATATGGGGGGTTGGGGTTTGAACCAGGGCTTGAGTAGTTTTGAGCAGGATTTTGATAGTTGGATTCTAGGTCAGTCCAAAGGGCATCTTCTTAGGTGAGCCATGAACGAGAACACACTTAGGAAAACCACAGCCTTACTTTGTACATTTAAGAAAGGAAGTCAAGTGAACAAGGGCAAATTATTTTTGGTCTTGGTGTCTACTGAAACTAACATGCAAGGAACCACAAATATTTATTTATCTGTGAAAGGTGACATGCTGACAGCATTCTTGGAGAGGTTCTTCATTAAATAAAACCAGACAACTGGGCATTACTTTGAATTTCTTTGCTGGTCAATTAGCTTGGTCTGGGATGCAGAGGGCTGGGGGAAAAAATCATAAGGCTTGTGGGGATCTTCTAGCTTTTCACTGCGTTGTGTGCATGTGCATGTGTGTGTGTGTATGTGTATGCGTGTCTGTGTGTGTTTGTATTAACCAGTGAAATATTTTATGGAGTTGATGGCGGATCTGGTCTTCAGCACCCCCAGCACCCCATTCTCCACAATGGCTGCCTTGTGTTTTTATGTTTTCAGTGTTTACACACACGTGGGATTAGGAAGCACTCCATTGGCTGGTTCTGAATTTGGATTGACTCTGATTGGCTCCGTGGTAGGCTGTTAATGATCACTGCCATCATTTCAGAGGGTGTTGGCAAGGCGATAATGCAATTAACATCTCCCTCTTTGATAGAGAATGAGGTGAAGACAAGCTGACTTTTGGAACCTGATGATCACTGATAATTAGGGGAAACCCTTGAGGGGAAGCTATTGGGCTGTTGTAACAACTGCACCTGAACACATGTGCAGCCAGCCCAACTCTGAAACCACTTGAGGGCAAATAAATGCCCACTGGTCCCATCCCTTTGGGGTTGGGCTGGGCACAGCCATTCTGCACTTTATTTTTAGCAAATGTGTATTGCTAATGTGGCCAGAACCACTGATGATGTTTCAGGAAATTTATTTAAAATTCAATTTGTACACCGTGACTTTAAGCACTACTTTTGGGGAAGTGTGTTTTGCATTATGCCATATCAGTTCGGGATTATGGACTCTGAGGGAATATGTATAATTTTTATGCACTATGTTTATTGGCACATTTGTGCTAATAGCCAATAAGATGATATTGCTGTCTTAATACCATGCGAGTCTCTGTGACTCTGTGGCTAATGAGTGGGGGCCTCTGAGTACCTGACTGAGGCGGGGAAGGGGGCAACATGGGCTCCGGGATATGGGGTACGATGCTGAGAATCCAAATACTGGCTTGGCAGATTGTACCCTTATAATATGGAATATGTAATGCAGAGAGGAAATCCGGGTCTAACCAGGGAATGGAACCACCAGGGAAACACTGACATTGCCTTTACAGCAAAGTGACCGTCCTTGGGAGACAAACAACAATCCCAAAGATATTTAGTCCTCAATTAAATAAAGCCATGTCCTCCTGATTGGCTTCCAGCGACCCTTCTGCTCCCAGGAGCCGGAGATTTTGCTTTTTGCGTGAATTTATGGCTACTTCTGGACAGATAACAAGATGTTAGACAGCTGACCCTCCAACTTGGTTCTAGCTTCTCTCTGTGAATTTCATGTGATAATTTTCCAAGGCGTACCTCTCATGTTGAATTATTCATGGGAATCACACCAAGAAACAGTATATATATATATATATATATATATTCAGTGCAATTATCATGTTAGTGCAAACCATGTTCATTGGAAAATTAAAACCAAAAAAAGTCCCTTAAAATGAAATAAAAAAGTAAGGAATAGGGTATTTTTTGCTTCAAGGAATGCCTATTGGAGATTAGGTTTCTGTATATCCCAAGAGGCAGCCAGTAGAGATTTGGGGCTGAAGTCTGGCCTTAGAAGCCCTCACCTTTCTTTTATTTGAGGGGGATGGAGTCTCACTCTGTTACCCAGGCTGGAGTGAAGTGGCATGATCTTGGCTCACTGCAACCACTGCCTCCTGGGTTCAAGCGATTCTCCTGCCTCAGCCTCCCGAGAGGCTAGGATTACAGGCACCCACCACCATGCCCAGCTAATTTTTGTATTTTTAGTAGAGACGGGGTTTCGCCATATTGGTCAGACTGCTCTCGAACTTCTGATCTCAAGTGAACTGCCCCCCTCGACCTCCCAAAGTGCTCGGATTACAAGCATGAGCCACCATGCCCAGCTAATTTTTGTATTTTTAGTAGAGATGGGGTTTCACCACGTTGGTCACGCTGGTCTCGAACTCCTGACCTCAAGTGATTAGCCCACCTCAGCCTCCCAAAGTGCTGGGATTACAGGCGTGAGCCGCTGCACCCAGCCCCAGAAGCCATCACCTTTGTCAAAGCCTAAGAGCTGAACCACAGCAATAAAGCAGAAAACGGCTACTTTACCTGCATTCTCTAGGTTCTACTGATTCCCTTTTGTACCCAGCTAGGTGATCTGACGTTAAAATGTGAACTAGCATCAACAGGCAACTTCCATGAAGTCTCATGAAAGAGGGAATCTGGCTGGTGGAGGGATTTCAGAGTCCTTTGGATGCCACGGGACTCTCTCGGCTAGGACATGTTTGATTCCTAGACTAACTTGGTCAGAAGAGTTTAAGTCTGGGCCTTCCCTTCACCCCTAGACACTGAACCTATTCATGTAGTACATCGACTCGTAATGATCTTTTTATCATCTACAACGCAGGGCACAGGACTGGGTTCCTCGTGGGGAGGGAGTGGCAGAGAAATCCCCCTCCTGCAACCCAGAAATCTTGGGAGCTGCTGTCCCTCCTTGGGGTTCCAAGGATCATGTCTTCTCCCCAGCTCTCCTCCTTACTTCCAAACCAAGATGTCTTCTGCCAAGCCCCGTCGCTTCTCCTGTGCATTGTAGGATTGGAAAGAAAGCCCATAAGCCACTTCTGCAGGTGATCCCACCTCCCAGGGAGAATTGGCATCTTAATAAAGCAGTCTTAATGACAAAGCTGTTTTTAGCCCAAGGGAGGGGCAGGTCATGGTGATGGTTTGGGCAGCAGGTGTGACTTTAGAATGATATTTTAGACACATGGACATAGAGTGTGGAAGAGTAGTCATTGAAGACTCTGAAGGGTGAAAGAGGAGTGAAGGATGAGAAATTACTTAACGGGTATTATGTACACTCTTGGGGTGATGGCTATACTAAAAGGCCAGACTTCACCACTGTGAAATATATCCACGGAGCAAAACTGCACTTGTACCCCTTATAAAAAAGAATTACACTTTTTTTTTTAAAAAAGGATATTTTGTGAATCCACCCTATTCCAAGATTATAAAAATGTTCATCCAATTTTCACCTGGGGTTTTATGGTTTTTGTTTTGCCACATTTACATCTTCACACTACCTGGGATTTTCTATCCTTCCTCTCTCCCTTCCTCTTTCTCTTCCTCTTCCTCCTCTTTTTCCTCTTCCTCTCTGTCTTCTCCTTCCTCTTCTCCTTCTTCTGCTTTTCTTCTTTGAGACAGGGTCTTGTTTTGTCACCCAGGCTGGACTGCAGTGGTGCGATCATAGCTCACTGCAGCCTTGACCTCCCGGGCTCAGGCAATCCTCCTGCCTCAGCTTCCTGAATAGCTGGAACTACAAGGATGAGCCACCATGCCCAGCTAACATTTTTGTATTTTTTGTAGAGTTGGGGGTCTCACTGTGTTGCCCAGGCTGGTCTCAAAATCCCAGGTTCAAGCGACCCTCTTGCCTCAGAGTCCCAAAGTGCTGGGATTAGTGACATGAGCCACTGCACCCGACCTCTTTTTGTATTTTGCCTCATTCAATGGAAAGACTGATGTTGTCTGCAGTGTTGGCATTGCCATTATCCTCCGTGTTATTACCTGTCCTGGTCATCTCATTGTCTCCTCCAAATTGGCTCGGCTTCCCCATGTGGATGCCTACCACCCAGGGATCCAAGGAAGAAAATAAGTTGAGAGGTCACTCCTGTCCCTTCCTTCTTATCCCACTCACTATTTCCAGCCAGTCACGGAGGCCAGCCTGCAAGCTGGCCTTAGCACCAGGCTCTCCATACCTCCTACCCTGCCCCTCCTCTCTGCAGCCTCGGGTCCAGCTGTCTTCCATGCATGGGCTGGGCTTTGGCTGCCCCAGACAATCCCACCTGCCACCTGCACACGTCGTCTCCGTCTACCTGCTCATTTTGTGAGAATGCCTTTGCCACTCATGTGTCTGTTAAACCCCAAGTCTCAAAGTGCTGCCTCCTCCAGGAAGCCTTCCTCACTTGCTCTTCTACTGCCGCACACTTTGTTTTTGCATCTGCCACAGCTCTCCTCACTGCCTTCAGTGGCAGCAGGCAAGGTCCTTCCTGGTGGGGGGCACCACTCACACCAGAGCTCTGTGCTGGAAATGGAGTGTATTGGCTATAGTAGTACCACTAATGAGAACTACCATTCTGGGGGGTCGGAGGATGTAGCAGAGCCAAGATTCCAACCCTGGGGCTGGCTCCTTCAGAGCCTGGCTATGGTAGAGTCGCTGGGTGTGGGCTGTCTGCTTGGTGACCACAGTGGGGAAGACAAATTACCTGCCTCCTGGAAACTTACTCTTGCCTCCTGAGGACACCCTTTTGGTTAAGACCAGGGAACTAGGATGCTGGTCCCATTGCAAAGGGACTCCCAGAGATCTGGGCCTTACCTCTCTGGAAATTCTACTCCGCCAGGAAGCAGAGTTTTACTGGCTTTGAGGTGACCTGGTGAGGCCCAGGAGAGCATCATTGGAATGTCCCATTTTAAGGGACTACAATAGCGTACATACCCATCTAATGTTTTATTTTTTACAATTTCCTCTTATTAATGTTGTATGTAATAGAAATCAGTGCCCCTCAGAATAGTGCATTTGAATGCCCCTTAGAACCTTTCATTTACTGCTGAGCACATGCCTAGGCATGTGACATCAGCTGGCCATTTTTTTTTTTTTTTAAATTTTCCCAGACAGGGTCTCACTCTGTCACCTAGGCTGGAGTGCAATGGCACAATCATAGTTCACTGCAGCTTCACCCTTGTGGGCTCAAGGGATCCCAGGCAGTTCTTATCCTCCTGAGTAGCCAGGACTACAGGCTGCATAACCCAACACCTGGCTAATTTTAAACACTTTTTGAAGAGTTACGGTCTTGCCCTGTCACACAGGCTGGAGTGCAGTGTCTGTAATGCAGGCTGGAGTGCAGTGTCTGTCACACAGGCTGGAGTGCAGTGGCACGGTCACAGTTCACTGCATCCTCAAACTCTTGGGCTCAAGGGATCCTCCTGCCTCAGCCTCCTGAGTAGCTAGGACTGCAGGCATGCACCACCACACCCGACTTATTTTTAAACTTTTTGTAGAGACAGGGTCTCACTCTGTTGCCCAGGCTGGTCTGAAACTGCTGGACTCAAGTGATCCTCCTGCCTCAGCCTTCTGAGTAGCTGGGACTGCAGGCATGAGCCACCACCACATCTAGCTATATATTTTTTTTTTTTGTAAAGACAATGTTGCTGTGTTGCCCAGGCTGTTCTTGAACTCCTGGCCTCAAGGGATCTTCCCACCTTGGTCTCCCAAAGTGCTGGGATTACAGATGTGAGCCACAACACCTTGCCCCAAATGACCATTTTTGTCCCCATTATATAGGTGGGACATACAGTCCAGGGTACCGGGAGTAGGTGAGGAAGTACAGGGGCATGTGAAGGGTAGGAATGGAATAGCCAGAGTCTAGATGGCAGCAGTGACTGTTATCCATCCCTGCAAATCTTCCATTTCACAGAGTGACTGGGCATGAATACCTTCACGTCTTCCACTTCCCTCTCCCAGGTCCTCCCCAGCCCTGCCCCGCGGTGACTGAGGGTGCTCAGGGTCCGGAACTCCCGTGGCCAGAAGGAGAGGTGGAAGGTGAGCTGTATCCCCCTCCTTCCCCTTACTTTTGTAGACACACAACATTTCCCCCTTTGAAAAAATTTCCCCTTTAATAACTGTACTTAGGTGTTTTTTTAGACCCCATAGTGTTTGCAACAACTGTTGTGGCTCTGTTATGATAATACAAGAAAGTTACATTATGAAATAAATGCATTTTAAGGTTTTTCCCTGGCAACATAATGTAAGGATCATTCTGCATGTTGGTACTAAAGAATCAAAAACAGTTTAGTGAGTGGATGTGAACACTGTTTCTTGTCATCCAGTTAATGGATCTACTGTAGTGTTTGTGTTCCTTCCAGCCTGGCTGCCGTACATCAATGAAAAATTATGTTTTTTTCCTCGGTGCTACAACACCCGTCATCTTTATAGTCAACGCATTCCCCTTCAAGTCGTGCGGTGTAAAATGCTTACCATTTCTCGGCCGCTTTCCCTCCCCATCATTTACCTGGTTCTCAGCAATCGAGGGTCAGTGCTTCCTCTTATTAATGTTCTGTATAATAGAAATCAGGGCGCCCGTGTTACTCATGTGGAAGCCCGAGCAAACAGCAGCTGTTAGTGTGCAAAGGGCAGACAGGAAGCCTAGCTTTATTTTTTTAACCCTCTTTGTTTACTGGATCTCTGCAGTCAATCACGGCCCCTCTTTGCATTTAAAGCAAGCCTGCCTGACTCCTGGAAACAGGCATCAGCTGCGAACACTTGCAGTAAAATCCAGAATAGCCAGGATGCTGGCCCCATTGCCCAGGGATTCCCAGAAACCTGGCCTTGCCTCTCTGAAAATTCTGCTCTCCCAGTCAGCAAAGTTTTCCTGGCTTCCCGGTGACCTGGTGACGTGCAGGAGAGCATCCTTCACAGGGGAATAAGCTCTCCAACTCACATAATTTTAGGGTCACCAGGAAGCATGGCTTACTATGGCCAACTGTTACCCCACTGGCCCTCTGGAAACTTCCATATCATGTCTCAATCTGCAGTCATGCTTCACCCCAGAGTTGCAAACCAGATACCTCTAGGGGCCAGGCAGGTAGTGCCATCAGTGGCATGGGCTAGAGAGGGCCACTTACTGCTGCCCTGCCCCAGCTGACCTAGCCAGGTAGGAATGCAACCCAGAATTGCCTAGTCCTCCATTATTTATGTAGAAGTGGTAGTACAGACTAAAAAGCAAAGCCTCCTGATTTTTAAATGGGGGATAATTAAAGTAAAAAATAATTTGTGCATGTCAAACCAAGCCAGGCCACAGAGAGACAGTGACTTTCTAGTGGCTAACCTCTTCCACATCCTGGCCTTGCTGTGTGACCTCAGTCATGGCTTCAGAGGAGGGGATGTGGGGGTGGAAATTGCTTGAGTGCTGTGTTAGTCCATTTTGTGTTGCTATACAGCAATAGCTCAGACAGGGTAATTTATAAAGAAAAGAGGTTTATTTGGCTCACAGTTCTGCAGGCTGTACAAGCATGGCAACCACATTGGCTTGGCTTCTGGTGAGGCCTCAGGAAACTTCCAATCATGGGGGAAAGCGGACAGGGAGCAGGGGTGTTACATGGCGAGAGAGGTACCAAGAAAGAGAGAAGAAGAGGTGCCAAGTTCCTTTTAGTAACTATCTCTTGGGTGAGCTAACATAGTGAGAACACACTTATTACCATGGGGAGGGCACCAAGGATTCATGAAGAATACACCGCCATGACCGAAACACCTCCCACCAGGCCCCACCTCCAACACTGGGGATCACCTTTCAATATGAGATTTGGAGGGAACAAATATCCAAACCATTCAGGTGCCCCCTCATCTAGCCTTCATTGAATGGGTCCTTATGGGTGTTGGAGCATTCAGGGCTGAGCAGCATGAAACATCCTAATTGCCAAGAAGTGGCCCCCATTCCCATGACAGCAGTGCCGCCTGGGAGGATGAGCAAGTCCTACCTAAATGTTCTTTCCTGTGCCTCCCTCTACAGAGCACAGCTCCCTGCAAACCTTCCACCCATGGTGGTGTTCCATATCCAGGCTTTGCTGGGGTCTTCAGGGGATGTCAGAGCCTGGGTGAGTGCTGAGCAAGAGACATTTGGAAGCTCAGAATGGAGGCATTTGGGGGATCTCGCTTGACATTCCCAAAGAGATGCTGCCAGGTTTGGGGCTGTGGTTTGGTTTTTTGTCCTTGCTCAACTCTGTGATCTTATGGGTCTCCGTCCCACCATGTTCTGAGATCTTGCTCAGCGTCATGCCCTAGGCTCTGCACCTGCAGATATTTGATTGAAATGGCTGCTTTCCTAGGGAGGGGTTCACTGATGAGTTGCTAGCATTAGATAGATAGATAGATAGATAGATAGAGAGAGAGAGAGAGAGAGAGAGAGAGAGAGAGAGAGAGGAGATCAGCTCTTCTCAAGCAAGCCTGCAGAGCAAGCTGGCAGCTTATTTCCAAGGTGAAGATGTCATATGGTCATGGAAAGGAAGGCAGGATGGAGACCTTGGCGTTCAGGGTCCTGAGAAGAACCCATCAAGCCACCATCCCATTTGATTCAAGGGGATGCAGGCAGCACACATGACCTATTTCTAAAGTGGTATCTTCCTACAGAGAGGCAGCTGCAGCGTGCCGGTGCAATGGCCCCTGGGCTCACTGGAGCCATCTGGGAGGAACCTGGTGTCACCGCTCCAGGGCCACGAAGGTGGATTTTGCTGCTCTGTCAGCTTTCTTGGAGTTGGCCTAGATGAGCGGGCCTGTGGGCACTGGGATGGAGGCTGAGAGTGTCAGGGTGTCAGGCCTCTGTGGGACTGGCTGTGTGCCCAGAGGTGCGTGTGGATGCTGGAAGGGCAGGGTGGGGCATGTGTGGGCAGTGACGGTCACTTGGTGAATGTATGAGCCTTAGTGGTGAGCTCCATGTGCTCTGTCCTGAGCTGCTCATGTCCCAGAGCATGGCAGGGCCTCTGCCTCCAAAGGTGATGTAAGTGGCTGCATGGCCAGGCTGTGCCCATTGGCTCTCCGGGTTCTATGTGGGTGTCAACCCTCAGTGGCTGACGACAGCATGGGGACCTGGCCTAATGGCTTTCTCCGGAGCACTGAGCAGCATTGCTGTGGGTTGGACTTCCCTTTATCAGCTCCCAGTGCAATCAGGAGTGGATGTGCAGCATGGGTTTTCACATCCGGAGCCCTGGTGCTTCCGGCACTAACCGGGACAGCGAGTGACATTGCTGAGTGGCCTGGGGCTCACGCCAGAGGCTCTTCCGTTTCTGCATTCTTGAATTTGGTAGGATTCCTTGGATAAGGCCCTGTGAGGCCCTCTCCCTGCCTTCTGGAACCCCTGCTCTCCAGCACATTCTCGGGGTTTTGGGGATTTTGCTATAATGGGACAGGAGTCAGTGAAAAGGAACCCATCCTTCATTCCTACCTTCGTGAGTCCCAGCAGTCCTGCCTGCTCAGGAATGCTGAACAGGTTGAGCATACCTAATCCAAAAATTCGAAATCTGAAATGCTCTGAAATCCAAAACTTTCTGTGCCCCGATATGATGCCACAAGAGGAAAATTCCACACCTGACCTCATGTGACAGATCACAGTCAAAACTGTGTTTCATGGCTGGGTACTGTCGCTCACGCCTGTAATCCCAGCACTTTGGGAGGCCGAGGCGAGCAGATCACCTGAGGTCAGGAGTTTGAGACTAGCTTGACCAATATGGTGAAACCCATTCTCTACTAAAAATAGAAAAATTAGCCTGGTGTTGTGGTGCATGCCTGTAATCCCAGCTACTCGAGAGGCTGAGGCAGGAGAATCACTTGAACCTGGGAGGTAGAGGTTGTGGCAAGCCGAGATCGTGCCTCTGCACTCCAGCCTGGGTGAAAGAGCGAGACTCTGTCTCAAAAAAAGAAACAAAACACAAACCAAAAGAAAACTTTGTTTTATGCACAAAATTATTAAAAATGTTGTAGGCTGGGTGCAGTGGCTCACACCAGTAATCCTAGCACTTTGGGCAGCTAGGGCAGAAAGATCACTTGAGGCCGAAAGTTTGAGACCAGCCTGGGTAACAGCCAGACCTTGTTCTAAAAACAAAACAACAACAAAAATGTATAAAATTACCTTCATGTGTACATGAAATGTAAATTAATTCTGTGTTTAGGCTTGGGTTTTATCCCCAAGGTGTTTCATCCTATATTTGCAAATATCCTCAAATCTGAAAAAATCCCAAATCCAAAATGCTTCTGGTCCCAAGCATTTTGAATAAGGGATACTCAACCTGCATTTCTACCTGAATTGTGGTAGAAGAGCAGGTGAGGACTGACCCGCTTTGGAAGACAGGACTTTGCTGAGGTCAGCTGGACTGGGGGTGGGTACCACCTTTGATCATTGTGGCACTTGCCTGCAGGAACTCAAGAGAACACAGTTCTATCCCCAAATCCTGGCCTACCCACTGGTGAGCTCTGGACAAGAGATATTTGGAAGCTTAGAAAGGAGGGATTTAGGGAATCCCTCCTAACGTTCTGAATATCCCCAGAATTCCTGAAGAAGAGGCACTCCTAAGCATGGGACTGTGACCTTTTTTTCTTTTGTTTTTTTTGAGACAGCGTCTTGCTCTGTCATCTCAGTTGGAGTTCAGTGGTGTGATCATAGCTCACTGTGGCCTCCATCTCCTAGGCTCAAGCGATCTTCCCACCTCTGCCTCCCGAGTAGCAGGGGGTACAGACATGTGCCACTATGCCTGGCTGTTTTTTTTAAAATTCTTTTGTAGAGATGGAGTCTATGTTGCCCAGGCTGGCTGCAAACTCCTGAGCTCAAGCGGTCCTCCTGCCTCAGCCTCCCAAAGTGCTGGGATTATAGGTGTGAGCCACATGCCCAGCAAGTGTCCTGTTTTTAAACGTTATTTTCTTTTCTTTCTCCTTCCTGCCCATTCCTGGTCTTGCCTCTAATAATCAGATAATAGCCTTTGTTCTCCCTTCTGCCAGGCACTGCTTGCATGATGATTCCCTTATTTAATTTTGTGTTTGTTTGGAAGTTCCGGAGACTAAACCTTAAAACAATTCAAGCCACTGTGGAATTCTCCCCTCCTGGAGATTACTTCAAGGCTGCAGTTAATTTGCAACCCAGTTCTACCTGAGATGGTGCCAGTCCATTCACCAGATGGGGCAACAGCTCAAGACAGTCATCAAAACAAGTCACATAGACTAGCATCCCCAGTCACTCCTGCATGTGCTACATACCAAAATCCCTTTTTAAAGTTCTTACCCTTTACCCAAAAAGCTGAAGCATTTTCTTTAGGCATGCACCTGGCTGCTTCCCCACTGCTAGCTTTGGAAGTAAAGTCACTTTCCTTCCACCACACCTCGTCTTTATTATTTGACTTTGCCAGTGGTGGGTGGGTGAGTGACTGAACCTGCATTTGGTTACAGGACCTTTGGTTTGGTTTCTTGTCCTTGCTTGAGTCTGTGACCTAATGGTTCTCCTTCTCCACTGTATTCTGAGATCCTTAAGGGCAGGAACCAAGGCTTTAGCTTTATTTGTTTCCCTGTCACTGTCTGACTTTCTCCTCCTTCCTTTCTCTTCCCCGCCCACCGGCCTACCCGCCCTCCTCATCCACACTTGTCATCTTTACTTGGAAACAGAAGCTGCTGCTGCTTCTCCTGTCCTGGCAATGCAGACGTGTGATGTGGCCCTTGGGGAGGACCCAGTGTCCAGATGATACTGTAGGGAGACTCTGGGTGGGAGCAAGGGGGAATGACCCCACACCTGGGCCCTGCATGAGTGGAGATTTGCCATCTGTCCTCAGAGAATTGCATGTCACATGTCTGGCTGGCCCAGCCTGGCCCTTTGGTCTGTGCCTTTCCAGAATGTAAGTGTCTCTTGGCCCCCTTGAGGCCCCACTTAGCTGAGTGAGACTTCGGTCAGTGCCACTCTCTCTGCTACATCTCCTGAATGTGGGGTGAGTGGCCGCTCTTGAAAACTTGAGCTGAGTGAAAAGCTTCACTCTTGGCAATTTTTCTGCTGAGGCTTCCTCCAAGTCAAGGAGGGTCCTCCAAAGAGGAAAGGCCTCACTCTCTCAGTACGGGTGACACGCAGGACCCTCTGAACCCCCAACAGGGACAACCAAGGCATCCCTCCAAGTCATGCTTCCAAAAAGAACAGGACTTCAGGTCTCTCAGGTGTGGTGTGAGCTCAGCTGCACTCACTGACTTAGCAGGACTATGGTGGTGGTTTTGTTCTGCCATGGCCTTAAAACTTCCTGGAAGTGGGGTTCAGATATTTGTCCTGAAGGGGTGATGGGGTGGGGTTCTTGATTATACCAGACAGCGAGTAAGTTTCTTTATTTTCAGGATGTCTGTGGTTGAGGCTGGCTCTGTATGATCCAAAGCAAATTCTTCATCCTCTCTGGACCTCAGTGTCTCCTTTTTGGCACTATGGCTAAAGTAGGAGGAGATACTTTTGTGCTTTGGGAAGAAAAGTGAAATCCCCAGTGCTGCCCATCATCAGGATGCCATCACTCTGAGCTCATTGCTATGGAACTGGTGCACTCTTGAGTTTTTGTCCCACGTGGTTCAGATTCATCCATTCATCATCCATCCATCCATCCATCCATCCATCCATCCACCCACCCATCCACATCCATCCATCCCATCCATCCATCCATCCATCCATCCATCCATCCATCCATCCCATCCATCCATCCATCCATCCATCCACCCACCCATCCATCCATCCATCCACCCATCCACCCATCCATCCATTGGCCTATCTATCCATCCATCCATCCATCCATCCACCCATCCATCCATCCATCCACCCATCCACCCATCCATCCATTGGCCTATCTATCCATCCATCCAGTCACCCATCTATCCATCCATCCATCCATCCATCCATCCATCCATCCATCCATCCACCCATCCACCTACCCATCCATCTACCCATCCACCCACCCACCTACCCACCTATCCATCCATCCATCCATCTATCCATCCATCCATCCACCCACCTACGCATCCACACATTTACCCATCCATTCATCCATCCATTCATCTATCCATCCATTCACTCACCCACTCACCTACTCATCCATTCATCCATTTATCTATCATCCATCCATCCATCCATCTGTTCATCCATTCATCTATCCATCTATCCATACATTCATCCATCCATTCATCTATCCATCCATTTATTCACCCACTCACCTACCCATGCATTCATCCATTTATCTGTCATCCATGCATCCATTCATTTATCCATCCACCCATTGTTAATAGTGTTAGATGCTATGTAGGGCTGCAATGATGACTGCAACTATGTCCTTGACTTCAGAGGTTTCTTTTTGCTTGTTTTACCTGGACCTCTACTCATAAGTCTTATAGATGGAGGAGATATAAACAGTACTACTTTTTATAGGCCAGGTAAAGCATGGTGAGTGCTCAGATGGGGGAGATACCAATTTTGGCTGGAGGGATTGGAGAAGGGTTCAGGAGGTGCTATTTAAGCTGAGCCTTGAAGCCTGCTCAGGTATGGACAGTGATGGTGAGGCAGGAGTGACTGTGTGTGTGTTGGAAGGGCTCACTGTTTAGTGGAGGCCCACAGCTGGGCATTCGTATGTATCTCTCTGCAGGACCTGCCTTTAGGGGGAAGGCTTGGTTTGACTCACTCTTTCTCCCCGATGCCTAGACACTCCCTGGGGGCTTTTAGGTGTTGTTTGTGGACAGATCTCTTCCCGGTGCAAGACTGTATGTGGAGGAGGGCCCTGCACAAGGGTGGCTTAAACACAACCACAAAGGGGCTGTCAGAAGAAAGGCTATCTCTGCTTGGACCCGGGTAGAGACCCAGGTGGGGTCTTTGCCTGCCACTAGCACCTCCACTTCCATAGGTGTCAAAGGTGCAGGGGCATCTGACAAGGGCTCCATGGAGGTCAGGAAGAGGAACTGGGACAGCCAGAGGGGCTGTTGGTGAATCAGAGGATTGGCCTTCTGGGCCCACCCCTCCCAAGCAAGCTTTTGGGTTAGCTGGGGAAACTTTGCCCAACTTAATGAGAGCAGCAAACAAAGTTGTGCGGCTGAGTGATTGGTATGCATTGTTTTGTTTCTTTCATTAATTCCTGCTGCCATTCGGGATGCAGGGATGAACAATAGCAGGGGCCTGTACAGATCAATACCAGATTGCTGATAGTGCCTATCTGTTCTTGGAGCAGATTATTTGATAAATGGCATGGTCCATACGTTTTGACAGGTGTTCACCGTACAGCCCAGACCAAACTGGTTTCGTGAAGCCCCATCAGAGGAAGCCAAGAAAGCAGATAGAATATTTCCTTTTTGGTACAAACCCATAGAGAAATTGTTTCTTTTAAGCTATAGATAATGACTTTCTAGCAAGAGATGTGGGGAAAAAGAAGAGGAGGAGGAGATTTACCTCCCCCATGGCTTGGGTTTTTATTTGGGTCCTGGCTTGGATCTTGGTTTCATTTTGAAGGCAGGGAAGCTGCTGACAGGGTGAGTGGTTTACAGGTGGAAAAGCTACCGGTCCCTGGGTCTTCAGTGGGCTTTTGAAGGAATCCTGATTACTGGAGCCAAGGGGGAGGCTGGGGGAATCCTGTGGTTGCAGAGGACAGTGGCAGTCTTGGACAGGATTTCATGAGAAGAGTGAGGGACAGACAGAGCAGAGGTGCTACGTTGGTGCCCCTAGGTCCCCTGACTTGCATTCAGCTTGAACCCCCAAGTGAGCTGCATTAATGTTGGATGGCTGTCCCATCCAGTGCCGCTGCACTGGGCTAGATAGTGACACCCTCTTTCCATTTCTACTGTATCTGTCTGACCTGGCCTCCTTTTGTCCTCTGCAGGGTAGACACCTGAAGCACTCTGCTGCACCACCATCGGGTACTAGGCTCTGTAACTGGGTTTGTCCTTGAGGCTTAAGTTTCAGCATATCTGAGAGGTTGAAGTTGCTGCCTGGCCCCACCTTTCTTGCACACCATAGTGTCCAGAATCTTGCAGAGGGCCAGACTCATAGAAGGGTGTTGACTGGCTTTTGGGAGTGAATAGAGGAGGTATCAAAGGGGGGTCATCTGGATAAGTGACTGATGTTTGGACAGACTCAAGGTGGGCAGGTGATGACCTGAAAGGCCAGATCTTCAGATCTCCTCTGGACCCCCAGCCCCTATGCCTTGGTTCTGGAGATGCAACCAGACCCTCAAAGCAGTCTTGGAGAATGCAGTGCATTGGGTATGGGGGGCATTACAGAGCACAAAGCATCCCATGGTGTTACAGAGTCTGAGCCTCCCAGGTTTCCTGCAAGTGGGCTGAGCATACCCCCCCACCCACCACATTATGGAACAGAAGGGAACGTGGGCTCTCTAAGTGAAGTGACTGGTTCACAGCCACCTAAGATGAAACTCAAGGAGCTCACTGTGCACTCCCCTACCTCCTGGATAAATGGTAGCCCATGGAGACAGGTGGGGTGTCAGGGATGGACTTTGCAACACCAACCCCCCAAAATAGAGGAACCTGCAGGTCCCTGTGGAGCTATCCTTCCTGTAACGTGGAGCCTTTCCCAAAGACTTCTTGCTGACTGAGAGGCAATTACATGGGGGATGGTGACCCTCATCTCACAAAGAATGTTGGGGAGGCTGGGGCTGTGATATATGGAATGTCAGATGTTATATTTTAGACTTTGCTTTTAAAAATCTCTAGCAACCTCCTAAGGAATGATTTGACATCCATAAGTTCAACACCGGGCACAAATAAAGCTTATGGCAAAATTAACATAAATCATTAGCATTAATCATGCAGGGTTATTGATAGCCGTATGCAGACATGGATCACAATCCTGGCCAGGGATTCGGGCTGGGCGATATTTCTTCCAGCTGTCCCGGCCAGCTCTAACACATATGGCGGTGGAGTCGGCTTTCTTTTCTAATTTTCCTCCTCAGCTTGAGCTGTCAAAGACACCGCCTTTTCCCCACTCCCTTCTCTTCATGCTGGGCCGTTAATTTCATTGCATCTTTCTCTCTTTCCTTTCTTTCTTCTTTAGAAACCAGATTTCTAGTCTAGGTCAGAATCCATCAATGTCTCTGGCTGTCACCCACCACGTGACTCGTGGAAGCAAAATAGCTGGGTGACAATTAGCGATGGGTGGCCTACATTGATCAGTTTCAATTTGGTAGACTTCACTTTTACTTACACATTCATCTTTGAAGCTGAAAACACTTCTTTTCCCCCTCCCACTGCATGGAGACTGGCATGTTCTTAACTCACCACCAGGCAATGTGCTTTCTCACCAGCCCAAAATGTGGGAGCATCGATTACAATTTTAAGGTGGATTTCTTATAAGCAGAGCATATCTTACCTCTGTTGAAAAATAAGGAGGAGAAATTCCACTGGTCTAAATCCCTACTGGTCTGTCTAATCACAGTGTAACTGTGGCTGTATTAATGGGAGTATAGTGTAAAGAACATGGAGGTGATGAGAAGGATCTCTATCTTGCCATGCTGACCAGTCCACACTAGATAGTATTGTGATCAGTACAGCCTGGGACAGGGTTAGACATGCTGAACCAAGGCAATGTGAAAAATGAATAGAGAATATTCAATCCAGACATAGGAACACCTAGGGGACCGTGATTTCTGGCTTTCTATATTTGAGAGCTTCCAGATGAAGAGAGAACAGTGAGTTCTGGACATCCCTAATGGGTGGGAGCTTCAGAGATATGGATATTTGCTCAGAACAAGGGAAAACTTGAGACTTTCAACACTAATCAAAAAAGGTATTGTCTCTGAGGGAGGTAGGGAGTGAGTTCCCCATTATCAGAAGTATTCAACACAGGCTATGTGGACATTTGTAGGAGAGGTTGGGACAGGAAATGAAACATTAAATTAAGGGTCAGAGTAGATGACATTTAAGACGTTTTCCACCTTGGTAGAGCTTGAAATTTCATGTTTGTATCCTCATCTGAATGCTGGGAAGACAGAAACAACCGTGAAGTCTTCCTCAACCTCTCTTTCTTGCCACAGTTGAAGATATTAGACTCCTCTATCATAGCTTTCTCTTTTCCCATTCTCTAAGCTTCATCTTTTAACACTGCAGCGGCCTCAAAGTATGTGATCAAATGTCATGTTTTATGGACAACTTGGGTGGGGGGAATTTTGGTCATTTTTCTTGCTTGTATGTCCCCATCAGAATCCCAGAGATACTAGTGAGCCTAGTTAGCAGAGAGAAGTTAATCAGTGACAGGCTTGGACAGTTCAAGGCAGGGGTAGTTTCCAAGTATAAAAGACTAGGATGGTTTGGGATTTGATAAATAAGAAAAGAGGTCAGCCATAAACAATGAGGTTTTATGTGACCTGACCCCCAGCTCTCAGGAAGCTGGGAGCTCCATGTGTCTTGCTACTGATACGGCTGCCTCTCTTTACTGTTTACTGACTCTCTTTACTGAAACTTACTTTGAGTCCAGTAATCTTTGTGTTTATTGGAGGCAAGGCAATTGAAAAGCTTCTGTATGCTCTAGATCATAGGATTCTGGACAGGGCCTTTCACATTCTGGAAGCACTGCATGCCATAAAACCCACCCAACTCTCATTGGATTAAAAAAGAGAGAAAATTATCTTGGCCTTTGTAAACAACAAAGTTCTGCTTCAGGTGAGGTTTGATCCAGCAGAATAAAAGGTGTGCCCAAGGGCCCTCTTGGTATTGGCATCATCATCAGCTTCCACACAATATCACCTTCCCCTTCCAATAGCTCTAAGCACTCCTTTCATGAATATATGTGTTTCTGGCAGATGAAATCTTTGTATCTATATGCAATCATCAATAACTTGACCAGAATTGGGCCACGAATTCCTGTGGTCGGATAAAGGCATAAACTGATTGGCTTACAACGGCATCCAACCTTGGTGCTGTATGTGAGGTCAACCCTACTCAAACTTCATGCTTGAGAATGGAAGCTGTGGCTTCACCAAAGGAAATTCAGAATACTGCTTTACCAAGAAAAGAGCTGATAGTTGGAGGGTGGAAAAACAAAAATATGCCCACTTCAACCTAAAGGTGTCAAGACCTTGGAAGATAGTTCAAACTTCCTCATTTCAGGTTTCCTGGTTGATCTTGCCATCTTTTTTTTTTCTTTGCCATTTTTCATGCAAACTTTTGCAGAGTTCAGACTTTGAGACATCTTAATTTTCCTGGAGAAATTAAAGATGAATGCAGTTGAGAAAGAGCCACTCTTCTGATGCACACCTGGTATGGGCCCCCATTGTGGAAGCACAGGAGGTGTCAAAGCTCCACCTTTCATTAGTGATGAATCTGCAAAATATGCCTTTGGAATGGGGCTTACCTTGCACAAGACCAGTAATGCCTTCATTGGATACACACCCAAAGAGAGCACAGGCCCACAGAAGGTGGGCAAACAGGTGAACAAGATTTCTTCATCTTGACCATGATGGAATTTGCAAGGAAGCTTGGGCTACCCCTTGCAGAAATATCCGCCATTCCCCATTGCTCACAGGCAGCCATGCAGAGGACCCTAATGACTGGGAGTCACACTGGTGACAGGCATGAATAAGTCCCTTAATTTCAAGGTTTTAAAATACGTTAGTTGACCCCAGTATAATTCCTGTATTTTAGTCGTTTGCGTGTCATGACTCAGTACGCATTCATTAAATATAGTGCTTTTCAAATGAAGAAAGAAGATGAAAATTTTTCTTAATGATGACAAGTGGTATAATTTAGCTTTATTTCTGTAGTATCATGGTGCCCGAGAGCCTGGCCGTGGCCTCTCTGTGGCGCCATTGTTAGCTCCTCTTAGACAAGGGCTTTCTTGGACACGTCACTGTGGCCAGTTCTGTTCATATGGGTCTGAGCGGTCCCCACTTTGATCCTTGGTCTTGCTTGAGTTTAGCTGTTTGGTTCCTTCAAGGGATCACTTCAATGAAGATACACCTGCTTGGAGGTGGGAGGTATGATGGGGCTGGAGCTGGTGGCGGGGGGATGATGAGGTTCAGAATCTTGGGTTCTGCGGCTGCAGGGGGGCTGGGTGGGGGCTGGAGCTGAGCCTGAGGATGGGTGGGGCCCCCTTTTCCTTGATAGCTCCTCTTCCTGGCCCTGCTGTGCTGGATGCTATTCATAGACAATTTTTTTTTTAAGTTTTTGTTTATTTACTTATTAACTTCTAAATTTCTGTTTTTTTCAAGGTGTACAACTCAATGGTTTTATTATATTCATACAATTTTGCAACTATCACCAAAATCAATTTTAGAATAGTTTCATTACTTTTATTTTAGGTTCAGGGAGTACTGGTGCAGGTGTGTGATGTGGGTATATTGCATGATGTTAACTAAGGTTTGGGGTACGATTGACCTGTAACCAGGGTAGTGAGCATGATACTGGATAGGTAGTTTTTCAGTCCTTCCCCACTCCCTCCCTGTTCTTATAGTCTCTACTGTTCCCATTATTATGCACAGACAAATTTTAATGTCTCTTTGCAGGAGCTCAGTTCAGGATGAATTGATTTGTGCTGGGGTTTTAGTGGGTGCTTTCTGAATGGGCACTAGCAAGTCACCCCAGCTTTTGCAATACCTTGCAAATGAAGATCTCATTCTCACAGTCTTCTCTCCCTGGCAAGAGATACCCCAACAGCTCTTCCCAAGTCTGGATTCAGAGACCTCCTGTAGTAACCAGAATTTCTGCCCTCAGGACTCACCCCACCAAGCCTCAATCATCCCCTTTTGTTAGTTTCTTTATTTTGGGGGGATGGGGGAGGGATTTGTTCATTGCTGTTTTAATGTGGTTGCCTTATCCTATGTTAATTTTGAAGGATATTAAAACCATTACACTTTATTGGCATGGAATGCTTGGCAGGGAGTGGAAGGAGGTGGAATCTGCACATTTGGCATTAAGCTCCTAGAAGGTTTTAATTTTTAATGGACACATTTTAAACACAACTGCCTTTTATAGTTACCATCCTACCAATGAGGTCAAATGGCACACAGCCCCGGACTTGCAAAGGGCTCTGGGTTACAATCCTTGAGGAAATGGTGGTGGCAGCAAACATTGATTATTGCTAAACTTAAAAAAAATCCCTGGGCCACTGTGCATCTAATACTTACAGAGTGCCTTCCTCACACTCTGAGAGGCTCTGATATTGATGCTCTTTGGGTTGGCTACTTCTGGGGGTCCAAACGGGGCAATGAGAAATGCAAGTAGATGCAAGAAGGCTGGGATGGGCTTGCAATAGCTCAGGAACCCTGGATTGGGATTAGGAGCCTCTAGCTTTGCATCTAGGTTTTTTGTCTAGTTTCTCCTTCTGGGTATCAGTTTTCCCACCTGTAGAATGGTCCAGATGGTCTCTGAGGTCCTTTTCAGCCCCAGGAATCTGCAATTTTCTCTGTTTTGGCTGCCTTTTGGAACCAACAGCTAGTGTTTCTGGAGTGTGGCCTATGTGTCCATGTGAGATGGGGAGATGTGAGAGCTATGAAGGCTCAGCCCCCTGCCTAAAAGGGCTCCTGTGGGGTGGTTGAGGCAGCATGAGACACCTTAGCAAGTCCAAATGGAGCTCAGAGAGGCCTCCCATAGCCTAGCTTCATGGAGGAAAAGGGATTTGATCTGGGTCCTTAACGGTGCTAGAAACTAAGGTGCACACCACTGAGACATTTCGTATCCCCATGAAGTGAGCATGGCTGGTGCCAGGGAGTGATGGGGAGGGGAGCTCCAGGCAGCCTACAGATTCTAGTTGGGAAGCAAAGACACTTCCCAATGGGAAAGGGAGCTGGACCCACATTCTTTCTCTTTGTCCTGTCCTGTGATCTCATTCAGGACACTGCCATCTCCCTGAGCTCCGGAGTGAGGCCTTCATCCTGTGCTGTGAATGGGGGTTTGCAGTGTGCTGGAGAGTGGAAGAGGCATCCCTCCCTCCAAGCCGAGTTCCCTCTGGCAGTGCTGGGGTTGCAGTGACCAGGGCTAACTCACTTGAATTTGAGACTCAAAGGCTCCTGCTGAAAAGTAAGCTAGTTTCCTTGCACATGGGGTTCCAGGAAGGGCTGGCTGGTGAGTTTTTCTCCAGCCCTGGGACTTTGGGTCTCTCCTTTCTCCTCTGTACACACTGTCAGCACTCTTTCTGTACTGCACAGCCCACGGCAGAGCCTAGCGAAGATTCTGTGATTGTCCTCTCATGTATTTAAATAACTAGGGCTGTGCTGGTGTGCTGGTGTTGGTGGGCCACCAGGGTCCATGCTGGTGTTCCTGATGGGGCTCCTCTGTCCTTCCCATCACCCACCAAGGTGAACAAAGTCCTGCCAAAGGGCTCAGAATGTAAGAAGCTCTCAAGTCTTTTTTTTAGCTTCAAGAGTGAAAGAAAAATGTACCAGTAATTTTCTTACCCTGCCGTCTGTCAAGCTTCTTGTTTTCTGGGGTGCAGGACACAGGGAATGTGGGGTAGTGGTTAGAGTATAGATTTGGGAGTTTGGGGCCTAGAAACAAGCAGATGGCATGTTCAAAGCTCAAAGTATGCAAATCAAAGAGGGCTTAATGGGCTGGGCGTGGTGGCTCACGCCTGTAATCCCAGCACTTTGGGAGGCTGAGGTGGGTGGATCACTTGAGGTCAGGAGTTCCAGAGCAGACTGGCCAACATGGTGAAACCCGTCTCTACTAAAAATACAAAAATTAGTGGGGCATAGTGTCATGTGCCTGTAATCCCAGCTGCTCGGGAGGCTGAGGCATGAGAATCACTTGAACCTGGGAGGTAGAGGTTGCAGTAAGCTGAGATCGCACTACTGCATTCCAGCCGGGCGACGGAGTTGAGACTCTGTCTCAAAAAAAAAAAAAAAAAAAAAAAAAAGGCTTTAATGAAACAGTGAAAGAGCCATTGACAAAGGAGCAAGTGGAGTTTAGGAGTCCACAGGGTAGGGTTTGGGTAGGGAGAGGCCGAGACATGGATGTTGGGAAAGAGTAGTTTGGAGCCTGAAGACAGAGAAGGATTAATGGAAAGAAGCAACAGCAAGTAGCATCCCTTCCAGGAGGCAGCTGGGAGAACAAATACCCCCATTCCCTCTCCTCCTACCTTCTGATCTGATACAGCAGCTCTCATTGGCTGAAACTGACCCAGAGCCCATAATGTAGTCCATTTGGGGGCAGCCTCCCTGCATGGAGAGAGAATCTGGAGAGGTACAAAACTCCAAGCCTACAGTAACTTAAGCAAATCACTTACCCTCTGTGTGTCTCAGTTTCCTTATTCGTAAGATGGGGAATAATAAGAGTTTGCCCTTCTAGTTGTGAAAACTAAATGAAACAGATTGTAAGAAGTTCCTTTTTATTAATATCTAGAAGGACCTGAGTTCTGTGCCTCTCTCTCTCTCTCTCTCTTTTTTTTTTTTTTTTGAGACAGGGTCTCACTCTGTTGCCCAGGCTGGAGTGCAGTGGCATGATCTCAGCTCACTGCAGCCTCTGCCTACTGGGCCCAAGTGATCCTCCCATCTCAGCCTCTCCAGTAGCTAGGACTACAGGTACACTACCACGCCTGGCTAATTTGCATGTTTTTTGTAGAGACAAGGTTTTGTCATGTTGCTCTGTCTGGTCTCAAACTCCTGAGCTCAAGCAATCCTTGTGCCTTTGTCTCCCAAAATGCTGGGATTATAGGTCTGAGTCACCATGCCAAGCTGAAACCCTGTCTCTAAAAAGTAAAACAATAACATGAAAGAAAGAAGGAAAGTTGAGAGAGAGAGAGAGAGAGAAACAGAGAGAGAAACAGAGAGAGAGAGAGAACAAAAGAAAGAAAGAAAAAGGAAGAAAAGAAAGACGAAAGAAAGAAAAAGGACAAGTTTCACTAGTGGAACACCTTTCAGTTGTGAAGGCACACCTTGGAGACTAGGGGCCAGAAACTCCCCAAACCAACATGAAGAGAGCAGGCTGCAGGATTTATTGGGTGACAAGTTGTACCCTTTATTTATGTTTCCCTGAAAAACAACCAATGTGTTTTGATGATTTCTGAAGAGTTTAAAAACAATATACTTAATTGCTATGAGTAATTTCAGAGCTCATTAATGTAATAAATCTCTGGAGAGAAATATCTTAGTTAACGATCAGCATAAGATTGGAGAGCCTCTCAGTAAAAGGAGGCTCCAGCTCCTTCTGCAGTGGAGACAGGATGGGGACATGACAGACAGAAGGAATCTGTTTGGCAAGTGACAAATGTCCGTCACTGTTCAGCTGACGGGTGTCACTTTGGGACTGGGGAGGAACCGCTCTTTGCCATGTTGTCACCTGAATGCAGGCTCACTGGCATCATCATCAGAAGGTTTGCCTTCTTGGGACTTTGAAACTCCAGGTTAGTGAATTTTATTCAAAACCAGAAGAGCAGAATTACCCATAGGCATGGAGCAGTTCCCATGAGCCCTCACTCAGTGCTTAGGGAGCATAAAGCTGCCCGGCAGGTCCCTAAGCCAAAATAGAATCCCTGATTCCTGCCATCTACAATGCATTCCTCTCCCAGTTTGCCCCATGGCAATAAAAGGCACCTTCAGCTACCCTGTTATTCAAGTCAAACATCTAGGACCTTGTGTGGTGGGTAGACAGATTGCATGAGTGGTCTAAGTCCTCACCCCTGGCCATCTATCTTTATAAGGGCCATCCACTTTGATGCTGAGATCTGTCCTGTGACTTGCTCTGGCCAAAGGGGCGATAACAAATAAGCAGGAGAAGAGGCATGAAAAATGCTTTGTGCTTGGGCTGGTCCAGTTTTCCACCTTGGCCTTCACCATGAGGATGTGCCTGGGCCAGCCTCACATGGAGGGTGGGAGCCAAATGGCCCATTTACCTCTTATCCCAGCTAACAGCCAACCCACCACCAGCATGTGAATGAGCCCTTTCAAAACCAGAACAACTGCCCAGCCGAGCCCAGCCTAAAATGCAAAGTTCAGACTTGTGTACTAAATAAAAGCTAATTATTTTATTATGCCCTGAGTTAGGGCATTTTTTCATGCCCCATTGTCATTGTGGACAGACAGGTGACTGAAGCAGCATCCTGGACTCTTCTCTTGCATGAGTGGTCGAGAAAGCCCCTGTCTCCTGCCAGGTACCTGCAACCTAGTCAATAATGCATCTTGTTGGCTCCACCTCCAAACATCTTATGTCTTCTCTTCTCCATCTTCCCTGACCCCACCCTTGCCTAAAAGTCCTGCATCCACTCTTTCCCACTCACAATTTGTTTGCCTTACTGAAGCCCTAGAGTTTTTTTTTTTGTTTGTTTGTTTGTTTTTTTTTTTTTTTTTTTTTTGTTTTTTGCAAAGGAGCATTTTGCTTACTTGCTCAAAAACTTGCAATTACTTTGGATTCATTTAAAATAAAATATCACCTCTTGACCATGGCTTACAAGGCCTCATGCGACCTTGTTTTTGCCACTTTCTCTGCCCTCTGCTCCTACCATTCTCACTGTTCCTCACTCTACTCCAGCCACAGGATCTTCTTTTTGTGCTTGCAACACATGAACGTGAATCTTGGGCTTTTGCACCTTGCCCAGAGGTGGGTGACTGCCTCTTCCTTGTCCTTGGCATCTCTGTCCAAATGTCTTTCCCTCAGAGAGGCCTTGGAGGGCCCAGGACACTGGTGGATTCTCTCTTCTTCCAGCACAAGCTCACATTGCTTATAACATCTGCCTGGTGGCTCAGTCTTCTTATTGGAAGTGTCTGCTGAGATAAGAACATGCTCCAAATAGATATTCACCAAATAACCAAGGTGAAACCCAACTAGGCAGCTGGCCATGCATGGAGAGTAGTCCTGGGGATGGTGCTCTGGCCTAGCAGCAGAACATTCTCTGGGGCCTTGGGGCAACTGGCCTTTCTGGCGACCCAACCTGGACATCTGGACAGCCAAGGGAGTGGAGTGAAAGTGGGGATGGGGGCTCCTGCAGCCCTAGAGTGGGATTCTGTAATGAAATCTCAGCTTGGGTTTAGATTTTTGTTTTATTTCATGTGAATTCTGAAACTCCTCTCTGCTCTGGAGTAAATGCTGCTGGCCTCAGTTCCGCCTTCCTAGAGCCCCATGAGGACCCAGGGTACGCAGCACAGCCACCCTTCTCTGGATTTCAGCTCTGAGGAGTGCCCTCTCTCTGGGCTGATGACCTGTGTATGTGGCAGGCCACACTGCCACTGCTGTGCTGGTGGGAAGCAGGGGTCTGTAGCATCAGGGTGACATAGTGCTCTGAAGTCCCATGCCATCCTGGTGCACTATTTTGGGGCCTCGCTTTACAGACACAAGATGCCAGCCATGATGGCTCATACCTGTAATCCCAGAGACTTGGGAGGCTGAGACAGGAGGATTGCTTGAGGTCAGGGGTTCAAGACTAGCCTGGGCAGCATAGCAAGATTGGGTCTCTCCTTTCATCTTAAAAAAAATAAAAAATTAAAAGAATTAGCTGGGTGTGGTGGCCTGTGCTTGTAGTCCTGGCTACTTGGGAAGCTGAGGCAGGAAGATCCTTTGAGCCCAGGAGTTGGAGGCTGCAGTGAGCTACGATTGCACCACTGCACTCCAGTCTGGGTGACAGAGTGAGACTTTGTCCCTTTAAAAAATAATAAAAGAAGACACTGCGTGGTTATGAAAGCAGTTATCTTATTCCTTCTGAGCTTATTGGGATGTGAGGTTTCTTCAGAAGAAAATCTTACTTTTGTAGTTGGAGAGTCCCTGACCTTGAGTGGCGTCAGTGTGGTGGAGGCCCCAGTGGAGAAGGCCCCGTGACGGTGTGACTTCATGTGGGATTCCAGCTTAGCAAGACCCCATAAGGGGATTCAGAGCACAGCCTCTTGATACAAATCCATCTGAGGCACTCTTCCATCCCCCAAGAGGGGCTGGGCCAGCTTGAGTGGGTGTAGTTGCCAGGGAGCTAGATGTTTCCAAGGAGACTGATTATTGGGTCTCATCTAGGGAGGGATGGCTTTGTCCTCAAAGGCATTCAAGGTTGGTCTGGCCCCAAGAACTGTACAGCAGCAGCAGCAGTTCAGCTGGCAGAGGTGTGCTCTTGAACCACTCTTCACATGTCCATATTATCTTCTGGGTATTCTCCTGAGCTCAGAGGCACCAGGGCCCCAGCGAAGTCACCTCCCTGTTCTCTCTCTTCTTCCTCCTGGCCCCAGGTGCTGTTGCTGAGCTGGGAGTGGAAAGCACATTTTCTCTTCATGATAGATGGTGTACCTGCACGTGGGAAGGTGAGAGGTGGTGACAGTGGGGGCGGGGACTCCACCATGGGACCTATTGAGCTGGGGTCTTCATCCGTTCCAGCTCCTGGCCCAGAAGGAGCCTCACCATGGCTTCATGATGGCCTCACCATGGAACCCAAGAACACAGCTGCCACAGGACTGCTCCTACCCTCCCAAGAGCCACTCTTAAACAGCTGCCAAATGGCAGCCAGCAACCTGGGGTGAAGAGGTGGGCAGTAAATGGATGTGGTCCTAGTGAAGTCTTCTAACAAGATTTCTGACAGTCTTACTCTGTCACCCAGGCTGGAGTGCAGTGCCACAATCTCGGCTCATTGCAACCTCTGCCTCCCAGGTTCAAGCGATTCTCATGCCTCAGCCTCCCGAGAAGCTGGGATTATAGGCATGCACCACCATGCCCAGCTAATGTTTTGCATTTTTAGTAGAGACGGGGTTTCATCATGTTGGCCAGGCTGGTCTCAAACTGCTGACTTCAAGTGATCTGCCCGACTTGGCCTCCCAAAGTGCTGAGATTACGGATGTGAGCCACTGCGCCTGGCCTGCAAGACTCTTTTGTGTGTGTGTGTGTGTATTTCAGTGCTGTGTACTGAAACAGGAAGGATCTCCATTAATGCTGGTAGTACTAGAAGGTAACATGCAATGCCATCTACCCTTCTATTGACTCTTCAGTACTATCAAGGAAGAAAAGGAAAATAACCAGTAGCCTGGAAGAAGCTTTAAGCTCATTAGATAAAGTGTGCTGTCCGGATTTTCCCCAGACCTTCTCTGTCCATGATAAACAGAGGGAGAGCTGGGATAGGGTTTTGAACAATTGCATTGCAGCCATGTTGATGTGGGTGGTGTAATGAAAGTTGGAAAAATCAGAGTGATTTGAAGAGTATGTTTGTACTTTATTTAGTTTTCTGCTTGGAGCTAGCAAACATTCTCTGCCTAATAGTACTGGTTAGTTTTGTCAAAGACCAAGAGCAGGGAAATATGTCACTGCAGTCTATGAATTATCCATGCAACTGGGAAGTGTGTTTCTTTACTTAACTTTCTCTATTCAAAGCAAACTTATTTTTTCCTCTTGTAATTCTAGGGAAAAAAAATACCCTAACCCCTCAGACAGTGACATTACTGTCACCTGCTTAAAATAGTATGACGTTCTTCCAGTCTTAGAATACTCTCTAGGGCTCTCTGTTTTCCATGAAAGCATTTATTTCAGTCAAAATACTTCATGCTTTTTCTCCACTCCGACATTCACCAAAAAGGAGCTGTAAGAAAATATAGCAACTCAAAACCGCCATGTCATTTTTAAAGGAGCTATTTTCTTTTTTGACTAATCAACCTTCGTTGTCTCCTTGGGTACTGAAGGAGCCACAGGACTGGGTGGCGACTGTGTCCCCGAGGAAGAGCCGATCTCTCAGCTGCCTGTGTGACTACACATGTCTAGGGGTCTGAAGCCTGCCTGGGAGGGGTCCCTGGAGAGGGTAGGGGCTGACACTCCCCTGCACCCTCACCCCGGAGTTGACATCGCTGGTCTGTTACACCCGCATTCTTCTTCTCCCCTGATTGGGCCGGGACCAGGTGTGGGCCTCCCTCCTCCTCTCGTCATCCCTCCTGACTTCTGCAGGCCTCATCCTGGAAAGCCGGGAGGGCCGCCCCCATCTCCCGCATGATGAACCTTTTGAATATTCGGACGTGGGCTCCTGGTTGGAGATGTCATGTCTTTCCTTCTGTTGTTAGTCTGGAGACAACACAGACCCCCCTGGTTTACCTGTGTAGTCCCAGGGTGTCTCAGGTGCCAGGAGCCGCTGCCACGAGTGCCTCGTCTCCTGTCAGATGTGGTTGGTGAGAGACGAGGACAGCATGACCACTGGGCACCACACAGTACAGAGGTCAGCGTGCAAGGACAGCGGGACGGCAGTGATGTGGCCGTGACTACTTGTCAAGTGAGTGGAGAAAAAGATTGGGGAGGGCGGGGGGGAGACAGTGGCAGGCAGGGCAGTGGAAAAGCGGGGAGGGCTACAAAGAGAAAAGTCCTGTTATCCCTGATGAAATATTCAGTGTTGTCTTTGATGTTTCATAGGCTGTTTCCCTCCAGGGGGTGGATTTCTAGATCATTCTTCAGGCCCCTCGGAGGCGATGAGAGCACTTTGTTTAATAGATTGGCGGTGCTCATCAGAGACATCTGTAATGCATTGCCAGTGGTTTAACGTTGGGGGACCCTGGAAAGTCCAAGCTGACTCTATTGTGTGCCAGCAGCACACACGTGCCTGCGTGGGTGCAAGCCCTCACATTCGGGACGTACGTCATCCCTGCCAAAAATGACTTTTGCCTCCAGCACGCCACCTTTTTAAGCCTATAGAACTCCGAAACTGCTGTATAGTAACAAGTTTGTGAGATTTTGGAAAGGAAACCACAGTAATGATGCCAGTTCTTATGATCATAAATAATCATAATTAACAGGACTGCTGTATATTTATGTTGGTTTGTTTTCAGACACTTTTCATTTTATTTTGAATTTTTTCATATTGTGTTGACTTGAAACACTTCTGTCTATAGCGTGGCGTGCTTCTACAGAACACTGGAGAGCAGCATACTTTATTTGTCCTCGGAAACAGACCACAATAATGTGGGAACTTCTATCTGCTGGCAGGTTCACAGAATGGTGATATTAGTCTCATTGAAATTGCTATATATTAGACAGAGAATCAAAAGCCAAACGTTTAGAGTTTGTTCTTGGACCAGTAACGTTTTTCTGACTTTCCTCATGTATCTAGAATACTGCCTCAGGATGGCACGTGCACATATTCTTCAGTTTAAATTCCTGACAAGCTTGGGTAGCATAACATGACAATAAATAATTGCTCTATGTCTGAAAATGTGTGATGACTCACGGTTAAATGTCTGGGAAGGAGAACAATAGCTCTCATTCTGACACTGAAAGCGAGGCTGGGGCCTGGGTCCTCAGTGATCAATAATCTATAACCCATACATTGATTCTGGGTGGAATGTGGGGTGAAACACTCAGAAAATCCAACGTCTCAGGAAAGTGATGATGTGCACCCGGGGTGAGAAATTAGACCTCATTTACATGAATCTCATGTCAATAAGCCTTTGGTTGCTTTTCTAGAGTGGAGACATATCCTCTGTAAATTTCCAGTTGTGAATTTATAGCCAGGTATCTCTGCCTCTAAATTTCCCCCCTGCTCCTCCAAGAAGGGTCTCCCGTCTCTATGTTTCATCTGTGTGCAGGCACCCCCTCCCAGCTCCTTCTCTCAGAGGGAAAAGAGGCTCTGCCAGGGAGACCACGACAGCTTCAGAATGGAACGATCTTTCCAGCTAGCAGAAATTGAGACAAAAAAGTTTGTTTTTCCTTCTTTCTCTCTCTGGCTTTCCCTGGGTTGTGATTTTAAACTTCTAATATGTGCATACTGGTGAAGCATTGTCCCTACTTAAATTATTTGTCTCCCTGTATGGCAGTTTTGCTGGGAAATGAACTATTCATGTAGCTTTCAGAATCACCATGGGTTTACATTAAAGCCTTAGGCCAGGTCTACACAGGCAAAGACCAAAGATGATTATGATTATGATTTCAAGCTCTCCTTTCATCTGACTATCAGGATATTTCATCCAGAAGCAATAGCAATTTTATTATTTTTCTTCATTTTTTTCATTCCTAGTCCTCCAGCTCATGGGGGCTCCCTCGCTCTGGCCTCAGTGGATGTCGGGATGCCTGACTCCATAAAGACTCATCGATTCCAGGCAGCCGGGCCCTGTTTGATTGCCCTGTGCAGGAATGGACCCAAAAGTGCAGCTGGATAACAGAGAACTTGAAGGGGGCCATTGGTGGTGTGAGGAAGGAGGGATGGGGATGAGAGCTGTTGAAGGGTAAGGAGAAGCAAGAAGGGTCTCGTGACAGAGAGCTGCCAGACCTGGTCTCCCGTCCTATAGCACAATCAGAGGTCCTGTTCGGGGTGCCCCCTGGAGGCTTAGAGACAGCTCCTTGGTCCAGGGATTTGCTAGGTGGTTTCCATGGAAACAGACAAGGGCCAAGGGAGCCAGAAGACAGGGGAAGAACATGGTGGCGGCTGAGTGGGTGCTTTGCAGAGGGCAGGAGAGTAGGAGAGAGCTGAGTTCCAGAATCAAGATGGTGGGGCTCGAGTCATTACAGTTTGGTATTTAAAGTGAGCATGACCCCATTTCTGCCCCCCTGGGAGGCTGGTAGCATGTGGACATACCAGATTCCCAGCTTTGTCAAAGTCCAGGCAAAGTAGCTGGGGCAGCCCATTCATGCTTCATGCTTCTCTCTCTGCCCTGCCTCTGCAGGTGGGCATGGGTCTCCTCATTCCGTGGAGATGGATGTGCTTTGACAAGTGCTTTGACTCCCCATGAAATGATGGAAGGAGCTTTGCTCTCAGCTGATTCAGAGTTCTCTAGTCCAGTAGGATCCCAAGTTCCAGCAAGGAACAGGTGCTAGGTCTGGCTGACAAAATGCAGAACATAGAGCTATTATCGTTAATAGTGATCTTCTGGTGAACTGGCAACAGCAGACATTTTTTTATTGCTTACTCTGTACCTAGTACTTTACATGCTCTGTCTCATTCTTTTTGTTTTGTTTTGTTTTTTGAGATGGAGTCTCACTCTGTCACCCAGGCTGGAGTGCAGTGGCTTGATCTGGGCTCACTGCAACCTCCTGCTCCCAGGCTTAAATGATTCTCCTGCCTCAGCCTCCCCAGTAGCTGGAATACAAGCGTGTGCTACCATGCCTGGCTAATTTTTGTATTTTTAGTAGAGACGGCGTTTCATCATGTTGGCCAGGCTGGTCTTGAACTCCTGACCTCAGGTGATCCACCTGCCTCGGCCTCCCAAAATGCTGAAAATACAGGCATGAGCCACTGCACCTGACCTATCTCATTCTTTTAATGACTCCCTGAGATAAGATAAGATTCTTTTTTTTTTGTATCCATTTTACAGATGCAGAGACTGAGGCTTAAAAAGGTTACATATTGTGTCCAAACTCATAGAGCTAGTGGAGCAGGAGTTTGAACGCAGGCAGTCTAATTTTAGAGCCTGCATTCCCTGCTTCCCTAAATCATGACAAAGACCGCATCCCCATGCATTTTCTCATGGAAGTTGCTCAGCTGGGGAGTTAGGGGATAAGTAAGGAGCCCTGGCCTAGGAGCTGGGAAGCCTGAGCTCTTCCATTTGCTTGCTGTGTGGTCTTAAGCAAGCCACATCCTTTCTTTAGGTCTCAGCTTATTTATCTATCAAACAGAGGCTTGGATTGGATTAACCCTTGAGGTCCACCCAGGTACCAGAACAGGATGTTCTCCTAAAATGAAACTTCAGGACATGACTGGGGCATCTCCTGAGGACATGCAGGGTGAAATGAGCATTTGGGGATGCCTTGATTGCCTGTGGTGTTGCAAAACCACATCAGTGTCATTGTTCTTCATTGACACTGGACTACCAGAGACTAAACCAATAGGTATGTGCTGAGAATCAGGATGGTTGCGGTGGCAGGTGACTGACCTCCTCTGGGCATGCACACTCTCTTACCTGGCCCACCTGCTTGCTGGTCATTCTCTCCTCCAGCCCATGCCAGCCTCTGACCTCAGGGTGCAGGAGGCGAGGCGGGGGGATGGGGGTGCTTCCCTGGGAAAGATCCCTGGGCAGATGGGCAGAGTACTTAGAGAACCTTTAATGGAAAACAATCTTTTCTAATCTAATGTGAAAAACTTTGCTTTCTTGGGTACTGAACTTTTTGAAAATGGGGTTAATTCATCAACATTCTTTTGATTAAAGCTGTGCTTCCCTTCTCACTCAGCATCGGGGGCTTCCTTGGCTGAAGGGAGCTGAATTCTAAGGCACCTTGAAAACTTGAAGGGAAGGGGCACGTTTTTCATTCCTGAGGTGGGATGGAGATTTTCACTCTGGAGAGGCCTCTGTTGCCCACCCCCCATCACCCATTTACCAGCCTTCCCTGGCCCTCCCCCTGCCCCAGGAGCCTGGCCCTGCAGGCTGCCCATGCTGGCCAGTGCCAATTAGATTTGCCCACCGGTAGGCTGCAAAAGGGAATCAGAGAACAAGGCGGGTGTGCTGTCTCAAGCTCCCTCTCTGCTTTGGGGCCAGGTATCTGGCAGAGATTCAGCTCCTGTCACAGAGGCCTTCCTCTGAGGTTCCTGGGCCCGCTCATGGGGCTCTGGGAACACTATGTCGTCCCTGGGCCATTTGGATGATGTCTGGTCCATCACTGGCCCCATCCGTGACAAGCTCTCTTTCCTGCACTTCCCTGCCTCATGTGGTCTCTCTCTAGTCGGGCATCTGCTAATACTCCTATTAGTAAGAGACAGGTAAGGTAAATGGCTATTACTAAAAAGTCAAAAAATAACAGGTGCTGGAGAGGCTGTGGAGAAAAGGGAACACATATACACTGTTGGTGGGAGTGTAAATTAGTTCAACCATTGTGCGAGTCAGCGTGGCAATTCCGCAAAGACCTAAAAACAGGACTACCATTCGACCCAGCCATCCCATTACTGGGTATATATGCAAAGGAATATAAATTGTTTACCATAAAGACACATGCATGCATATGTTCATCACAGCACTATTTCCAATAGCAAAGACAAGGAGTCAACCTAAATGCCCATCAATGGTAGACTGGATAAAGAAAATGTGGTCCATATACAGCATGGAATACTATGCAGCCATATAAAAGAACGAGATTGTATCCTTTTCAGGGGCATGGATGGAGCTGGAGGCCATTATCCTTAGCAAACTAATGCACAGAAACCCAAATACCGCATGTTCTCACTTATAAGTGGGAGCTAAATGATGAGAACACATGGACACATAGAGGGGAACAATGCACACTGGGGCCTGTCAGAAGGTGAAGTGTGGGAGGAGGGAGAGGATCAGGAAAAATAACTAAAGAGTACTAAGCTTAAAAAACTGGGTGACAAAATAATCTGTATAATAAGTCCCCATGACACACATTTACCTTTATAACAAACCTGCACTTGTACCCCTGAACCTAAAATAAGAGTTAAATTTAAAAAGGGAGGTAGGTGAGGTAAGGGTATTCCCAGCTTGGTGAGGAAGCTAAACCCCAGGGAGGTGCTGATGGCCAAAGTCACAGAATAGTTTTATGCATGAGCTGGGACTCCAACCAGAGGCTTCCAATTCCAAATTTGGTATTATTTCCATAGTTCTTCTCCCTGAATGATTGCGCTTACCAAAAACTTTTGGTTGTTCATGAGAGAAAGCTTTCTTAAATATTTAGCTTGGGAAATGCAAGCAAACCAGTCATGTAATTCACAAATTTCCTAATTGTTTCCACGGCCATAGGCAAAAGCGCTCATTCAGCCTTAAATGAGAACCTACACATTTTAAAGAATATTAATGATACTGAGATACATAGGAAGACGTTTATTTATCCTGTTGACCAACATGAAAATATAAAGCAAATGATTAGCAAAAGACAAGCAGAATGTGTATTTACATGTTATGATATATGCAGGGGTAATATGAGTGGTACAAATGTATTTTTAATTTGAGTGTATTTATTACTTGTGAAAGTGAAGACTAATTATGCTGTCTCCATTCTGGCATTATAAGAGAGGTTCAAATGCAAGCTCAACCCCCCACCCCTCCACCCCTTACATTGCTTCCAGCATTGCAGACCGCGTCTCTGGCAGGGTGGGTGCTGGAACGGGTTTCTGGAAGGAGACTTGAAGGACAAAAGGGAGGCAGATTTAGCTTCTCTTGTCACCTTCTCCTCAAATTGCCCATCCAGTTCTGTGCATAATTGCGACTTCCTCCTGCAACTTCTCAGTCTTGTATCTAAGGCCGTAATTCAATTCCTTCCCAGTGGACATCAGAGGGGGCAACCCACCAAGGGATGCACATTAGGTGTGGCGAATCTGTCCACTGTGGTTTTAAATCACCGGGCTACAGCCGATGCCGCTGGAGTCCTGGGCGGTGGATGGGCTGCGTGTTGCCAGAGTTGCAGTGAATTCTAATTATAGGCTCTAACTGGCTTCCGAAGGCAGTTTTGAACTTCAGTGAGGGCAAGCAGTTATTCTTGGCGGCTGACACAGAGGCCTGACTTACAGCGAGGTGCCCTCCTGGCAGAACTCAGTGAGGGAGTGATGGAGAAGGATGAGCGGCATTCCCTTGGTGGAAGTCCTTTTCTGTCTCTGGAGGCTTCTTCTCAGCACTCCTGTGGGCTGCTCCTACTCTCTGCCCTCTGGTCTTTTATATTTTATTTTATTTCATTCTTTTTAAAAAAAATTTTTTTACTTTAAGTTCTGGGATACATGTGCAGAATGTGCAGGTTTGTTACATGGGTATACAAGTGCCATGGTGGTTTGCTGCACCTATCAACTCATCATCTAGGTTTTAAGCCCCTCACGCATTAGGTATTTGTCCTAATGCTCTCACTCCCCTTGCCCCCCAACCCCTGACAGGCTCCAGTGTGTGGTGTTCCCCTCCCTGTGTCCACGTGTTCTCATTGTTCAGCTCCCACTTATGAGTCAGAACGTGCAATGTCTGGTTTTCTGGTCCTATGTTAGTTTGCTGAGAATGATGGTTTCCAGCTTCATGCATGTCCCTGCAAAGGACATGAACCATGAACTCATTTTTTTTTTTTTTTTTTTTAGATGGAGTCTCGCTCTCTCGCCCAGGCTGGAGTGCAGTGGCATGATCTCCACTCACTGCAAACTTCCCATCTCAGGTTCAAGCAGTTCTCTGTCTCAGCCTCCCGAGTAGCTGGAATTACAGGTGCCCACCACCACTCCCAGCTAATTTTAACTCATTCTTTTTTATAGCTGCATAGCATTTCATGGTGTATATGTGCCACATTTTCTTTATTCAGTCTCTCATTGTGGAGAAACAGGAATGCTTTCACGCTGTTGATGGGAGTGTAAATTAGCTCAACTATTGTGGAAGACAGTGGGGTGATTCCTCAAGGATCTACAACCAGAAATACCATTTGACCCAGCAATCCCATAACTGGGTATATACCGAAAGGATTATAAATCATTCTACTATATTTTATTCTTTTAGAGGTGGGGTCTCCCTCTGTCTCCCTGGCTGGAGAGACATGGCACAATCACAGCTCACTGCAGCCTTGAACTCTCGGGCTCAAGCAATCCTCGTGCTTGGCCTTCTGAATATCTGGGACTACAGGCACATGCCACCTTGCCTCACTAATTTTTAAATTTTTTGCTGAGATGGGATCTCACTGTGTTTCCCAGGCTGGTCTTGAACTCCTGGGCTCAAGGGATCTCCCGCCTCAGGTTCCCAAGGTGCTGGGATTATAGGTGTGAGCCATCATGCCCAGCCACTCTTGGTCTTTATTCAGACTGGGTGCTTCCAAGCTCTAGTCTGTGGTTCTCAAGTTTGACTGCACAGCAGAGCCATCTGGAGAGCTTCAAAAAACCCCAATTCCCAAGTGGCACCCCAGACCAGTTAAATAAGAAATTCTGTGGTGAGACCAGATGATTCCACTGTGCAGCCAGGGTTGAGAATCATTGTCCTAGGTTGTGGCTCATGTGTACCCTTTCCTGCCTTCTCCTCTCAAGAATGGGACTTACTGGGGATTGTTGGTGGGGTTGGGGTGGAGGGGTGGTGGCTGCCTCTGCAGGTTGACATTTGTTAGTGGTAAATTTATCACAGCTTGTAGTTTGATTCTCCACCTCACAAATCTAGAAACAAGATTTGATTCTGATTCTGAGAGTGGATCTGTCTCTTAGGTGTGGACTCACATTAGTCAAGATCATGAGACTGATGTATAAACCCAGAAACCCAATGTGTAATTTAACAGTGAAAAAGAAAATGGTAGGTGTATTAGTCCATTTTCATGCTGCTAATAAAGACATACCTGAGAGTGGTTAATTTATAAAGGGAAGAGGTTTAATTGACTCACAGTTCTGCATGGCTGGAGAGGCCTCAGCAAACTTATAAAACTTATAATCATGGCAGAAGAGGAAGCAAACATGTCCTTCTTCACATGGCAGCAGCAAGGAGAAATGCCGAGCAAAAGGGGGAAAAGCCCCTTATAAAACCATCAGATCTCATGAGAATTCACTATCACGAGAACAGCATGGAGGTAACTGCCCTTATGATTCAGCTACCTCTCAGCGGGTCCCTCCTATGACATGTGGGGATTATGGGAACTGCAATTCAAGATGAGATTTAGGTGGGGACACAGCAAAACCATATCAGTATGAAACTGGGCTTCTTGCATCAACTCAAGCTCAGATTAGGCAATTTTCCCGCAGTAGCATTTTCTACTCTCTTCTTGGGCAGGTAGTTGTACCACTAGGTAAAATGGGCAGCCCATTACATTCTTCTCAAATGACTCATTTGAGATTCATCCAGGCTGGGCCTTGCCAAAATGCTGATTTCTTTTTTTGGCTCTGACTTCCTACAAGCCTGGTAAACTGAAATTTGCTCAGGGAAAACTATGCTGGTTTCCTCAGCCTCCTTGGATCCTGGGAGACTTCACACTTCCTGGATACCTCTTTGAACAAAAGGCAGAGAAAGGAAAAGGGGCAGTAAAGGAAAGAGCAGTGTAGTTTCTTGTTTTTTTTTTTTTCCAGGATATTTTCCTAGGCATTGCTTTCTCTCAGCGTGGCAATCCACATTTGAATTTGAAGCTAAAAGCAGCAAAGTTGCCACAAGGTGGATGGGCCACAGGAGGTCATGATGTGTGAAGGCAGGGACTTGGAGAAGCAGAAACTAGGAGGCAAAAAAAAACAAAAAACGTGGAAACGTTCAGAGTAGGACTGCACAGTGAGGGAGACTTGTAAGGCTGGGGCCGGTGTGCAGAGTGGCAGGCCTGGCACAAGACACACAGGTCCGACTCATTCCCCTGTTCCTTTCCTTTGAGCTCCATGTGCCAATGTGCCAGTGGCACTGCATCTGGGACTTCATTCAACACAATCACACCAGAACATGTGTCTCAGAGATCAGGGGGCTCCTTTGCAGGCTTCCCTGGGGTATAGAGGAACCTAATTCCCCAGAAATCTCCATTCAGTTCTCAGGCATTTTTTTTTTTTTTTTTTGGAGACAGATTTTCCCCGTGTTGCCCAGAGTTGGGTACAATGGCACAATCATGATTCACTGTAGCCTCGACCTCCCTGGCTCAGGTGAGCCTTCTGCCTCAGCCTCCTGGGTAAGCTGGGACTACAGGTGTGCATGTCCAGCTAATGTTTTTGTATTTTTTGTAGGGATGGGGTTTTGACATGTTGCCCAGGCTGGTCTCAAACTCCTGGGCTCAAGCCATCTGCCTGCCTCGGCCTCCTAAAGTGCTGGGATTACAGGCGTGAGCCACGGTGCTCAGCTTTGGGCATTCTTAATGGGCTGTAAATGGTTCCAATAGTTCCTGCTCTGGACTTGGGCATGTGTTGGGGTACAGGCAGGGCTAAAAGAGGCCAGACCAGGCCTGGCATATCCGTCTCCATAAAATGCTCACAGCCAGCAGCTGTCCACAGAGCAAGGCTGGTATTGGGGCATGCTGGCTGATTTCGAAAATAAATGAGAAAAACGACTTTTTGCATTGTCTACACCAATCATATTCAATAAGAGGTATTACTAATATTAATAGAATCAATGAAAAATGCATTTCTTTAACACTGTCATCTCTCATGGTGACATGCGTCTTGAGCTGATTTGCAAATGTGGGGTTCTAAGTGGTGCGTGGTCAGAAGCAGTTAGCTCCTAATGTTATGCTGCCGCACGGGCAGTAGCCGAACCTATTAATGAACTAATCCCAGACTCTCCAGTGGATGCCGTCTGGGCTCCTCCGCACTACACTTTGCATTTTAGCTAAAATCAACAACATTAAAGAAAGGAGAATTTAAATGGTTTAGGCTGCTTATCGCCAAAATTAGACAATGCGTTCAGGAACAATGAGAGAGAAAGGAGCAATGGGTAAGGAAGATTTCTGAGTGCGGGGAAGTAGATTCAAACTTTGCTCATCATGCATTGGGCAACCTGCCCCAATCAAACATCGGCCGTGGAGGTCGTGGGCTCTGACTGTGTAGCCAGACTTCCTGGTCCTACCACTCACTAGCTGTGTTATTCCAGTAAATTACCGAGCCTCTCTGTGCCTCTGTTTCTTCATCTGTGAAATGGGTTGGTGTTGGAACTTATATCCAAGGGCTTCTCTAAAGGTTACATGAAGGTGCATATTTTCAAAGTGCTTAGAAGTGCGTGGCATATAGAATATGCTATCATAGGACTTGTCATGCCAATTCATTTATTCTGCAAATATTTATTAAGTATCTGTCACATGCCTGGTAAAATTCTTAGAGCTTGGGATTCAGCTTGAGCAAGACAAAGTTCTTGCTCACGTGGAGTTTGTGTTCTATATGGAACCATAAGAAACAGGTAATTTCAGATTGTAATAAGCAATGTGAAAAAACAATCCACTTTGTTTTTTGTTTGTTTTGGGACGGAGTCTCCCTCTGTCCCCAGGCTGGAGTGCAGTGGTGTGATCTCAGCTCACCGTAACCTCTGCTTCCCAGGTTCAAGCAATTCTCATGCCTCAGCCTCCCAAGTAGCTGGGATTACTGGCACGGGCCACCACGCCCAGTTAATTTTTGTATTTTTAGTACAGACAGGGTTTCACCATGTTGCCCAGGATGGTCTTGAACTGACCTCAAATGATCTGCCCTCCTCGGCCTCCCAAAGTGCTGGGATTACAGGCGTGAGCCACCTCACCTGGCTGAAATGATCTACTTTGGACAGAGTGGTCACAGAAAGCCTCCCTGAGCGGGGGACACATGAGAAGATGCCTGGGTGATTAGGAAGGCGTCTGTGTGCCAAAGCCCTATGGGTGGCCCGAGAGTGGCATGAGCAATGCTGAAGAGACATAATGGGGTCTGGGAGGCTGTGGTGGGAGATGCCTGGGGTTGGGCCTGCCTTCCCTGCTTTCCACTTTCACCTTTGAGTAGAAAATCCCCCAGCAAACAGACACTTTTGGAGAGCTAAGTCAGGCTCTGGCTCGGGCCAGCGAGCTGCCTCATAGAATCTATGGTGAGGACATTGTCCATTACCTTGGAGGGGACCCAGCTAAGAAATTTCTCTCAGGCCTCAGCTGCAGGAAAAGCAGGATCGCTGCCTTTTCAGTTTTGCTGACAAGGTGCTCCTTACTGGGTTTTGTTTTCCTTTTGGCTTTAGCTCCATGGAAAGCTCAGGGCCACGTTTTCAGTGTCCCCGTGGGCACTGCATGTCCATGTGACTATGTTTGCACCTTGTTTATGGCTCCAGGGTGGACTTGCCTCTCCTTACATTAGCCGGGTTCCTCCATCTCTTTACTTCACCCTTTTGTGCCCTTTTGAGAAGTAGCTGAGGAGGAAGAAAAGGAAGGAAGGAAGGAAAGAAGGAAGGAAGGAAGAAAGAAGGAAGGAAGGAAAGAAGGGAGAGAAGGGCAGAAGGTAGGAAGGAGGGGATGAAGGAAGGAAGAGAAGGGTGGAAGGAAGAAAAGATGGAAGGAAAAAAGGAAGTAAGAAGGGAAGGAAGGGAGAGAGGGAAGAAGGAAGGAAGGAGGGAAGGAACGAAGGAAGAGGAGGAAGGAAGGAAGGACATAAGGAAGGAAGGAGGAGATGAAGGAAGGAAGGAAGAGAAGGGTGGAAGGAAGGAAAGAAGGAAGGAAGAGAAGGGCAGAAGAAAGAAAGGAGGGAAGGAAGGAAGGAAAAATAGGAGGAAAGAAGGAAGGAGGGGAGGAAGGAAGGAAAGAGTGAAGGAAGGAAAAGAAGGAGGGAAAGAAAGGGGGAAGGAAGGAAGGAAGGAAAGGAAGGAAGGAAGTTGCACCTGAGGATTTATTCATGAGTGAGACACTTCTGCCTTGGAGTTAGATCCCAGCAGAAGTGCTGGTCTTCCACTTCTGGGAAGGTAGCTTAGAGTGGTGTGAAGACCCAGGGGGAGCTGTTGCCTGTGCTGGCTCTGTGGCTGGCAGACCTTGGCAATGGATACCAGGGACTGTGGCTGGTGTCTCTTAGAGCTGGAACATCTTGCTGTGTGTAATGGGCTGTTATATGTTTAAAGGTACACACTTAAAAAAAAATAAAGGAAACAGCATGGTGCCAAAGGCAGGCCACCCACTTCATCTAGAATCCAATGAAAGAAGGAATGACAGACAAAGATGGAGGTAAAGTTGACAGCGTCCACTTACCAAGGGGAAGGTATGTTGGTCTCTGGTGCTACACTGTCCTAAGGGACTTTCAAGTGTATTTTTCATCTCACATCAATTTCTGGGTGTCTTCTGACTTTGGAAGCTCAGTCATGTAAGTTCTAACTCCACTGCCTTTGTAGACAGGAGGAGGATAGCAGGAAGATGGAAGGGGCAACTGAGCCTGGCACAGTCCCTGGGGCTTTATTTTCCATGGAGAGAGCTGCCCCTAGAGCACCTCTGGGAGGAAAATGGCAAACCCTTGCCAAAGCTGGCTCTGATTCCCACTGGCTTCTCCTGCTGAAGGAGGGGGCCTCAGGCTACCTCTCAACCCAGCTTGGGTCAACAGAGCATCGAAGGCCGCCCAGCGGAAGATGGAGTTGAGGCTGGGGGCTGGGGGCTTCACTGGGTGCAGGGTGTCCATCTGGCACAGCTCAAGCTCTCTGAAGACATGTGTTGTGTGCATTTGGGGTCATTCTTATTCTTCTGTTTCGGGTCATTTCAGCAAGCCCCTTGAGACAGGCTTCCTTGGACTCACCTGATATCTGTGTAGAAGGGCTCATGGTTGTCCACCCACTACTGGAAGCACGTTCTTTCATCTCCAATGAAGGAGAAATCACCCCCACTGGTCTTGCAACCAATCTCGGCCGCCAAGGCTTGGGGAACTCAGAAATACCCAGATGAAGTTTGAATGTCTGAAGATGGGTCCATCAGCCCTAATTTGCACTGCATCACATTTGCAAGTTGCAAAATGGAATTTGCAATTGCTTTTCAGCAATGTTCAAATTAGCACTTCTTAGCATATTAATGAACTACCTTTTTTTTTCATTATGTGACCAATTTTAATGTAAATAGCAGTCTCAGTGCAAGGATTAGGTCAGTGTTTGATGGGAATAAAGTTCCAAAGCTTCCAGTGGAGGCCAAGAGTCTGGCTTGTGGATGGGCATGGCTTTTGCCCAGCATAACAACTCAGAATGTGTGGATTTATCGGACTCCTTAATCTGTCAGGCTGTAAGTCCTGGATGAGGTCTGTGGCTCCTGACTCAAGAGATGGCACAAACCATGAGAGAGGTTGCAGACCCCGTGCCTGAAAAGGCTGGTGACTGAGCCAGCAGTGCAGGAGAGTGGATGATACCAAGTATGTTCATCTCCATGCCTACAAGAGAGGTCACAGTGTAGGCCACCTGCAACAGATCAACTCCACACCTAGAAACGGTGCAATTTTCTTCAAAATAGGTCAAAATCAGCTATAATGGGTTCTGTGTGAATTTATTTTCCTGAGATGTTTTCCTGTATTGCTGCTGCCCTGGTCTACACTCTAGTAGCTGGTCCGGAGTCTTAAGAGTGCATTGTCCATAACCCACCTGAGCATTTTCTGGAGCCATGTCAGGATAAATTCGAAGGATCCCCCACTACAAAGATCTTGTAGCTCCCAGCCATAAGCAGCTCAGTGATGGGACTGAATGCACAGAGGACAAGAGAGGAAATCAACAAATGGGACTTTTAAACCTGTCCCGAGATCAGGGACAGAACTGTGCACCATCTGCCCCTCCACAGAGTCAGCCTTTGAAGAAATGACAGACCTCTCTGTGGGCTCTAAAACCACTGGAGCCAGATGAGAAAATGGTGCCTGGGGAGTCTGCCTGGGTGGTCTCCCATCAGCTGCATCTGACCCACTGGAGACGGTGTCCTGTGTCCTCTGGAAGAGGTGGTGACCCTTCTGCATAAGAATGACACAGCCACACCAAGATCCCACAGACAAGCATGGACCCCCAAGTTTTCCAAATGGCAGTGCTTTCTTGGTTCATTATTTGAAATGAACTGATTATCCATCCCCAGCTTGAATTACCAGGTAAATCGTATTTTCCTGCTGAGTGTACATTTGTAATGCTGTCCATTTCATCTTGCATGATAGCAATACATTCCAGGGACTTCAGCACCTATTCTTTACTATCTATAGATGGGTGCGTGGGTGTGCTGATTGCATTTTAAAAACAAGAGTTTGTGTATCTGATGGGTCTGGAAATAATCAGTAACTAAGGTAGCAGAGGAGAAAAAAAAATCCAGCTCTTGATGAGTAATTTAAAAACTGTGAATACTTCACAGCTTGATATATTCCTGGGGAAGGAGTCCTTCACTCACTGTGCAGCCCGAAGTGCAACTGGGCCAGTGCATACCTTTTTTTGGAGACCCCGGGAACCTGCTAGGCATCATGGTACCGGGAGAGGAGGCTCTTCTGCCTCCCATCAGCCCTGTGACTTCAGAGGATCCATTATGCTATGGTTTGAATGTGTCTCCTGTAAAATTCAGGTGTTTTGGCCAATGTGATATTACTAACAGGTGGAGCATTTAAGAGGTGATTAGGCCATGAGGGCAACTCTCTCTCTCTCTTTTGTTTCCAGAAACAGAGTCTTTCTCTGTTGCCCTGGCTGGAGTGCAATGGTGTGATCATAGCTCACTGTAGCCTCAAACTCCTAGGCTCAAGTGATCCTCCTACCCCAGCCTCCGAAGTAGCTGGGACTACAGGTGCCTATCACTATAACAGGCTAATTTTTGAATTCTTTGTAGAGATGGGGTCTTGCTATATTGCTCAGGCTGGTCTCAAACTCCTGGGCTCAAGCGATCCTCCCTCCTTGGACTCTGAAAGTGCTGAGATTACAGGCATGAGCCACTGAGCCCAGCTACTCCTTTCTTGTGAGTACGATTAAGGCCTTTATGAAAAAGGCTTTATGCAGTGTTCAACTGGCTCACCCTTCTACCTTCTGCCACATGAGGACATGGTTCCTCCCTCCAGAGGATGCAGCAGCAAGGCACCATCTTGGAGACAGACAGCATCTTCACCAGAAAACTGAACCTGCTGGCACTTGAACTTGGACTTTCCAACCTCCAGAATGGTGAGAAAATAAATTTCTGTTTTTTATGAATTACCCAGTCTCAGGTATCATTACAGCAGCACAAATGGACAAAGACACCTTATATGTTTATCAGTCCATCTGTGAACTTATGGTAGATTCCATAAGCCTTGACTAAAATAGACTCAGTTATAGAGGCTCCAAAGGTCTCAAAAAAAAAAAAAGACTCTATAGGTGAGTTTATCTTAGTTAAGGCTTTTGCAAGAAGCCCACGTCAGATGGGCTTGTCAAACCACAGATGAACTTGGCTCCTGTAACTAAAAATCCCAGGGGGTAGATCTTCAGGTATAGCTGGATCCAGGGGCAAGAATGCTGTCAGCAGGCTTCTGCTCTGGTGTTCTCTGCCTTAACTCCATTTTCAAGCAGCTTGGAGTCTTTCTTTGTGGTGGCAAGATGGCTGTCAGCAGCACCAGACATTCATCTATCTTCTCTGGAACTTCAGTGAAAAGATTCTCTTTTTACACAAAGACCTGTTATTGAGTCAGGCTGTTCCATATTAGTTCCTATCCCAACCCGTGAGCCAATCATGGTGGCCCGTGGGATATGATGCCCTCATTGTCCTGGTCTGGGTCACTTGCCTGTCCCTGGAGCTGGGGGTGGGTTCAGCGCCACCCAAGACCACATGGATCGAGCATGGGGGAGGAGTGATTCCTCAAGGAAAATCGGGATGCTATTTCCAGTAAAAGGAGAAAAGCGGCTGGGCAGGCAAAAACAACAGATGTCCACCCCAACAGCTTTTCAGCTAACTACTCACAGACGTCCAGGAGCAAGTTATATCCAGAGAACAGAAAAGGAGGCTGATTTTACGGATTTAACTATTTATATTTTCTCAGTGAGAGGCTGGCCATAGGCTTGGGTTTCCCTTTAGACGGAGGCTAGTCACTTTCACCCTTTATTTGCAAGCTCGTAACATCTGCTGGGCTCACCTGAGAGAACTCCCAGCTTCTCTGGCTGGAGACTGATGGGAAAGGAAACCCTCTTTTGTCACTGCCTAGGGATCAGGTCTGCTGCCTTCATGGCTCTTTCTGCTCCAGCGTCTGAGTGTCAAATGCCTGATTATGGAGTCAAAGACCAGGCTCTACAAAGGGTCCTCCCAGAGGGCCATCATGTTTTCTAGTGTTCTTTTTCTGAGCCACAGCTGCATTCGTCTGTCCCCACAACCTGGATGTTGGCTCCTAGGCTGTTTGGAACACATGACTCATGTAGTGGTTATGGAGTCAGTCTCTCCTCCTCTAGCTCTTACAGATTAGCCATTTCAGGCCCCGGAAATGCTGGAGAAAGCCACATATAGCATCTCTCTCCATTCAGGGGCTGAGGCAGCTACAGATGGGGGACTTTGTTTTGTCTCTTTCTTCCTTCATCTCTTCCCTTGCTCTTTCTCCCTCCCTCATTTCCTTCTCTTCTCACTCTTCCCTTCCTCCTCTCCTTAACCTCCTCCCTGTGATGGATCATGGAGGGAATCACTGGTGCTCTCTGGGCCTCTAGGTTTCTAAGTTACGTCTTTCCATTTTCTCTGGTGGGAGTGTAGGGTCTGAGGAGGTGGAGACAAGAGAGCTGTGAGAAGCAGGTTGGAGGCTGCCCTTCTGGTATTTGGACTCCACGTCCCCCCACAGCCTCCCTTGGGAAGACCTGGAAGGTCTAAGGGGACAGATTTTGTTTTGCCTTGAAGGACTCCTTGGCTGGTTCAAGCCTGGAAATGCTCCACGTGGGCTCACCCTTCTCTCCAGGTGTTCAGTCTCTCATCCCAACTGCCCAGCTTCTCTCATCTTCCATTTGCCTTCCCCTCAGAGGCCGGGCCAAATCCCATGAGGACAATTCATAGGCAGGGAGCCGTAGCCACCTCCTTCCCACTTATTAGGGCAGAATCGCTCTGACGAAGCCGCAACAGCCCAGCTAGTGCCTCATTATTTTGGGCTTCATTGAAATGCACGGCAGAGCCATCCTCAGTACTTTATGTACTAAACTTAACTACAGTAATGTATTCAAATCATTCTGAATTTATCTAGCCTGAGCATCTTTTTTTTTTCCTCTTCCTCCTCCTCCTCCTCCACATATATATTTTTTTGAAGACAGCAAATGTGCTTTTTGAAACAACAGCTTAGGGCCACCTATTCTGCGTGGAAGGGACAGGTGGCTCCTTTCTGTCTCCATTGTCCCCTTTCTCAGCCAGGGTCATCCAGTGCTTACCTGATGGCTGTGGTATTTTGGCCATAGTCCCCCTTCTGGCTCCCATGTTTCACCTTCATCATTCCTTCCCCAAGTCCCTGCCATTGCTGGGAGGTGAACTCTGGAGTGGGGGTGACCTGTGGGGCCCAGATATCAAATTCCTACCTGGGGAGCCAAAAAGGTGGCAACACCTGGGGTAATCAGAAAGGCATTGATGAGAATGAAGGAGTGCAGAGGGCAGAAGAGCCCAGGAAAAGGATGTTGCCTGGGAGGTAGGAAATGGGTTATCTTTCCAGTTTGGTCATTTTCCTTCTGTGTGGCTTTGGGACACTCTATCCTCTTCTCTGGGGCTCAGTTTCCCTCATATTGAAACTTATGGTGGTGAGGATGGTCGTTTTGAGCCAGGTCAGGGGCTCTTAGCTTGGAGCGCATGCATGAGCTTTGGCGTGGCCCATGTAATTGACATTGTAAGCAACATTGCATTATTATCTTTTTGTGGTGAGGAGAAAGTCCATCACTTTCATTGAATTTCCAAAAGGCTCTTGGCCATCAGAGGCTAAGCTCTCATATATTTACAGGAGCCAGGGCCCCATTCACCTTCAGATGCTTTTGTTCAATGTTCTGGTTTTAGAGATGGGGCCACTAAGGCTCAGAGAGGGGACTGGCAAGTGCTGTGTGCCATTCTGATGGCGATCCCTGAAGGCAGATCCAGGCAGGGATTCAGTCCCAGAGAGGCTGGGAAGAACCAGCTGGACTCTGTCTTAGAAACTGACCTTCCAGAGAGGCACTGGGAAACCCAGGGGAGAGGAGAGACGTGGAAATAAGTAAATCAGGAACCACACATACACCAAAGCTTTTGGTGAAAGTAAAAACAACTGCGTGATATTGGTTAGTGACAATTGTTTGATGTGGGTTTCAGCCTGCACCTCTCTTTTCCAGCACCAACATGAGGCTCTGGTACACCAGAGGGAGAGGCTATAGCTGAGGACATGTGGCAGCTCCTGGGCTCTCCTCCCTCTTGGTGGAGACTGGACTCACTGTCCAGAAAGCGTCTCGTTTCTGCGGCACTGGGCATCTCCCACATGCTCTTTCTCTCTTCAGTGTCTAACTCTTGTGGCTATGGTCAGAAAGTAGTCTTCCTTGAGCTGATGGAAGAAAAGACCCCCTGCTCTTCTCCTCCCAGGTGGAATTATTTTGTCTTCCCTTAGTTTGCTCCTGTGGGATTTGCTCCTGCTCTGTTTAGCTGGAGATAGACCACCATGGGGCCACACTCTGTTCCGGTTGGATCTGTCATCCTGTCTCTTCTCTTGGGGCTGGGGGAATGGGTGCATGCATGAGCTTTGAGGTGGTCCATAAACCTCTTGAAAGTGTAAGCAACATTGCATTATTATTATTATTATTATTTTGTGTGTGCATTGGGCAGAGGAGAAAGTCTATTGCTTTCATTGATTTTCCAAACTTGGCTATCAGAGGCTAAGATCTCATATGTTTACAGGATCCAGGGCCCCATTCAATTTCAGATGCCCCATTCACTTTCAGCTGGAAATAACTGAGCTGCCATTCATCTTTCCTGGACTCCCCTGGATTCCAATTTGTAAGTGGCCCAGCTGTAAATACCCCATGGGAAGTCTGCAGCTACAGGTCAAATTTGGTCCCAAGCAGAAAATTCAGAACCACAAATAAGCAGTTCAGCATTCCTGTATGCCTAGAACACATGTTTCTCCATAGTCTTCGTCCACTAGGAAGGACTTTCCTGGGCACCTGTGCTTAGTATTTTTCCCTAATACTCAGCTAAATCAGTGCTTTTACTCTCCAGTCATGGAGGGAATATTAATCTAGAGTTGTTTTTAAAAATTTAGTTAAAAGATATAATTCCACTGTCTTTTAGAAAGGTAAAGACAAGCTTCCTTTGGTTATGGAAGTGTTACAGGATCCTAACACTTACCCAAAGTTAACCTTTGGGTTGGGGATTTCCTCACTGTAGTCCCTTCTGCGGTCGCCGGAAAGATGTTACAGAAAAGGGGTCCCCATCCAGACTCCAAGAGAGGGTTCTTGGATCTCGCGCAAGAAAGAATTCGGGGCCAGTCCGTCGAGTAAAGTGAAAGCAAGTTTATTAAGAAAGTAAAGGAATAAAAGAATTGCTACTCCATAGACAGAGCATCCCCAAGCACTGCTGGTTGCCCATTTTTATGGTTATTTCTTGATGATATGCTAAACAACGTGTGGATTATTCATATATTCCCTTTTTAGACCATAGAGGGTAACTTCCTGACATTACCACGGCATTTGTAAACTGTCATGGCGCTGGTGGGAGAGTAGCAGTCAGGATGACCAGAGGTCACTGTCATGGCCATCTTGGTTTTGGTGGGTTTTAGCAGTCTTCTTTACTACAATCTGTTTTTATCAGCAAGGTCTTTACGACCCATGTCTTGTGTCAGCCTCCTATCTCATCCTGTGACTTAGAATGCCTTAACAGTCTGGGAATGCAGCCCAGTGGGTCTCAGCATCATTTTACCCAGCCCCCATTCAAGATGGAGTTGCTCTGGTTCACACGCCTCTGACAGAAGTGTCATCCCATGCAATTGAGGAAGAAGTTCTATGTGCTCACCATTAAATACAATTTCATAATGAAAATTTTGTCTTATGAAGGTGAAACTTTGAGAACACATTAGAATTCTCATTTTTCTATGCATGGCAATCAAATGACCTTCCTATACTGCCACATAAAGTATAGATTTAAAGTTAAATGATCCAGTCAGTCATTTAACATTTTCTTAAAGAGTAATTTCTTCTGTAACTATAGATGTTTACATATGGTTTTCTTTTTGGTATTTACATTTTAAGAATTGAAGAAAAACTGACGTTCCTTTTTGGAACTGTTTTTTAATAGCCTTTGTTTATTTTTAATATGTGGCGTTCCAGGCCCTTGCTCTAATGATTTTTTTCACACTGCATTGATAATTAAATTCATTCATTTTCCCAGCTGCACAATTCCTTTAAATAAAAAGTTATGGGTAATAACACCTCTTATGTTCAAAGTACAGAGGAGAAAAGGGCAAATCAGGATCTTTCTGTTGAGGGGAGTTACACAGTTAAGCAGGTCATGGGTTAGGGCAAAAATCTGTGTACACGTTCTCAGGTATTCAGGTCTTCTTAATTCATAGATTAGGACCCATGGGTTTTGATTTTCTGGTACTGAAAAATATGCATTTTTCCCCCTTTATGTTCTAAAGATGTAATTTATCTCCTTATATCCTGCTCAGTTTTTTAGTTCATAATTTGTAGTAATAAGTGTCATCAAAAGCACTGAAAGTGTTGGTTTCTCTTAAATGATTGGAGACTGTTTGCGTGCTGTTACCAACTCGCATGTCTATAAGGAGGGCAGTAAAAGTGAGCTGAGATATTTAGTGACATAAAAAGAACCATGTAGATTTGTGAAAATGTAAAACTGTGATCATGGAAGAGGTTCATGAAGTAATGAGAGAAATGCTTCGTCCCTGGGCTAGTGATTCACTTGTAGCTTCTGTAATTTCATGGATGCTATAAGGATTTGGTTTTTACACATTTTAATTTAGTCCAGAGATGTTCCTATTTTAATTATCCATACACAAGGGCACAGTATCTTTCTACGGTTATTGCTATACGTTACATTTATATATAGCAATAGCAATTTGAAAAAAAAAAAACCCAACAAAATGCTTTCACCTAGATGACCAAAGGGTTATACTCATTTGTTTTAATGACACTATATGGACCTCTGCATTCTTAAACAGGATTTTCAAATACACGAGATGCAAGCACTCACGGATTTGCACGCAAACAGATACCTACCAGAGAATAAAAAAAGAATGTGTCAATGTCTCCCCTTTCATGAAGGATTTGCGGGTACTTTGGTGGCAGTCCCTGAATGGGGTGCCTGGAGCCTCTTGCTTTTCTGTTGAAATCAGAAGGCATTGCATCGGGGAGTTTGAGAGCAAAGGGATTCCCACTGAGCCTCAGTGATCACATTTCAATATCTGGAAATCCATTTGGAGGAATGTGACATTTTAACTATCGTATTGGACTCAGTCTATATGCATTAGCAAGGAACTATGAGATAAAAAAATACAATATAAAAATAAATGCACATACCTAAATATATCTATATCTATGTCTATTTAGTATCTATTTATAAATATATAATATGTATGAAATATATAAAAAGAACAATCTGATGAAAGCACATGCTGACAAAAACTAAAATTTAAATCATCCAGGTCACACACGCTCTGCTGCTGTGAAAGGGTGATTCCCTAATGACCAGGGGGTAATTCTTCCACCTTCCACAGATAACCAGCGAGAGGAAATCGGTCACGTTTAAGCGAATCTCCCACAAGCCCTTCTGCCCTGGGAGGCTGTGGAACATCCCACTGGCTGTGTCAGAGCTGGTCCAGCTTCTCAGGCAGCCCTGCACGGATGCTTGGGGGATCTGCCCAGAGGCAGGGCCCTCGATGTCACAAGCTCAGAGGGTAACTTCTACTAGGAAAGCCTTTGCTCTCTGGCCAGATGACGTGGTCCCACAGCCCAAAGGAAAACATCGTGCAAAAGGTCCCCTAGCCCACCCTGCTCAGGACACTGTGACCTTGGCCTGAGCTTGCTAGTCCTACCTGTTGAATGCTGTGATGCTTGGCTTGGGAGGAAGGAGAGGAATTAAATGGTTTGTGTGAGTGTCCAGGGTCCTTGGAGGGAGGGCTTTTACTAGGGTCGGTCACACAGTGCATATCTGGGATCCCAATCTACCCACAGATGTATTTTGCTTGGTTCACAGATTATTTGAAAGAAATATGAATTTGTTGCCAATATTTAGTAATTGGGGATTTCACATAATTATCTGGAATTCTGGCTTCATTCAAATGTTTGGAAGTGCTGGGAACACTGGATCCTTACCACTGTGCAGAACAATTGATTTCTTTGGATGGTGCAGACCCTCCCGAGGCCTCTGCAGACCCCTACTCCTTGTTATCTGCCTGGTCCTGGAGGACATCTGACTTGCCACTGCAGGTGTTTCTGCAACATTGGTGTCACTGGGGGCCTGTGATCCTTGTTTTCTGGGATAGTTCAGCCACTGCCTTACGCAGCCTTGCCTCCCCTCACTATGTGACCCACTGGGGTTTGTTACAAGTGACAACTGGGCTGCAGAGTGTCAGCTATGTTGCTCGAAGGTGGAATCTTGCATGTGACCCGCTGGGGCAGTGTTCTTCAGCACAGATGCTGAAGAACCCTCTCCTGAGAACACGATCCTCCTAGACGTCTAGAAGGACCACCAGGTGCAGAAAAACCGGTCCTCAGAGGTTGATATGTAAGGGGTTTACTGCGCAGCTTCCTCGCGCTCTGCGACAGCTGGGGTCAACTGTTGAATCCACACACCTGCCTCAGCTAGGAGCGCACTCCTGCGGCATTTAAAGATGCTGTCACCTCTGAAATTGGGACTTGCTGAGGTCTGGGTTCTCACCCTGCTGCGGTTCCCAGTGATTTATTTTTTCTTTTCTTTCTCCCCCAGTAGTGGTAAGATACATGTATCTATTGGTGTGTGTCTGTGTGTTGTGTTCTTGCTAGGCACAGCAGGATGGAGCCCCAGGCCAAGAAAGCTAAGGTGGGGGTCTCCTTTCACTCTATTCTTGTCTGGCATGAGGGAAGTTGCTGCAGGAGTGAGGGTGGTTCTATGCAAGCCTGTCCCCACTGCTGGGACAGAGCTCAACGGCCCTGTTTACTGGCACTCTCCCCCTTCCCCTGTTGGACGAGGAGTTTCTCGAGGACAGGGCCTGTTGTTATTTTCACCTTTGTGTCTAAATGCCTGGGTGGATAGATTCATGGTGAATTGGTTCCATCTTCTTTATGCATCTGGGATGGGAAGTTGCTAAATTAGCATGGTTGCTGCAATACAGCAGGTATGGGAAGTAGTTTTAGAAGCCTGGGCTGGAGGAGGTGAACCAAGAGGGCCCATGGGCCTGCATCGGAACTTTGACTCTGCCACTTCTCAGCCATTTTCTTATCTAAATGAAGGAGGGGCTGGGTGAGTTTTTTAAGGATACTCTGCCTGTTGAACCTCTTTCTTTCCTTTTCTTTTTTTTTTTCTTTTCATTTCTTCTCTCTCTGTCTCTCTTTGAGACAGAGCCTCGCTCTGTCGCCAGTCTGGAGTGCAGTGGCATGATCGCGGCTCACTGTAACCTCCGCCTCCTGGGTTCAAACGAGTCTCCTGCAGCCTCAACCTCCTGGGCTCAAGCGATTCAACCTCCCAAGTAGCTGGGACTACAGGCACCCACCACCATGCCCAGCTAATTTTTTGTATTTTTAGTAGCGACGGGGTTTCACCATGTTGGCTAGGATGGTCTTGATCTCTTGACCTCGTGATCTGCCTGCCTCGGCCTCCCAAAATGCTGGGATTACAGGTGTGAGCCACCGTGCCCTCCCTCCCTCCCCCCTTCCTTCCTTCCTTCCCTCCCTCTCTCCCTTCCGTCCCTCCCTCCATCCCTCCCTCCCTCCTTCCTTCTTTTCTTCCTTCCTTCTTTCCTCTCTTTCTCTTTCTCTCTTTCTCTTCTTCTTTCTTCTTTCTCCCTTCCCTTCCCTTCCCTTCCTTTCCTTTCCTTTCCTTTTCTTTCCTCCCTCTCTCTCTCTTTCTCTCCTCTCTCCCGCTCCCTTTCCTTTTTTCTTTCTTTCTACAGGGTCTCCCTCTGTCATCCAGGTTGGAGTACAGTGGCACACAATCAAATCTCCCTGCAGCCTCAACCTCCTGGGCTCAAGCAATCCTCCTGCCTCAGCCTCCCAAGTAGCTGGGACTACAGACGTGCATCACCACGCCGTGCTATTTTCATTTTTTGGAGAGACAGGTTCTCACTATATTGCCCAGGCTGGTCTTGAACTCTTGGCCTCAAGCCATCCTCCCACCTCGGCCTCCCAAAGCGCTGGGATTACAGGCATGAGGCACCATGCCTGGCCTGAACCTCTTCCTTTCTTTTCTCTCTCCTCTACCTGTGTTGTCTGTCCAACACAACTGCCAGATCTGACCCTGGAACACAGTGTTAATTATCTATTGTTTGATTGGAACACCACTTTTTGTTTTTTGAGATGGAATCTAACTCTGTCACCCAGGCTGGAGTACAGTGGCATGATCTTGGCTCACTGCAACCTCCACCTCCTGGGTTCAAGTGATTCTCCCGCCTCAGCCACCTGAGTAGCTGGGACTACAGGCGCCCACCACCATGCCCGGCTAATTTTTGTATTTTTAGTAGAGACGGGGTTTTGCCATGTTGGCCAGGCTGGTCTCTAACTCCTGACCTCAAGTAATCTGCCCCCTCAGCCTCCCAAAGTGCTGGGATTACAGGCGTGAGCCACCACGCCTGGCCTGGAATACCATTTTCTTAAGGGTCTCTGAGACCTAACCCTGACCTGAGCTGGAGGTACTGTCACGTACCTGTCAGTGGGCAGCAGTACCCGTCAGAAGGCCACAATGCCTTCGTTATCAATAAGAGTTGCCACCCTGAGACAGTGTGCACACCCCTCTTTACCTGCCTTCTCCATGAAGCAGCCATACTTGGGCTCCACTGCAGGTGCTGTTGGTGCTAGGACCTTGCTCCTCTGAGAAGGGGGCTGAAGTTCCCAGAAGCTGAACTTCCAGTTGACAGCTGGCAGGTTGTTGCTGAGATGGTGGTTGCTGGAAAGGTGCATCTGACCCAAGCTGGGTTTGGTTTTACTGGAAATCTGTATTCAAAAGCTCTGGTTTTTGTTCATTGTGTCTAAAGAGACATAAAAATTAATTTAGCATTTGAGACCCCAGTGAGGACAGAGCCTGTCTCATAACAAGCTCAAAAGGATCCCCATTCTGACCACACAAGAAGATTTTGAGTGAGTTTTGAGGGGATACACAGGATAAGGGAACAAAAAGCCCCTCTGGCTTAGGAGGTTAGGGTGGGAGAAGGGTAGATTCCTTAAATATGCCTACAATGCAGCATTTCTTAGAACAAGGAACTGGAAAAAGGACATTACCAGAATGCCTAGGATGAATGAAATGATTCTTAGTTGAAGCTCTTGGAGGAAGGGCATTTTATTTTTTTTCTCATTGTTGAGACTAAAGGCTTGTTCCTATAAAGGTGTCAGAATAGAGGGTGACAAGTGCATCTCCAAGGGCTACAAACTCAGGTGACTGCCCAGGCCAGGCAGGATATATGCGTGGGTGAGCACAGCAAGGCTGGGTGCTCCTTTGCCCACTCTTGTCTGTGCCTGGCTGAACCCTACCAGAAGAGCAGGAAGGGTAGTAACCAAGGGAGAAAGAACAGGCACAGTTAGTGCATCCTTGGAGGCTCACATATATACACATCTCTGCCCTACACATTCTCTGCTACCTCCTCCCCCAAAGCTTTTGCTGCTTAACTATGCCCAAGTTCCCCCGTTCTGTGAGAGCTAAGAATTAACCTTGAGTTGATGTCCTTTTGGGCATCTGTGTTTTCTTGCCGTGTGTTGCCAGAAATTGATGTATATTTGACTCCCCACGTGTCCTACCCCAGTGTACATTGACCAGATTGTAACATCTTTGACGGGGAGGCTGTTTGCCTGCTCCTCCCTGCCATTGTAGCCAGGACTGGGCAATACAGGGAGTATCCACGTATCTTTCTTTGTGGGTGGGCTGGTGAGGTCAATGAATCTCAGAGGTCTTGCAGGCCTAGGGTTCTCATTGCAAAGGCCATCCAAGACAAACAGGTAATTTGTTTTAAGCGTATTGCCCGGAATTCGAAGCAAACGCTGGATCCAAATAGTCTAAAAGGTGGCTGGAGCTTCAGGCTTTCCAAACCCATCTGTAGAGTTATATGATTTACTGAAATACAAGAATGTTCTGCTTTTAGTGCTCAGAGCTCCCAATACCCAGTTATTTGTTTTACACATTTTCCCCATTAGAAATTGAAACATAGCAATTAGAAGCCAACCCAGATTGTTCCGCATTTAGGGGGTTTCACATGTCTACTTGATAATTTTGTATCTGTAGCAGCTTGGGCATAGCAGCCTTAAAGAGCCTTGTTTGGATTGTTGGAATAATGTTTTCCAGTTTAAAGTAACTGCTAGAATGGTAAAAAAAAAAAAAAAGAAGAATAAATGCGTGGCAAAACTCAAGTCTATTAGCCTTGCCGTTCACACCTGTAGTTTCTCTCCATCCAGGTGTGGGGTTAACTCAAGCACCTCGGGTGTATTTGCAGGGATTCTTTAGGAAAAAAGAAAAAAAAAAGAGAGAGAAAAACCCAAGATGCCTAATCAGAAATTACCTTACTGGTAGTAAAACCCAAATTCATGAGAATGTATAAAAATAGATTTCTTTTAAATGCCAGGGAAGAGATTTGGAAGCGTTTTGGCAGATTCGGATGCACGGACCGACCTGCGCCAGGTTCTTCTAACGTTAATAAATATTCATTTTGTTTTTTTGGGGGGGAGTCCAAGTACTAAGCAGAGGGTCCTTGTTGTAGAAGTGAGATCTAGTTCTGCAGCGAGAAATTCGAATTCTTAAATACCAGGTATTCTTTTCTAAAACTGTAACTCTTTCCTCGCAATTCAAACGGTGCAGGGGGACAGCTGCTCCTGGAGATGGATTCAGCCACGGCCTTTTCTTCTCTCGTGCAGCTAAGCCAAGCCAGGTATGAAAACGGTGCTCCCTTCCCCTTCTCAGACATCTTGTTTTTCTTTCTTGGACACACAGAGAAAGCTCCATTAAATATTGATAGTGTTTTGATACATTAAAATCGAGAACAAGTCAGAAATCTTATATACAATATACACAGATGTCATTTTTTTCTGGTTTCGCCATTTTTGACCAAAAGCGTCAATATTTTACAGGAATTTCTTTTCCCTTCAAAGCCTGCAAGAAGTCCACTTCTCACAGAATGCATGTCCAGTTGGTACTGAAACGGTTCCCCCCAACATGTCTGTGGAGATCGCGTTATTAATATTATTTGAAAAATCTACTTACCACTTGTGTTCAATTTAGCAAATTTGGAGCTTGAAAAAAACCCTCAAAATAATTTTCCTTCATCTGGCGGAGAGTAACATTGTTCATAATAAGTAAAAATAAATGTTTTGCCATTCTAAAAATAATTTAAATAAACTAGAATATATATTTCAAACAATATAGTTCATTTAAATTTATTTGAAAGACAAAAAAGGTAAAGAGAGAGAGAGAGAAAGAGAGAGGGAGAGATGGAGAGAGAGACCTCAGTTGCAGCTGTTCCAAAGAGTTCGGGTACAAATGTTCTTTCATTCCTTTGCATGATTTTGATAAAATTAGGTCAAAGAAATGTTCATTTGAAAACAGTGCTTTGTCATATTATCTACAACACATGTCTAGCAAATTTATGAATCCAGCATTCATCTGCGTGAAGTTTCAAATCCTAATGAATGGTTTAGACAGCATTGTCATCAATTTTCCGCAGGTGCAGCTGAGGCAATCAGTCAATTCAATCAAAAGCCTCCGTCAACTTGCGTGGCGCTGTCATTTTTTACATTCGGATTGCTGAAATTAACAAAAACGATCCTCCCTGAATGCCGTTACACTCCTCCCGCCTTTGGGTGGCGCTTTTGAGCAACGCTTTGCCGCTCGCCGTGCTGCAGGATCTCGCAGCATTTTTTTTTAACTTTATACTAACATAATATTTCTTTTGTGATATTATGGAGATAAAATTGCACTGTGTGTTTTAACACACATTACAACAACCTCTTAAGGCAAAAAAGTAAATTCATGCAAATGAGTTATAGAAAGTGAAAAAGATTTCTTGTTCGGTGCGGTGCGCGGTGGGACCCGGCGCTGGGAAACACTCCAATTGCCAGGTTCTGAACTTCCTCGTCCCTTCTCCTGTCAGGCTGTGCAATAGAGTGCAATGCGGGCTCTCAACTTTGGAACTGTTGCTTTAAGATTTAAGAACCAGGCCACCTGGTTGCCTTTATCTTGTGTTTCCTCTGGGTTTACCTTCCACTGCCTTCCAACAGTCTCTGGAAATCTCCGGAGTGGGCTTTACTGGTATCGGGAGAGGCACGTTTTATTGCAACCTGGGTGATGAGAATTCTCTTCCTATCACTGCAAGCTATTGAGCTCCTTCTCCTCAAACGGTTAACAGCAGCTTCAAACCCTGCCACTTACCTTAAAAGAGTTAAAGATCCTAAGAAAGAAAAGCTTTGGCTTTTTAACTCATTGAAAAATAAACTTGTTTCCAAAACTCTGTAGTCTAAGAAGGATTTCAGCAGTGCCAGTGAGGTAAAGAGAAAACTGCAAGAGACACTCTGCATATGGCAAAGATGAACACTCTGTCTTCTGTCTCCCAGGAACACTACCAGGTTCCTTCTAAATCTTTAGAATATATGGACAGACAGAAAGCACTTAGTATCAGTTTCTCCATGATGAATAGAGTTAACCTTTGTAGTTCGCCAAAAGTCAGTAAGTTTTTCTTTCCCATTTGTTTCAGTCCAACGATGAGTAGAAATGCAGGTAGGACCAGATAAACTCACATTGTCTTGGCCTTTTTGCTTAATGACAGCAGCCGACTGCTTACAGCAGCTGGCAAAAGAGAAGTGATAATATTAACTTATTTAAATAATCAGGTTACATGTAGTGACAGACGCACTCAAATTTATTAAAGTCGCTTGAAAAATATTTAGATGCTTTTCCTTTGCAGACATCATGAATGGTCAATTGCCCCAACATTTCTGAGGCCGTGTTAAAAAATACACTTGGTTTCTAGAAGAATGCAAATTCCAAGGAATATAATAAAAATGTTCTTTTAAACAACTAGCTATGTCACTTTGCAAATAGCTTTGATGTAGCATTCCTGCCTGCATAAAGTTGAAGCTACATCTGTGTCAGCCATACCTGAGTTTATGATACCTTCCCTGAGAGAGCAATTAGGGGCTGGTGAGGGCTGGAGTTCTAGCTAATATTTGAAACTACATGTGCGTCTGCAAGCTAAAGGGGAAAAAAGGGCTGTGATCATCTGTGAATAGAGAAAAGAATTCTAACAGCTCCTACCTTTTAGACACTTGATAAAAAATGCGGTTGGGGGGTGCCTGGAGAGTCTCAAGGGAGTGGCTTTTCCGCTGAGAAATGAAGACTGCCACATAGCCGCCAGCCGGGCTTGCTGTAGGAAGCTTACAATTCAGCTCTCTTCGGTGGAGTTTGAAGTTAAATGGTCCTGTCTGCTTCTTCTCTTGTTTGTGTCACTTGTTAAAGATCCCTTGAAATGCACCATTACAGTTTCTTCTTAGTTGATTACAACAGAACTAAACTAGTCATCTTGCATTTCAGCTATCCCTAATTTCTTATAAGGGCCCAAGGAATAGATCTTTTCTTTTTTTTTAATTGCCCAAATATAAAAACATTTGACTTGCTATTACTCTTAATGTAACTGTAGATCTTGTAATAAAAGGTGAAGTGAAATTGAGTGTCCATAAATCAAGCAAATGAATGCACAGAAAAGAACTAACGATACATATAGTCAAAAATACGTGTAGCCTTAAAGGAGATGCTTGGCATTGTGTGTGTGTTTTAATATTATGCTTTTCATTAGGCTGGACTCTGTTTTACAGGGAAGACAAATATTTCCATATTTGAATTTTTCTTTCTCTCTTCCAATCCAAAAGAGAATTTCTTTTGTTGTTGTTGTTGTTAGTTTCTTTCTAAAAGGGAAAGAAATTAACATTGCTTCCCCCCCCATGAATATATGTGGTGAAAAGCTTGCAGGGTGTTTTGATGAAGCATGCAAAATGTTTTATTAATCAGAGTAATAGAGTAGAAATGAAGGCAGTACGTCTTTAAAAGTGCCTGGGTGTCCAGGTACGCGGGGAAATCCGTAAAACCGTTGACCAAGCACAATGTACGTAGACAAATGTCTTCTCATTGCGTGATGCGTGAAGGCCATGATAGATGGCTTCTAACAACAAAGCGTGACCACAGAGACAAAATTAGTGTTGTTTTAATTACCAGTGTCTGTAATGTTATCTATCCATAACTGCCTGAAATAGACCGTCACAGAGGGTCAGAAGGCGACCTGAGCTCATACTTCCACACATAGCTTCCTTATCGGTTCTGGAGTCGTAACAGCAGTGTGCTTAAAAAAAAAAAAAAAAAAGAAAAAGAAGAAAAGAAAAAGTTTAATATTTCACTTGAAACATTTACTTATAACAAAAAAAATTGTTTCTTGTTTAAGGGAAGTGCCTTTATCTTTTTCTTTCAAAGCAGATCTTATTAAATGCTATTTGGAGGTCAGAGTAATGGGCAGAAAATGGGACTGGCCTTGACATTCTTCAATGAAAGTTTACATTCTCGGAGCGGTGTTTTTTGTCAGTCACAAATAGCATTATGACACTAATAGGAAAGAAGGTTCTTTATTTTTGAAACCTCCTTGAGCTGAGACGGGCTGTTCTTCAGACATTTGTAAGTGTGTATATTGTGAAGATGAAGTATCCCTTACTTTCTGAGCTTGCGGGAGATGAAAGATAGGCCAGTTTTTGAAAATGGCCTGCGTGGCACATGCTATAAATGAGCAGGGAAAGCAATCGAGCTAATAGATTACAGTAATTATCCAATCTTTGGCTAGTTTGTATTGGCAAACTATAAATACAGTACACATTAGAACAAGGTGCTTACAGAATGTACATGAAAGGTCATTGTAATTTGCAAGTCGCTAGTCATTAGAATATGCTAAAAACCATTGCTTCAGGGCTCAGATTTTAATGATGAATACATTGATTATTAAGTAGCAGAGGAAAAATGTACAAGAGCGGCTGTGGTGTAATGATAGGTCGCTTTATTTTGGGAAGGAAATCAACTCAGCTTCAGAATGCAGGCATTGAGGAATATAATTGCAGTGAGGAAAATTCCTCAGAGGAGCTTGGCACATATTAAAAGCAAAAACTTGAGACATGTTTGTGATAAGATTACTAATAAATCTCTGGTAAGTCTTAGACTCCTGACAATAATACAGCAACAGAGTACTTCATCTTCTCCAAGCTTTAGAATTTAAGATCAGTCACAAACAATCTAAATTACGACTGATACTAGGCAGATGCAGTACTGGACGATGTTGCTTGTCATAAATCTCTCGTTCCTTATATGCAAATTAAACTCCATTTTAAAAGATAATTTTTCACATGGTGATCGCCTTTATTTGCAAAACGCTGGTGATTTTTAATGGGTAAAGAGAAAAAGCCAGGCTCTACATCCGGGAATGATTTTGTGCAAGAGGGGAGGCAGGAGCCTGTCATCTGGATGCTTAGGGTGGGGCAACTTGACCGGCTTTGGAGAGAAGTTAGGGACCAAGTTGGGTTTAAATACAGCCACACAGTGCCTAGAAGCTGCCTTGGCTGCTGGCTGCAAGGGGGAAGTCCCTGGGTTGCATCTAGGTTGCAAGGCTTTCTGACTTTTATATTGCAGAGTGGTGCGCCTGTTTCTGCTTGTTCTGGGATGGAAGCATTTTGTCTGACAGCCACCCGCCTCCTGCCCTCCTCCTGCCCCCCTCCTGCCCCGTTCTGTCTCTGCTGGGGAGTTCACCCTCTGCCCCTTGAACCTCAGTTCTAGCTGGCTATGGGGCCGAAACCCGGAGTAACTCCTCACATGGCTATCCTGAGTATCTTTTCCAAAAAGAAGTCAACATGGAAATGGCGTATAATCCTGAGTCCTGTGCCAACCGTTAATCACTTTTTTTTTCTTGCGTTTTAAGAGCAAAGCAGCAGCTTACCTCTGGATCCTGATAGAGAGGGAATGGCTTGCTTTTCCTCATCACAGTCTGTACTCATGAAATATTTGTCTCTGAAGCCCTGAATTTTTACTGCAGGGCTGTTGATGGGAAACTTGGAAAGAATAAACAAAAATTTAAAGAGTGGGAAGCACCTGCCTTTTCTGAAATCCATCATTCCGCTATGTCATCCATGGACCTCAAGGTTTATAGGAGATGCTCGGCCTCTTTGTTGAAGCCACAGGGCAGTGAGGCCAGGTGTGTTGAAGGCCTCTCCAGGGCCCCAGAGACAGGGATGCTGGCTGGCATTTATCTGGCAAAAGAGCAAAGCAAAGGGGTTTTCACACCATACTGGGTTCACCAGGGTAGTTTGGGAGCAGGGTGCTTGGGATAGTCTTATTCTATATACACCTCCAAAGAAATATCAGGACCAAGGGGCCATGTGGCCAAGTGTTTTCTGACGAGTAGCAGCACCACCCTGGAAATCTGGGTCCAATCAGAGGTTGGGCAAATTCTTCTTTTCCCCTGGTGCTATCAGGATGGAACTCCTACTGTTTTTCCATTGTTTTCTTGGAAATACATTGGCAGGTCCCAGAAAAGTGTTGGGAAGTCTGTATTTGTGCTTCTCTTTGTCTTTCTGTCGTTCTACCCCCACACCCTGAACATACACACTCTCTCTCTCTCTCCCTCGCTCCCTGTCTCTCCATGTCCTCTCCAAATTAACAAACTTAAAACAAAAACCAAGTGCTTGTTGATCAGTGCTGACAGAACCTGTTCCAGGAGGAAGGGACTAGTGGCTCCTCGGGGGAAGATGCGGCGGGAACCAGGTGGAGCGGCACATCCCTCTGGGTCCTGTGTAGCTAGTCATTTTATCAGCCTGTGCATTAAGGGGCAACACCACAAAAGGGTAAGAGTATAAACATGCTTTACAATTCTCAGCTCCCTAGCATAAGAATACTTCCTGCGTGGATGTAAATTTACAACAGGTGCTTATCAAATGTGAAAACGCTTGCAAATCGGAAACAAACTTAAGGGCGAACATATCTCAGTGACGGCTTTTGCAAGGGCTGTGCTTGATGTTGGGCTATAATGTTGTTCCTCTTTAGTTTCTACGTGAAGTATCTTTCCATGGTTTGCCACAGGGAGAATTATGATGGCTGAGCCTCAGACACTGGTGTGAAGATGCAGATTTGTTTAATGAAATCCGTATTTACCATTGGGTTACAAACACAGCTAATATGCCCTACATTCAAAGGAGAGATCTTCACTCTCAGAACTAATATTTTCATTAATTCTGTCTTTCTACCAGAAGGCAGACATCATCTAACCATCTTTGCAGCGTAACTGCACCTGTGATAGAAATGTTTTTCAACCGTCCCGTTCTCGATGACTAAAATGTGTTGTATTTGTAACATAAGGCAACAGCTTCCTTTCTTGGTTTGCCTGTCCTAAGTGGTGAATTCTCCAGTATAATCGGGCTGTGTGTGTTTTTTCTGAATTGCACTTTTTGTTTTGCAGTTTTAAAATAGTCCCCACCCCTTTGCCCCCCAAATCTTTAAGGTTTGCTTGTAAGATGTACTTGTTGTGCAGGAAGCAATTAGCCTGTTACAGAGATATTAATTAACATGTTGAAAATGTTTTCTTTATTAATGAGAAATTCACACATTCTATTTAAATTAATTTGTATAGTTTAAAATTAATTTATCGTGGCCTTTGATGACCTCAGATCTACGAAGACAAAACTGGAGTATTGTACTAACTGTTAAACCATTCATTAAACATTTTATGCAAATAGTGTTTGTTTATAAACAAATTAACTGCAAGGATTTTCAAAACAGGTGCTGTGTTGTGAATGCGTACTAAATGATGTGGTACTGAAAGAATTAATTAGACCTTCAAATGTAATTAGTTGCAATAATTTGCGTGATTAGCGGCTTGGTTAAGAAGTAAGACACACACATTGTAATGCATGGGAGAGTCACTGCAGTAGCTTTGTTTTTCATATGGTGAGGATGAGTCTTCTCCATGTTTAGGAAATTTTTCAAAAAATTGCTGACATAGCTGCAGTTAATTGCCAAGTATCCTGTGGGGGGTAATGTTGTTGTTGTGGTCTTTTTTTTTCCTCTTTCTCCCTTGGCTTCTTGCAATGCATAGCCACTGGATGCAATGCTGTTTATTTGCACCTTTATGAATTTTTAAAAGAGAAAGTTGTTAACCCCAGATCTTTTCATCCCCAGAGGATATGACAATGCTTAACACTTTGAGGGTTAAAAGACAGTACACAATTATTATAAGCCAAATGAAACATGTCCTGCATTTCAAGAGCGGCTGTTATCGCTCAGGGAATAGCGGCAGTCATTTTTTTCTTGACGTTGCAGTGTCTTTTCTGTTCTTTCAGAAGATGGGCCGCCACTGTGAACAGTTTAGTCTGATGGGCCATGGAAACTGGTACTTGTCACTGCCGATGGCTTGTTTACATGAGGCTGGTATTCTAGAGGCAAGGCCGTTGAGATCCCTGGGGCCAAAGCTTTCAGATGGATTTATTCTCTAGGGCCATGTTGCTGTGAGATGGCGCTCAACGACTTAGGGACCCTCAGATCTCTAACCTCTATGCTGAGACCTTCCATAGTACTGTCCTGCTTTGAAGGATCCTGGTAAATAATAGACCAGAGTGATTTCATTTCTTCATTTGTTCAGAAATATTCATTGGGTGCTCACGAGGCACCAAGGCCCTGTTTTAGGCTCCAGGGGGATGCGGTAGTGACTCATACAGATGATGTCCTTTTCTCATGCAGCTTCATTGGGTGCAAAGGCAAAAAAGCAGATGCCAAATCTCAGACAATTTCAGCCATGAAGAAATAGGAACTTGGCTGATTTCTCCTTATTCAAGTGCACGATTCCTGTTGAAGCATCTCTGAACAACTGTCACTCTTGTGCCCTCACTGGGCAATAGTGACATCCTATACTGAAGAAGACGGGATAGAGGAAGTGGTAGTTGGTTAAGGGGTGAGCCAGAGTTCTAAAATAAACCTGTTGTGTGCCTGTGCCTGTGTGTGTGTGTGTGTGATGTATCCTGCTGCTCCTGAAACCTACTAAATGACAGAAAGACTTGAAATACATGGTTTCACTGGTTTCACATTTTAGGAAGGCTCTTTTACCCAGGGGAAGAGTTGAATTATCTCGTCCCTTCCCTACCACACTGAATGACCTTGGGCAGGGCTGGGGTGAAATCTGATTTCCCTTCCAGCTCTAGACATCAAGGATTCTACTCTCGGCCTTGGAGAGGTTGAGGATCTAGAGAAAAAAAAACTTGTGAGTTTCCTTAAGACCACAGCTTTCCCTCCTCTGAATTTCTTGGCGGTGTTTGATTCGGTTCATCCTCATTTTCAGCTGGTGTTTGCAAAGCAGTCTTTAAAATAGGCCCTTTTTGGATGATGTTTGAACTTGAACAAAATTAACATTTGCGTGTCATCAGTAGCTGCAGTGCATCATTCTGGGCAGTGAAGGATGAAAAGTCAAGAATGTGGGCCGCTTGATTAAAATGAACAATCCAGGAAAGTTCGGAAAGATGGATATGTAGAGCTGGCCTGCTAATTTATGTGGACTCGATTCCAATTGCAAAGGAACATTTTTTTTCCCTTTGAAACTTTTAAGAAATCAGGTTTTAAAGCTGAACTGATGCACCACTCAACTTAAAATAGAAGAGAATTTGATTTTATGTGGTGCCTTTCACATTCCTGAACTCTATATAATATCACACATCAGAGCTCCTGGCTGCAGGGTGGCTGGGAGGCAGGGCTAGGTTGAACGATTCCTAAGAAAAGGATGAACAACCATTCCCTTTGCAACACTTGGAAAGAGCTTCCTGTGGGTTTTTAAAGCCTCTCTCTTCAGGGCCTTTGCACGTTTTCTCCCTCCTTGGACTGTGAACATGGAGCAAATATTTACAGGGGTCTTAGGAGCTCTGTGCACAAATTGTCCTCTGTGTGCAAACACCATCCTAAATATTTACTGGGACCTTAGCACCTCTGCCCACAAATTGTCCTCTGCATGCAAATACCATCCCGTCCTAGAAGATTCAACTAGAATGTTGTTTCCTACTCCCCAAGGCAACATTAATAGTTCCTTTCTCTGAAGTAACCTGTACAGTAGTATTATCAATTATTGGGCTTGGTTGTGTGTGTCCTTGGGAAAATGACTGCCCTTGACTGAGCCTCACCTGCACGTTGGAGCCATGCATAGGATTGCCTGAAGGTAGAGGGAGAAAGCTCAAACTAAATGCCCAGCCTGCAGGCTCTTGATAAAAGTCAACATACCCTCTTGCTTCCTCTACCCTTGCATGGGGAGGAGTGCTGATGAACAGACAATAGGCAAATGAAACCCATCTCCCTGCCCACAGGCTATAAGAGGACTGGAGACAAGTCATGGATGGTCCCATATGTCAGATATTCTTGAGTTCCCAACTGATTGCAATAGTTACTGCCTTTTGAGAACAGACACATTGTTCACATGCTACCGAGCAAGACCCAAATAGAGACCTAGCTGTTCTCCTTACTGGTGTATGTAAGACTTCTCTTATGAGCCTCAGTTTCCCCAGTTGTGGAATGAGCAGTTCTGGTGCATTAGGGCTCCTTTCCACACTGATACTTTAGGAACCTGTATTTGGTTTTGAAATAATTATAGAATCAGGAGATAAATTAGACCAAGTTATTTCCTCTGCCCTTATGATCTCTTTCGTTTTTTTTTACACATTTATTTTGAGCTATATTCTTTCTCTCTCTCCCTCCAGTGTGATATATGAAAAAACAGACTTTAAAATGGACCTTGTAGAATAATATTTGGATTAGAACAGAATGCTATTCAAATATGCATTCAGTTGATTTCTGCTTAAGCATGTTTTGGGTAAAAAAGTTAAAAATGGGGAGATTCCCTTAGACTTAGGGAGCTGGAGCTGGAGCTAAGTTGCAATGAAGGAGGAAGTGGCTATAAAGAGGAATCTAGGGTATCTCTTAGGGCCTCACTACCCTGGACACAGAAATGGTGGCTCTGTGGTAGAGGGCTCGAGCAATGTTAAAAATGAGGAAATAATCTGAACAACCACAATGATTAATACAACACTCGTCTTCAAAGAGCCATGAGATCTTTAGTATCTACAAAATATATGAGGCTTCAGTTGAAGTTTTTATCAGAGAGATGCAGCTGGGGTTTTATTTCATCTTCACTCAGCTGAAGGCAACCTTGAGGGCGGATGGAAGGGGGTTGAGGTGGGCGGGGAGAGGTCTGAAGACAGAGAAGCAATATCCCTGCATAGGCACTTCGGGAAGCTTGGTGTTCTGTGTTGGCATACAGAAAAGTACAACAGGGGGCTTGTTTGGTATCAGATACAGCTGGCTTGAATGGTGTCAGTCCTAGGTGTCACTCTCTCCTCTACCACTTACTTGACTGGGTGACCTCTCCCTCCGTCAGTTTCCTCCTTGTTTTTTTTTTTTTTTTTTTTTTTTTTTTTTTGAGAAGAAGTCTCCCTCTGTCACCCAGACTGGAGTGCAGTGGTGTGATCTGGGCTCACTGCAACCTCAGCCTCCCAGGTTCAAGCTATTCTCCTGCCTCAACCTCCCCAGTAGCTGGGATTACAGGCACTTGCCACCACGCCTGGTTAATTTTTGTATTTTTAGTAGAGACAGGGTTTCACCATGTTGGCCAGGCTGGTCTCAAACTCCTGACCTCAGGTGATCCGCCTGCCTTGGCTTCCCAAAGTGTTGGGATTACAGGTGTGAGCCACCACCCTTGGCCAATTTCCTCCTTCTAATACTGGTAATCTGTAAGCCCTACTGTGCAGGGTTTTTCTGAGGACTAGAAAGAACCTAGGGCAGGGTCCTATGCATAAGCGAAAGTCACCTGAACACTTATTTGAACAGCATTCTGTCCTAATAGCATTCTGTCCTAGACAGTGCTTGCAGAGAACAGACACTCAACAAGTGTATGTGAATATGCATAGTAACGTTATTCCCTCAGGTTTTCATGTGCACATTTCAGTTTGGGGCCTGTCCCTTCCCTGTTTTCTCTCTCCACTCTGTTTTGAAGAGCTCGTTGCTTTGCGAGGAGCGTTGATGGACTGTGTCATGTTGTAGGTTCCAGCCTGAACATCTCCAAGTAACAATTTTGGAAGCACAGACACACAAACACACACAAAGAAGTTAGAGGTGTGAGAAGACTAGCATTGGAGAGAGGCTCAAAGAAGAGGCCGTGTCATCCGATTCGTGTAGGAATTCACTGATCTCGGCTCCAGGAGGGACTTAGGGTCAGCATTCCTTGGTTTGGTCAGTTTCCCTGGAAGGTAAGAGGTGAACCCATCCAGGGCAGTGCCATTGCCAAGCAGTGTGTTTTTACTTGGAAATTCCTTTCCACATCTGAGGCACAGTGATGACTTATCTGACTTTCGCTTTTCAACTCATTTCCTCTGGGGCAATTCTCTCTGGAGCCCGTGCCCAGATGTTTTGTTTTGTTTTGTTTTTTCACCATTGGCAAGATGGAAGGGATGCTGGAGAAAAAGTTTCTCCAGTTCCCAAGCATCAGCAAATTCGAGTGAGCGTCCAAAGGTAATTGTATTAGTCAACATACTAGTCTTACTCTAATGGTCTTACAAGCCCCAATGATAAAGTGTGTATGTTCCAATGATTATAGGAATTTTATTTTCATCTGGTTTTTATATTGCTATAAATATTTTGCATTTACCAAATAAAGTGGTTGCTATGTAGAGATCATAACTTCTGGGACCTAAATTTGCTTCAGATGATAGGCAAATTATAGAGTACAATATGTGATCAAACAGCAGTATGGAAAACTTAAATAGAGTGAGCCCTGAGGACGAAGGCTGCTTAAAACTATGGGGGATGGAATAAATGGGAGTTTTAGCAAAGCTATCGCTGATTCCAGCAGATAAATTATGCTCTGCCTTTTTGTATCTCTTTGGGACTGTACTACATAAATTATGACCAAATATAATTTAGGCTATCAGCCTATATTTCTGAACATCCATCTTGTACATTTTAAGTACAAAATTACCATTTTGCAGAAGTATAAAATTGAGACAAATTTTTTTCCATCTGTGCGTTTAACTTCTGCATACTTTATAGCAGCTAACGGGTTCGAGAGGACCTCATTACCATCCGGAGGGGACATTAGCCCCGCGACTATATAACTGTATTAAGATCTACATAAATGGGAATAAAGTTCGAGGGACAGTGGAATGTGGAATTATATATTCTTTCTTAAATGGAGATGTAACTTTTACATAAAACTGCTCGTCGCTGCTTTTCTGAATAAGAGTCACTGTTTATACATTCAAACTTCCTGATGGAGGAGGCTGTGTTTAGGAAAACTCCTTTCAAAACATGCAGAAAAGGGCAGGCTTTTGGTGGCAAAGGGGACCTTCCAGAGATCCCTCGGCCATTGGAGCGAAGATCCAGTCTTGAACTCTGGCGTGGCCCACAGAGATGAGAGTGACTTCTTGGAGCCTCATTCTACTGCCCCTCAAGCACCACCTCCTCAGATTTCTGAGTGATATGAGTGGGCAAGTCAGACAGGCCCTGTGCCCACCCATCAGGGATGAGGCTCCCTCCAATGACTTCACCTCACCGGCTTCTCGGGAGGCCTGGGTCTGGGTCGGGGACTGCACTGGACTATGAAGCAATGAGAACGGGCAGGGATTTGGGGGACGGGGGACCAAGTTCACTTCCCCTGACAATTGCAGGTCTTCTGAGGGTGCTTGGCAAACCTTTGGCCAGGGACTGGGGCAGCCCAGGTTTCTTCCATGCAGACCTAGGTTTCTTCACAACTCAGGGTAACATTGCTCTGACAACAGTTGTTGCATCTGAGGACAAGTTTTCTACTTTTGAGCTTGCAGGGATGTTTGAGCTGGAATGGAGACTCATTCATAGCATGGTGTAGTGGGAAATGCAGGTGGCAGGGGGATGTTAGGACTTTGCACCCTTTGTGCCAAGTGGACAGCACCGTATAATCCTCACCTCATGTCCGTCACTCCTTTATAGACAGCAGATCTTAGAGAATTTCTCCCCTTAATCTTCTTTTGCTTCTGTATATGATTCATTTTCCCCTCTCCCTTAAACTGGTTTTTTTTTTCTTTTTCCTATGTCTTTTCTCTGCTGCTGGGTGTGTGTCTTTTCCCTTTCATTTCGTCTGTTTTTCTGCCTCTCTTCTTTCTTACCTTCCCCTGATGGCCAAATTGTAGAATGAACATATATTTCAGCCAAACAAGGTGGCTCGTTGGTCTATTTGATGTGAGGTGTTGCAAGCTTAGTCCCTCAAGAGGCTGGAGTCCAAGTGGAGAGAGGCTGACCAGGTGCACAGATAACAGACAGTCAGGGCTACCATCTAGCCGGAGGTCTGGGCATCAGTCACTGCTGTGAAATGTTCGGAGACACGAGTGATGATACCAGACACAGATAGGAGTTATCGCACAGGTCAAATCAAATCAGACTATAGAGAAAGAAGGGCTTATGAAGAGACAGGTGCCTGTCTCTGCTCTACAGGAGTGGCTTGGGAAGGACGGAAGTCCCAGCTCTGTTTGGTAGTTGAGTACACTGCTTAAAAAGGCATCAAAAGGAATTTCTTTCTTGGGTAAGGTCTGGTCATGTTTACAATGGAAGATCCTCTCTTTTCTGAGACAAAGTTTCACTCTGTCACCTAGGCTGGAGTGTAGTGGCTGCAGTGGTGCGATCTCAGCTCACTGCAACCTCTGCTTCCTGGGTTCAAGCAATTCTTATGCCTCAGCCTCCTGAGTAGCTGGGATTATAGGCATGTGCCATCATATCTGGTAAATTTTTGTATTTTTAGTAGAGATGGGGTTTTGCCATGTTGGGTAGGCTGGTCTTGAGCTCGTGGCCTTAAGTGATCCACCCACCTCAGCCTCCCAAAATGCTGGGATTACAGACATGAGCCATTGCACCCAGCTACAGATTTCTCATTTTTTATAGGAGAAAAACTCACAGGGGTACCTGGGGGACTGTATCAAGGGTTGGCTCTCCTGAAAGGGCTCAGAGCTCACTGTGGGCTTGACAGTGTCTTGTGTTCCCCAAATTCACGGAAAATGCATCCAGCAGGGGAACCTCGGCTCTCTCCATCATTGAGGAAGTGGCTGGCAAAGGAGGCGACAAGAGGCAGAACCCACTGAGACCTGGGAACCAGGGTCTATCAAGTCCAGGTATCCGAGCCTCGGACAGGGGATGTCCACTCAATCATCCCCTCATTAGCTATTCAGTCAATATTTATTGAGGACCTACTATGAGCCAGTCAGGTTCTACTTCAGTGGCTAAGATACACCTATACCTTGCAGACCACCAGATAACAAGCAAGAAATGTAATACATAAATTAAAAAACCTCTAGTTGGTGATAACTAGAAGATTAGCATTGGAGAGAAGCTCAAAGAAGAGGCCACGTCATCTGATCCATGTAGGAATTCACTGATCTTGGCTCCAGGAGGGACTTAGGGTCAGCATTTCTTGGTTTGGTCAGTTTCCCTGGAAGGTAAGTTTGAGACTTTCTTCAAAAAACAGAACAGAGGCATCATTTAGAAAGTGCCTTGAGTTGGCGGCTGCACTGGAATGAGTGGTGGGAAGTCCACTCTGAGGCGGTGACTCCTGGGCTAAAGCCTGTTGGATGAGAAGGAGCCTGTCATGGATGGGGGATCAGCAGAGGGGACCACATCGGGACTGCCAGGGTGAGGATTGTGAAGACACTACCCCTACTGGCTCCGTCATCCTCTGGGCTCACTCATGACAGCTCTGAGGGTAACCACAGGAGAACCTTGAGTCAACCTGGTGAGAAGTCAGGGTGGGATTGTAGTAAATGTCCAATAGATAAGCATCCTGAGCTTCGGAAGAGCTGGTCACTGTCCCAAGGTCACGCAGTGAGTGAGTGACAGAGTGGGCATCTGAAAGGCGGCTTCCCGGTTAGACTTCCTCCCCCTGTTCCTTCTGCATTTTCAGGTCCAGATGGAGTATCCAGGAGGTGCTGCCATGAGAGGCATGTGCTGTGTGTCATTTCCTGTTCATGACCTTGTAAACCATGGGCAGCAGTTTTGAGAGTTAAAGAAACATCAAACCCGCTTGAGGAGGGTGCTTCTTCCCAGTGGCTGCCTACCGCCACTCCCCCACGCTGTGACATTTCACACAGTAAGGGCTGCCTCATTTCTAGTGAGGTGAATGTGGATGGGGATCCTGCCCTGTGGGCCGGGGTGCAACCACCCTATGGCTCAAGCATGCCCATAAGTCCCCCACAAACAGTGAGCCCAGAAGAGCTGGGGGCTGGCTCTGTCCATTCATCAACACTCAACTGCTCTCTTCATCCAGAGCTAGGGTTCAGAACAGGTGCAGGTGGAGATCGGCTTTGAGCAAGGACAGATGGACACCACCACACACTATCACTGACTCCGTTCCATCCCCCAAAGCCCAAGGGCACACCTTTGGCAGAGCCTGTGTTATCAGAGCTGAGACCAACTCTCACCACCTGCAGGTGCTGGGGAAACTACCCATTCATTTGCCGAGAGAAACACAACCATCCTGACATGGAAGTGCACCCATTGGCCTTATCAGTACTCTTTATTCTTGTGATGGATCACCCCAGGAAGCCAGGCTGTAATCCGAAACCACACTATCAAATCACCTTGGGGAGCAAGAGAGTGGGCCCTTGTCATGAACATATTCTTTTGCCGAAGGCAACTGGAGATATCCAGCCAGTTTGGAGCTAAGCCAAAATCTTTGGGAAGAGCTTGAGTTAGCACCTGGGGTGGCAGGTAAAGCTATGGCAGAGGAAAACGGGGCAGGTTGTCAGTGGAAGCCTGGGGACCACCACCAACCAGGGACAGGTCAAGAACGAGGGAGCCATGGGTGGAAATGAGCTGGAGTGGTCATGGAGGAAGGAAGAAAACCCGAGGCCAAGGGGGTAGATAGTTTCAAGATGGCAGGAGTGTTCAGTGGTGATGAACACAGCAGAGATGTTCAGCCACACAAGGACTGAGGAGTGGGTGTCTGAGATCTGCCTATGGGAAGGTCACTGATGACTGGACTGAGTGAGAGGGAGGAGGTCATCATGTTAAGGGTGGTTAGTTTGTTGGTTTATGGTAGGAGTGCTTTAGCTGTTGGTGGTGGGGAGAACAGAGTGGAGGAGACAGAGGACCATGGGCAACAGGAAAGAGCAAGGAGGGAAGGTTGGTCTTCAGTGGCTGGTGAGACTGGCAGGAAGGCGTCGCCATGAATGTTGCTAAATTTGTAGGTGGAAGGATGAGGTCACAAGAGCACTGGGAGGAATGAAAGAGGAAGCTGAAAACAGAGGCAGAAAGCCCTGATGGAGGGACCTAGGGTGCAGTGGAGATGGGGGCCCACATGCAGTGCTACACAGTGGCGAGATTCTTACCATTAGCTCCCAGCCACATGGGTGGGAGGAGGAGGGGTGAGCAGGGCGCAATCTCTGTAGGTTTAAGGACAAGGAAGAGATGTGGGATAACTGAGTGCCCAGCTGAGACCAGTGTGTTCTTATGAACCAGTGTGGGTTCTGGGCTGCATGGGAGGGAGGAGCTGCCAGGAGGGACTGATGCAAGGGGCAAGGGGCTGGCATCACTGTTCTGCAGGTCTCTGGGAAGAAAACCAGGTGTCTGAAGACTGGCAGGAAAGGCGGCTGTGGTCGAGGGGCGGACATGGGGATGTTAGAGTTCTGAGACCCGTCCCTCCACCCTGTGGTGACGACACTATTCTGGGACAATGCTGGGCGAGGGTGGCTGAAGTGGAAGAGCTCGCAGGCTCGAATCCTGGCTTTCTTGCATGAGATTGAGCGAGATACTTCACCTCTTTAGGCTTCCCCTGCAAATGGCGGTAATGATGGTGCTTCCATAATACGGCGTGTTACCATATGGCAAAGCAGAAGCAAGTTGGAGCCTGGAAGAAATGACCCATGTGGTGTCTTAGGCCAGGGCAATGCTTAATAAATGATTGCCACTATCGTCATCGTTGTCATCATCATCATAATGTCATAGAACCAGGGTTCTAGAAGGCTCTGTGGCAGGGAGTGGGAGGGTGATTAACAGGGGAAGAATTAGGAAAGAGGACACGCAAGACCACAGTAAGAGATGGAAATAAGAGTAAGTTTAGGGGCCGGGTGTGGGGAGGAAGCATTGCAGGCCCCCCAACTGCATGTGTTACGGAGATGGGAGCTTGTTTGGCTCCAGGTTTCTGATCTAGGCCCAGCTGAAGGTCTGCGGTAGAGCCTGGTCAGCTGTGAGGGAGACAGCGAGTGCCCCTGCAGGTGGGGCCTACCCTGGGCGTGTCTGGAGCATGGATGGACCCGCATGCCTGAATGCACTGCAAAGCCGGGCCATGCGGTGAGGCAGGGACGGGCCGCAGGGGAGTTTACCATGTGTAAACCCAAGGGTTTCTTTCTTCTTTGCCCTGTGCCTCAGTTTCCCCACATGTGGCATAAATAATTGGAGAAGGTGATGTTTTAGTTCCTTTCTGTACTGCCATTCTCTGATTCCAAGTCTCCCTTTCCTGATGTTTTTCTGAAATGCCACCCCACCCTCTCACCCTGAGTGGTGAGAAGCTCAAGTGGACAAGTCACACGGTTCTATGGGCATCAGGTGCTTCCCCTAACAAAAGGATGGTGCTTCTTGGATGGCCGTGAGCAAACCATTTGCACAGATCAGGGCTGCTGGAATACAGAGTGGAAACATGTTTGGGGGAAATAAGCCCAGTCCTCAAAGAGAGATGGCTCCAAGGCGAATTGTACCCAAAGGATGGTGGGGAATGTTCCATAGGTTTTCTGGGACCTCCTTGAGCAGTGTCTGTGGTTGGTTTTACCTGACAGAACCAAGGGGCGAGTAAAAATGAAAGTGGTCCAGGGAGGAAAGGAGAGGCAGGGCAGGGCATGGCCTCACTGTTCCAGCTTTCTTTATCAGTGCTGAATACCTTGACCTCTGCTTCAGATGGCAAGCTCGGTCTTGCAAACTGGTTAGCAAGTGGGGTTTGTTGTCCTCTCCAGTAGGTTTGGGGGCAGGGGGAAGCATGTCTTGTATCATCAACCCATTTGTGGAGTCCCAGGAGGTCTTGGCAACTGGACTTAAGGTCACTGAGAGGAAGCGGAGCCCTTCTAGCTGCTCCCCAACATGCACACCTGAGCCTGGGCATGCACAGCCAGGAGGCTGAGGACGTGAACTTGAAGAAGCAAGGAGGTCCGTCAGGAACAGCAGAACAAGGAGCAGGGAAGTGAAATGCAAATTGAAAATACCAGTTGCCTCAATGAGATATCATCCAACACCAGTCAGAACGGCTATCACTAAAAAGTCAAAAACTAACAGATGTTGGCATGGATGTGAACAAAAGGGAATGCTTATATATTGTTGTTGGGAATGTAAATTAGTTCCACCTCTACGGAAAACAGTATGGAGATTTCTCAAAGAAATAACAGAACTACCATTTAACCTGCAATCTCACTACTGGATATCTACCCAAAGGAAAGAAATCATTATATTATTCATCAAGTATATATTAATCATTATAATGTATACTTGCATTCATTACAGCACTACATATATTATTATATAATATATTCATTACAGCACTATTCACAATAACAAAGTTGTGGAAGCAGCCTTAGTGCCCATCAACAGTTGACTGGATAAAGAAAATGTGGTACATACACACCATGGAATATTACACAGCCATATAAAAGAATGAAGTTATGCCTTTTGCAGCAACATGGATGCTGCTGGAGGCCATTATCCTATGTGAATTAATGCAGGAACAGAGAACTAAACACCGTGTGTTCTCACTTATAAGTGGGAGCTAATCAGTGGGAACACACGGACATAAAATGGAGATAATAGACACTGGGGATTTCAAAAGGGAGTAGAGTGCGAGTGAGGCAGTTGTTGAAAAATTTCCCATCAGGGATAATGTTCACTGTTCGGGTAATGGATACACTAGAAGCCCAATTCTCACCAGTATGCAATATACTCGTGTAATAAACAGGCACAGGCATCCCCTGAATCTAAAATTTAAAAATAAATCACACACACACACACACACACACACACACACACAAGAAAATACCAATTGCCAAAGCCAAATCCTTCCAGAGCAGCATCGCCTGTCCCTCTGGGTCCCACCTCTGCCCAGCACAAAGGCCCCACGCACCAGGGTGCATATAGGGTCAGCACATCCTGCTGCTTCCAGAAACCAAAGCCGTTGGATGAGGATGCGGAGCCCCTGCCTCTTCCTTGAGCCACGCGACTTCCTGTTTTTGTTTCCCATCCTATGCTTTGCTGCAGGAGCAGGGCCTGCTGACAAGGAACGGGGTCCCGTAGAGGAATGCAATTGCGCCCTTGTTTGCCTGGCGCCCTGTTTGTTCCCCGCGCAGAACAATGACCTCTTGTAAGCCAGTGCTTTCCAACCTCACTGAGGGTTACTGAGCAGCCCCGATTCCTCCCCTGATTATCTTGACGCCTGTCAGACCGTGAGGTTCTCCCTCCCCCCTCTGCTCTTTCTTCCTAATAGACATGAAACAGTCCAGTCAATAATATTTTACTTGTCTTCCCACTGCGTGTCTCTTCTTCTGATCAGTTTAGGCGGGTTTGACTGCAGAAAGTCAGAAGGGAGGTTAAAATCTGAAAAGTTCAGCCAAATGTTATCAGCCTCAGAGATGTTGCTAAGGGAAAGGCCCCCGAGCCCTTGGTGACCGGAGCCAATAATAGCTGCGATTCACTGATAGCATCAACGCCTGTCAAAGATCCAGGCGTTTGTGGTTCGTCTGTAAACGCAAACACCTGTATCCAGTCAAGCTATGATGGTTATCCTCTCTTTCCCTGTCATTCCGATCGGTTCCTTGAAGGGGCTGCCAGGATGTTCTAAGCTGTGAGTTGATTTATAAAGTGAAGGGTCTCTCCAAAACTTTGGCATGGATGGGGAAATTGACGAAGGGGGCGCCTCTTTTTTAGCGGGTGATGTGGCGTTTTGACAATGATGAAGTTGACAGTCTTCTTTTAATTGCATTTTTGAACCCATGGCACCCGTTGCCCGAGCCGTGGGAAACAGAGGCTTAGGCATACTTTAACTACGTTAACACGTCCCCTTGAAAGGACACTTAGTGCTTGTTTGAGATTTTTGCATGTGATGAATTAGATCAAAGTGACTAATAAATAGTGTTCGGGTAAGCTCTTCAGAACACAGTATATGCATAGTTGTGATATTTTCAAGATTCAACAGGCAAGGTCCAAACTGTTAAATAAACTTTAGTAAGTGCAAGGAGAAGACAAAGCCTGTGCCAACCCTCCCAGTTGGGGCGAGATTGTGCGGGGCATCAGGTCTTTCTCAGTGAAAGACTTATTGACTCGGATGCTTGGGTGGTCAGCCACGGTGGCCTGGAAAACAGAGAGGAAACGTGGTCACATGGCATCCTTCCCAGGCCACATCCTCAGCCCCTCCACGTGGGTGCTTTTGTGGTTCCCTGGGAGCTCTGCCCCTCCTCTGCTGGGAATGTCCACGTGCACTTGCCTTCAATAAGCTCTGGCTTCCAATCCCAGCAGCATGAAGTTACAACTGCCCCAGCCACTCAATCCACGCCGTCCCCTTGTCCACATGACTCTGGATTTGGTACCATCTTGTCCATCTTATTTGTTTGTCCTCTCTCATCAGCAGCCTACAGCTCAGAGTAGAGGTTGGGGAAGAAGGGAAAAGAAAAAAGACTGGGGAACTGGGTCAGGGCAGGGCACTCAAGGGTATCAGCTAGCAGCACAGTCTCTGGAGTCAGAGCTGGGACAGCTGGACTCAACCACATGCTTGGACCACACTCTTCTCCAGCCTCAGTGTACCCACGTGTAAAAAGAGGGCGATGACAGTATTGGTTCACTTGCTGTGAGGATGATAGGAGACAATGTAGTGGGTCAAACAGTATAAAAATGGGACCCATGAAAATGGCAGTTTCACAGAGCACAACGTAACATGAGAAGCACTCAGCAAAATGCCAGGTGCTTAGCAAAACCTCTCAGTATCAGCGATTTCTCTTCTTCTTCCTCATACTCGTTATTTTTATTTTCCATCTTCCCAACACTTCTGGATGAGAAAAGTGTAATTTGGACCTGGGATTAGTGGAAAAAAAAAACCCTTGGGTATTCAACTAATATTAATGTAAAGCATAGAGTAACAAAAAAATTACAGTGATTTAATCAAGAGCAATTCAGTGCAATTCATATGTAGGCATCACAGGCTCCCTTTGAAAGCCTAGAAGAAGGCAAGGGAGATGTGGGCGTACCCTGTGGCCAGTCTCCACGAGTGATGCCCACTGGATCTGGCTGGAGATGTTCATTATACGCTGAGTATTTAAAAGCTCACAAGCCAGATGATTCTCAGTGCTGTCAGGGTAACAAAAGCCTAATTTGGTTTTTTTTTTTTTCTTTTTGCCTGTAAAGAGAATGTCGAGATGCATTGGTTCCATCCTTTTTAATTGTTCCTATATATTTTACTTCAAAATAAAAGGACCACAGTGAGATGATGCTCTGGCCACATGTGCCAGGGAGGAGGTGGCACCCCATGTTGGCTCCTCAGGTGAAATGTTGCTTTTGATGGGGCCTGCGGGTAACTGGTGAAGACTGTATAAATGACTGGATTGGAACAATTTGCAAGACCTCCGTGGAGAAGGGTCTGCTTACCCTGCCCCTTGTTTTCCATTCCCCTCACTTAACCCCTTATTGTTTTATGCTTTGAATTGTGCAATAGCCTCTGAAAACCTTCAGTCTTCTTCCTGCAGTATGAAGTGGAAATCGTTCTCAGCAATGATGGACGTGGTCTCACTTCTGCTCAGAAACCCATAGGGCCAGTTTCCCACAGCCTGGTGAATGTACTTGTATATCTGCTACTGCAAAACCGTGAAACTGTGTGATATGGTTTAGTTCTTTGTCCCCACCCAAATCTCATCTCAAATTATAATCCCCACATGTGGAGGGAGGGACCTGGTGGGAGGTGATTGGATCATGGGGGTGGTTTCTCCCATGCTATTCTCATGATACTGAGTGAGTTCTCATGAGAGCTGGTGGTTTTAAAGTGTGGCACTTCCTCATTCTCATTCTTTCTCTCTTCCTGCTGCCTTGTAAGACGTGCAAGCTTCCCTTTCGCCTTCCACCATCATTGTAAGTTTCCTGAGGTCTCTCCAGCCATGCAGAACTTTCAGTCAACTCTTTTGTTTATGTCACCCAGTCTCAGGTAGTATCTTTATAGCAGTGTGAGAAAGGACTAATATACTGTGTTTAATTGATCATGGTTTGGTAGGCTCAAACTAAGATTTACATGTTTACTTAAAGAAGGCAAATAACTCTATGGCTTGCAAGGGACTGGTTTAAGCACTGAAAGCCCCCTGTCCTGGGAAAGTCCTCAGTCCCAGGAAAACCAGGATGGCTGGTCACTCTAGGTTAAGGAGAAAAGCATCTGGCCAGGCATGGTGGCTTATGCATGTAATCCCAGCACTTTGGGAGGCCGAGGTGGGCAGATCACCTGAGATCAGGAGTTCGAGACCAGCCTGGCCAACATGATAAAACCCCATCTCCACTAAAAATACAAAAATTAGCTGGGCATGGCGGTGCACACCTGTAATTTCAGGTACTTGGGAGGCTGAGGCAAAAGGATCACTTGAACCCAGGAGGTGGAGGTTACAGTGAGCTGAGATCATGCCATGCACTCCAGGTTGGGTGATAGAGTGAGACCCTGTCTCAAAAAAAAAAAAAAAAAAAAAAAGAAAAGCAGAAAAACAAAGCACCTTACACCTGTAAGTTTGAAGGGGGAGAAAAAACAGCAAATAAGAAAATGAGATTTAAAATGGACAGGTGCAGAGAGTTCAACAGAATCAGGTACAACTGGTTATTTTTGGACACTCTTTACAGAATATGTCAAAATTCCAACAGCAAGTGAATTGCTGTAGTGTGAACTAGAATGAAATTTCATTTTGATTGTGAAATAAGTAATAAGAGAAATTGTGTCCTGTTCCCTCCCTACCAACCCCTCTAACTAGATTATTTTTTTAAGAGACAGGGTCTTGCTCTGTCTCCCAGGCTGGAGTGCAGTGTCGTGACTATAGCTCATTGCAGCCTCCAAATCCTGGGCTCAAGTGATCCTCCCCCCTCAGCTTCTCAAATACCTGGGACCACAGGTGTGCACTACTATACCCGGCTAATTTTTTTGTTTGTTTTGTAGAGAGAGGGACTCACTATGTTGCTCAGGCTGGTCTGGAACTCCTGGGCTCAAGTAATCCTTCTACCTCAGCCTCCCAAGGTGCTTGAATTATAGGCGTGAGCCACTGTCATTTCTCTTTCTTCCTTCCCTTCCTTCCCTCCCTTCCCTTCCTTCCCTTCCTTCCCTTCTCCCCTTCTCTCCTTCTCTCCTTCTTTCTCTCTCTTTCTTTCTTCTCTTTCTTTTTCTTTCTTTCCTTCTTTCTTTCTTTCTTTCTTTCTTTCTTTCTCTCTTTCTTTTCTTTCTTTCTCTCTTTCTCTTTCTTTCTTTCTTTCTTTCTTTCTTTCTCTCTCTCTTTCTTTCTTTCTTTCTTTCTTTCTTTCTTTCTTTCTTTCTTTCTTTCTTTCTTTCTTTCTTTCTTTCTTTCTTTCTTTCTTTCTTTCTTTCTTTCTTTCTTTCTTTCTTTCCTTCTTTCCTTCTTTCTTCCTTTCTTTCGCTGTGGGCTTGCCCTGCAAGGTGGCTGCCCTTTGATAGCAGCTCTGAAAATCAGGTCTTTAGGGGTGGGCAAATGAGTCCTTTGATCAAGTTTGGTGTCCCCACTTTGGTGTCCAAAGCAAGCCAGTTTCTGGATGAGGGGCTGTATCTGCATAGCAGGTCCCCCCTCGCCATCCCCTGGGGGCACCCCAGCCTTGAGTCAGCTAACTGGGGGCAACTGAATATAGAGAGAAACAGCTCAGCTCATGCCCAGACTTTTCCTTTTCAAGTCTTTCAATTAATATTATCTTCTAAAGTTAACATGTAGATATAAGTCATTAATGCGTCATGAATATGTATTCTGTTGTTGATAAAACATTCTCTCTCTCTCTCTCTCTCTCTCTGTCTGTCTCTCTTTTGAAAACTGAATCTCTGGGGAATTTGAACCCATGAAGATTTGCAGTGCAGGTGAGGAAGCACACAGTGGTGACCACCTCCAGGTTCAGCCCCATGGCTGCTATGGTTGCCACTCCCAGGGGCTCAACCAGAAGATGCAATCTTTCGCATCAAAGTAGAATTCACAGTCGCTGCACACCAGCCCCTCGTTCTAACAGTGAAACTCCAGCCACCTCAAGGGTTCCTCCATAGCTGTAGAAACTGTGTCTTCCCTCCCCAGCACTGGTCTCCTTAAGAATTGACCTTTGAGACTGTGTGTTCAGTAATGTCTCCAGTTTTGCTTGGTTAAACATGGAAAAATGTTCCTCTAGATAGAACCAGCTCCCCATTTATTTCAGAGCACCCTGTCTCTGACGTAATGCTGCCTGGTTTATGGCCTCGTTGCTCTGCGTTTCGAGTTGAGTAATGCCTGCTGGTGCAGGAGGCACCACCTACGTAACCACAGGAAGGGGCATCATCCAGGCAAGGCTTCCAGGCATCTGTTGGGAAATAGCTTCCTTTGTGCCAGACAAATGAATGTTTTTCACATTTCTCACAAAAGGAAAAGGGTTGCATGGTGGAGGTTAACATAACAATCTTCTCCTATTACAGTGATTTATGTGTGCATAACTTCAGCAGCAGAATGTCATCGAGGAGGTCTTTAATTGGCAGACTTCAGGGACCACAGAGGGAGAAGACAGAGTGAGCTCTGGAGAAATGAGAGTGTAGGCTGCCATTCCCAGCTCATCCCCTCAGAGGAGGTCTAAATAAATCTCCTGGGGAAGGCAGTCAACTTTTAAACTTTTTATTAACCTGATCTTGGCTAATGAAATACAAAAAGGAGGAGATGATCTTCAACTTCAGATGATTTGGATCTCCTGATGCGGCAAATGACTGCCTAGGTTTCTTGAGACAACGAAACACAAGTCCTCTGGCAATTTTCATTCAAAGACAACAATACTGCAATTTGCAGCCTTTATGACTTCAATGAGTCACTTGGTCTCATCTTGCCACAAAGGATATAATCATGTATTTTTAGGCATGTCAAAAGATGTGTTTTCTTTTGTGAACAGATTCTGAGCCTTTGGATAGAGGTGTTGTTTTTAAATGAAATCGTTGCTGCTTTGGTGACGTGATGGGTTTCAGATAAGAGTCTTTAACCTCTCAGAACGTTGCTAACTGTCTGGAAGGTCGGGCATGCAATGGAATAGAGAGGGACTTCTTTGACAGCACCATCCTAATATCTGTGTCACTATTAGGAATGCTGAGGTCTTTCCAAAATCATGATCAACGACTTTGGAAACATCTGTGTTTACATGGCCTTAGAGATTGCGTGGGCCTTTCTAGGCATTAAACTCCAGCACCTGCAATGCAGTGGTTCCCAAACTGTGGGCCAAGTGCTTTCATGGGTCACTAGGTTTTTGAAAGAGGACTAAGCATTTCTATGCTTTCATTTATTTTCCAAGTCACAGTATACTAAAAATACAACGTTTTAAATTAGGTTCCCCCAGAAGCAGACACTGTTACAAGAATTAGAGTGCAAGTTGTTTCTTTCAGTGGTGGTTGCAGGACACACTGGTAGGGGATGGGGAATGGAGGTATGATGGTTAATTTTATGTGTCAACTTGGCTGGGCCACGGTGCCCAAATATTTAGTGAAAATTGTTATGGATGTTTTTGGATGAAAGTAACATTTATATCAGTAGACTTTGAGTAAAGCTAATTGCCCTCCATAAAGTGGGCATCCAGTTATTTGAAAGTCTGAATAGAACAAAAGACTGACCTCCCCTGAGCAAGAGAGAATTCTGCAGCAGACAACCTTCCAACTGGAACAGCATCACTGGTCCTTCCTTGGGTGGGTCTCCAGCCTGCAGGCCTAACCAGCAGATTTTGGACTTGCCAGCCTCCAAAATCATGTGAACCAATTCCTTTAAGTGAATTTGGCTCTCCATATACAATCATGCATTGCTTAACCATGGGGATACTTTCTGAGAAATGCATCCTTAGGTGATTATGTCATTGTGTGAACCTCATAGCGTACATACACAAACCTACATGGTATGGCCTACTACACGCCTAGACTATACGGTGTAGCCTATTTCTCTCAGGCTACAAATCTGTGAGCATATTACTGTACTGAATACTACAGGCAACTGTAATGCAGTGATAAGTACTTGTGTTATCTAAACAAATTTAAACATAGTGCATTCTGCTATGATGTTGTATTAGCCCGTTTTTGCGCACTGATAAAGACATATCCGAGACTGGGTAATTTATAAAGAAAAAGAGGTTTAATGGACTCAGTTTCACATGATTGAGGAGGCCTCACAATCATAGGAGAAGGTGAAAGAAATGTCTTACATAGTGGCAGGCAAGAGAGAACATGTGCAGGGGAACATCCCCTTTATGGAACCATCAGATCTCATGGATTTATTCACCATCATGAGAACAGCACGGGAAAGACCTGCCCCCATGATTCAATTACCTCCCACTGGGTCCCTCTGATGACACAGGGAATTATGGGAGCTACAATTCTAGATTTGGATGGGGACACAGCCAAACCATATCAGATGTTATTGACAGTCATGATGGCTAAGACATCACTGAGCGATAGAAAATTTTCAGCTATATTTTTATCTTATAGGAGCACCATGGTAGATGTGGTCCATCGTTGACCAAAATGTTGTTATGCAGTGTGTGTATACACATCCCATTGACTCTGTTTCTCTGGAGAACTCTGGCTAACATAGGTGGTCTTTAGGCCTTAATCCCATCTAGCCCGAGAGAAGAAGGGAAGGGAAGGAGACTGATACAGAACACATTGAATGAGCAGATTGCTTTGCCTGGCAGCTGGGAGCTCTGGGAATGTAAAAAAATCCTGAGTTGTTCCAAGTAAGGGAGGAAATGGCTGGGTATGAATCCATCAACTCCTATCTGCTACTGGTGGAGTGGAGGGCTGTCCTGGGGCGTTAGCCCTCTGGTGCATGCTTGCAGCAGACACCCTTGATGCCTGTACTAGAACTCTGAGTGCTAGAGCAAGGCACGGAGGTGATGTACAAATACTACCATGTTAGGGTCTGTACAACTTTATGCTTAAGGGACTACTATAAGCATACTATACATGTGGGGGAAGGGGACTCTGGAATGCAGAGTTGCAAGAATATATTATGGGCTTCGTCTTTAGGATATGGGAGATTCTATGTATGACTTTGCATGGCTTAGTGTTGCCTGGGTTTGGTGTGGTCCAGCATAAGCAGAGTGGTCAGTACATCCCTGATGTGAGCCAGTGGGTAGAGAGATTGCTACAGTCTATTAATGGTCCTTCCACATGCCTGACAGGTATATGGATCCAGAGAAGAGTTGAACCTAGTGTTGGTTATATCTAAAGGCACCAGGGGTATATGTCCTGAAGGATATGATTCATTGGTTGAGGTGGGTGTTTGGTTTCTTCATTGTAGGCAAGCGCTTTATTTTCATCTTAATGTCAAAATACCTGCAGCTAAACTAGCTCACCATCTAAGTCTTTCAGACGGACTCTGCTTCTAGCCTTGTGTTTCTATCAGAGTCTCTTCCACCCTTCCCTTTTCCCAGCCAGGACCACGGGGGCAGCTCTGCCTCTTTCCTGCTATTTCTTCAGCCAAGTAATTTTAACACTCCATTCATCTTTCCTTTGAAGAGCCTCTCCATCCTTACTGTCTTTTTTATTTTATTTTTCCAAGTTTCTACATGCAGCATTCATTTTTATTTCATTTTTTCAAGATTATTTTGGTCTTATTTTATTATATTATTTCTTTGAGACAGGGTCTTACTCTGTTGCCTGGGATGGAGTACAGCGACACCATCACAGCTCACTGTAGCCTCGAACTCCCATGCTCCAGTGATCCTCCTGCCTCAGCTTCCCAAATAGCTGGGACTATAGGCATACACCACCATGTCTGGCTAATTTTGTTGTTGTTTCTGAGACAGAGTCTTCCTCTGTTTCCCAGGCTAGTCTTGAACCCCTGGCCTCAAGCAATCCTCTTGCCTCGGCCTCCCGAAGTGTTGAGATTACAGGCATCAGCCACAGCACCCAGCTGTCCTTACGATCCTGACTTTTGTTATTACTGGAGAGGAAGATGAGCGTGCTACCCCCTATTTTACATTAAAAAAATTATTTTGCTCATAGCAAGAAGCTCACATGTTTCAGAGGTCTACCAGGCAGAAGTATGATCTGTTTTCCTGTCTGCCTCTCTGGGGCAATGGCTGCACCATACCTACCTGTATATACTTGGAACAGCCCATGTATAATAAGTGGTAAAATACACCCAGAGTAATAATTCCATATGTTTAACAACCAATGTGCCAGTGAGACTGCTTCTCCCTGCCTCTGCAAGCTCCAAAGGGTGCCATCGTTTTATAATCTTGTGGGCTGGGAGAACAGGCCCTTTAAAACTCAAAGTGGTTAGGGTGTTCTAATGGCTCTCGCTTTCCTTCTGTAAAAACCCGTGTGTCTGTGGGGCTCGTGTGCCACTACTCACAAGGTGACAGCGGTGATCAGAAATGTAATTTTCAATATTTATGATTGAAAATGTAATTTAGAAATGAAAGAAAGGGCACTTGTTCCCCCTTAGCTCGAAGTGAAATCATTGTTTTGAGAGGTGTTCTTTGTACAGTTAATCTGGCCAGTGTAATTTACCACACCACGGCTGAATTGTAAGTCTGGTGCTCTATTCATCAAATAAGAATTATTTGTGCAAAATGCATATGAATTAGTGGGTGTTGTGTGGTGCAGTGGTGATTTGATTTCAGAAATCTGGCAAAGGCAGGACTTCAGTGAGCTAAGTCTGCAGTGTCACCTCCAGGGCACTGGTTCCATAAAAAGGTCAACAGCTGAGGTTGGCCATGTGTGGAAGCTGTCAGGTCAGGGTTTTGGGTCTTTCTCCCATTTTGCCCGTGAGGCACTAGCCCACTTTGATGTGACCAAGGGATGTCAACAAACTTAGAAAACCTATGGCTTGTTGAGCTATGTAGCTTGGCCTGCACTGTGTGTGTGTGTGTTTAATTTTCCATTTTAAAATAATTTAAGATGCACACAAAGTTGCAAGTATAGCACCAAGAATTCTCCTGTATTCTTTCCCCACCTTCCCCCAATGGTAACATCTTACATGACCATAGCACATTATCAAAACCAGGAAACTGGCATTGGTACAATATTATTAACTGAACTATAGACCTTATTTGAATGACATGTGAATGTTTTAAAAATTGAATTCGTTGCCAGCATTTTACTGTAGGGTGAGGTCATGCAGAAGTAAGAAGATTTATTCATACTGAGCCTGTGTTCTGCAGGGGAACAGCAGTGAGCGCTGAGTCACAGCAGCCCCTCCTGGAGAGGGACAGGCTCCCCAGTTTGCTCTGCTCCTCTCCACTGCATAGGGACGTATGCCTCACTAGCTTCGGTCATTTACTCTGCCTGCTGTGTCCTTGTAGGGATTTAAGTCTGCAATGCCTGTAATAATAGCTGCAAGTTCCCGAGTGGTAGCTGGGGGCTGAGAACCATGCCCTTGCAGAAGAACCTCTGCTTTAAGGAGTGACCACCCCAGGGGCCAGGTGCTCAGCAGAGGAATTCCCTTTGGAGAGCAGTGGAGTTTTTCTGTACAATACACATAGTGGATAGTGGAACCACTCACCACTCACCACAAATAGTGAGATGTTCATGAGATGTGATATGTGCTCATGGCCAAACTGCAGATGCCCAGATGCAGTTGTTTTACCAAAAGCCTGTGGTATTGCTGGGGCTAAAGACACGTTTCAGGGTGTAGCAGTGCCTCTTCTGGCTCCTGCTAGCCCTCTGGCTGAACTGCATGGCATTTTGTGGTCCTTGGTTATGCTTTTGCAAAGCCATGGGATAGATTTGGAGGCAGATATGCACTTTCACACTCCTCTTGTGATGGCATTTAATTCATAAGCAAGATAGGCATTGGGTCCTGGTTCTAAGAACAGTCTGCTGTCTTTTCAAGGACAAGGAAGATGGAGGATTGGATGCAGGTGCAGTTGAACTGAAGCCTCTGAGACACTCCCTGGAGAGGTGTCAATGCCGCAGAGGGCTTTGTAAACATAGAGCCCTTGGCAGGGGCCATCGTCTCCTCCCCCAGTTCAGTTCAGAAAACACTTGCTAATGCCAGTATGCAACAGGCACAGTGCTCGGTGCTGGGGCATCACAGATTAGCAAGTCTTTGGGGAGCTCCTATCTTTGGGGAGCTCTCGGGGCTCTGGGAAAGAACCATTTGCACCAAGAAGTAGATGAAAGACAGGGTGCTATTTCACCAGAGCGCACTGGAAAAGCAAGTGACGCAATGCATGCTGCCGGGACATCTGAGGTGGAGGCTCTGTGTATCCAACCAGCAGACTCCCATGCATGCGGCATGCATGCTCCAAAGAGCAAACACCAAAGTAGCAAGTACTTTTTTTCTTTTTAGAAGGCTGTGAGGGAAAGCAGGTGGGTGAGTGGTAATGGGAGTGGGGAAGGCCACAAAATGAACATCTGGAAAGAGAGACAAACAGAAACTCCCTTTCTCTGCAGAGCGGCTGTTCCTCCCCGGCCTCACAGTGCTAGTGAATTAGTTCTGGATTCTCTTAGTAATTAATAGCATTTAAGTTCCAGGGTAGTCAGTTTTGATTAAGCAAACATTAAATTAATCCAATCTGCAAACACTTACTCTCTAAGCACTACTGGGGGAGAGAGGCGGCTGGATGGACAGATGGATGTGTTCTCATTGGATTGCGGGCCACCTCCGAGTAGTTACAGCTGGATCAATACGGCTCCTAGAGCTATAATAGAATGGCTTCGACATGCTCATCTGTGGCTGAGAACACAGTATACACATTGATTTCCTGGCCTGATATAACCCATTTACCTATTCAGCTACTCCGTTCAGGAAGGTGGAGGGGTCCCCAGGCCCAAGGGAGCAATGATGCCTGTAAGTAGGTTAGCAAATGCTTGGGAAATGTCTTAATTGGTGACATGGTTCCTCCTTTTGGAAGGCACATTTCTTTGTAAAGAAAAGGCCTCCTTAGAATCATATTGGCTTTGTCTCGGGGAGCAGGAGAAGTTGGGGTGTCACCGTTTCCGCTCATGAGGATTTGCCCTTTCCATCATTGAAATCTTTGGTGTTGAACAATTGTCTTAGTTCATGGAGCATAAAGGGCTTCACTTTGAAGTGCATTCCAGGTATGTCTTTGACTCTGACTTACTTGGGTTTGGGACGCTCATAGAAAATGCACCAGGATCACTCAGACAGGGAGCATGCTCTCCTACATCTATTTTTGCTTTCCAATATAATTTATTTTATTTATTTTTATTTTTTGAGACACGGTCTTGCTCTGTCGCCAGGCTGGAGTGCAGTGGCCTGATCTCAGCTTACTGCAAACTCTGCCTCCCAGGTTCAAGTGATTCTCCTGCTTCTGCCTCCCGAGTAGCTGGGATCACAGGCATAAGCCACCACATCTGGCTAATTTTTCTATTTTTAGTAGAGATGGGATTTTGCCATGTTGGCTAGACTGATCTTGAACTCCTGACCTCAGGTGGTCTGCCTGTCTTGGCCTCCCAAAGTGCTGGGATTACAGGCGTGAGCCACCGCACCTGGCCCATTTTCCAATATAATTTAAAAAGAAATAGCTGGACTCAGTGGCTCATGCCTGCAATCTCAGTACTTTGAGAGGCTGAGATGGGAGGATCACTTGAGGCCAGGAGTTTGACACCAGTCTGGGCAACATAACAAGACTCTTTCTCTACAAAAAAATAAAAAATAAAAAAAATAGCCAGCACAGTGGTATTCCCAGCTACTTGGGAGGCAGTGGCAGAAGGATCCCTACGGCCCAGGAGTTTGAGGCTACAGTGAGCCTATTGCACCGCTATACTCCAGGGTAGGTGGCAGAATGAGACCCTGCCTCTAAAAAATATTTTAAAAAGAAAAAAGAAATAAAGCTGTTTTACATAAATTAAGGAGATGGCATGGTGTATCGCATTTAGGGATCAGTGCAGTTTTTGGAAGTGAAGAGGCTGATGTTTTAAAACCAGCCAATGAGAACTGGCTCCCACCCCCTGTAAAATAGTCATGTTATCCATATACTTATTAAAATGAAGTTATTATTGCCATAAGAATTTTTGTTCTGACTCTTCTTCTGTGTTCTACCTTTAGGAATATTCCTGATTTCCACTGGATGACTTTGACTGGTATGATTTCATTCTCTGAAAGTGTTAACCAGGGTGCAGCATGGCCAGAAACCATTCCGAGCCTCATGAAGTGGGCAAGTCAGGTTTGGTCATTTTTGGTAAGAAACCGCTTCCCAGAGAAGTGAAGCAATGAATTTGCGAGTTGTAGTGCTTTCCTTTCACCTGTCGAATAATCTGGACAGTGTTCTAGGATTTTCTCATGAAAATCTGGCTGATGTTGAAGCCCTGAGGTTTGGGGAATGAATTTCAATCATTGAGCCAAAGTGGATTTCCATTTAGGATTTTGTGGGAGGTCTCCCGAGTCTCAGGAGTGATCACGATGATGCCATTTAGGACAGCGGTCCCCAACTATTTTTGCACCGGGATCGGTTTTTGTGAAAGACAATTTTTCGACGGACCAGCGGGGATGGTTTCAGGATGATTCAAGTGCATTATATTTACTCTGCACTTCATTTATTTCTATTATTATATTGTAATATGTAATTAAGCAATTATACAACTCACCATAATGTAGAATCAATGGGAGTCCTGAGCTTGTTTTCCTGTTTCATCTTGGGGTGATGGGAGACAGTGACAGATCATCAGGCCTTAGATTCTCATAAGAAGCCACAACCTAGATCCCTCACATGTGCAGTTTACAATAGAATTTTGGCTTCTGTGAGAATCCAATTCCACTGCTGATCTGACAGGAGGCAGAGCTCAGGCAGTCATGCAAGTGATGGGGAGAGGCTATAAATGCAGACGAAGCTTCACAGGCCTGCTCGCTGCTCACTTTCTGCTGTGCCGCCTAGTTCCTAACAGGCCAGAGACCACTTGGTTTAGGAGGTAGAGCTTAGTTAAAATCCACAGTTTTTTTTTTTCTATTATGATTGGCTGCCATTTCCTTCAAAATCATGCTTTCCTTGAGAGATCAAAACAAATGTCAAGTTTGCACCATTTCATTTCTCTCTTGACCTCTTTAGCAGTCTTAAAAGATATTTTCCTTGTACTCAAGCTTTTTTTTTTTCAGTCTGTTACTTCATCTAAACAGAACCCTGCACATTCCTACTGTTCCTTCAGAATTTGGAGGTGCCATCAGTGTCATCCTGAACATCTTCCTGACCTGCTTCTGTTTTGGCCATGTGCTACATCTCTGGACAGAGGTCTAGGCCTTAGAAGCTTCTTGAATGTGCTGGACTTTTCATTTGGGGAGCTCATAGAGAATGTACCAGGATCACTCAGACAGGAAGCATGCTTTCCTACATCTATTTTTGCTTTCCAATATAATTTAAAAAGAAATAGCTGGACTTGGTGGCTCATGCCTACAATCCCAGTGCTTTGGGAGGCTGAGGTAGGAGGTTTGCTTGAGGCCAGGAGTTTGAGACCAGCCTGGGCAACATAGCAAGACTCTGTCTCTAAAAAAAAATGAAATAAGAAAATTAGCCAGGCACAGTGGTGAGCACCTGCATTCTCAGCTACTTGGGAGGCTGCGGCAGCAGGATTGCTTGAGCCCAGGAGTTTGAGGTTGCAGTGAACCTATTTTACCACTATACTCCAGACTGGGTGACAGAATGAGACCCTGTCTCTAAAAAAAAAAAAAAAAAGAAAGAAAAAAACTTATAAAAAGAAATTTTGCAGTTGTGTTTAGCTCATCATTTCCAAGTGGAGTTCAGCCATGAGATATTCATAAACTCTTCAACGTGTTAAAGTTACAAAGAACTAAAGACCAGGTCAACCAAGGACCCATGACATCCCTCCTTAACTGACTAGTTAAGGGTCAGTTAACTGGTCACTTATCTACTCAGTAAACTTTCTGTTTTTTTGAGACAGGGTCTCACTCTGTCACCTGGGCTGGGATGTGATGGTGTAATCACTGTCCACTTCAGCCTAGAACTCCCGGGCTCAAGTGATCCTCCTGCCTTGGCCTCCCGAAGTGCTGGAACTACGGGTGTGCACCGCCACATTCGACCAAGGCCAGGTTAATTTTTCTTCCTTCTCTGGAGCATTTATTAATATTAACATCTTGATTGTTCTATGGAACAGAGTTTGGAAAATGATACTTTAAGTTCACATAGAATTCGTTCTTTGCCCTAATGATGATAGTTAATATCTGTTTATCATTTACTTTTAAAGAGTGCAAATACGCTGATTTGCCTGAACTAGCTCCTTCAGTCCTCACAAAAGAAATCTTAGGAAGCAGGGACCATTATTATTTTTCATTTTATTTTTTTTGAGACAGAAGTTTGCTCTGTTGCCCAGGCTGGAGTGCAGTGGTGCGATCTTGGCTCACTGCAACCCCCACCTCCCAGGTTCAAGCGATTCTCCTGCCTCAGCCTCCTGAGTAGGCATTACATTCCTCCTGAGTAGGAATTACAGGCGTGCACCACCACGCCTGGCTAATTTTTGTATTTTTAGTAGAGATGGGGTTTTGTCATGTTGGCCAGGCTGGTCTTGAACTCCTGAACTTGGCCTCCCAAAATGTTGGGATTACAGGCATGAGCCACTGTGCCTGGCCACAGGGGCCATTATTGAGACCCCATGTCACAGTGAGGAAAGTAGGATGTGGAGAGGCTCAGTAACTTGCCCAGGGTCACAGAGCAAGGGCATGGCAGAACCGGGGTTTAGTCCCCAGAAGTCTGCAGTAGGACCCAAGCACGTGGTCACCAGTTTTTATCTGCCTCAGAATTGCTAGTTTTTACGTGAATAAATAGCTACTCTAGGTTCTGTTGAACTGGCTCAAGTCAGAGGTTGAATTCTTGACTTAGGAAAAAAATAGATGACATGTCCCCAACAGGAGCATTCTTCCTTTGTTTCTAGAGGACACACAAAATATACTGAGTACTTTTCATCATTGCACATATTTGTTCATACTTTTGGAAATAGCTAGGGTCACATGGTGACAAAGTGTAATGTGCTGTTGGATGGGCTGTGGGCACTGTGGCCCCGCCATCTTTCTGTGGCTGTTTAACTTTGCCCTTGTGGATAGAGGTAGTGAGTGAAGGTAGTTTAGTGGCATCAACCTTCCACCAGCTCCTTTATTCTAATCTCTTAAATGATTCTTGTGCGTGTTTGATGTTAACTCTGCCTTTTGATGTGGCATCCTCTTTATTAGGTGGTATAGAATACAGCTTTTAATATCAGTGTGTGTCTTACACATGTGTTCAGAGAACACATTACATTAGAAGGTGCTGGGAAGGAAAAAGAGGCTAGTGATCTTAAATGTGTCCAAGTGCCTTTATGAGATGCAATCAACCATGTCTTAATTCCCTCTATCCATCATTAGTTGAGTGGTGAAAATATATGCAAAAGAAAATGAAAGCCGGGCAGTAAGGTGGTGAAGAGGTTTTACAAATTAAATTATTTGAGTATATGATTCCTCAGATAGAAGGATATTGTCCAAAGGACTCTTTAATTATTATTCACTTCCTTTGGTGCACAAGAGAATACTGTCAGGGCCACAAGAGCACTTCACTGCAGTCAAATTAAAAGGATAACTATCTGACGTAGGGCTGTGTCTACACTCGATGAAATACGCTGCAGGTGGGCCTTCTCTATGTCTCAGATTGACAGGCCTTTGCTTTTGTAAGAAAGAGCTGGCTGCTGATGTGGTGATCTTGGTCAGATGTCTCATTAATGGCTGGGTGGGTGATTGTCCTGAACCTTCTCCCTCTGCAGATGGCTCAGCTGTCCCTGAGTCCTGATCCCCTTTTTCTTTAAGAGTCATATATTCTGACCAAATGAGCTTCATAACCATCTAGTCTAATATTTACTCTGGAGAAAGCCCAGTGGTCCAAAACTCTTTTCCATTTTTAACAAAAAGTATGGGGTCTAAGTGTAGAACAAAGAGAAAACAGTAACAGCCAAAAAAAAATTGATTTCTGTCCTTTGAATTCTTCCATCAGGAGAATTCACCTGCTTGAGTGTGCTTGAAATGGGAACACTCTGGGGATACAAGGTCATGGCTGTGGGTGCCTGGGCTCCCCTACCCAGGATGTTTTGGGAATTGGCCTGAAATTTACGATGAGTTTTGGGCATGATCATTGCATTTTGATCAAAAGCACAACCTAAAGGTTATCCCAAAGAGGTAGTGGGAGATCAAACCATCCCAGGGTCAGTAATGGGCAGTGGGCCTAAGACACTGCAAAGCAGGGCACCGTAGGAAAAAAAAAACAAATCTGAGTGGCCATCGTGGGCATAAATCAAGACATTTTGGACTTTCTTGAACTTCATTTAGGTTTACTATTCATATTTTAGGGTTTTTTTTTTTTTTTTTTTTTTTTTTTTGAGACAGGGTCTCACTCTATTGCCCAGGCTGGAGAGCAGTGGTACAATCTTGACTCACTGCAACCTCCGCCTCCTGGGTTCAACCGATTCTCCTGCCTCAGCCTCCTGAGTAGTTGGAATCAAAGGCATGCACCACCACGCCTGGCTAATTTTTTTGTTTTTAGTAGAGATGGGTTTCACCATGTTGGCCAGGCTGGTCTGGAACTCCTGACCTCAAGTGATCCGCCCACCTTGGCCTCCCAAAGTGTTGGGATTACAGGCGTGAGCCACCACGCCTGGCCTACTATTATGGTTTTAAGTTATGCACTATTGCAGAGGGCACCAGGGAGCCCTGTAGTTTTTCAGATCATCTTGCCGGGGCTCAGCCTTCTCTGGGATGAATCTGATACTGGGAGAGACTCACAGGCCCCCCCATCCCTCCTGCTCTTCTCTCCTACTCCTGGCTTCTGTTTTCAGTGACTCCCAGGACACAGGTGAGTAGCTCATCAGGAAAGAGACTGAGAAAGAGAGAGTGAGAAAATTGCTGATAGGTGGTTATTAGCTGCACATAAACTGTAATCTTGACTCACCTTATGGGTGTAATAATTACCAAGGCTCCCCTCTACGGAGCACTGTGGCTTTGTGAAGGAATTAAGTGATGGCCTTTATTAACCCCGCAAGACAGGGTCAGGTGGGTGTGCAAAGCTGCCATTATCCACACCTGCGAGGTGTGCTCATTTGCTGGGGGCTTTAGATGTGTTCTTCTACCTTTTAGGTGGCTTCAAGCGCAGTCCTCATTCACATCCTGGTGTTCATAGTTACAGAGAGTTAAAATAAAAAAAAATCTGGTCAATGGCAAAAAAGCAACAAGACAAAGAAATACCTGGAGATTTTATTTCTCTGAAATGAGGTGCCTCCACACCATCTTTGTTATTGACTCTTAGCTGCCATATTTTGTATTTGGAAATCTTCACCTTCCTCCAGATTGGCTTTAATGATGGCTCTGTCAGAGATTTTCCTGTTTACCATTTGCCTGAGCATTGATTTGGACAAAGAATCGTCTCTCTGCTGCCAGACAGTTTAGGTCTTGATCTATTTTCTGTTTAAAAAAAATCTTCCTTACTGACATTTAGGGCAAATGGGTGGTAGATGAGGGGGGACAGGAGAAAATATCCACTCTCTCTCCACCTTCAACTCCCCACAGCTTCCCTGTGCTGATGACATTCTATGATTCTTGGCTTATCATGAAAAAAGAACAATCTTTTTTCCATATTCATAACTAATACATGCTCACTGAGAAAAATTTAGAACATGCGTAAAGAAAATTATAAAATGAAAATAATCTGTAACCTCAGCACTCAGAGATGGTCACTGAACATTTTGAAATACATCATCCTGGCCAGGCGCGGTGGCTCATGCCTGTAATCCCAGCACTTTGGGAGGCTGAGGCAGGCGGATCATTTGAGGTCAGGAGTTCGAGACCAGCCTGGCCAACATGGTGAAACCCCGTCTTTACTAAAAATGCAAAAATTAGCTGGGCATGGTGTCAGGCACTTGTAATCCCAGCTACTTGGGAGGCTGAGGCATGAGAATTGCTTGAGCCTGGGAGGCAGAGGTTGCAGTGAGCAGAGATCATACCATTGCACTGCAGCCTGGGTGACACAGCAAGACTCCGTCTCAAAACAGTAACAGCAACGACAACAAAATCATCCTATTGTTTCCTTTACATATAGATAAATACATACCTACATATAGGTTTATTTAAAAAAATAGATCACAATTATATTCAGTTTTACAACATGGACTTTTTAAAAATAGTAAGCAAGGTTCTGTCTCCCACATATTCAATAGTTTGATAACCCATATTATTCACTTATTATATCATGACTATGATTTCATATCATCAATATTATTTATAACATTACTTTTCATGGCTAATCATTGTCTATTGCATAGAAATTCCCTTATTGTTGTATGTTTCTATTGTATAATTAAACTGCCTTTCTTTGATTTCTGAGATTGGCTACTTAAAAGTGTTTATTGGACACTTATATTTGTAGTTTTTGATTTTCTGTTTTTCTATCTCACACTTGTTTGCCCATTTGATTTGGAAAAGCTGACTACATATTAAAGATACAAAATTTTTATCATATATGTTGCAATAAATTTTTAGTTAATGGTATTAAAACATTTTATCATGAAATATACCACATAGAGAAAAGTGCACAAAAGCATATAGCTCAATAATAATCACGTTCTGAACACCCACGTAACTACCATCCAAGCCAGCAATCTGAAATCTCCTTGTACTTCACAATCACTATTCTTTCGTCCCCAGCAAAATCCATGCCAAACCAAAAGAGCATGCTAACTTTTATGGTATGCAATTCCTTGCTTTGCTTTATAGTTTACCATGTGAGCATGCATCCCTAAATACTATAGCATAGTTTTACTAATTTTCTGAACTTTATATAAATGGGAATATGCACTGTGATCTTATGTGTTTGTTGCCTGTAGCTGTAGTTCGTTCCTTATCATTCTTGCAGTTCATTCCTGCAGTCTTCCATCTTATGACTATAGCACAATGTATTTTTCCATTATTCTGTTGATGGACATTTAAGTAATTTCCAGTTTTGGGGGCAATTGATAATGCAGCCATGAATATTCTTGTATGTGTCTCTTGGTTCACATACATGTGTATTTCTTTTGCATATATAACTAAAATTGTGTTAAAGTATGTGTAAGTTCAGCTTTGGCATACACTCACAAACATTTTTCCGAAGTACTTGTACAATTTACACCCCACGTGGAGTGTCTGACTGTTCCTGTTGCTCTACATCCTTGCCAAAACGTCATGCTGTTAGCTTATTATTTTATTTTATTTTTATTTTTAAATTCCAACCATTCAGGTGTGTGGGTCGTGGTATCTCATTGTGGCTTTAACCAGCATTTCCTAGGTGACTAATGAGGTGGAACACTTCTGGGCTGTTTATTTGCCATTTGGAGATCCTGGCTCCTAAGTTCCTGGTCATGTCTTCTTGCCATCTGTCTATTCTGGCTCACCTGTCTTTCTTCCAATAGCTTTGTGGTTTTGGTGAAAAGCCTTTGTTAGTTTCATGTGTCACAGGTGCGTTCCCATGATCTGTCACTTTTTCACTCTTCTGTTGGAATGTTTTGATGAACAGAAATTCTTAGTCTTAATGTAGTAAAATCTACCCTAAGGTCATGAATATACTCTCGTATATTACTTTTCAGTGGCTTTATTAATTTGCCTTTTGTATTCAGGTCTAAAATTCCCTGGGTATTGATTTTTGAGTATTGTGTAAGGTAGGATCAATTTTATTTCCTGATAGATATCTAGTTGTCCCATTGTCATTTCCTTCTAACTCTCAAGTGTGACTTTTCTCCTGTAAAGCAAATGCATATATATATATATATATGTACATATATATATACACACACACATATGTACTACATATATATAAACTCAGTCTTGTTATCATTCAGTTCTACTGGCTTTGAAGAAGCAAGCTGCTATGATGTAAACTGACTATGGAGAAGGCCACGTGACAGGGAATTGGGTGTAGACTCTAGGAACTGAGGTCTTAATCCTACAACTGCAAGGGGATTAAAGTCTACCAACAACCACCTGGGCTTGGAAGAGGACCGCTGATCTCCAGATGAGAACGGAGCCTGACCAACACCTTGAGTGCCACCTTGTGAGACTCTGAGCAAAGACCCAGCTAAGCCACACTTAGACTCTTGACGTACAGAAAATGTGAGATAAGGAATGTGTGTTTTCTGTAGCCAATGATATTTTGATAATCTGTTTTGTGGCAATAGAACGTTGATACAATAAGCTTGTCAACTTCTAAAAAAAATACTGTTGGAATTTCTATTGTGATTGTATTGAATAGATCATGTTGGGGAAAATACAATATTTTACAAAATCAAGCTTCCAGTTCATGAACATAAAATATCGCTCTGTTTATATTCTTTTATATTTTTCTCAATGATATATTTTAATCTTGGATGTGGAGATCTTCCACATTTTTGTTTGGCTTATTACTAGGCTTTTGATATATAATTTTATTTGATGTTTGTTGTAATGGTTTTAATTATATTTGTAGATGGTATGTAAAAATACATATTTTAAATATATTGCTCTTATATCCAGCAACCATGCTAAACCCACTTATTGTATTAATTTGTACTTTCTTTTTTTTAAATATCCACAACTTGTACTTCACTTCCAAATCCTCTTTTATTTATTTTTTTGACTTAATTCTTAATTTCAAAAGCAAGCCTTACAATAGTTTATCTTTGAGATCCAGTTTCTCTACCATACTTTGTTGAAACTTGGGCAGCAATCTTCAATACTTTTTTTTGGTGAGTCTATTAAAAGCACTTCTCAGTCTTCCTAACCGGAATTGGTATATATCCCCAGGTGAAAAAGGTAACCCCAAATTCTAGGCCTCCTGGGCCTCCATTTCTCATTGATCATGGAGTGTTAATTCTTCTGTATTTTGTTAGTTCTGTATTTCCTTAGAGTATTTTTTTTATTTTTAATATCTTATCTAGTTTTTCTAGTTATCATGGGGAAATGACAGTTCAAATAATCTATCATACCCTTATCAAAAGTGGAAGTGCTACAATAATTTTTTAGCCATTTTATGGAGGTATAATTTACATAATTTACAAACCAAAGCATCCAATGATTATAAGTGTACAATTCAATGAGTTTTAGTTTTATGTATAAATGTATAGAGTCATGCAACAGTGGCCACAATCCAGGTTTAGAATATTTCCATCACTCCCAAAGGTTTCTTCATGACTTGTAGTTGGTTTCCATTCTCAGCACTCAGTCCCAGGTAACCATTGATCTGCTATCTATCGGTATAGGTTGACATTTTCTAGAAAGTCCATATAAATGGAGTCATACAATCTGTGGTCTTTTGTGTCTAGTTTTTTAACTTAGCATAATGTGTTGAGTTTCATCTGTGTAATTAATTCCATGTAATGATTTATAGTTTTCAGTGTACAAGTTTTTAGTTGTAATTTTGTAGTTTCCATATATAAATCTTTTGTTTATTCCTAAGTATTTGTTTTGATACTAATGCGAATTTTTTTTCCTTAATTTTGTTTTTTGGATTGTCTATTGCTAGTCTATAGACGTACAATTGGTTTTTGCATATTGATCTTGTTATCTGTGACTTTGGTGAATTCTCTCAGTAGTTCCAGTAGCTTTTTATGATCTGTAGAAATGAATAGAAATTTACTTCTTTTTCAATATATATCTGACCCTTGAACAATGTGGGAATCAGGGGCACTGACTTCTCTGCATAGTTGAAAATATGCATAGAACTTTTGACTGCCCCAAAACTTAACACTAGTACCCTACTGTTGACTGGAAACCTTACCAATAACATAAACAGTTGATTAACACATATTTTATATATATATATAATTTACTGCATTCTTATAAGAAAATAAGCTAGAGAAAATAAAATGTTATTGAGAAAATCATAAGAAAGAGAAAATATATTTACTATTCATTAAATGGAAGTAGATTCATCATGAAGGTTTTTATCCTTGTTGTCTTCACGCTGAGTAGGCAGAAGAGGAGAAGGAAGAGGAGAGGTTGTTCCTCTCAGGGGTGGCAGATGTGGAAGAAAATTCATGTGTAAGTAGACTTATGCAGTTCAAGCTTGTGTTGTTCAAGGGTCAACTATGTATGTCTTTGATTTTTTTTCTTGCTTTATTGCATTGACTTGGTCCTCCGCTGCAATGGTGAATGGAAAAGGTACAACCAGGTATCCTTGCCCTATTCCTGATCTTAAGGGGAAATAATACAGTCTTTAAAATCAGTCATGTTGATAGCTGTAGGTTTTTCATAGGTTTCCCCAACTTTATCAGGTTGGGGAAGTTCCCTTTTAGTCCTGGTTTGCAGAAAGTTATTATTTTAAATGGGTGTGGATTTTGAAAATTGAGAAAATCATGTGAGCTTTTGGTCCTTTATTAATATTGTGTATTACATTAATTGATTTTTAGATGTGAAACTAAACTGTGTTCCTGAGATAAATATCACTTGTAATGTTATATAATAATCTTTTTTTAAAAAACTGTAGCCGTGTTCAATTTTTTAATATTTTGTTAAGGATTTTTTTTTTCTATCTTCATGAGAAATATTGATCTTTTGTTTTCCTTTGTTGTGATGCCTTTTTCTGGCTTTGACATCAGGATAATACCAGCCTTATAGAACGACTTGGGAAATGTTTCCCTCTCCTCTGTTTTCTGAAAGAGTTTGTGTAGGCTTAATATTATTTCCTTAATATTGATAGAATTCATTAGTGTAGCCATCTGGGCCTGCGCTGTTTTGTGAGAAGATTTTTTAACTATTAAATATATTTCTTTACTTGTAGTTTTATTCATGTTTCTATTTCTTTCTGTGTCAGTTTTGGTGATTTGTGACTTTCATTTTATCTGAGTTGTCTAACTTTGTTGGCCTAAAGTTAATCATAGTCTCTCTTTATGATCTTTTTAATTTTTGTAGGTTTGGTAGTGATAACACCTTCTTCATTCCTAATTTTGGTAATTTTTGTATTCTTTCTTTTTAGGCTCACCCATCTAGCTAAAAGTTTATCAATTTTGCTAATCTTTTCGAAAAACTAAATTTTAATTTTATTTTCTCTATTATTTTCCTATTTTCATTTTCATTGATTTCTGTTCTAATATCTCTTTTTTCTTCTACTTGATTTGTGTTTAATTTGCTTGTGTTTTCTAGTTTTTTTTTTTTAAGGTGGAAGCTTAGAGTCTTGAGATTTTTGTTCTTTTCTAATGTGAGCTTTTAATGTTATAAATTTACCACAAGGTGCACTTTTTAATAACTTTATTGAAACATAATTGTCATATAATAAGCTGCACATATTTAAAATGTACAAACTAATATTTAATACATTTTGACATACGTACATGTGCAAGAATTTACACTGAAAATAATATACACATCTGTCTTCTCCAAAGGTTTCCTTGTGCCCTATGTAATCATCTGCAATCCCGCAACCCTTCCCTGATGCACTAATAATTCTTATGTTTTGTTGTCATTCTCATTCTGTTCAAAATATTTTCTAATTACTTTTGTAATTTCCTTTTTTCAGCCACTGGTTGTTTAGAAGTATGTTTTTAAATTTCCAAATTTTCAAAATTCTTTATGTTTTTAATTTCTAATTTAATTTCATTGGAGGCAGAGAATATAATTTAAAGGATTCAGATCATTTTAAATTCATCAAGACTTTTTCATGGCCTAGACATTATTCATTCTGGAGAATGCTCTTTATACACTTGAGAGGACTATATTCTTCTGTTGGAGTGTTCTATACATGTCAGTTAGGTCAGTAGGGTTGATAGTGGTTTATATATTTATATACTTACTAATATCTTTATATGTGTAAAATTTATGTATTTATATTTTTACTAATTTTATCTATTGTTTACAGTGGCTTATTGAAATCTTCAACTATAATAATTGACTTATCTATTTCTCTTTTAATTCTGCCAGATTTTGCTTATTGAATTTTGAAGTCTATTATTAGATTCATAATACACATATTATTATACATATTATTAGATTCATAATGCACATTGACAACACTCATTCCATCTTGATGTATTAAGGCTTTATTAATATGAAATATTTCTTTTTATCTCTAGAAAAATTTCTGGTCTCAAAACCAACTTTGCTTGATATTAATGTAGCCACTCTAGTTATCTTATTGTTAATGCCTGTATGTTATATCTATTTTTGTCTTTTCACTTTGATTTATTTGTCTTTGAGTCTACAACGTGTCTCTTATTGATAAAATATAATTGGATTTTGCTTTTTTATCCTTCAGATAATCTTTGCCTTTTGTTTAGAGAGGTTAGTTCTTCAGTACTTAATATAATTATTGATATAGTTACATCTGCCATTTTGCTATTTGTTTTCAATATGTCTCACTTTTTTTTAATTCCTGTCCCTCCTTTTTTTTGCCCTTTTCTGTGTTAAACAAAAATTTTTCATGTACCATTTTAATTCCTCTGTTTTTCTAATGATGTATTTTTAAACTTTTTTCAAATACTTTTTGCTTTGTAGGTTTAAAATATATCTGTTGAGGTATCACAATTTTCTTCAGGTTAGTACTGACCTAATTCTAGCAAAATAGGCCACTTTGCTATAGTATAGTTCCATTTCTTCTCTCTGTTTTGTGGCGTTATTGTCGTATATATTTTAGCTATATGTGTTAGAAGCTAAAAAATACAGTGTTCTAATTCCTTTTTGAAATCTTATATTTCTGAAAAAAATTAAGAGTAGAAAAAAGCAGAATATATATTTAATCATTCTTTTATAGTTAATGATATATTTACCATTTTTAAACTTTTCATTTCTTCCTGTTGATTCAAGTTACTATCTGGTGACATTTCCTTTCAACCTGAAAAATGTCCTACAGCATTTCTTGCAAGATTGGTTGGCTACTAACAAACTTTCTCAATGTTTACCTAGGAGCATCTTTCCCTTCATTTTTGAATAATTTTTTTTGATACAGAATTCTTGGTTAACAGTTTTATACCCACCACAGCCCCAGCACATTGAAAATGTTATTTTACTGCCTTATGGACTCCATTGTTTCTGATGCAGAGTCTGCTGTTAATTATTGTTGTTACTCCCCTCTACACAATAAGTTGTTTTACTCTTGCTACTTGCAAGATTTTCTGATTGTTTTTGTTAGCTCTCAGCAGGCTGATTATACTGTATTTATCCTACATTTGGTTTGAGCTTCTTGGTTCTGTAAATTGTTTTCATCCAGTTTGGGAAGTTTTTGGCTACTATTCCTTTGAATATTCAATTTATATACCTTTCTCTCTCTTCTCAAGTTCTAGAACTCCCACTTTACATGTGTTGTCATTCTTGATGTTGTCTCACTTGATGTCTCTGTTTTTTTTTAATCTTTTCTCCATTTTTCAGGTTAGATAAGTTTTATTTATGATTTTTCAGTTTACTGATTCTTTATTCTGCCGTCTTAAATCTGATGTTGAACTCTTCTAGTGAATTTTCATTTCGTCATTGTATTTTTCATCTATAATTTTTATTTAGTTTATTTTTATAGTTTATATTTCTCTATTTTGGTTCTTGGTATGAGTCATTGTTATTATATTTTCCTTTCATTATTTTTTAGATTTTTAAAATTGAGGTGAAATTCACTATTTTAAAGTGTGCATAAAATTAACTATTTAAAAGTGTACAATGCAGTGGCATTTAGGACATCAACAACATTTTTCTAAAACATGTTCATTACTCCATAAAGAAACCTTATACCCATTAAGCAGTTACACCCTATTTCTCCCTTCATTCGGCCCCTGGTAACCACCAATTTGTGTTCTGTACGTCTGGATTTACCTTTTCTGGATATTTCATATAAATGATGTCCTATGATATGTACGTTTTATGTCTGGCTTCTTTCACTGAGCATAATGCTTTTGAGGTTTATCTACATGGTAGCGTATATCAATGCTTCATTTATTTGCATGGCTGGATAATATTTCATTGTATGTCTATACCATGATATCTTTATTCATTCATTTGTTGATAAACATTTCGCTGTTTCCACCTATTTGCTATTGTGAATAGTGCTACTATAACTATGCATATAAATGTATTTGTTTGAGTACCTATTTTTAAGTCTTTGGGGAATATATGTACAAGTGGAATTGCTAAGTCATATGATAACTTCATGTTTAGCTTTTGAGGAAGTGACCAACTGTTTTCCACAGTGTCTGCATCATATTACATTGCACCAATAATGTGGAATAGTTTTGATTTCTCTACATCCTCACCATGTTATTTTCTGTATGAAATATAAAGTTTTACCTCATTTGTGGTTTTGATTTCCATTTCCCTAGTGACTAATACTGTTGAGTGTTTTTTATGTACTTCTTAGCCATTTGCATATGTTTTTGGAGAAAGGCCTATTCAAGTACTTTGCTCAATTTTTAATTGGGCATTTATGTTTTTCTTGTTGAGTTATAAGAATTCTTTATGTATTCTGAATGCCTGATTCTTAGTAGATGTGTGCTTTGCAAATATTTTCTCCCATTCTGTAGGTCATCTTTTTGTCTTTATCGATAACCTCCTTGATACAAAGTTTTTAATTTTCATAAAGTCTAATTTATCTATTTTGCTTTCATTGCTCATGTTTTTGGTGTCCTATCTAAGAATCCATTGCCAAATCCAAGATTATGATTAACTTCTAGGTTTTCTTCTAAGAGTTTTAGGGTTTTATCTCTTACATTTAGGTTGCTCATCCATTTTGAGTTCAGTTTTTGATAGAATGTGAAGCAGTGATTTTTCTTTAATTATTTAAACATAGTGTTCTTAATTCTTTGAATGTATTTCTGGATTCAGAGTCCAGAGTGCTCACCATTACACCATGGAAACATGAATGTATTTCTAATAGCTGCTTTGAACTCTCTGTCTACTAAATCCAAATCCAACATCTGGGCCCACTCAACATCAGTTTATATAGGTTCTCTTTTTTTCTCCCTGAGTATAATTTATACTTTACCACTTCTTACAATTTTTTGTTGAAAACTGGACATTTAAAATAATATTTTATGCAAACTCTGGATTGTAAAATTTCCCCTAAGCATTAAAAAAAGTAACTTGCCTGGACTTAATACATGAAATCTGTCTTCTAAGCATGTGTGGTTGATACATCTGTTTAGTTTCTTAAATTCTTATTTTTATTTTTATTTTTAGCCTGACTTCCTAAGAGTTGCCCCTGTGTCTGCATAGATTAGTAGTCAGTCAGTCATTGGAAGATGCTCAGTGCTTCCACACTCTGCTGATTGATTTGTGTATGGGTTGTAGCTTGTACCCCATGTTCAGGCAGTTTTCAAATCTGCCTTAAGATTTAGTTTTACTTTCTTCTGGGCCCTCTTGAGTATTCCCTGCACATGCTAGAGGCTCTCTAGGTAGAGATAAAACCCAAGATGTGTGGATAGCTTAGTTAGCTCTTCCAGGATATTCGCATTAAATTTCTGGTTATCCATTCACCCCATTTGCCCCAACTGGGACTGCAACTTTACATTAGCAGGGTTGTGGGTTTTCCTCCTTAATTTTCTTCTGAGTTTGCAACTTTTAAAGACAACACAACCAACTACAGGTTTGCTCTTCACTCCAAAACAGATCAGCTCCCTTTGGCAGTGAAGATGCTGTTTTTCCAGCCAGACTTGTCCTAAAAAAAATACCATGCCAATTTAGCTGGGGAAGAGAAGGGAGCAGCCCTAGGCAAGAAGATCACCAAATCCTACTGTTCTTACTCAAAATTCTTGCAGTTTTCATGAATAAATGCCTCCAGTTTATTGTTTGCTTTGGGTCAATGTTATGGAAAAAGTTTGTGTCTCCCCAAAATTTATATGTTCAAACCCTAATCCCATTGTGATGGTATTTGGAGGTGGAGACTTTGGGAGGGGGGGAGCCCTCATGAATGGGATTAGAGCCCTTATATATAGAGCCCAGAAAGCTCTCTGACTCTCTTTCTGCCATGTGAGGTCACAAAGAGAAGTTGGCAGTCTACACCCTGGAAAAGAGCCCTTACCAGAACTCGACCTTGCTGGCACCCCAATCCCAGATTCCCAGCCTCCAGAACTGATATAAATTTAGGTTGTTTGTAAGCCACTTAGTCTGTGTTACTTTGTTATAGCAGCCCAATGGACAGAGACAGTCAATTTCCAGAGCTCTTAGTGTTTGTTTTTGATAGTTTTGTCCAATTTTTACTTGTTTTATGGGGAGAAGGGTTGCTGATCTCTTCTCTCCACCATGGCTGAAAATCCTGCTACCACAACAACAGTTTTTAAGTTTGAGTTTTTCATTTTTACCTCGTTGAAGAGATCAAAGTTTTCTCTATGGCTCTGCCCTTAGTTTTATACTTAGGATTTCTTCATTCCAAGATTACACTGTAATTAAAAGAAATTTTATATTATAGTGCAATGGTTTAATTTTTCCATTCAAATGTTTAGTCATTTCACAGTTATTTATTTCATTGTAACGAGGCAAGACTGTAGCTCACTTTTTCTTCTTGTTGTTAGCTAGTTGTCCATACCAATCTTTTGAATAATTTATTTTCCTGTTGATTTGGAAAGCAACATTTTTAATGTTTGAGTGATATGTTTTCTTACTTCACTTTTTATTCTGTTCCATTGATTAATTTTTTATTCACACTTTCTATTTTTTACTTTTATATTTATTTATTTATTTGAGATGGAATCTCACTCTGTTGCTGAGGCTGGAGTGCAGTGGTGCAGTCTAGGCTCACTGCAACTTCTGCTTCCCAGGTTCAAGCAATTCTCATGCCTTGGCCTCCTGAGTAGCTGGGACTACAGGTGTGTGCCACCACACCCTAATATGACAAATTTTTTTATTTTTGTAGAGACAGGATTTCACCATGTTGGTCAGGCTGGTCTCGAACTCTTGACCTCAGGTGGTCTGCTCTCCGCGGCCTCCCAAATTGCTGGGATTACAGGCATGAGCTACTGCGCCTGGCCTTGTATTCACTCTTTCTTAGAAATGCCACATTGTTTTAATTATTATGCCTCAGAATGCCTTCTAATATAGGGTATGACAAGATCCTTTCCCCTGCCCTTTCACATTTTAAACCATAGAGTGGGCTCCCATTGTCCATACTGCAGAGTTAGTGTTTATTGATTCATTAATTCCTGCATCCCACAGATGTTTATTGAGCTTGTGCCCTACGTTAGGCAATGCGTTGCTTAGGGATTCAATGGTGAGCAACAAGGCCTAGTTTTTGCCTTGCTGAGACTTGCAGGTTGTCATGCAGACAGGAAGAAAAGGTAAACAGACAAATTCATCCAATGCTTGAAAATTCTAACAAGTATGTGAGGCAAAGAATCAATATGGGATATTTCTATTCCAGAAACTAATGTTTAAGTCAAAGCCTGCAGGACAGGTAGGAGCCATGTAGGAACCAAACATTGTTTTTATTGTTTTTTTCCCCCAAATGCTTGTTCATTTGTCCCAACACCACTAATTACAGAATTTCTCCTTTTCCCATAGGGGTGGGAGGGAGCAGTCCATGTGAGGGGAATGGCACATGCCCCAACCCTGACATGGAAAGGAGGCAGAGGACCTGAAATACAACCTGCATTCCTTCACTTAGGAGAGTGGCCTGACCTGGCATGTGTGAGGGGTTGAGATGGTCAGGGAGGGGAGGGGAGCAGTGGGTAGATAACGCTGGCCTTGTAGACCATGGAGGGAAGTTTGGATTCCATCCTTAGGGCAGTGGGAAGCCCCTTACAGGGTGTCCCCAGGGCAGTGGTGCACACTATGTTTTAAGACGACTATGCCGTGTGTGGTCTGGATAAAGGCTGAGTGCCTGCAGGGGTGAATGGGGTAGGGTGGGGTCCAGACTGAGGGAGGGGAGCCAGGATGGGTGGCCAGATGATGGACAGCAGGTCCTATTGATGGGCCAGACATGGGGTAGATGGAAAGGAGTGCAATTCTGCCCTCTTGCAGGTTCTGGCAACAGGCCTTTTGGTTATGAACTGGAGAGGGGCAGAATGGGAGTCCCTGCTTAGGCTCCTGTGGGTGAACAGAGCCCAACAAACTGCCTTTCTGTAGGCAGCATCTACCGTGAGACAGGAGCATCCTGTGAGTGCCTTGGGAGATGATTGGCGGCTTGGGATGCAGCACACTTCTTTGGAAATCCAGTGGTGTGGACGGCGAGAGGGTGACACCCACCCTTTTGCTAAGCAGCACGTACCAGGGCCTGGGAGGGCCGACAGCACGGCAGAAAAGGCGATTGGTGCAAGAGCGAGACGTAAACAATTGACAGAATGTTATGGGCTGAACAGAAATGTCAGAGTATTAAAGTGGGTGTCTGAGAAAACAGAGAGTTGCTATCTGAGATGATGAATAAGCCAGTGCCAGTTGTCACAAATGTGTGAGATGCCTCTGTGAGCAGAGAAGAGGCTGAGCTGCACTTTAGGGAGGCAGGCGATGGGGGCCCTGCACTGGGCCAGGCCCTACTGCTATGGGGATGGAGCCAGATGCCCTCCCACAGTGCCCGCTCTTCTGCGCCTGCCTGCCGCCCTTCCAGTTACATGCAGAGTGTATCTCCCTGGTTGAAATGGAAGTTCCATCAGGACAATGCGTTATGTGGTTCCCAACATTCCTGCTCCCTGGTGTACACGCCCAGCCTGACCCCCTTCCTTGGTGTGGGTGAGACCTGTGAATGTGATGTGGTGCATGGCAGAAGTGAAAGGATTTTTTAAACTTTTATTGATTTACTTATTTTGTATTTTAGATTCAGGGGTCCATGTGCAGGTTTGTTCCACAATATATTACATGATGCTGAAGTTTGAGTTTCTATTGAACCCATCACCCAAATACTGAACATAGTACCTGATAGGAAGCTTTTCAATTCTTGCCCCTGTCTCTCCTCCTCCACTTTGGAGTCCCCAGTGTCTCCAGTGCAAACCAAGCTCTTGCTCACTGCTGGGTGCCCAGCATCTTCACACAGTGTGCTTGGCACACTTCAGTGCCCAGATACCTCTCTGTGGCATTAAGCTGTTTTCCCTTTGGTCCTCATTTCTCTGCATTCAAACAGCTTGGCTAGTTCCTGATGATCTCAAAGAGAGAATCCCCCTCTGTTTTTAAAGAAAAGCACTGTGGCCATCAGTTAAAAGAAGGGGACAAAATCAAGTCTGTTGAAAACAGAAAAATGGCTCATTTAGCCTCAAGGCCAGAGAGCAGGTGGAACAGAATATTCTGGAGGGCACTGGGTACCAGCCTTGATGCAGTCCCAGCACCATCTGGGAGGCCACGAGGAAACCAACTCAAACCCCTTATTGTGGCTACGGTCAGATTAAATGATCCCTTTAACACAAGCTTTCAGACTCTCTGAGGGTTAAATGTATTTGTCAGTGATATTTAACACTACAAAGTTATAGGACAACCAATGGTTTAGCTAGTTACTTGGAACTGATTACAGAGGAATTTAATTTATACAAAAATAAAAGAGATTTATTTTCCAAGGACAATGTAATATAATGTGTGAAATGGGACAGCACTGAAACATGTTTCGGAAAGCTTGTGATTGAAAATACTGAGGCCTTCTCCGACTAACCTTGTCATTCCCTCACAGAGCTAAGAGTCCTCAATTGACAGCCATACCTTGTTTTATGCCAATGTTATCGGATATTTCCATGTAAGCCAACATTTCAGACGTTGAGTTAAATACACAAGTGATGCTTGGTATTTTTTTCAGGACTAAGTGTATCAGAGAGGAAAACACAAATGTACATACACAAGCACAGGACATGCCCAGAACTCATTGTGAATATCTCAAGTAGAAAGGGATTTCACGTAGACAATGTAATGCTTCCAAAACCATTTGAAAGTTTGGAGGAGTGAAGGTCAAGGAACTGGCTGAAGTTCTCAGATATGCCACTGGATTTCAGAGACTCCAGACTTTGCTGCAAGCCACCAGCAATGACTACAGTTGCCTGTAGCACATAGCTGGGAACTTTGCAGGCTGTAAATCAAGTTCATCCTGCAGAGCCTGTGGATCTACCATTGCTGCCCCAGGAAAAACGATATGGCTCCTGTCCATTAAATACTGGGCAACTGTCTCCCTCATTGGTCCATTCCATGAGGTTCCAGAAAATGTAGTTTCCAGGTTTCTAGTCCCTGTGTTAGAGGGGAGAATGGAGGAGAGGGGTAGTGCCTCAGTGTCACCAATGGACAGCACTGAGTCCAGAAAGCTGCAGGAACACGGCAAGGAGCCAGCGTGTTGCTTGCCACAGAGAATGCAGTTAACTCCAATAATCTTTAGACTCATGGATGACAAAGTGCCCATTAATTCTTCTGATCTCCTAGCGAAATAGGTGGCAGGAAAACCAATGTCAAGTCCACGGAGGCAGTGAGGAGACAAGTGCAAGGAGGGTTTGTGATTCCTAATCAGTGCTGGCACTGGAAGGAGAGCCCAGGTCTCCTGGATTCAGTCTTAACCTCTTTCTCTGTCCCTGTATGGCCATCCCTGTCATGACAGTAGGAGAGAAAGCAGTAGCCACAGAAGGAAAGAAGACTTGATGGAGGGAAGAGGAAGTGGGGGTGGGAATGCAGGTCTGAACAGAGACTGCAGCTATGTGGTCACTTTAATTTGCATAGCTCCATATGGCAAGTGGAGAGTTCCAGAGAAAGGAATTCTCCAGTGAACCGGGCTTGGGCAACCCTGAAAAGTTTTGGAGGAGTGATGTAGAGCTGTGCTTGCATGTGTATGCTTGTGTGTGTGTGTGCATGTGTCTGTGCTTATGTGTGTGTGCAGTGAAACAAGCAAGGTTAAATAAAGAGGCCTCTGCATGTCGTGGTGGCCATGGGCCACCCTCCAGCCAATGAAGAGACCTGTGCCTGTGAATCAGCCTCTGGTGCTTCTTTCCTCCTGATTGATATCCCGCCTAGCTCCTGAAGAAGTCGGAAGAATTCATTGTCCCAGCCAAGTCCATGCAGCACAGTGCTGGCTCCTGCAGAGCACATGGCCCCTACCTAACAAAAACCTCAGGAAAGGTGTGAAATACTTAGCCTTTGAGACCAGAGTGGTTCAACTATGGGAGCTGCCTTTCCCTTTGCCTAGATGAACAAGCTTGAGTTTCTGCTTTGTGTTCAGAGGCTGGGGGCAGGTGAGGTGCAAGGAGGCTCTATGTGCTACCTGGAAGCATGGGGGGGTTCCACAGGGAAAGGCTAAGTCAGGAGAAGAGGAAACCCTGGGGGCCTCCCCTTAAGGTCCAGATGGGCTTTCTGGATCTGTTTCATTGAGATGTCCTCTCTGGAGGAAAGTTGTGGTTATTGAGCACTGGGATGGGTGGGGACAGGCCACTTGTCACAAACAGGGCAGAGGAGGGGACTTTTAAATTTGGAGGTCAAGTTCATGCCCCAGGTTTTTGTCCCCCAACATGTGAATTTGACTCAGGATGTAAAAGGTGGTCGGAGAGACAGCCAACCCATCAAGCCCCTCATGGCCGAGGGCTCTTCCCTTGATGGTCAGGTATTTCCCCATGGATAGGAAATGAGAAACAAACAGCTAGTCCAAGTCACTGCAGGGGAAAAGAAATCTTGAAGGCAGAGTCCACAGCCTACTGCAATTGTGAAGTTTCTCTATCATCTCGTGATTGATTTTTAAGTCATGCAAAATTTGAATTCTATTTATTGCTATCTATGTCTGATTTATGTAAAAGTTAATGTTTGAGCTTCATTATGTCACACAAAGTGAACTGTAGGAAGACCCACTTCTTTTGCCCTGTGGCTTCATCCTGTGCCTCTCTCCTGGCTCCAGGTGCCACGCCTCCACCTGGCCTCCCATGGATGAGAGTCCTCTGGTTTGAAAGACTTTGTTTAGAGGATGGTGTTTTGAGAATGCCTGGATCTAAGCCTCTCTCAATCCTTCTGGCAAGTTTGCAGCAGACTGATACTAAGGTTCAGGCTGTGATTTTTCAGGGCAGCAGTTGTATTAGTCAGAGTTCTCCAGAGAATAAGAACCTATCAGATGAATGGGTAGATAGATAAGTGATAGATACAGATAGATAATAGGTAGAGAAATAGATGGTAGATATAGATAGATGATAGGTATAGTTAGATAGCAAGAGATGAATGCTAGATATAGATAAGTAGATAATAAATAGATGATAGGTGGATGATAGATTAAATAGATAAATAGATCGATGGATAGATAGATGAATGGATAGATGGATGGATGGATAGATAGATTAATAGATGAATGGATGGATGGATGGATAGATGGATGGATGGATGGATATAGATAGATGGATAGCTAGATGGATGGATAGACGGATGGATGGATGGATAGATAGATAGATAGATAGATGGTTGGGCAGACAGATAGATTTCTTATAAGGAATTGACTCATGTGATTATGGAGGCTGACAAGTCCAAAACCTACAGAATCAACATCTCAGGTTGAGTCTGAAGGCCAGCAGGCTGTTGTGAAACCACAAAGAGCTGATATTCCAGTTTGAAGGCTGGCAGGCAGGGAGCATTCTCTCTTACCTGGGGGACGTCAGCCTTTTGTTTTTAATTCTGGCCTTCAATGAATTGGATGAGGCCCCACCCACGTCGGGGAGGGTCATCTGCTTTACTCAGTCTACCTGTTTAAATGCGAATCTGATCCAGAAACACCCCTGTGGACACACCCAGAATAATGTTTGACCAAATATCTGGGCACCCTGGGGCCCAGTCAAATTGGCACATAAAATTTACCATCACAGCAGTATTTAGAGCAGGAATTAGTGTCATCAAGAATGTTCTTTGAATGGCCTTGTGTTTTTCTTTGTCTGGGCACCAGAGCCCCAGACTTCTCATCTGAGAGATGAAGGTGGAGAAGTTTCATTAAATAAGGCATATTTCTAAAGCACCATTTGCCTGACCCGGTGAGTGGGAACAGGTGCTTAAGGACAAAAGGGAAGTACTTTTTCATTTCTTCTCTGTCCAGGAGGATCAAACCTGGCCCGTACCTTGATGTGAGTCGGGATCACAAGCCAGTGGCCAGTGCAGAGGCTAAAGCCAACTGCTCTGAATACTCTGAGGAATTTCCATTCTCAGCACTAATAGCAAGCCACCCTAACCCGACCCTGACCGAGCTCTGAGCCCCATCTTCTTCCACCTCAGTTAGCCCCAAATGGCTCTCGGGGCTCACCCTCCATTCACACTTCCATCTGCACCATTTAACTGTAGCCAGATCTACAGAAGCTATGGGGGGCAAAACACTGCTTGCTAGCTGAGCCTTATGAACACAGGAAAGAACTGGGATTGGAAGCTCAGCCTGGCAGTCGGACTTAAGTAAGCAATCACCTGAGTAATGCAGCAATAAACAAAACATAATCGAACTGGGTTCCTCTTCCCCTTTCTTCCCTCCCTTCCCACCTCCTCTCTTTCTGTTCTCTCTCTCTTTTTTTCCTCTCTTCCTTGCTTTGTCTCATTTTCTTTCCTGAGTGGGGAAAAGATGTTTGTTTCAACTCCAACTGATACAGTTTCAGCTACTCTGAGCTAGATTTCCAATTGTTTCTCACACTTCATATAGCAGCTGGTTGGGAAATATAACATCTTCCATTTAGATAAATAAGCAAAATAGAAAAAAATCAGAAAATTAATAACCAGAAAGATACACTCATTTTACTATAGTATTTCTGAAACAAAACAAAATGCAGGCTCCATCAAAGCCAGGTCTGTGGGTAGAAACCTGAAGCCCTGCTTGGGGGAGCTGTGGAGAGCTGGGAGGTGTACTGGGACCAACATGGCAGGTCGTGGGCTGATTCCTGGGGTCCCCTGCCTTACCAGCTTCCCATCGACAGCTCTGCCATTAGCCCCAGGGTGCAGCTCAAGTGTGTGATATGGCTGGAGCTTCAGAGCCAGCCCCTGGGCCCTCTGTGACCTAATTTGACCCTCCAGCGATGCAGCCCCCATGAGATACAGTCCCCATGTGGTTGCTCCTGCTTGGAGACTCCTGAGGCGCTCCGTTACATGCACATCCCCCCACCTCTGTCCACTGTTTCTGGAGTTGTTTCCCACGGCCTTCTCCTGCTGGGGGTTCCTCCTTAACATTCATGCGTGTTTGCCATGTACCCGGGTCTATGGGCAGCAATTTATGCTTATTGATTCATTGAACTTCTGTGAACCCCTGTGAGGTGGACACTATTATTATTATTATCCCCACTTTACAGATGAGGACAATGAGGTACAGAAGGCATCCAGCATCCACAGGTAAGGGCAAACCCGAGCTTCAAACATGAGCATTTGGGCTCTGGCTAGAGGTGACCATCTACTGGGTTAGGATCAGAGGCTTCATGTAAGTTTAAACAGTAATAATCATTTTAAAACAGGAGACTATCAAAATACTGAGGCATTATTGAGATGATTGCCTTTTCAAAAATGGACTTTTTTTTTTTTTTTTTTTAAAGAGGACAGAGTCTGGCTCTGTTGCCCAAGCTGGAGTGCAGTGGTGCAATCATAGCTCACCACAGCCTCAAACTCCTGGGCTCAAGCAATCCTCCTGCTTCAGCCTCCCACCAAGTAGCTGGTACTACAGGCATGCACCATTATGCTTGGCTAATTTAAAAATCATTTTTATGTAGCAATGGGGGTCTCACTATGTTGCCCAGGCTGGTCTTCAACTCCTGGCCTCAAGCAATCCTCCTGCCTTGGCCTCCTGAATCACTGAGATTACAGGCATGAGCCACTTCACTTGGCTCCAAAACATAGACATTTTTAATGTATAAAACTGCCATGCATGAATGGTGCCAGTCACAGGACAACAACAGGGTTTATGGGATTAATGTGACTCCCTGGTGCACTCACTCCCAGGGGTGTGGTCCAGGGATATCCTTGAGTCAGAGGTTGCTTGATGAACACTTTTGCCTTCCGGGGCTGTCTGTGTGCCTCCAAAACTCCATGTCCTCCTAGGGAGGAAGCCAGGGAACTTCTGACTTGTAGCTCCCACTCCTGCCACCATCACTGTCCCCAGTGCCCAGCTTGTCCTGAGCTGCAGTCACACAGGATGGAAATCCACTCCATGAACATACCACTGCCCTTTCCTGCCCTCCTGCCTTCCTTATGTGGATCTCTCTCTCCCACCCCTGTCCCCCTTCTCTTCCTCTTTCCCCCATTACCATCTGTGTCTGATGATGCCCTCCCCTCCCCCAAGAGCTGCTGAAATTCTAGCCCCTCACCTGACTCCACCCTGGAGTGCCGCCCCAGGTGATCTTTCCCTCCAGCGATCTGCTCTGTGTTGTGGTGCTGCTCACTCCAGCAGAGTCATCACTTCCAGGCTTGTCTTCCACGTCCATGCTGTGTACAGTGCCCACCAGCGGGTCTCACACACACGGCGGGGGAGGTGGTCAGACTAGCCCACTGCCAGAGTGCATGGTTTGGGGAGAACCCTCAGACCTGTCCAGTGGGGACTTATCAGTCAGCAAAAATCCTCCTAGTTGAGTCCCTGTGCTCAGCCCTGGCTGGGTGCTTTGGGCAAGGCATGCCCCCATCCTCAGAGGGGAAGGTATGATACATGCATAAACACATCAATCCCTCTGCTAGAAGGACAGCATCCATGTTTGTGAGGAGGAGAAAGCCAAACCACAGGCATCCAGAGTACAAGGTCACATCTGGCAGGGAAGGGAGAGGTTCGAGAAGGCCTGAGAGCTGGCTGTTGGAGGACAGGACTCTGTGTCTTCCTAGGCTCAGATGCTCAGCATGAGTTTCTTGCAAATATAAGGCTGCAGGTGGCCTTTCGTTTGGGGAGCAGCAAAGGAGGGAACATGCATGCTTTCTCTCCCAACATCAGGATTCTTGCAGGGACATGAGTGGGCCTGCAGGATTTGGCCATTCCCAGCTCTGCAGAAGGGCTGTGAGGGTGTCCAGTGCAACTGGAGCTGGAAGCTTGAGAGGCTCTGTAGGTAGAGAGATGGTTAGGACATTGCGTGTTGAGACCATAGGGTTTAGACTGGCTGGTGGAAGGATCTCAGTAATTTTGAGCTGAGCAACCAGATGGATGAATTGCCTGTAACTGAGATAAGGAAGACTGAGGGATGAGAAAGACTGTGGAAGAAGAAGGTTTGGAGGAGGAAAGTGGTAGGAATTAAGCTTTACAGATTCAAGTGTGCAATGCTTGTTACTTTGGTAAGAAGTGGCATAGGAATCTGCAGTCCAGAGGAATGGTCCTGAGTGAAGATCCGGCCAAGGTGCTCTCAGCATGTAGGCTGACTACCCTGCAGAGACAGATTTATTATGTACAATCTGCACATGAGGAGAACAAGCCCCAGAGAGGGTACGCAACTCACAGCAATGAAGGGTCTCACAGTGATGAAGGGTCTCACAGTGATGAAGGGTCTCACAGCTAGTGAGCAGTGATGTCAGGATTCAAACTAGGGGCTGGGTGGCTCCTAATCTGGTCCCCTTAACCACTGGACTGCCTGTGTGGCAAGGCAGTACTACTACCCATTGGAACAGGCCAAACCACTCCCTTCGTGGAGACCTCAGCATGCCTTGACAGCTTTTGCTGTACTGAGGCATTCCCTGGAAACAATAAGAACAAGATATCCATACATTAGGCAAGGATTCAATTGTGTACAGCAGTGGTTCTGCAAGTGCCACCCCAGGACAGTGGCTCAGCATCACTTGGAAAGTGTAAGAAATGCAAATTCCTGGGTTTCACCCCGAACCAACTGAGTGAGAGACTCTGGGGGTGAGGTTTTAACAAGACCTCCAGATGAGAATTGGAAAACCATCAACAACATCTCTCTCTGCCCTCCACCAGCTGCCTGCCCCCTGCCTTTCTCCAGGGGTCCTAGCAGCTCTGCTCCCAGGCAGGTGCAGGTAGAAGAGCCTTGCTCAGCTGGGGCTGTGCAGCCTGGTGGCTATGGGGACTGCCACTGAGAACAGCCCTGCAAGCAGCTGTGGTCGATGCAAGAGCTGTCAGAGGGTCAAAGACACTCCACTGATCAGGTGTAGTGCTCAATGTCCTTCCTTCTGCTCAGTGGTGGGTGTGGGAAATAGTAGCCCCAGAAAACAGGACGTTCCCTGACTTGAACCTTTTTCCCTCCCATCACATAGACCCCAAATCAAGGCAAGGGAGTCGGCTTGATCATGATGGTCAGAGATCCCCATGGAAGAAAATATGGATATAATATCACTTGGGGTGTTTGCAGATAATCTTTCACGGGGAGAGAGAGAAGTCCTAAATTCAAATGCCTCCAGGCTCCAGGCACCAAAAGCGTTGAGTGACGTGAAGCATGTCTCAAAAGCACACATTCCTTTCGGTTTAGAACTTCTCACTTTCTTAAAAAAATAAATGTTTTATTTTGAAGTAATTTTAGATTTACAGAGAAGTTGCAAAGAGAATACAGAATGTTCCAATGTACCTCTCACTGAGTTCCCCTAACATTAGAAACTTCTATTCCCAGGGTACATTTGTCAAAACTAAGAAACAACATTGTTCTATTATTATTATTACTGAACTCCAGATTTCACCCGTTTTCCCACTCATGCCCCTTTTCTGTCCCAGGATCCAGTCTGAGGAGTTCCTCATGGTTCCCATGACTTTCATAATATCCATGTGTACCGGCCAGGTAGTTAGAATGTCCTTCCCACTTCTCATAGAAGTAGGAGGTAGGCCTACAAAAATCCTGGGATTTTTGTTTTCATAAGACAGTGTGTTTTCCTGTTGCATTTCCTAATTTTAGATGTTGGTTACTAGTTTATAAATGGTGTTAATACCAGGCAGTGCCTCACAACTCTAGAAGATGCCACTTAAATTCTATAGAAATGCTCCCTTGTGCTGGGCGCAGTGGCTCATGCCTGTAATCACAGCACTTTGGGAGGCCAAGGTGGGCAGATCACCTGAGGTCAGGAGTTCGAGACCAGCCTGGCCAACATGGTGAAACCCCGTCTCTACTAAAAATACAAAAAATTAGCCAGGTGTGGTAGCGGGCACCTGTAGTCCCAGCTACTCGGGAGGCTGAGGCAGAAGAATCGCTTGAACCCGGGAGGTGGAGGTTGCAGTGAGCTGAGATCATGCGACTGCACTCCAGCCTGGGCAACAAGAGAGAAACTCTGACACACACACACACACACACACATAGAGAAATGCTGGCTTGTTAAGGTTGGGCACAGTGGTCAAGGAAGGCTCTGTAACAACAATGAAAGGAACATTTAAAAAAACACGTGTACTCTGTACCTGTCAGATGAAACACGTCCATGAGCCCTACTCAGCCACGTAACTTTGGCCATATGGCTCAGAGGTGGAGGACATTCACTGGACATCCTGGACAACACATTGGAAGAAGCATCATTGCAGTTTCTTTGTAGTTCTTCCTCCGCTCTGGCACTCTTCACTGTTTAATCCCATCGTTTAACCTGTAACCATTTTCCTGGCTTTATCTGACTCTGGTAGCTTTAATTAGGAAACTTCTGCTAAGATTCTTTTCCCCAGCATGGACTGAGCAGGTGAGTGTCTGCCAGGTTTATAATGAATTTCAATCCCAAAGGGCAGGAGGCTACTTGGAAAACAATCCTGTCTATAACTGGCCTAAGAAAGACTGACTTTTAGAAAATACCAGTGGAGCGTTAGTGACATGTTTTGGAGCAGCCGGTATGCGAGGTCGAATCTGCCCTCAGTAGCAAGAGTTGAAACTGACATTACCTGAACACCACCCATGTGCCAACCCCTGGGAGGAGGGCATCATGGGTGCTGCCTTGGCAGATCTGCACTTCAGCCCTTGCCATCCTCTCCCTCTTATGGATCAGGACCCAGTGACACAGGGATATTAAGTCACCTGCCCAAGATCATGTAGCCATCTAGCTTTGGACCAAAGATTTGTTCCTGGCTGTCTAGGTTAGGACCTGGCCTGATAGCCTCCATGCTATGCCGAGGGCCTCTACCACCTTAATGAGACAGTGATGAGTCTGCATAGGGGAGCATGTGTGGTCTGCGAGGAGGTGGCATGTGAATGGCCTCTTGAGGAAGATGTAACAGGATGTGTGGGTCACTGCCCAGGGTATACCCAGGTTCAACTGCCTGAGCCCCTTCCACAGAAGGGCATGTGGAGGCCTTGGAGTGTGAATCTCTACCTCCAGGGTTAGCCATATTATTCAGAGTACAGAGAAAACAGCAAGACTCAGTGTTTCCAATGAACAACCAACATCTAGAGCAAGCTTGTCCAGCTCGAGGCCTGTAGGCCACATGGCCACATGCGGCCCAGCATAAATCTGTAAAGTTTCTTAAAACATTATGAGATTGTTTTGTGATTTTTTTAATTTTTATTTTTTAGCTCATCAGCTATCATTAGTGTTAGTGTATTTTATGTATGGCCCAAGACAATTTTTCTTCTTCCAGTGTGGCCCAGGAAGCCAAAAGATTGGACACCCCTGTAGAAGGTCTCTCAATTGATGGTTTCTGCGTTTCCCACTGCAAATTAATGGGGCTAAAGCTGGGATGAAACTTTTGGTACTTATAGGGTTGTCAGGTGACACATCTCAGCAGAGCTCTGGGGCTGTTTGAAAACCCTCTGCTGCTCCTCTCAGCTGCTCCTGAGATGGAGGGTGCTCCATGCACTGTTTTCGTCTGATGCCCAAAGAGTGGCTTTTTGTTGGTTGCGTGGCGCTCCGTGTGGCTTGGAGATACTTCACATTTGAAGCCACATTTCCAGCCCTCATGGCATGCTGTAGAAATGTTACAGTTGTTTTTACCCTTATCTACATAAACAACATAACTTTGTCAGAAAATTGAAAATGTGCACTTTGTCCCATCAGCTAAAATGGGCTGTCAGATAAGGCTTTTTTTCTCCATTGCATCCGATGAATGATGTAAATGGTTTTTGGCTTTGGAGTTCTTTTGCAAGGCACTAGAGTAAATGATCAGAGTAGTAACATTTTTAACCTTATCTATCATACTGAAACATTTTTTCTGCCTCCAATAAAACATGTCAGAGTCGATTAAGGACATTTTTCAATGAGGTATAATTCACAGATTTTAGTAGCGAATCCAAGAGCACTGAAGTATTAAAGAGGCTGTGAATACTTAATTAAGGCTATGTTACCATCCTACCTTTGCCTGAATTCACTTAACGCTTTGGAGCTCTGCTCTGAAAACGCACAATTTGTCTGATGGCGGGGTCGGAGGAGTAGCAGGTAGGATGGCCGGGGATGTGTCACATTGTATCTGGTGACAGGGCCGTGAAAGATATGGCGGCTCAGTACGTTTGGCGGTGCTTATCTGGTACATGAGTGCACATTACTTCCCAAAGACCGGGATCACTTTGGACAGTATCATTAAATGCTACGTCATTACCTGTTATAGAGCAGTGCTTTAGCTTCAAGGGCCTCTTGGGAAACATGGAACAGTCGGAAGAATGATGGGCAAAGATGGAGCTGGCATTAAATTTTCAATGGAAGCAGTATTGGCTTTGACTTTTCAGAAGGCTTATCTGTTAGATGGTGTTTGTCACTGGGCCGCGGAGCTGTGGATGTTCGTCAGTTGGAAGTTGCAGGCAGTTGAACGATATGGACAGGTGAAGGCTCCGTGGGGACTGGCCCAGCTCGCGGAGAGCTGGAGGGGGTAAATTGAAGGTTTATTTATCCCATTCGCTGTCAAGGTCAGCTTGCTAGAGAGCTGTCCTATGGATGCTTACAAATGCCAAAATCCTGGCAAATTGTCGAAAAGAGCCTCCAAATCACTGACCTTTGTACAGCTCCCATCAACGTGCCCGTGTCTCTGAACGGGGTCCTTAGAGAGAGTTAAATGGTTGGTAAAATGAGGCTTATGCTGTTGCTGTAATGTCAACAGAGCTGCTATGTATTTTTTATTTTTGTGTTTTCAGCAACAAGGATGAAGTTAAAGATATGACTGATGAAAGAAGGAGTTTGGGGTGGGGTGGGGGGAGCTGAGCAAAATAATTATGCTGGTGTGGGTTTTGGCAAACGAGTTGGTCTGAATTTCTACATTTGAGCATATTTCCAGCCTGGAGTCAGAGGCATCTCTCTGTTTCCATTGTTATGTTCCTTGTTGGAAAGGGGCATTTCACAGTTCTTTTTGTCATCCCTCCTCCCCGCTCAGGGTGCTTGATGCAGCCACAGGCTCTCCTGGGGCTGGCTGTTCTGAGTGATGTGTTCTCTTGCTGTGACTTCTGGTCTGACTTTGCCATGACAGCTAATTTAAGGAGGCATGACAGAGCCAGCCATATTGTCTTCCGTTCCTTTTGTTGACGGTGAGCAACACTGCAGTACAGTTAACCAAACGTAGTGGGCATTATCCAGAAATTGAGGAATAACCACAACATGGAATATTATGCATCCATTAAAAAGAATGCACTAGGGCACTGCCTGTTGACCTGGAAAGATAGCTATGGGATCTCAAGAGTGCATGTGTGAATACTGTGATCAGATTTTACAAAAAAATAAAGCCACCTTCTTCCCGGGGTTGCCAGATAAAATAGAAGACACTCAATACATTTGAATTTCAGATAAACAAGAAATAATCTAGAAATGACTTAAAAGCTGTGTGTTGTTTATCTGAAATTCAAACGTAACTGGATGTCCTGTGTTTTTATTTGCAAAATCTGTCAACTCTCTCCCCTCCCCTCAGACAGGTAATGCATATGGACGTGATGTATATGTGTGTCTATATGTATGCATGCAAGTATGAGTAAATATGCATATTTGTATGTGGTTATATAGTCATGGAGTAAATAAAGAAGGATGTATCCTGGATAATTAACATGGATTTTTCTGGAAGAGGCTGCATAGGGGTTGATATGAGAGCGTGTGGTGGAGAAAGCAGGTGGAAGGGAGGAAAGGGTGAGGGAAACAGAAAAGGCAAAAGGGAAAGCCCAAAGGTGGTAGGTCATCCTCTTGTTCACTCTACAAAGGATTGTCTAGATTTCCTTTCTCAGGGCCTGGGGCAGGCACCCAGGATTCCTAGAGGAGGTGGCCAGGGCCCCTGGCTGATAGGAAAGCAGGCCATCCCATCACCGTGTGCCTTGGGCCCTGTGGAGATTATAGGAGGGGGCTGGGGGCTGGACAGTCAGCAGTTTATCTTGCATTGCTGATTTAGAAGAGAAGATAGGCTAGGTGCAGTGGCTCACGCCTGTAATCCCAGCACTTTGGGAGGCCAAGGCAGGTGGATCACCTGAGGTCGGGAGTTCGAGACCAGCCTGAGCAACATGGAGAAACCCCATCTGTACTAAAAATACAAAATTAGCCGGGTGTGGTGGCACGTGCCTGTAATCCCAGCTACTTGGGAGGCTGAAGCAGGAGAATTGCTTGAACCTGGGAGGCGGAGGTTGCGGTGATCCGAGATCGTGCCATTGCACTCCAGCCTGGGCAACAAGAGTGAAACTCCATCTCTAAAATAAAATAAAATAAAATAAAAATAAATAAAAAAAGAGAAGATAAAAGGTTGCATCTCCACATCTCACCAGCCCTGTTTTTACTCTCTGGGTCCAAATTTGGGCTTCCTGGTCCGAATGCCTTCCTTAGCACCCACAAGCTCAGCTCAGGAATGATAACAATTGTCTCACAGTGGGCATGTGGGGACCCTGTGGAGGATAAGAAATGGCTGACGTTGGGGGATCCCCTGTCTCCTCTCTCCCTGTTTAATGTTGAAGACGGTTGCTGCAGAGGCCGGCACATCCACTATTTATAAGACCATTCAAAACCCTCCTTCTTATTTCCAAATTCAATTAAAGAGCTGTTAATACGTCCCAAGTCTGTTGTAATGAGCCCATAACTGAAACTGACATCATTATCAATTCAAACAAAACACAAACGCTTCATCTTTTACTTCCTCAGGGAAACACCCAACTTCCCCAAGCCTCAGCCTCTCCCTGGCTGGGAGGATGCCGGGAGTCTTGCCTGGTGGTTTCTTCTTTCCAAATACAAAGAGTTCTGCAGAGGACCTTCCCTTCCCACTCCACCTTGTGCCCTTGGGTCCAATGAAACTTTGATCATCGTGGTTCTGGAATGCTCTTTCTATAGCCGACATCCCTTGGCAAATTCCTTGCAGGAGGGGAGCAGCTGCAGGAAACCTGGTGGGTGGGAATTTTCTATGTTGTCATGTGGGCCAAACCTCTGATGTTCTGTGGCCCCGAATATTGGTTTCTTATAATGCAAACTTTGCAAAGCTCCAACACCCACTCTTCTGGGATGAAGAAGAAATAGGCAAATAATTTCATCAGGGTAAAAATGCAGAGAGAGAAGGAAAAAAGTCATGGGGCAGTGGTGGTCAGAGGGGACCAGGGCCAGAGGGCAGAGGGTGAGTGGTGGTCACAGGGAGTGGCTTCGACTTTCAGCTAGCGTGGGTCATGAGGGTGCTTGAGGATGTTCAACTGGACTCAGCCATTGGACACAAGGGCTCGCTGGGTTTTTCTCGGACAGGACATTGCAAGAGAGGCACAAAAGATATTCGGGAGAAGGGATATGAGTACTCAATGACCACAAACTGGGGGTCAAGAATTTCTGAGCCCCTGGTATAGGTGCACACTGACCTCATTCATTCTCTCAACAGTCCAAAGACATAAAAGGGTGACAGCCTCAGTATTTTCAGATTAAGACAGTAGGTCACTGGAAGGTTCTGTCTTGCCCAACATTGCAAAAAAGCTTGAAAGTGTTTAAACTCAAACTCAAAGGTCTTGTGGTTAAAAGTTTCTCAGAGTGGCTGAGAAGTGTGAGTAATTGCAGACTCTTTACCCAACAGGTATTCCTGTAAGCTGTGAACTCATCCACAGGTGGCCTGGAAATTCTCACTCCTAAGGCACAAGGGAACCTCTCTCTTGCCCACTGGGTCCTCAGTAGCTTGAACACAGACCTGTGGCTTCTCTCCCTGTGTCCTCCTCTGCATCCTTGACATCACCCTTCTCTGGAGGGCCCGGACTTTCCAGAGTCTACTGGAAGCTCTCATATGAACTGGGGAATCTATCACTGGGTTCTCACATGGATTTGGGGTATGTGCCAGTTCTGATGGGGCTGTGAGTCTGAGCTGGGTCACGCTGGGAACTAGCACTTCCCACGTGCAGTGGGGTTGGTGCCGTGGCTGGGCTGTGCTGCAGCCTGCTCTGGGAAGCCAACACAGCCTCTTTCCAGAGCCTGTTTTCCAGAAGGATCTGGCACCTGGAGGCCTGGAGAAGACTCCCATAGGAATGCTAGGTAGAGCATCCTGCAAGCACTTGTGATGGAGTGAGGTTGATATGGCTTGGATGTTTTTTCCCCCCTCCAAATCTCATGTCAGAATGTGATCTCCAATGTTGGAGGTGGGGCCTGGTGGAGGGTGTTTGGGTCATGGGGGGTGGATTCCTCATGAATGGCTTGGTGCCCACCCTGCAGTAATGAGTTCATGGGAGATCTGGTTGTTAAAGAAACTGACATCTCCTCCTTGCTGTCTTGCTCCCTCTCTCCCTACGTGACACGCCAGCTCCCCGCTTGCTTTCTGCCACTAGGAAAACTTCCTGAGGCCTCCCCAGAAGAAGCCGAGCAGACGCTGGTGCTGTGCTTGAGTAGCCTGCAGAACCATAAGCCAAATAAACCTCTTTTCTTTATAGATTACCCAGCCTCAGGTATTCCTTTATAACAATGCAAATCGACTGACACAGAGAGCAAATTTCTTTTCAACTTCATCAACTGCCCGGCTCCAGAATCTCAGTGGCCTCTCTGTGTAGGTCAGGAAGTCTCAACTACTGTGGCTTACCCCATCCCAAAGTGGAAAATTATCAGTGGTTTCTTTTCTTTCTTCTTTTTGTTTTGAGATGGAGTCACTCCATTGCCCAGGCTGGAGTGCAGTGCCGTGATCTTGACTCACTGCAACCTCCACCTCCCGGGTTCAAGTGATTCTCCTACCTCAACCTCTCGAGTAGCTGGGATTACAGGCACATGCCACTACACTTGGCTAATTTTTGTATTTTTAGTAGAGATGATGTTTTGCCATGTTGGCCATGCTGGTCTTTAATGCCTGACCTTAAGTGACCCTCCCCCCTTGGCCTCTCAAAGTGCTGGGATTACAGCCGTGAACCACCATGCCTGGCTGATCAGTGATTTCTGCACAGAGCCCATCAGCTTTGCCCTGGCCAGTTTCCACCTCCCTGAGTTTCTCAGACTGCTTTTACAAACTCCCAGAGAGGCCATGCAGATACAAATTCCAGTGCCCAGCACCAAGTCCACAAAGAGGCTCATTTGCCTTTCCTTCTGTTTTCCCTCCCTGCCCCTTGACGGACCTTATGTTAGCCATTCCTTCCTTCCCTCCTTCACTCCCTCCTGCCCTCATGCACTCATCAGGTATTTAGATGGCCACTGAGGGTTTCCTGTGAGTGGACATTGTCCCAGCCTCTGAAGATTCTGAACAAAACAGGCAAGGTATCTTTCACGGAGGTTATATACTTTAGGGAAGATGCTGACCATGCAAACAAACACAAGATAATTTCAGAGAGCAGGAAGTGCTATGAAGAAAATCCCTCAGATGAACATGATGGTCAGCTCTACTGAGGTCTTTGAGTTGAATGTTGAAAGTCCGGGGGAGCCGACCAAGGGAAGGCCCGGAGTGGGAGGACTGCTGAGAGTGGGAGAATCTGCAAAGGCCCTAAGGTGAGAGGAGGAAGCTTGAGAGAAGCTTAGAGGACACAGAGGCCCATGGTTGAAAATGAGTCTGGGAGGCCAGCAGAGCTGGGCCAGGCAGGGTCTTCCACCTGGAGCTGCACTGGATTTTATTCTCACCCCAGTCTCTCATGGAGAGTTCACAGACTGCAGCTTCCTTCTGTGCCTGCAGCTTGGCTTGCACAGCTCCCCTCCCTGAGAAACCCTCCTTGTTCTTTGTCTACTGACGTTTTGCTCCTCTGAAATACCTCCTCTTGCATGAAGCCTTCTCAGTTTCCCTGGCAGGATCCATTTCTCTCCCACGTGACTCTGTTGGACAAAACACCCTCTTTGCAGCACTTCTGTGGCTTTGCGTGGTGTTTCTGAGTTCCGAGGCCATGCTATGTCCATCTCTGTAGCCCCTCAGTACTTGGTGCATGGAATGTACTCAGGCATCTTCCTCTAAGCCAGCAGCAGGCTGGAGATGGAGGCCAAAGCTGGGCTTCCTACCTTTCTTCTAGATCTTTGGAGGAGCCCTGGGTTAGGGTGGGAGCAGTTTTAGGCATTTGCCCAGTTATTTTTAGTTTTGGGTGAGCAGCTGGGTAAGAGATGACTCAGACTGGTGAGCAAAGGGAGAAGGCTAGAGGCGGGAGCAATATCCCTGGCTGTGGGCACCAAATCTTTGAGGACCACAGCAGGGCCGTGGGACGACATCTGTCATTAGAAAAGCCAATGGTGAGGTGTGTCTTTATCACCACGGGAAGTAAAAATGAATTAATGCTTGAGCAGGAGCTGCTGTGAAGGCAGCTTCTTACAGATTAATGCTGTATGAAGCCCTCTGTCCCCACCAACATATGCCTGACTCCCTGAGCAGGCCCTTAGCCTTGGTGGGATTTCAGCAGGGGAGAGGTTCCATTTGAATGATGCTCATCTGTGTCTTCTCTAAGCCCACATAAGGGCTATTCCTATTTACCAGGTGGTTGTCTGGCTGGGATTTCCCCTAAACTGAGCTTGTCCTCAGTAGGGACCCCCCAGTGTCAGCCCCAGCCCATAAAGGTGGCACGGGGGTCAACCATGCAGCATTTATTTTGCTGGCCCTACCTGTTCTGAGCACACAGCCTGCTCTGACCACCCAGGCCTGCAGAGAGCTGGGAGGCAGCACCTTTAGCAACCCTTGAAGTCTGAGAACACTGTGCTCTCCTAGTAGCTGCCTTGACTCTGCTGGGTTTGAGGGTCGGCCTTCTCCTCTGCCCACTCCCACCCACCAGCCCACTGTCCTCTGGGCAAGATGCATGGACCCATGGAGACCCTCCCTGTAACTTGTCTTACTATTTCCCAGAACTCTTTCTTTCCTCCAAAGACAAGGTGACCTGGCTTCCTTCTCCCTGTCCTATTTTTGATGGCAGGAGTGGTTAAATCAAATGACAGAGAACACATTATGTTTGCCACTGTATGCCTTCAACCAACAAACTGCCCTTCTGCATGATGGCTTCTCACTGGCCCATGGCGAAGGACAGAGGAGTGGGGAGTTATCCCCGTTCTGGGGGTAGGGTCATCACACTCCATCATCTCCTGCCCCCAACACTGACGCCTCATGGTGTTTGACCAGCAGGACTAGGGCCCAGCATCCTCCAGATGGCTCTGAAAGCCCCAGGCCAGCACAGAGCCAGGCATGAGTGTTGCTGAAAGGATACGTGAATCTGTGGCTTTTGAGAGGAAATGCTCCCAATGAGTAGCTGACTTTGCTAAAGGAGGTGACGTCCTGATCTTGACCTTGACCTTGAGGCAGTGCCGCTATTGTCAATGGGGCTGCAAGGTTGTGCTCTGGGCTGCCTACCTAAGTCACACCAACTTGCAAAAAGTCCCAGGAATATTTACAGTTGGTCTTTAAACAGCAGTGGATACGAATAAAAGAGCAATATCTCACATCATTAGTCCATAAATATGCAGTTTAGTTTTATTTGTCAAATAAAATAACCTGAGATTGAGCTGCCTAGCTGAAAGACACAGACATACATACGCCTGTCTCCTTGCCCTGCCGCCTCTCCCTGATTTTTGCAGCCCTGCAGGAACGTTTTTTCCCCAAGTTGTCCTACTCTCTCCCTTTCCTGGGGAGAATCATTCAGGCACGTTTGCCTCCCTCTTCCTCCAGGCGAAGCCAACTGAATGCCTAGGCTGTCATCGAGGCCATCGGCTCCAGCCCTCTGGGAAAGGAAGAGCTGAAATCCCCTCCCTTGCTTCCCTTATTTAAGGGAGGCTCATTTTGATTTTATAAAAGGCTTGGAGTCTGTGCAGGCTGGAAGCTGGCTCTGCTCGTCGTGGGGGTCTATGCCATGTTCCCCTGCAGGAACAGAGTAGGAGGGCTCTGCCACAGCCCAGCCTGAATTTTCTGTCATCACTGCATCCAGCTGGGTGTGTGTAAACTGGCAGGGGTCCTGGAACGTGAGCAGGAAGGCAGGAGGGATGTATTCCTCCAGGGATACAGAACTTCCCAGTGTAGGGTGAAGACCAGCTCCGTGTGCCCTGTGTTCATCTGGCGACGGGTGGGAGAGGCCTGGGTGCAGATGTGCACCTAGGTTTTGCCCAGTTTAGTGGGCCATGTCTTCTGAGTTAGGTGTTGCAGTGGAACAGGGAGGATGGGCTGGTGGGAGTCAGGGCTCTTGATTAGTAGGCATGGTTGGGTGACACGGCCCTGCCTCTCCACAAAGCTGCCTGCACTTCCTGAATCTCTGAAGCCTTGAAGTTTTATCTATCTTGGGTATAGCTCAGCCAGAGCAGAAGATGACCTAATCTGATTGTTGGTAATTTTTTTTAATTTAATTTTTTTCAGTTTTTAATTTTTGTGGATACATAGTATGTGTATGTATTTATGGGGTACATGAAATATTTTGATACAGGCATGCTATGTGTAATACATCCGGGTAAACATGGTATCTATCCCCTCAAGTATTTATCCTTTGTGTTTCAGACAGTTAGATTATACTCTTAGTTATTTTTAAACAAATAATTATTTTTTACTATTGTCACCCTGTTGTGCTAGCAAATACTAGGTCTTATTTATTTAAGTTGTTGGAATATATATATATATATATATATATATATATATTCGAGATAGGGTCTCACTCTGTCACTCAGGCTGGACTGCATTGGCACAATCTTGGCTCATTGTAGCCTCAACCTCTCAGGCTCAAGTGATCCTCCCATCTCAGCCTCCCGAGTAGCTGGGACTACAGGTGCATGCCACCATGCCTGTCCAAATTTTTTTTTTTGAATTTATGGTAAAGGTGGGGTTTCCCCATGTTGCTCAGGGCTGGTCTCAAACTCCACGTCTCCATGCCCAGCCTGTTGGTAATATTTTAAGCAGAGATATTAAAGACAGTGTATCCTGTCAGCAGACAACACCACCAAGACTCAGTATATTAAGTCTGAACTTGATCTCAGAATGTCTGTCTGTTCTTTTGCAAATAGGACCTTGACTTCCAAATTAATATTTGCCTTGTAAGACTCAGAAACAGCTCCATCGGGGGAGACCGAGGGACGTGATGGTGAATGGAGAGGGTCTTAGGTGAACCAGCAACCCCCTCATGCTCACCCCTCAAAACCCAAAGGCTTTCTGGGTCAGGTGTTGGAGTGAGAATTTTACTTGTGCTTTCCTTTCAGCTTTCACTTCCTCTTGGATCCTTCTAGTGACTATGATAAAATCATCATAGATTTTAGACTGATAAGTTCCCAGCACCCTCGAAAATGCAAAGGCCAGGAACAGAGCAGGGAGGGCTCTGCTATACCCCAGCCTGGATTTCATGTTGTCACTAAGTCCAGATGGGTGTAGGTAAACTGGCAGGAGTCCTGGAATGTGAGCAGGTAGGCAGAAGGGATACATTCGCCCAGGGAAAAGAACTTCCCAGTGTAGGGTGAAGGCTGGCACCATGTTCCCCATTTCCATCTGGCAATGAGTCGGAGAGGCCTTGGGTGCAGATGTACATAATATACTTTAATACATAAATAAGCCATGGTTTTCAGTTAATATGATTGTTTCTTATTGCACCTCTGCATGATAAGTATGTCCGTAGATGCCATGTTTTATTAAACTAACTGGTGTTATATTTTTGAGAAGGAAGTTTGTGATGTAATGAAATTCAAAGTTGTATGTTTCCCATCGCAATATTCTCTCTACAACGTCCTTCAGAGGCATAAGTCTTTTGTGTTACAAACAGAGAGAAGAGATAGCCTGAACTGAGAAATCAGTTTTCTTTTCTTTTCTTTTTTTTTTGAGACGGAGTTTTGCTCTTGTTGGCCAGGCTGGAGTACAATGGTGTGATCTTGGCTCACTGTAACCTCCACCTCCCGGACTCAAGCGATTCTCCTGCCTCAGCCTCCCCAGTAGCTGGGATGACAGGAGCGTGCCAGCGCACCTGGCTAATTTTTTGTATTTTTAGTAGAGACAGGATTTCACCATATTGGCCAGGCTGGTCTCGAACTCCTGACCTCAGATGATCCACCCACCTCAGCCTCCCAAAAGTGCTGGGATTACAGGCATGAGCCACCATGCTTGGCTGAGAAATCAGTCTTCTAAGGGACCTAGAAGAAAAACAAGGAATTAGAATAATTAAAAAGTGGAAAAAAGAACAGGGCTGTACCAAGTCAGGCTTTCCCAATAAGCTAACCATGAGATGTGTAGAAGTGTTAAACATCAACTCTGGGCCAAGTGGTTGGTTTGAACCAGGGAAGTTTTGCAGCAGTGGCTGCCTTGAAGTTTGATAAGAGCAGAATGATTCTGACATGATTTGTAGGGATGGTCTTCTGGACATGGGAGGGGCTGGCTTTCCTATTGCATATCTCCCATGAAATCTTACCCTTTTGGTGTCCTTGGGAGTTTCATCTTTTTAAGTGATGGTCATTTTCTTGGTGCCAAGATACTGTTTTTGTGCTCAAGCACTTGTCAGAAATTGTGACATAAGACAGAAACTTACATGACTCGCCATGAACAAAAAGGAATGTGTCTTGTTAGCAGCACAGGCAGGATACACAGCCCAGACCGGCAGCTTTTATTGCTTTTGCAAAGGAGAAGAAAATATCATCCAGTTCGATGATGCTCTATCTTTGAAGAAATAGGCAAGATTTATCCTGAAGCACCAGAACAGTGGGTTTCTGATGACCCTTTCCTGTTGGCCTCTAGACATGGCTGGTCTCAGGGTGTGCTCATCCTTTTGGGGTGGTGTCCGGGCGGGCTATCTGCATGCAGGTGAAATAAACAGCCCCTAGCACTTTGCTTGGTCACAGGAAACATGCTGGGTGTCAGAGCCACAGCCAAGCGTTGTCCAAGGTACAGACACATCCCCAGTGTAGCCCCACTCAATGAAACCCCTTTCAAGGCCGGGTCTACCCCTGTGAGTTCTTTCCTCTTGGCTTAAACAGGCCTTGTACACATTAAGTGTTCAAGAGATGGGGCTGTCAGTGTCGGTCAGACAGACGGGCTGTACTAACATGATCTGGTGTTCATTTCATCATTTCTCCGTTGACACAACTGAGAACGTTTTTCCTCAAATGCTTAGTTCAGATTTGGCTGTTGCACGGTGGGTTTGCCTGTCATGAAAACAGCTAGATAAAATTTCCATGAAAAGTATTTTAAAAGGCAGATGTGGACAATAAGGAAAAGTGCAGTGAAAGGTTTAAAACGTAGAAACTCTGTGGCCTGGGTTTGTCTTCTTAAGACCCCTTAAACAACCACAGCCCTGTTCCTCTTCCCCCAGTTGACAGAGCGCCATTTCGTGGGTGTGGAGGTAAAAAGACGTCACCAGCCCTGCTGTCCCTCTAGGTCACAGCTCAGGCCTGACATCAGCAGAGAGAACAGAAGGGTCACCTCCCCAGAGAAGGAAGGAGCTTTGCCTTTGAACGATGCATTTAAAACATTTATAAAACATCCTTCAACTTCTTCCAGGAACAAAAGTTTTAAATGAAGGAAAGAGCCTCAGCTATTTCAAGGTCTTGGATTCTTTCCCTTTCTGGCATTTGTGAGCAGCCGTGCAGATTTTTTCCTCCAGAAATGGAGGAAGACTGATTTAGCAAGTTTGCAAAGAGCCCACTTGTGTGAAACACCTTCCCTCCTGCTTTAAGGTGAAACTCCTCTTTCTAGGAGGAAAGCAGATAGAGGTCTAGGTCTGGATTGCGTTGGTCCTAGCATTTGTCACAGCGTTCTACTGAATTAGTGACTCAGTGCAGCAGTCACTTAAAAAAGAGACCCAGTTAAAATAGAGGGGCCAAAATCTTTGCTGCTTTTCCTCGAGATTCTCATGGGGTCCTTGTCAATTTCTATTAAGCTGTGGCAGGTTCAGGAGGAGCACTCAATTAATGGTTTGTTTAGGTGGCTCTCTATTGGTCACATGGAGAACTCCTTGAGAGTGGGACAGGATCTTATTTTAGCATTTCCAGCCAATAGCTAGAGTGCTGGGCAACAAAAGGTGCCCAGTCAATGGTGATTGATTATTTGATCCACATTTAATTGACTGCCTTGCCCCCACTCCTCCACTCACACAATAAGACCACGCAAAGGTGTGATAGGAAATATTTGGATGGTCAAGTTTTAACAGCATGAAGTGTGGTCTCCACGAGAACATCCGTGGATTTTTTATGGTTTCTGAACAAGGTTCCCATGACTGTGCTGCTGTACATGCCTTAATTCAGATTTTGAACTTAAGGACCACCTGCTCAACAAAGTCCTCTCTGTGTCCCGCAAGTTAGACCTGTATTCACAGGACACACAGACCTTAAAGGTGTGACAGTCATGGTGGCATCTGTAGGAAGGAGGCTGGGAGGAAGGGCTGGCAGGAACAGCTGTGCACCTCTAACTGGGGTCATGAGGGCTGGTCTGAAAACAGAGGTGCCGATGGCTGGAGGAAGTGGGTGAGAGCAGCTTGTGTCTTTTGCAGAGGGAAGGAAAGGGACACTTCCTTTTGGAAAGACAACTGGTGTGATACAGGGAGAGGCGAAGTCAACAGAAGAACAATGCCAAAAAACTACTTGATGACTGAATTCCAGGATCACAGCCCCAGCTTTCCATGACAGGGCCAACCAAGGCTGTGGTCTTGTGTGCATCCGTCAATTAAAGCAGGAGGGAAGTTTCAAAGCAAAGTCATTCCAGTAAAAACTTAACAAGCCCTGGGCTGACTTTAAGGATGCATGTGAAATCATGACAAAACAAGGATTTTATTTTGTTTTCCATGGGCTAAATTATTTCAGTTCTTGGTGTATAAGTGTTTTGAGGTAGCATCATTTTTTTCAGCCCAAAGATAAATCCTAGAGTTACAGAGGGCTTCTCTTGAGGAGGGATGCTCAGATCAATCAGGAGAAGCCAGGCAGGAAGGAGAACCCGAGACAAAGGGCCTTGCCTGGAACTCTGCAGCAGGGTTAGGGGGCGTGTGAGCCACCCATTGCATTTCTGTCTGGGGTTTTCATCAAGGTTCCCTTTTCTGTGACAGGTAATGTCATTGCATGTACACAGTTTAAGACAGAGCATCTGGTGATTCTCGGACCTTCAAGCAAGTGTCACATCTCAGGTGAACCTTGGCAGTTTTAAGATGAACAAAGTAATCAAAGCAAAAATGTCAAATAATAATAATAATAATGATATCAGAAGAATGTCCAGTGCCATGGTTGGATTCCCAGAAGGCAGCATCTGCTCATGCCATCAACAACATGGTGCCATTTCAGTCATCCTCTTTTTGTCCCAAAGACAGAAAAAAAATAGAAAAAAGAAAGAGAAAAAGACACCACGAACCGTCTATCCTCCTGGTAATACAAATACACCTGTAAATAAACATGTCAATGTCTACACACAACGCACATTTATGCAGAATCCATCCTCTCGGTGCTTCCGTAGTTATCAAGTAAAAGTCCTTCTAAGCCTAAGAAATGATAGTATTAATTCAGTCTTGGGGTGTGGGGGGAAAGGTGGACTATCATCAAATAAAAAAGGCGAGGCTAATTAAGTGACATCCACTGGGGACTGGGAAAAGAAGAGACTTCTTGTGGGAAAGTAATTATATCTTCATTGACCCTCCTGGGGTACCCCCAGTGGCAGGGACTCTGCCTCGCGGTGTGACATCTCCTTTCGGGATGAGCAGCCAGTCACCTCGAGAAGCCCCCTTCTCCATGGATGCGTTTTCTAATCATTTCACATGATTGAGCCTCCAGCAAGTGATGCTTTACTTAATTCCTTTCCGCCTGTAGGGTGTGAGGTTTGGAGGGCCTCTCGTCAAAACTTTGGAGGGCTCTGTCAGTTTGAAAAGAACATGACCTTTAAATTGTATCAGTATGTTTGCTGGTGCATAAGGGAGAGGAAAAGGTTCGTCCTGATGGAAAACCACTCAGAAGCCAAGGAGTAATTCAGAGGGAACCAGCCCAGGAAGGTAATTCATTTATACATAATTTGCTAAGTGGGGCGAGAGTGGGGCCATGTACCTGCCGGGAGAGAAAGGCCTTAAGGTTCGGGTCTGGGGACATTTAGCCCATCTTAGGGTATTTTTCTTTCCATCGCTTCTCACCTCTGAGCTACAGATGTTGCTCCACTGTTCTTAGAACAAGTAAACCAGTTTACTCCTGTGACTGCAATTGAGAGGCAGATTTTCAGAAAGATTCTACTTATACAACTGTCAGTCCTGGAGTTGAATCATTGACTCCTCCAGAGAAATTAGCAAGGTCTGGTCTGATACTGTGTGACGCAAGTAGGAACATGAGGACTGATTTTGAGGTTTATCAAAAAACTGCTTTTTAGAGATAAAGCATCTATTCTGATTTTATTTCATAAGTCTTATTAGAATAAAGAGAATTCGAGAAGCCCATCTGTTTCATGCACGCCCCCGTGCACACACACACCCCCATCCCCACACTTTTTATTTGTGTATTGTGTATAGTTTTTATTGAGTTTATTTGTGTAATTTTTTAAAAGTTATATTAGTTTGAATTTAGAGGACCTTTAATGACGACCCTTTGTGTCAGAGTTTGTTACTACCCAACCCCTTTTTTCTAGTTAAAATATTTGGATTTATAAATGCAGAAAAAAATAGAGGCTAAGATACCGAACATTTCCTGGTTTAAGGAGGGGACCAAAAATAGCAATTTGAGCTTGGAGCAGACGTATACTTATTTTATTTTATTTTTTTAAGTTTGTAGCATCTTTATCTTTCAGAATCAAGAAAGCTGCCCACAGTGTCATTCTTCAGCTGAGAAAAGAGAGAGTTGACTAACTCCTCGGACTGGAGTGAGGACTCACAGAGGTGGTAGGACACTAACCATCTATGTCTCCATTTCCTGGGTTGTAACACTGAGGTAGAACATCTCACTGTCCCATGGAGGATTATGTTATTTTTGGAGATTAATAATTTTGGAGGAAGAAAGGTGGCTTCCTGAAAAGGAAGTCACATGAAGAAGCAACTTACACGGTGGTCTCTTTAAATAAACATATTGTGACTAGACAATGTATTTGTTCTTTGTAGCAGGAAAGAGCAATGAGCAGGCTTCTGACTCTAAGCCCTGTTTATCCTCACGTTGTGAAGCATAATCATTTGTCAGCTTAGGTGAAGCCCCTGTGCCCGGCTGCAAGCCACGGTGCTGTGAAGTATTGACTGAGTCCGGGTGCCTAATGCAAAATGCAAAATAGGAATTGAAACATACTTGATGGAATTAAAACATTAGTATTGGCTTTCAGCTCTCGGTTCTCTAGCTCCTGTTATAAATGCAGGGCATCTTAAAAACAAAACCCAATAAACAGCAGAAAACAGCCGGGCGCCTTTGCAAGGCAGGAGAGGCACAGAACCTCGCTGCAAGATTTGTGAATTGATTTTCTCCAGTGTGGACTCCGGCAACTGTTTCATCTCTAACTTTGACATATACTTTTCCTTTATTTTAAATAGAATGCTCTTATTTTTACCATGGGTATAGGAAGGCACTGTGACATGCTAGATAAATGAAATAATCCTGATTACCACATTAAGCCATACACAGGGAATCTTAAAAAGAAAATGCTGTAAAAATCTAATGTGGATATACTTACTCGAACATCAGTGTTTATCAGTGTGTATATGCACTGGGCCTTCTCTGAAGTGGAGGTCACCACAGCATGGGATTTGGGGTCTGACCTTTGCCAAGGAAGTCCATAAGGTATTTCATATGAGATATCTTCCTAGAGAAATGAATCTGGTTTTGGTCCCAGACAGGAATCCTGTCTTTCATCAAATAAGCTTAATATTCAACAATATGGCAGGAACCAATATGTATGGTTTTGCCTCTCTGTTCCTAGAGGTCTTTATTTAATCCTAAGTCTTGGGAATCTGAGTAAACTGTGATGACCAGGCCCTTATGTCCAGTGGAACCCAGGAACAGTGCTTTAATCTTATTTCCTCAAGGATCTGCGGAGATCTGTGTTTGGGTTACAACCCTGTTGCTCTCCAAGGGGTAGCATGCTTGGGTCAGGGAAGGAAAATGGCGCCCAAGGGTGGCCATGTTTGGGTTCCAGACATATCCACTCATTTAAATCTATGACATTTCTAGCAATCTCGATTGAAAGCAAAGACAGCCAAGGAAATATTTTCTAATGGGTTCTTCACACTGTTCAAGCACCATAACATTCCCTTCTGTCCTGGAGTTTCAGACATCTGTCTGCGGTGGAGGCACTGTTCCAATAAATCCTCTGTCCTTGGGAGATGAGAGGTGAAATGGGATTGGGGAGAGGGTTAGGGGACAGTGGGGAACCTTCATCTGGCCCAAATCCATCCCCTTGGCCTGTAGTCCTTGATAGCAGAGCCCAGGGGAAGCCCACTGTGTGCATGCTCACCGGTTTCTGTCATCTTGGGCTGGCCCGCACGCAGCCACACTGCGCTTCAGGATGGCTTATCCTGATGTAGCCCAAAGGTTTCTAGTTCTCTTTTATGTCATAAGTCTCTGTGGCTTTGGTAGGCCTCCCCTCTGAGGAGTCTTAGGACTACGCTGCTAGATTTGCTGTTTTACATCGACACGGTTTGCTTGGCCTTGGAGTTCCTTTCATTGCAGGCTTGAAACCCTGAGTTCCTGGGATTGCATCTGGCACCAAGCTCTTTCTCCTCAGAGTTCAACTCCAGGGTTATTGTGGGTGAGGCAGGCAGTGCCAGGAGGGAGGCCCTTTGAGCTCAGCCTGCAGAGTTATCACCAGTTCCTCTAGTCTGAAGAGCTCAGAATAATTTCTGATGATTTCCCCCAAGGGGTGGGGGTGGTGTGGTTAATAATATTGCAGCGGGCACAGCAGGCTTTGGGTGGAGAGAAAGCAGCTGTACCTACTGAGTAGGGAATTTTATTCTGGTGTCTGAAACTTTCAACAACTTGGGCCTGGTTGGGCGAGGTAACTCCATGACTCTACAGACGCATTTTGAGTGAGTTGGTTTCAGCTTTCACAAAATGCTAATGTTGATATTGTTTACATCTGGTTGCATTGTTTTTCACTTTAAAATTACAGCTTTAGTACATTAAGCTAATTTCATAATACTGTATTAACTTAATATTCCATAAATCACACTTGTCAGATTGCATTGTTATGGATGTGCAAAACCCAAATTTACTATTCAGACTCTCCAAACACATGTATTCATAATTTGCTCCAGCAAGCCCCATGCTGCCATATAGGGTTAAGGAATTATACATTCCAATGCCAGGCACAGATCACACTGCTCTCTCTCTCCCTGCAATTGTTCTCCATACAAATTGAAACAATATATTTCCAGCCATTTTCATAGTTGTAATTACTAGCAAAAATCGTAATACCGTGAACATATTTTACACACCTGCACTTTTGGTCCAATTCATTTTTTTTGTAAGCTGAGTGTTCTCGTTTGAATAAGGTTGAGAAAGCTCACTGGTGGTAGGAATGGCAGGGTATTTTTTTTTTTTTTTTTGGGGAAGATGATAACTTTTGACTTGGAAGGAGAGGTAAAGAGACTAGCAGAAGGAACTCAGCTTGTACCTTCTCCTCTCCCTTCATCCCTTTTCTCTCCTCTCATCCTCTCTTTTTCTCTCCTTTCTCTTGCCTCTCTCTGTGCCTGTCTCCCCCACATCTCTGACCCTCTCTTTCTTTTTTCACCTTGGCAAGAAGAATTTAATTGCAGCCTATTTGGCTTTTACGTGGTCCCTGGTCCTCTTGCAAGGGTGCAAAGTCTCTGTTTAGCCTGCCTTGCTGGTTCCGGGGAACAAAGGCATGCTGTTGGTGGGGGAAATGGTGGTGGGCTGGGGCATGGAGGAGCCTCTGTAGGTTTTTAAGCACACACTGTCTAATCGGGCTCTGACAAGTCCATTGTAAATCAAAGGTCTGGTAAGTGGGGATGCCAGAAATGTTTGATCTCCTTCCAAGCCTTGAAACAACTTGCTTATTTTTTCTGCAGTTTGGCTCCTCACTAAAATAAAACATTGCGAGATGAATGTTCTGACGGGTCATTGTGTGTCAAGCTGTCACTCTGTAATGGTTACATATTTCAGCTGGATTGAGGTGGTGCTGGTTGGGGGAGGTTTGGGGAAAAGAGAGAGGGAGAGAGGGAGGCTAAGAAAGGAGACAAAGAATAACAAGATTTCTGCTTTCTCCTTGTGGCTGATCTTCATTTAAACCAAACACTTGTCATGTTCAGGGGAAGTTTTATAAATTTTTAATGATATTGGGTACAACTGGTGCTTTGAAATTTGCTGTACTTTAATTTTTTCTTCGTTAGCAAAGGTTCACTAATGCATTGAAGTGCTAAGAGCGTATCCTGGGGATGCCACGATAATTGTGTTGTTAATAATATTGTGGCACTAGTAATGTTCTCCTGGTAATCAAGGCATGAGATTTTTTTTTAATATATTCAGTTATTACACTGCATCTCGTACAAATCATGTCAATTACAATTGCCAGCCTGTGACAGTTAAAATAATTGTATACGTTTTCTAGAATTTTCCATTGGCTTGGCTAATCAAGCTAAAAAAAAATCAACACATTATTTGCATTAATTTTGTTTCTAGTCTATTTACACTCCTAAATCATTTGTCCATCTACTTCAAAAGGCAGAACAGTAAGTATTTTAATAATAAATATACAAACACATTCACACCAACCTAATTTAGGAATACTCCTATAGGTCTGGCAAGATGGAATCATCTGGTAGGAATGTTTTGTGTGACTGGGTTTATGACTTTAACTAGTGTGCATGCATGCTGATGTTGAGTTCACATTGCATACACTTGGGATATGTGGATTCTATGTTTATATAGACAGATCTTGTAAGAACATTCATTTTAGCATTTGCTATTTCTGTATTCCGTCCGTAGTTCTGTCTAGGTCAGGAAAATTGCATGATTTTGGTCTTTCCTTTTTGGCTTCACTGAAATAGCTCAATATTCCTCTGCACCAGGAAATGATGTATGTAATACTTTGCAGAACGACACTGCAAATTTGCAGCTCAAACAGTAGTCTTCTACTTCTGTGAGCTCTACCTCCTGACCGGCACTGAAGGTTTCTTTATTTGGAACTAAAATAGCTAAACACTCAAAAAGTACTGAACATGCGAAGCCAACCGCACATGGAATCCCCTGCGGTGTCTCAGCAAATTTCCCCATAGCCTGGGCTCTCTCTCTCTCCTTCACCCAGCATCCCTCTCCCCATCACTACTGAGAACAGGGAGGGGTTTTGGTCACATAGAGACATGTTGAATGAGGACTCCATGGTGCACAGAAGAAGGGAGGAGGGGCTGGAAGGCTCTCTGGGGAGCCTTGTCCTGTCTGGCTGCCATGGCATGGGGACAGCAGGTCGGGGTGCCTCTCAGGCAGACCCTGAAGAGTGAGCTGCCTGGCCTGTTTTAGCTGCAAAAAAGAGAGGCTTGGAAAGCAAGCAGGGAATGTGGCAATTTCTCAAGGGACCCTTGAACAAAAAGGAGAAGCATTCTTGCAAAACAACAGTAGCAGAGGGTCGGAGCAATGACAGGTGGACATGCTAGGATTATCTGAGAAATTATCCGGCAGCTTGGTGATATTATTTGGAGAATTATAAAAAAAGCACCCCAGTTCCTGACGCCCTCTTCAGCCCTTCCACCACCATCCTCCCTCTACACTGTGCTGTCCATGGCATCTAGATTTTGCATGAGGATCAGTGGCTACAGGTTACGGGGGTCAGGGTAACAAAATATTTTTTCCCTTTTTTAATGCAATCATATTCTCTTAAACATGGCTTGAACAAATCATCTCTCAAAATGTAGAATTTATTTCTCAACTTTGCCTGGAGGTACAGCGGCAAGAACAGATTTTTTCCCTCTCTCTGGCCCTTTGAGTCCTGACCATACAGAATGGATGGCTTTAGAACTGTACACGGACAGGAAAATCAATGCGTCATACCAGGAGGCTTCAGGGGTTAGGTTCCCATGTCCATGTCAACAAGGCTATTGGTTTTTTTAATGCTCCAAAGTTATCACTTCCCGGCTGCTAGAGCCACCGCTGTGACTTGTGTGGTCAAACCTTAACAAAAGAATTTCCCTTTGCCCACCACTCGGTGGCATGGAATTTAATTATTGCACAGAGAGAATTTTTCCAAGTATGACAATCTAAAACAAACAAGCAGGCCCCCAACCACAGACATTCTCAGGGCAACTGGCTGGTGTGTTACAGCTGGGATCAGGGATCTTGCTGGGGTCTGGGGCACCACATTTGTGCCAATCCTCAGCTCTGTGGCAGGATGGCAGGCGACTGGTGAGGTCTCTGCTACCTCTGGATGCTCTGGAGATGCAGCTTGCTGGAAGAAAAGGACAACATGGCCTTCTTCAGGAGGGTCACCTTGAAGTCAGTTGGAATTGGGGGTGGCAGACAGCTAGGACCATGGGCATCTCTCCTGCTTTGAGCTCAATGGTCTATTTAAGGAGGTTTAATTTGTCGGTAGAATTACGAGCTCTCAGATGACGACCATGTTGCTTCAATTAACACTTACTGTCATTAGATTTTAAAGCGAGTATCCGAAAGGCCTTGGCTAAATCTTTGTTGATTTAATCATCCCAACTACCGCATTTGGTCTACTGGGGAGTCCTTGTGCCCTGACAGTAGCCCTATATGAAGACCTAGAATTTCTCAGATTGACCGAGTTTGCAGCCATCCTGGATCCAGACCCCTCCTGAGCTGCCTGGCCAGGCAGAGACCCTGTGCCCTCCTAAATCGGCCCTTCGCTCTGGTTTTCATTCTGAACCCCCCCCCCCCAGCCACCTTTCCCTGGGCTGTCCTGTCGGCGGTGACACAGTGCCAACGCCACAGTGCTGGAGACCGCAGTGAGCATTGCTCACTCGCAGCGGGCGGATGAAAAGGCAGTGCAGATGTAATTTGTTTTCAATGGCTGTTTCAAAAGAATAATTGTGGTGACATTGCGGGATCAATATTATAGATTTTTGTTTTCAAGTACACTGTATGTGTGGTGCTAAGGGGAGGCAGGAAATACAACACTGAGGCCTGAATACAATAAAAATGGATTGAGGTCTGCGGGTATTTGTCGGCTGCTAGCCATCACGGGTTTGGGACAACATTGGTGGGATTACCGAGTTTGTCCTTTGGGTTGGTATTTCATGGTGAGTGGTGTGCACATTTCCTGTAGTTTTCCTTTTGGCTTCTTTTGGGACTTGTTTCCTGAATCCATGTGAAGCAATCCGAGACGAGCTTCCAAAATCAGAGCCTTGGCTTTGCCCACTAACACGTGGAGGTGGCCGGGGGTGGTGTGCTGGAGAAGGTGTGTGACGATCTGTGGAAGGGGCTGGACAGTTTCAGGAGAACACGATAGCTTCTAGTCCAGATTCGGGGTAGGATGACTCTGGAAGCCATCTATTTCCTCCGGCTCCTCCTGGGCAGCCTCCAAAACGCAGGCCACCCCAGGAGCGTCTGTGCATCCCGGATTGAGACAGGGACTTGGTGATGGTGGGAGCAAGTCCCCAGGCGTCCCTTGGACCACCTTAGATGGCAGCCTCATCCTTGGGCAGGACAGCATGCTCTTGAAAAACACTCTGCTCAGAAAGCTTTTCTGAACACAAAGATTGTCACTTTAAAATCCTAAGAACACCAGAGGAGGTGATGAAGACCTCTGGAGTTAAGGCGGGTTCCCTGACTTGGGGTAACTGCACAAAAGTGTAGATCCCAGGGTGAAAATTATATGAACAAAGCATTAGTAATAAAGCTGAATAAATGTAATGAGATGTGAAAGAGAGCATGGTGAGAGCTTTCCCCCCTGTCTTTTGTAATTAGCCCTTGAAAGAAATGGAAATCCTGGCAAAATACCTTTCTAGTCACTGGCTTCAAATTGTAAATGAAAATGATTTGTTTTGGGGTGAGAGAATTGCCAGGCAGGGAGCAGGATTTCTACCTCACATCCAGAAGGATACCCACAATGTGACGGCTGGAATATCTGGCCCAAATGACTCAGTTGACAGATGGGGAAACTGAGGCACACCTTTTCTAGGGACGTGCCTGGTCTTGCAGTGAGTTTGAAGAGACTGCATATTCTGACTTTCAACCCAAAGCTTCCCATGAACTTGGCTCTGGTTTGGGTGTATTTTGTTTGGAAAGCACAATGTCTTTTGTTGCTTTCTTTCTTTCCTTCTTTCTTTCTTTCTTTCTTTCTTTCTTTCTTTCTTTCTTTCTTTCTTTCTCTCTCTCTCTCTCTCTCTCTTTCTTTCTTTCTTTCTTGAGGACAAATATAAAGCTGGGCAAGTTCCACAGCAATCCAGTTCTGGATTCTCTTGAAAAAATCAGAATATCTAGCAACACAGGGCTCCTATCTTGCATGGCAGCATCTAGCCAGTGTGAAGTCCCTGCTGCCTGCTTTGGGCGAAATCCTCCCTCACTTGTTCACCTTCAGCCTAAGAAGCATTTGAGCTTGTCAGCCCTATACTAGAGTGCATTGCGGCATTTGTGTGACTGGACAGCTTTCCTGCTCTGAGACCTCTCTGGCACACTTGTGAATTTAGCACAGTGGCGAATACCAGGGGCACACTTCCCTCAGAGCTACTCCTTCCTTGGTCCTATGGAGCACAGACTATGATTAGTAAATATGAGCCGATTGGCACCCTAGGACCTCTAACACCCTATGTTAGCAATTTGTGTGCCTGTGTGATGCAAACTCTCTGGAAGAAGTAAAAACCAAACCACCTACACACTTCAAAATAGCCAGATGTTTACATTCATACTTCCTGAAGATTTAAAGCCATAAACATTCGCTGAGCTCCTGGCTTGAGGTTTAGGCAAGAGAGAACGCCTTCTCTCAAGGAGCTCACAGTCTAACAGGAGAAAACATAGATGCGTTAATTACCTAAGATGTAAACTCAGGGCTGGTTCATTGAGGTCCTGCTGTGTCCTAGCCCCTGCAACTACCTTTTAAGTCACTAGGCAAGGAGAATACCCACAAAAGACAGAGTATGGTGAAAAAGGCTGTATTTTTGTGTTGAGGGGTTTAAGTCTGGGTTAGGAGAATTAACATCTTAGTCACTAATTTAACAGCTATTTATTGTCAGCTAGGAGTGGGGCATGGTACAAATGCTAGAACTATAATGGTGAGCAAAATAGACATTAATCCACCAGTGGCACAAACAAATAATTCAAACTCGTAAGTGCTATGAATGAGAGTACACAGTGTTATGAGTCCACATAACAGAGAATCTGATCAAATCTGGGGAAGATCAAAGGCTTCTCTGAAGAAGACATTTGGTCTGAAGGTTGGATAAAGAATAGAGATTACGAGGTCTTTCTACACAGAAGAATCAGAATGTTCAAAGGCTCCGGGGCAGGAGAAAGCCTGTCATACCCAGGCAACTCAAAGAAGGCCAGTGCAAGGTGGGAAAGAGAGCATGGAAGGAAGTGGTGTGGGGAGAGGAGCTGCAGAGATATATTGGTGGATGCCAGACCAAACAGGACTCCAAGGTCCAGGGTAAGACATTTGGTCTTTGTCCTCAGAGGAACAGAACACAGGAAGGGTTTTGGAATGTGTGTGTGTGTGTGTGTGTGTGTGTGTGTACATATGGCAACACAAACAGATCCATCTTTTAAAAGAAGTATTTATCCTAAGTCAGGTTTCCAAGAAATCAGATGCCGAGCCTCAGAAATTTGTGTAGAGTGTTCCCTGGGGGATGCTTTTAGGAGCAACAGCTGTGAAGAGTCAGAAAAGCAAGACTGGGCATAAGGAGAAGTTGCACCATCATAAAGTTGCAGAAGAGGCCTCAACAAATGCTATGGTACATGCTGGAGCTAGCATGGCTCTGCAGAAATGTCCTGCCATGGAGTTTGGGGCTTTAAACCACCAGATCCCCAGTGCATCAACCAGTCATTGGATGGTGGCTGCCCCTGGGGAGGAGATGTAATCTTGAATAAGGCTGTTCTCTTCAGCTAAGGACAATTTTCAAGAGGGAACTCAGTTAAGAGCTGCCAGCCACCAAGACTCTCAGGAGCTGGAATTAGTGGCACACAGAGAACACTACAGTCTGCCCCCTGCATTATGTAGAACTACTTGTTTCGTATAATAAATTTTATAAGCAGCTCTTCCAGGATCTTGGTTGTTTCTTTTCTTCAGGGGAGACTTATAAGAGGAGTGTCATTGGGACAAACCACAATCCCACCCCTGCAGCTGGTCTTTGGGTCACATCTATTACTCATCATCTCTGCTTTCTGTAGTGCCAGGCCATTTGCTACTCCCCACGATTCTCTATATACTCTTATGTCATTATTTGCTTCTTATCCTTGGCTGACACTTCTATTGGTCTGAGCTGCTCAGCTGGTGCAGTGACCAAGCCCTCCTCTCTAAAGTGTATGGTGCTCTGGACACCATGCCCTTCTCGACATGGCTGTTGCATTCGTTCTGTTTTCACGATAGGGCCCCAGTGACAAAGGGTACCCTAGTGGATCAGCTGGCTGCCTCCATCATGTAACAACAACTCTATCTCCTCCTTTCCTTTCTTGCTAGATTCTCAGCATAAGAATCCTAAGTGAACAGATGACAACTGTAGCTAAAAATATAATGGGACTCTTGCCAAGTTATCTGGTGGAAGAGTGCCTTGTCCAGGACTCAGAACCTCTAGATGCACAGCACCTGGCGTTACCAGGATGCTAAGCACTACTTCTGTAAATGGATCAGTGGGAAGGATGGAAAGCGGGGCCGCTCCTGCTTCTACCCTTTGGATCCTGACCTCATGTATTCCACCTGTTGGGGATGCACAAACATACAATTTTCATTGTTTTGGAGTTTACACTGAGTTCTGGAGAAGGATGTCCTATTCTTCCAGGATATCATCCCCAAGTTGGTGCTCGAGCTGAATCTTCAAAGGGCCATTCTATTGCTCTACCGAGTTGGCAGTTTTCTTTTTGTTGGGATAAGTGATAGAGCCAGTGTGGCTCTATCGTGGTCATATTTCCACTCTCATGGTCATATTTCAACTCTTACATCTTCCCTAACTACAATGCAACATTGTGTGGGATCTAGTATTGGTGTAAACTCTTGGATAGTAGTGCTAGCTAAAGACTTGTGGCCAGGAAAGGCAAACTTAAATCCAGAGTATGTGAATTCCTATCAATTTGAATCCCTACCTTTTCCAAGATGGAAGGGATCCAGTGTAATCAAGTTGCCCCCAAGTGGATGGTTAGCCTTCTTTTGGTATGAAGTCACATTAGGGATTAACACATTGGTCGCTGTGGCTGGCAAGCTGGATATTTGGTGGTGCTAGGAACTAGATAAGTCTTAGGGAATAGGGGTTCATGCTACTGGGCCCATGCATAATGTTTGTGCTATCAGGTCTTTGCTGCATTCATGTGGCCATTGTGCAAGCCCAATGACCAATGACAGAAATTAGTCCCATATCAACGGGCCGAGTCATTCTTTCTACTTGATTGTTTACTGCTTCTTCCATGATGACTGCTCCCTAATGGCATTATTGTGTAATACAAGGATCATCCCACTTGTGCCTTCTCATAGACCCATCCATAATCCTCTCTTTCCCAGGTCTCTTTGTCTTCAGTCTTCCAGCTGTTCCTTTTCCAGGGCTCTTGACCAACCAGCCAAGCCATTTGCTACTACCCATGACTCTACATGTATTCTTATGTCAGCCCACTTATTTTTCCATACAGAGTAAATTACCAGATTCACCACCTGAAGGTCGGCTATGGGGAAGAATTTTTCCCTAACTACTGTCTTTCAAAGCCATGACTCTGTGGGACTGTATATCACAGCAGGGGTCTGTTTGCAGCTTGTATTCACACACTGAGCTAAGAACCAAGATTAGCCTTTTTCTTTCTCCACCAGCTGCTTAGAGGGGTCACCAGGGTTCCGCAGGTGTTAGCTGAGGAAGGAGGTGCTGCTGGATCAGTAGTGGGTGTCATAGGGGTCTGGGCTACCAGCTCATGCAGCCTACCTGTGCCCTGTGGTCCTACTCATGCCAATTCTAGATAAAATTCTTCCATATTACAATGGATAAGTTCTGGATCTACCTGACCTTATAACTTGGTGGCTCTGACAAAACCCAGTTCATGATGGAAAGCTCCTACTGGTTGGTAACTGGGTGGTAACTAGGCATTCCGTGGGCGGAAAATCTGTCTCTACCAGGGCCCACAAGTAAACCATGAGTTGTTGTTGTTTTGTTTATTTGCATATGGTGCATACTTTCTTACTGCATAAATTCTGGATAGTCGTTTTCCACCTCAGTGACCCTGTGTCTGCTGGGTCATGAGGAATTCACCAGGTCTTGGTCAAGTTGCAGAGACCTCTCCTGATTGGTGCCCCTTTCAATGGAAGACACTCCTGTCACTCAGTACATGGATAGCAGCAATATTCTGAAATGTGGGATAGCTGCTTCCAGAACCCACAGAGGTGTAGCTGACAAAGTGAAATGTGAGATGCAGTGTGAAATGTGAGGTGTCCTTCCCTACAGATGGGATGTTCTGGTATGTACTTTTTTTTTTTTTTTGGAGACAGAATCTCTTTCTATCACCCAGGCTGGAGTGCACTGGCATGATCTTGGCTTACTGCAACCTCCAGCTCCAGGTTCAAGTGATTCTCATGCCTCAGCCTCTTGACTAGTTGGGACTACAGGCTATGTCACACCTGGCTATTTTTTCTTTTTTTTGTAGAGATGGTTGGTGTTTCACCATGTTGGTCAGGCTGGTCTCAAACTTCTGGCCTCAAATGATCTGCCCTCTTTGGCCTCCCAAATTGCTGGGATTACAGGCGTGAACCACCCCACCGGGTCCCTGGTATGTCTTTGATCATTGGATCCTCAAAAACTTCATTGACTTGGTGGGTCTCTGAAATTTCTTAGGGCTTATCTGCCACCCTCTGGAGGGCATGCATCTCACCGAGGTTGTCTACTGTCACCCTTCATGATCTACCTTGTTTTTGTAGGAATCAGACTGGTGAATTAATGCGGTATGATGGAACCTACCACCCTTCCATCATATGCGTATTTTCTATGTTGGATGGTGCAGGAACAACTTGAGAGACTACCACTTGACCTTCTGCACCATGATGGTTCTTGCCCAAAGGTCCAAGGAGCCACTCTGGAGATCTGCTAAGTTCCAAGGATGTCTATTCCGATGATACATTTTGGGGATGTGGAAATTACCGTTAGGTGGACTTCCTCAGACTGGATCTGGGCCTGGATTCTATTTTTCCCCAGCCCCTATGTGTGTACACTCAGGCCATTTTGCTAGGAAGAAGACTGAGGGTGAGTAATGGGGAGAAGCTGGAGATCTTGAATAGGAGAAGTTCAATTTGGGTCCCAGTCTGAGAAAGCTGCAGGAGGTTTGATGAAGTAGCCTTGGGTTTCCCAACATGGAAGACATGCAGATGATATTAAATAATATAAGGATATTACATTTATACGTTAAATCATAGTGAGTTACAAGGTAGGACAATTATTCCTTTTCCAATTCAACATGTTTGAATATTTGCTGTGGTTCCAAAATGGACAGGCTGAGGCCTGTTGCATGGGAGTTGGGACAAAAATAAGTTTCCCATACAAATATGGCCTGGAAATTGATGGATTTTTATAGTATTGCCTTCCTCAAAGTCTGAAGGTGGAATTATTCTGTTGTCCTGATTCAAGAAATATAGAAGGACAGCTTTCTGCAGAGGAATTAATGGGCTTTTCCTGCAAGCTTATTCCTCCAGCCTAGTCCCCACCTCAGATATGATGTTTCCATCTTCTTATCTTAAGCAACACATGTGGCTGTGTGGGCTGTGAACGCAGGGGAGTCACTTGAATCTCACCAATCTAAAAAGGAGGAAAAAGGGTGGCCCAATTTGGCTTCTTGCTCTGAAAAATTTCATTTGTAAATTTAAATTAAATTTTAAAATTTAATTCTATGGAAGAACATACTTTCTAGGATTTAAATTGAATACTGAACTCCCTTGGGTCAGAATGCCCCTTCTAAAACTTGACATGTTCTCTTCTGGTCTCTTCAGTTACTTTGCCAGCTTAGGGTAAGACCAGCCTTCATGGCACTCATTTTTATCATGCTGGAGGTCAAAAGTGGAATAACCTTGGGATCAGGAATTTTCTGATAAACAATGTTGCCTTGTTTGGGACAAGAAATCATAAGACTGTGTATTAGTTTTCGACTGCTGCTGTAACAAGTTCCCACAAACTCAGTGGCTTAAACAATACAAGTTTATCATCTTGCAGTTTTATTGGTTGAAATCTGGCACAGGTACCACTGGACTAAGACTGCCAGTAGGGCTGTGTTCCATTTGGAGGCTGTACTAGTCTGTTCTCACGCTGCTAATAAAGACATATCCAAGACTGGGTAGTTTACAGAGGAAAGAGGTTTAATGGACTCACAGTTCCACATGGCTGGGGAGGCCACACAATCATGGCGGAAGATGAAGGAAGAGGAAAGGGACATCTTACATGGCGGCAGGCAAGAGAGAAAGCATGTGCAGGGGAACTGCCCTTTATAAAACCATCAGATCTCCTGAGACTTATATGCTATCAGGAGAACAACATGGGAAAGACCTGCCCCCATGATTCAATTACCCTCCACTGGGTCCCTCCCATGACACGTGGAAATTATGGGAGCTACAATTCAAGATTTGGGTGGGGACGCAGCTAAACCACATCAGAGGCTCAAGTACAGAATTCATTTCCTTGCGTTTTCCAGCTTCTAGGGGCCACCCTTGTGCTTTGACTCATGGCCCTTTTGTCCATCTTTAAAGCTGACAATGTCGCATCACTCTGACACTTCATATTTTTCACTCTGATCAAAGCCAGGAAGAGTCTTTTTTTTTTTTTTAAAGAATTTAAGTAGTAATTTGGGGCCCTCTTGGATAATCCAGGGCAAACTCCCATTTCAAGGATTTACATTTTAATCACACCTGCAAAGTCCCTTTTGTCATGTGAGTTAACAGAATCCCAGGACCAGGCTTAGGGTGTGAACATTTTGATGGGGCCATTATTCTGCCTACCACAGATTGTAACATGTCAAAGTCATAAGGAACCTTAGGTTCTAATTTCTGACCTCTCACTCATTTTCATTTTGGAGTTCTTTCCAAGGCACTCTTTTTCGTGTGTGTTTGTTTGAGACAGAGACTCACTGTGTTGCCCAGGCTGGAATGCAGTGGCATGATCTTGGCTCACTGCAACCTCTGCTTCCCAGGCTCAAGCCTCAGCCTCTGGAGTAGCTGGGATTACAGGTGCCCGCCATCACGCCCGGCTACTTTTTGTATTTTTAGTAGAGACAGGGTTTTGCCATGTTGGCCAGACTGTTCTTGAACTTCTGACCTCAGATCCACCCACCTTGGCCTCCAAAACGCTGGGATTACAGGTGTGAGCCACCGCACTGAGCCCCAAGGCATTCTTAATAGGTGTGCATCCATCCTTGGATTGAACTTCTGCTCATAGGCTTACAGCAAGTTCACCACTGCCATGAGGTATTCAACATCTTGTTGACTCCAACATCTCTTAAGCATTTTTTTTTCAGTCAGGCTTCAGTCTGAAATTTTATAGGATGAACACAGCAAAAAGCTGTCTGAACAGGACTTTTGATTGACTCCACAGGACCACATCACAGACAATGCTATGTTTGCAAGCAGGTTCCGCATTTGAATTTGAATTTTTCCCTCCAGACACTGGACACAAGAGGTGTCCTTTTGGTGATGAGCAGACACAAGAAGATTTAACCATCAGCTTTAAGTCTCTTCTTAGCGTTGTGCAAGCCAGAGAGTTGGTCAGTGTCCTGGTTACATGATCCATTCATTTATTTGCTTATTCGCAAATATTTACTGAACCACTGCTTTGTGTCAGGAATTGGTTTAGGTACCTGGAATCCGCAGTGAACAAGGCAATGTCTTTTCCCTCATGGAGCTTCCATTCTAATACTGGGGGTGCAGTGAGAATTCATACATCAGTCTGTATTGCAGTATCTCGGAGAAATGAGTGCTGAGAAGAAAAAGAAAGCAGAGTAACGTGAAGGTGAACAGGAGAGAATGAGGGGGTTCTTCTACATGAGACTGTCATTCATAGCTCTATTCAATGCCACCTCCCCCAGAGAGGGTTTTCTGACCATCTCAGAATATTTTATCACAATTCTCCCGAACCTGATACATTAACCAAACTTTGTTTCCATCCCTCATTTTCTTACATGATTCTCCCTCCCTGACCCCCTGCCAACCAAATTCCTTCAAGCTCAGGAGCTGTGGCATCCTACTACCCTGCTTCAAGAGAATCTTGATAGAGCAGAACCAATACTTTCTAAAGTATTTTTGGAGACAAGGTCTCACTCTGTCATCCAGGCTGGAGTGCAGTGCTATGATCATGGCTCACTGCAGCCTTGACCTCCTTGGCTCAAGTGATCCTCTCACCTTAGCCTCCCGAGTAGCTGGGATTACAGGTGCATGCCACCATGCCCAATTCATTTTTATTTTTATTTATTTATTTATTTTTTTGAGACAGGGTATCACTCTGTCATCTAGGCTGGAGTGCAGTGGCATGATTTCGGCTCACTACAACCTCCGCTTCCTTGATTCAAGTTATTCTCCTGCCTCAGCTTCCTGAGTAGCTGGGATTACAGGCATGTACCACCATGCTGGCTAATATATATATATATATTTTGTATTTTTAGTAGGGACAGGGTTTCACCATGTTGGCCAGGCTGGCCTCGACCTGCTGACCTCAAGTGATCTGCCTGCCTTGGTATCCCAAAGTGCTGGAATTACAGGCATGAGCCACCACACCCAGCCTAATGTTTATATGTTTTTATATTGTAAATACAGGCTCTTCCTATGTTGCTCAGCCAGGTCTCAAACTCCTGGGCTCAAACAGTCAAAAGCATTTTTATTTGTCAGGGCCAGGTTTTGTGGGTAATAGTCCTGAAGTGCTTAGGGCCTCACATTTATGTCGCATGTTATAGTTATTGGAGAGGAGAGCAGCCAATCTGTTGGGTCTCAGATGAATGTTCCTTGGGGTGTGTAGGAGAATGGGAAGAGGATGAAGAAGGTGGAGTGTGTCCCCTTATGTCCATGACAATTATATGTGTTAGGTATCAGTACCTAAAATTCTGGATAATGCTGAGGACAGGAATCGTTTGCTGAATGTTCCATAACCAGGACACTTTGTAGGTAGGACTCTGATGCCATCTCTTTCTTGTCCCAAATCCATGATCCCTGATTCCAGCATGTCTTAAGTTTCCCCTAACTGACTGTCTGCAGGGAGTTTTGTTCCCAACCTTGGGTCCTGGGGGACCCCACGTGTCCCAGGTGCCTTAATAGAAATATCGGGGTTGATTTGAGTCAATGGGATCCGGCAAACAGAGAGGACGGATTGGTCTCATTAGTTATCTCATCACCTAGAAAATCCTTCTGAGATATTTCCTTTGGGCTGGTTAACTTCAAATACGAAGGAGCTCATTGAATAGGAAACAGCTGAATGTTTCCAATTTGGCATGTTCCCCCTGACTAGCCCAGGAACTGGGAGCTATGAGGCTACGCCCCCAGGGTCCCCCTCCCTGCTGATTTTACCAGTCTTGCTTGTCTTGCTCCTATGGTGGGAGGACAGCGATGTCTACTGCAAGCTGAGACAATCCTAGGCTGAGTGCTTGCGTATTTGCATAATGGTCAGGGCAGTGCAAGACTTTGCTTCAAGGGAAAGTCTAATATAACCGGCTAAGCCTCGGAAAGCCTGCTGCAAACCTCTCTAATAAGGATCGAATCCCAGTGTGGCCGTCAAAACAGCTGGAAAAGCTGCAACCCCAGTCAAATGAGAAATTGGGCAAATATCTTGACACAGAAAAACTGCACGTGTACCCTGGTAGAAATTATACTTTTATAGTTATTTTTACATCCAAACATTACTCTTTGAGCGCCGTCATATTTTATGAAAACTTTTATTAACATTTCAAAATGACCTTACCCTCATGGTGGGACTGTCAGTCCCAGGAGCCATAACCTATTTAAAACATTTTTATCTTTACAAACACAATAAAGTAAGCTGTCTTCAACAGATTTGTAGATCTCATTAGAGATACTTTTTAAGAAGGTAGTGCGTCTCTGGGGAAGATAATGACAGGTTGTAATCTTTGCATGAAAAGTTTTCAAACATGCACACTTTGTGCAAATGAATTATTTCAACTTTTTAGCATTGTTGTCACCAGATCTGCTTTGTAATTGCTCTGGTATTCAACGGGTTGGCTAAGGCTCTGGCTGCCATGAACAGGGCAACACACCTTGGATAGGATGAAACTGGTATTCCCCATACAGTAGCTCTCCACTTGGCTTGGCCACTGGAGGTGAGGTGAGGGCTTGAGCAGGACAGGGGCACAAGAAATCTCATGCAGATACCAGAGACAAATGACCCTTTCCTTTGACTAAAGCCTGCTTGGTTTTCTAGGTTGTAAATGTGGCTTTTCCCTTGGGGAGTGACTGGCTTAGGTGGCAGTCGAGGTGGGTAATATTTCAGAACTGCTTCTCCAAAGGGCCAGTGTCCTAAAGGCTTCCCTGCTTAAATGGTCTTTTTATGCAGCGAGATAATGCAGCTTGTGCATTGCTAAATCAGGCCTATTTTCTGAGGAATGGTTGCATTCACGGCGCTTCTAATTTGTCAGGAGAAATGCGGACCATCTCTCCAGGAGTCTGCTTAAGAGGACATCATTTCTCCACGAGCTCTGCCTTGGGTCAATGTGCAGCGCGGCTGGCACACCAACCCCTGTTGCTTCCACCTCCCGGGGATGCTCTGATTTATTAGGATTAAACAAGTCACGTCCTCCTCCTGACTCAGTCCGCAGGGTGAACATCCCCTCGTCCTTCCTCTGCTCTCTCGCCCCTTTCTCTTCTAGAGCCAAAAGGCAGAAGAAGGGTCACTTTACAAATGTGGCCTCTGTCTTGTGAAAAATATTGCTGATGAAGTTTCACTCTGCTGGGCTGTGATGGTGACGTAGGGGTGCACAGGTGGTCCCAGAGGAGGCCAGGGCGCTGGGCAGGCAGGCTCTGGGAGTGGCAAGCAGCTGTCTTTCTGGTTTTCTGATTGTGAGATGACAGTCAGAGCACAGGGTTTTGGAATACCAGAGACGAAGCCAAAGCCATTGGTAACTGACTGCTGTTTCTTTTGGTCAGTGTCAGAACGGGGGATAAAGCCCAAGTGAGTCCCACTGCCGAATGCCCCCAAGTGATTATCTTATAATTATTTCAACTGCATTTCCGTTTGAGCCTCCTTCTTCTATGGATCTCACTTAAGGAAGCTCAGCTCTGGCTTGGCCTCCATATTAAAGTTTTTTGTTGAGTGTGGCTTTATGGTAGTATTATTATTTATCTTATGAATCATATAAATATGATCTGATTTCTACCTTGGGTCCACTCTCTGCCATCTTACCTACTTAGGCAGGGCCTCTGTTCCTGAGCCCCCCCGGAGACTTCCTTCTGCAAAATGCATGGACTCCACACCTGACTACAGGGACAAGACCCTGATTTTGTCCCTCAGCAATTTGTGACTGCAGCTAAGTTACTCATCTCCCCTGTGGGCTAATAATAGGGTCCACCTGCCGGGCCATTTTGAAGATTGATCAAGTTAAAATACACACAACTCCAGGAATAGTGCTTGGCACGTGGAAAGCCCTCAGGAAGCAGCAGCTCTGTTTCTGTTGTGAATTGTCTGGGCTCCCTGGGTGAGATCTCCACTGACTGTTTTGTCTGGGTGGCCCTGCCTTGCTCCCTGGCCTCTAGCAGGCTTCCCAGCCTGGCCATCAACACAGCTGGAAAAGCTGCAACCCCAGTCAGCGTTTCTAGCTGAGACCCCAGGAGTTTTCTCACCACACAGGCTATTTCACAGCAACCACTGTGCACGTGAGCCTGACCACAGGAGCAGGTCCCATGAGGACTGTGGAGCTGGGACACAGGACGTAGGGCTTGTGAAGGCTTCAGCTCCCCTGAGTTGAGAGCCACACCTAGCTTTGTCAAGCCTGCTTTCCTGAGAGGCCCTGTTTGGCTGAGGAATGAGTTTGAAGTCATCCTGCCCAGCAGCCGTAGGCTGTTGGCTTTTGTCCTGGGGGCAAATCAAGGTCTGGCTGCCTCTGATTCCAAGCTTGGTGTGCAGAGCAGTGGAGTGTTCCTAGAGGAAAGCCTGAAGCCTGATGTGTCCTGAGGCTCCTTTCTGCCTCAGTCTCTCCATTTGAATATGCTTCTGTACCTCTTCTTTTTTTTCTTTGAGTCAGGGTCTCTATCTGTTGCCCAGGCTGGAGTTCAGTGGCATGATCATAGCTCACTGCAGCCTCCACCTCCTGGGCTCAAGCAATCCTCCTGCCTCAGCTTCCTGAGTAGCTGGGACTACAGGCATGTGCCACTGTGCCTGGCTAATTTTTAAAATTTTTAGAGATAGGGTTTCGCCATGTTGCCCAGGCTGGTCTTTAACTCCTAGGTTCAAGCTATCCCCCCACCCTCGTCCCCCAGCCTGGTTCCCCGCTAGGCCTCCCAACGCACTGGGATTACAGGCGTGAACCACCGTGCCTGGTCTCTTTACCTTTTTTTGAGTGTACGTCCAACTCAAGTGACTTCCCAGTTCATCCACCATGTGTTGGTTTATCCAACCTACACATGCATTTTGAGGGCCTGCTGTGTGTACAAAGACATGGGAAGCCAGGCACTCTTTTTCACTTGTTTTTTTTTTACCTTGAAGCCCAGCTAAGAACACAGATTTGTTCATGAAATATCTTTTCCTCTGGCTTTATTCATTCTGAGTAAGTAATGAATTCGGCTGAAGCTTCAGTCTTGTTAGGAAAACTGGTTCTAGGAACCAAGGGCATGAGGCCCAATCTCTAGGTTAAGCTGGGTTAAGTTCATTAGGCATAACGTTAGAAAAAAATTAGTTTTTTGTCTGACACCTTTTCCAGTGGGAGAAGCTGGATTGAAAAGTTTTCAACTTGGCTGTGTAATCCAGCATCAGGAAAACTGCTGCCCTCTTCAACCCATGTACATTTTAATCTCCCCTATCCTGGATTCTGCTGAACAGATCAGCCCTAATCCTACACAGGCACAGTGCAGTCAGGGATGGTGATATCACAGGGTTGAAGACAAGAAAGACAGATGTGTGCCTGCACCCAGTTGCTAGAGCGTGGAGGCAATAATGATGGAACAGAAGGCAAGAGGCTGTCATCGTTCACATCACAAGGACCAGAGACACCTTTCCTGGGAAGAGAGCTGACAACCTTCTGTGGTAAGGGGTGAACATCCTTGGGAAGCCACAGAGAGCAAGGCGCAGTTTTTCATTGATCACCACTTTCAAGATGCTCCCAGAATCGTGCTGTCTAGGAAGCCATTTAAACTGGTGAGAAGAGGATACAGCATTTGACAATGGTTGTTTTGTTTCAAGACACATGCATTAAAAATACATCTGAAATCTGGGACACAAGGAATCCAAATAATGTTATTAAATTTCTTGTCGAAGAAGGTCTCCAGGGAGAGTGGCTCCGCTCTTTACGAAAAACTCGCAGAACTCAACTTGCGTGAACAAAGTGTCTTCGTTTCTTTTCTCTTCTCCCTCTCTCTTTCTGCTTTTTTCATTTCCCACTTTCCTGTTTCTCCCAAGGAGACAAACAAATCTCTAAAGGACTATTAAGTTGCAAATATATCGGAGCCAAAAATAGAAGATGGAGCCTTATAAACATTTTGCATATTTTGGTGTAATTTGTTGAAAATAGTACAAAATATGCTCACAGTTGGCATCTAGAATGCAAATATTAGGAATCCAGTCCCCTGATACATTATGGTTTTTCAGCAGTATAGTGTGGGCTCGTCCAATTGCTATTGTGTGACTTTGTAGTTTGTTGGAGTGTGAATAATATCAGTGACTTGTTTGTACAGTATATTAGGGAGATACATGTCGCCAAGTGTTATTAGCTCCTCTGGAGACTCCAAGGGACAAAAAAGCACAGAGTGGAACTCAGGGAGAAACAGATACATATATTTTTAATGTCACTGATGCCAGCTGCTTTTCTGAGCGGTTTCCTTAAAATAAAAACCAGGCCATGGATCAAAGTGTGCAAGGGGCTTTCATGTTCCAGAACATGGGGGTTAAGTGGGGAGAGTTTCAATGAGGAGAACTGCAGTGCGTGTTTGAGCTGATGGAATACTCTCCCACCTGGGGCTTCAATGAGCCTGACTGGTTTTACTGCTGACAGTAAATTTGTCTTTCCTTTCCCCTGACAGGTGAGAAGCCATCCTCTCTTGAATGGGGGCTCCCACTGTACATCTGGCACCCACTTCACAGGTGAGCCTTTCCGCTCCTAAATGATGACTGGTAAGAAAAACAAGATGTCTTTCTTGGTTATAAATTTAACTCTTCTATGATTAGTCTGGGCAATTAGGACACCCCTGGGGTTCAGTCTAGGGCTGAGGCACAAGCTGGAAGTCTGATTAGCTCAGGTCTCTTGATGCTTGTTCCTGGTAGTAAATGCCTGGCACATATAGTATTGATTTTCATTTAGATATCTTAATGTTTCCAGACAATCCCGGCAGATGTGGGCTGAACTCAGATCGGCAGGAGCGCCGGTCTGCAATCTGCAAACATTTTTCTTGCCACTTTGTTTCATTTTTCCTAAACTTAACTGATTTGGAATCTGGAGATATAAATGAAAAATGCCGAGTCGGCCTATCAATCACGGCATGCACAAACATCGCCACTGCCCTTCCTAACATCCTATTACCACTGGGTAGTTGGCTAGTCAAACAGGAATAAAAATTACACTGCAAACATCATAAGTTAGGCTTGATTTGTTGAGCAAGCAGCCTGACAATTCGGTAAGAGTTATATACCTCAGCTTCGCTGAAAATCAGGCTTGTTATGGCTCTGGTACGTCTATAAAGATTGTTCATTTCATATAAAACAGCTACCTGCACTGAACGCCCTGAAAGGAAGAATGATGCTGGTTATAAATATAGAGGAAAATCTATTTGTCTGCCCCTTCATGCTGTTAGTAAGTCACACAGAGGGCGTTTCTCGGCAGCAAGGGGAGTTCTGTGTGGCCACCTTCCCTCTGCCGGGCTGGCCTGGATTGAAGCGTATCATCGCTCTTTGTCATATGAGATAAAGCAGTGAAGTGTGACCGGTGCCACTGCCTTGCTCTCTGCCCACCAGGGGGACGCTAATGGTATTGAAAAACTAGACGGCATTGCATTTAAACCAAATGTGAGGGGAAGGCTGTCTGTTGGCCGGCTGGGCTGGATAACAGTTAACGTCAGAAAAGATAAATAGAAATTATTAGAATGGTTTGGAAGGGATTTTTTATAGGGCAGGGTGGTATTCGTTTAAAGATACATTATTGGACTGTTATATCTGATTTCAAGCTGCTGGGTAATTAAAATGATTAACATCCCTTACTCATAGAGTTCAATTCATTAAAGTTTTAAGCACCCTTTGTGCTCAGAATGGGAGGATGGGGCATCCATGTTGACTCACGCCAGGACTCACTCAATTCGGCCCTATGTTTATTTTCCCTGGTCTTTCAAGCCGTGATGTCCATTTCTAAGCTGCAGGAGCACACTGGGTGGAAAACATCAGCCTTAAATATTCACTCTGTAGGATCTCTCATTCAGAGAGGAGGAATGGAAGGGAAATAGAGAAACCCAGAAAATTCTGCTAACCCAGTTGTTGGAACCCAGAAAATTCTGCTAAGGATGTCAGCCAGGTTCTTCCCAGGGTTTCCTCCAAGTTGCTGGTACTTGGGGAACCTTTGTGATTTGGGGCTTAGCAGGCATGATCAGAACGTGTCTAGCCCTCAGGTATGCAGTGTCCACAGAGGATCTAGGCAGAGCACCTACATCTTGCAAACCTGCTGGAGCATGCTGTGGATACAATTCTCATTATTACTTCAATTAAAAGGCACTAAAAATATATTGTTCCTGTGCTGTCTTTCTTAGTTTTGCATTTTGACCTATCCAGCACCATGTTGGTGAATAAATGGGATATTTTAAAGAGCACACTCATTGATGGCAGAACAAAAACGCTGTACTCTTTAGGGTACATGCTCTTTACCAACTCACTCCCCAATGTTCAGGGACAGAGAAAGACATAAACCTGTTTTCTCGTCTCCTGCATAAAGTCTGGTCACCAATAGCAGTGATCTGCAAGGCTACTTGGGAGGCAAACTGATTTTTAAAGGCAAATGTGTGACTTGAAATTTCTCACCTTTTGGCAGATTCTGGGGGATGTCAACACCAGCACTGCTGAGCTGTGTGACCTTGAGCAAGACAGTTAGCCTCTCTGAACCTCAGTGTCCTTCTCTGTAGGCTGGAGATTGATATACCTTCATTATCGGGGTATGAGAGTGTTATAAGTAAGTGCCTGGTACAAAGCTTGGTCCAGTATGGGTGCTTCACGCGTAATAGCTACTATTGTTAGTATCCATTATGATGTGAATAACAGTGCTACTCCTTTGCACATATTTGAGCATTGTAGACACTGAGAAACAGTGGGAGGTGTGCAAAATGGAGCCACTCTTTCCTAGCCAAGGGCCCCAGGAATGTGACCCGTATGGTAAACTGGCATTTTCTCAGCTGAAAATGAAGGTGAAGAGTTATCCAGTCATCTCCTTACCCAGATCATTCGCTGACATAGAAACTGCTGGACAAACTAGTTGCAGCCAATACTTCATTTAATTGATGTCAAAAAGCAAGAGAGAGAGAAAGTATGCTCATAAATATTGTTGCAAGAGTGGGTTTTGGGTCAGTGTTTGGGGAAACTGACCGAGTGATGAATGCCAGGGAATATGGGTGGGTCTTCCCACATGTGGGGGTCCCAGGCACAGTCTCTGGGACTCTGCAATTGCTCTGCTTTCCCTGGAGTGGGGGGACCTGAGGCTACTGCTGGCCCACACAGGACACCGCTCCCTGCCCTTTTTCCTGTATCATTACCCTGAATAAAGAGGTCTCCACCAGGTTGGTGGAAATACACACAACGCTGATGTAGCCATCTTTTTTTCAGGGTGGGATGGTGGAACACGCTGACTGGTCTGGGCTATTCAAGGTAAATGCTTGTTTTCCTGGTGAATAACACCCCTCTCCATCTGCAAAGTGGCCTGGTTGGCACAATAAATTATATGCACCTCAAGTGGCAGGCATTTTAGGCATTGGCCCAGGTGACTTGGAAACCCTACTTAAAGTTACAGATTGGGGTCTGGGCATGGTGGCTCAAGCCTGTAATCCCAGCACTTTGGGAGGCCAAGGTGGGCTGATCACCTGAGGTCAGTAGTTCGAGACCAGCCTGACCAACATGGAGAAACCCCATCTCTACTAAAAATGCAAAATTAGCTGGGCGTGCTGGCGCGTGCCTCTAATCCCAGCTACTCGGGAGGCTGAGGCAGGAGAATCGCTTGAACCTGGGAGGTGGAGGTTGCAGTGAGCTGAGATTGCACCATTGCACTCCAGCCTGGGCAACAGAGTGAGACTCTGTCTCAAAAAAAAAAAAAAAGTTACAGACTGGGAGAAGCGAGATCAAAGAGTCTGTTTCAGGGTTATCTGTGTGCAGCCAAGGCCGTGATCAGCACATGTTCTAAGGACAGTAACAGTGATGCGTTTGCTCCTGGGTATTAACTCTATGCTCATCCTAAAAAAAAAGGAATGTTATAAAAAATGTCACTTAAAGTGTGTACAAGTGTTTACTTCTGGGGAAAAAAAGCTCATTTTAACTCTTGAGACCTAGTTTATTGGTAAATTAAAAAAAATAAAGTCAAGGCTCACATCTATTTTATGACTTGTTGCTCAAGTTGTTCTGCTCTGAAATTCTTCAGAATGGCTTTGGTGAGTGTCAGATCAAAGTCTACATTTATTACATCAGAAGAGCTGTTTCTGCATGGACTTGGCAGTTGTCTAAAAGAATATCAGAAATTAAGAAGAATGGAGCATAAGTAAACAATGATTCTCTTTCACCCTTTGTTTGGAGAGAGTTTTTCCTTGGGAAAAAATGTAGCTGTCTCAGATCCATGTCATTCTAATCAAAATCACAGTCTCACATGTTGTGTTTCCAAAGTCAGTTTCCAAGCTGGGATGCCCTTGGGTGGAGGCTGTGTGGGTGGGTTGGCCATGGGAATGCTCCCTTTCCCCTGCTTGGATGCCCCACCTCCCTGACCACGTATTTCCACTGCCACAAGCTCACATGATGTGGTCACATCATGAAACTGAGAAAAGCCAAGGACCTTATCCAGTCTTTTTTTTTTTTTTGAGACGGAGTCTTGCTCTGTGGCCCAGGCTGGAGTGCAGTGGCGCCATCTTGGCTCACTGCAAGCTCCGCCTCCCGGGTTCACGCCATTCTCCTGCCTCAGCCTTCCGAGTAGCTGGGACTACAGGTGCCCGCCACCACGCCCGGCTAATTTTTTGTATTTTTAGTAGAGACGGGGTTTCACCGTGTTAGCCAGGATGGTCTCAATCTCCTGACCTTGTGATCCGCCCGCCTCGGCCTCCCAGTTATCCAGTCTTACAGGGGCCATGCACGAACACCAGAATGGAGGACTTCTTTCCTCTCTCTCTTTTATTTTTTTTAGAGGCAGTGTCTCACTTTGTCGCCCAGGCTGAAGTGTCTGTACTCAGTGCCTAACATGGTGGTGGGTGGGTGTGCTGCCTGGACTGAGTGAGGTTGCGTTGAGAGACGGAGCAGTCATGATATGACATTTTTCTGTGTGTGTTATTTTAGAGGTGGAAGAGGGTGGCCTGAGTCATCTTAACTTCCTTCTTGGTGTTCCCATTGATTATGGGATTCTGGTGGGGCCATGGACAGATTCTTTGCAACATGTATGCCTGGCGCTTCTGGTAGGGTGGCCATACACACTGACTGGTCTGGGTCAGTGAAGGTAAATGCTTGTTTTCGTGGTATAACCACACACCTCTCTGTCTGTAAAGTGGTCCAGTTGACACAACAAATTATATGATCACCCCAGGTGGCAGGCAATCACGACTCACTGCAGCTTCAACCTCACTTGATAAGTGATCCTGCTGCCTGAGCCTCCTGAGTCACTGGGACTACAAGGCACATGCCAGTGTGCTCAGCTAATTTTTGGAGGTTTTTATAGAGACAAGGATCTTGCTATGTTGCCCAGGCTGGTCTTGAACTCCTGGGCTCAAGTGATCCTTCCACCTCAGCCTCCCAAAGTGCTTTGATTAGAACAGTGAGTTGCTGTGCCAGGCCCTCTTTCTTCTCATTAACACATTCACTCTGATGTGAACACAGTCACCTTTATTCCAGGGGCCCTGAGATGTGTGTCTGGGCAGTGTGCTAGCGTGTACTTAGCTCTCAAGCTGTGCTTTGCTGCTTATTAGCTGTGCTCCTTCAGGCCCATCCCTTTCCCTCTTGTTCCCATTCTCTCACCTTCTCATGAGCACTATTAGGCCTGGATTATGTGTGAGATTTGTTACCAGAAGAGTGGGGAATGGTTTCCCATGATGCCATATGGGTTTGGAACCCTTGCTGTATGTAGTAGCTGCTGAATGAGTGCTTAACAAATGAACGAACACATCGATTGATGAAGGAATACAAGGATGACACAAGGCAGTGGCTGGTTGCTGGTGCTCCCTGTGCCTGGTACAGATGGTGGAGCCTGGGTTGGCTCACCCATTCAGAATGCAACACAGGTGACGCCAGCTGCAGGGTTTCACATCGAAAGGGCCAGGCATACATGTTGCAAAGAATCTGTCCACGGCCTCACCAGAATCCCCCAACCCCCCAATCCCACAGAATTCACAATCCCACAAGAATGGAGTTAAGATGACTCAGGCCACCCTTTTCCACCTCTAGAATAACAAAGCAAATGAGGAAGTCATAACGTGACTGCTTCCTCATGAGTGAGGAAGCAACTTCACTGAGCTCAGGCTGCATACCCACTGCCGTGCTAGACACTGGGGTACTGAAATGCAGAGCCATATTGCCCACCCTCAAGAGCTGGAGGGAAAGTTAAGATGTAAATGATTACCATGAACAATGCAAGTGGCAGAGTCTGTAGCTGATACCTTCCTTTGCCTGTCAGCACTCACCCCTTTCCTTTCTCCTCCCTGTTCTCAGCCCCAGGTGGCTGATGTGCATGATTATATCAAGGGGTGCTGGGCCACATGCCCTCTGGTTGTTTTCTGACAAAGGGGAACCATGGCAAGAGCCTGGAGGGAGGAAGAGAGGGACTGAGGTGAGAGTATTTCATCGGATGAGTCTCTCTCCCTCTGCAATGGCCTTGGGGTAGTTTCTCCCTGGACTGAAAGTCTCTGCCATTCTCAAAACAATGCAGGATTCTCTCCTTCCAGGCCCCGGGGACGACTTCTTCTCTCTTTCTGTTAGGTCCAGACAACAGACACTTATCACTTTGTAGTCTACCCCTTTGTGCATAAACTCTCTCTGGATTATCTTCCCTGGGATGCACCATCTGTTTGGTGCTGGGATCCTGACTGAGAGCAGGCCACTGGGGAGTAGAGGTTCCTAAGGGACATCTGAGGAAGGAGAGGACACAGGACATGGAATGGGGTGAAGGAGCGCTTTAAGGGCCAGTTGGCATTTGAGCTGCCCATGGAAGGTTGATAAGGATTTTCAATGGGGAGGATGAGGGAAAGGGCATTTCACTTGGACAGTATGGTGCTGGGCTGTGAGGCAAGGCCACAATGAATGCATTACATGGGTCAATTTCTTGCAAAACCAAAGAGGATAAATGAGAGTGATGGGGAATAGGAATGAATGGTCATGCTGGCTTGCATTTTGGTAGGGGAGATAAAGAAACCTCTAAAGGTACACTAAGCATGAGGTTTTCCATGGAAATATCCAAGGGAATGTATATAGGGGAAAATCTGTGTCCACACTGGAAATCAGGGAAGGTAGCCAGCCACATCACAACAGTTTGACAACATTTCTATGAAATGTAGAGCTCAAAGCGGCAGACCAGTGATGTGCCTGTCCATCATTGGCAGCATTCATATGAACAATTTACCTGGAAAGGAGTTAAGTAGGAGCCCACTAACAAGGGGTGGGGGCAATAGGGCTGTGAGACAGGCAGGGTGGGACCAATCCAGGTTCCCAGCAGTGCAGAGAGCGAGGAGAAGCCTGGGTTTGAATCCCAGGCTGACTACTTATTAGCCATGTAATTGGGCAAGTTATGTATCCCCTAGGTGTCTCAGTTTCATCATCTGTAAAATGGGTTTAGTGAGAATCCTCGCCTAATAGGTTTGATGTGATGATTGATTGAGATGATCCTTGCAGTGTGCAGACTAGAACCTGATTCAGGGAAGAACTCAACGGATGCTGCTTGGAGTTGCTAATACCCGTGCCCTTGAGTCATGTGTTAACACTGAGAATTCCACCCTTGTGTTCATTCCCAGATCCATGAACTGGAAGATGCTTTCTTATAACTCAGAGAAAAGAGATGAAAATGAATCAAAGAACAGGAAGGAGACAAGCTCAGGAGGTAAGTCCAGAAAATTCAAATCACATGCGCTAGAAATTCCAGAAGGAAATAGCAGAGCAGACCAAAAAAACAAAAAAAAGTATTTGAGCTCAATAAAAACTTTAGCTTTTAGATGAAAGCTCACTGACTACCTGAGAACCAGTCATAATTAATGAACAGCTCCCCATGGAGATAGTGCTCCATGACATTTTTGAAGTTCAAGAGTAGACAATACAAGTCAGGAAGAAGGGGCAGAAATTAAGTTGCTATCTGAATTTGCTTCTGCAATGCTAAATGACAGGAGGCCAGGCAGAATATAGAGATTTGCAGAAAGATGATTGCTTCTCAATAATGGTACAGAAAGAGCTGAGTAGAAAAATCTAGAAGATGAGCATTTGTCCCACTCTTTTCAACAACCATCATCGTGAAAAAGGGCTTGTTCCAGATTGACATAAAATAAGGGAATAGCCACCCAGATTGCATCTATTTTGGGCAAACTCACTTTAAAAGACAATTGGGGAAATTTGAGTACAGCTTGGGCATTTAATGGTCGTATTAGTCCATTCTCACACTGCTGATAAAGACACACACGAGACTGAGTAATTTATAAAGGAAGACAGATTTAAAGGACTCACAGTTCCATGTGGCTGGGGAAGCCTCACAATCATGGCAGAAGGCAAAAGGCACATTTTACATGGCAGCAGGCAAGAGAGAGAATGGGAGCCAAGTGAAAAAGGAAACCCCTTATAAAACCATCAGATTTCATGAGACTTATTCAGTGCCATAAGAACTGTATGGGGGAAACCACTCCCATGATTCAATTATCCCCCACCAGATCCCTCCCCCAACACGTGGGAATTATGGAAGCTACAATTCAAGATGAGATTTGTGTCAGGACACAGCCAAACCATATCAATGATATTACAGTTTAATGCCATGGACAAGTAGACATTTATTTATTGAATAAAAGCACGTTGCAAAACAATGTACACAGTATAATCTTACTTTGATAAAATGCACATCTATGTGCATAGCAATAGATCTGAGAGGACATCATCTGAGTGTTAACAGTGGTAATCTCTTTAGTAGTGGAAATATGGTGGTTTTATTATCTTACTTTTACTTACCTATATTTTCTAATTTTCTACTGTGTACATATACTGCCTTTGTAATAATAAGAGGTTATTTTTAATTGAAAACACAATTTTACATCCTCTCAGACTATCATTCCTGAGACAACCTTGAAGATTTTGAAATATGAAAGTACTTAGGAAGTATACCACCCACGTGCCCTTCATTTAAAAAAACTCAAAGAAATGCTCCAGCTGAATGAAGGGCATATAAATAATACAGAACTCAAGAAATGGGAAGATGTAGTGAAAATGAAATGGCACAAAGCACTAAAAAGGAAACAATATTTATTCAGGATAATTGTGTTAAATATGACTATGGAGTTTATGGCAAAGGCGAAAAATAAGTTATTTAGTGGAAATATTTAAATTCCATATATATCAACTAAGATTGAGAATACAGAGTGTATGGTATTAAGAGGGTACACAGAATTATCATTTTACATAAGACGTTCACAGAATTTATCATTTTACATAAGGGTGAGTAGAGAGATATTGTACATTTTCAATGTTGATAAGTAGGAAAAAATATATTTTCTCAAAATTTTAGTCCAACCATGTGAGTATAGTAATAAGATGCTTAATTTCCATATTACTAATTATTTTGAAAAGAGCAAACGAAACTAGGTCCACAAACAAAAGTTTAAAAAAATACCCACAAGTGCTGGGCACTGTGGCTCACTCCTGTAATCCCAGCCCTTTAGGAGGCCGAGGCGGGTGCATCACGAGGTCAGGAGATCGGAACCATCCTGGCTAACATGGTGAAACCCCGTCTCTACTAAAAATACAAAAAATTAGCCAGGAGTGGTGGCGGGCGCCTGTAGTCCCAGCTATTCGGGAGGCTGAGGCAGGAGAATGGCGTGAACGCAGGAGGCGGAGCTTGCAGTGAGCAGAGATTGTGCCACTGCACTCCAGCCTAGGCCACAGAGCGAGGCTCTGTCTCAAAACCAACCAGCCAACCAACAAACAAAAAACAAACCCACAAGTAATAAGCAGAAAACAAGTGTTAAATAAGGAGGTAGAAGAAAGACCAATCCTATCAAATATGACAAAAATCATGAATCAGCTATTCTTTCTATAACAGCCGCTCGAAAGATGTTTCCCGATTAAATGGGAGGTGAATCAAAATCTGTAAGTCAGGAATAGAGAGTATGAGCTACAAAAAGTCTAAAATAAGAACAGAAATCCAGCTAAATGTTTAAGTCTATATAATTGGGGTCAACGTGGCTATTACACAAAATGCAAAATAATGCGCAATACATAAAATAACAATTGCTAAAAATGACAATAGTTTGGGCTTAAATATTTCTAATGAAGAAAGCTAAAAAGGGTGGAGAAGAACAATATTCATATTCTCATTTTACAAAGATGATCTAAACATAGTATCTCCTGTGTTCAGTTCATGTAGAACCAACAATTATAAAAATAAAGGTAAGTTGGCCAGGCGCGGTGGCTCATTTCTGTAATCCCAGCATTTTGGGAGGCCGAGGCAGGCAGATCACCTGAGGTCAAGAGTTGGAGACCAGCCTGGCCAACATGGTGAAAACCTGTCTCTACCAAAAATACAAAAATTAGCCGGGCATGGTGGCACTTGCCTGTAGTCCCCTCTACTCGGGAGGCTGAGGCAGAAAAATCGCTTGAACCTGGGAGGCAGAGGTTGCAGTGAGCTGAGATGGTGCCACTGCACTCCAACCTGGGTGACAGAGTGAGACTCTGTCTCATAAATAAATAAATAAATAAAAATAAATAAATAAAAAAATAAAGGTAAGTTGTCTTTTATTTCTGTTTAACTTTATGAAAGTATAACACACACACAGAAAAGGACTGTACGATCAGCTCAATGAATTTGCACACAATGAACTCAGCTGTGTAATAAGCACTGTAGATCAATAGGAAGAATATGACTAAAACCTAGAGGGTACTTCTTGCTTCCTTCCCAAGAAGGAAGTTTCTGCCCCCGCCAAGGGTAATCACTATCCAGACTCTTGTTAAAAATAATTTTGAGTCATAGAGTATGCATTTATTCTTCCAGATTCTATCCCTCAACATTATGTTTGTAAGATTTCTTTGGAGAAGGCAGTTGTCGATTTTCTGTTTTCTCTGCTGGAGGGCACCCCATTGTATGATGCATCACAATTTCCTTATCCATTCGACTGTTGATGGCATTTCAGGAGTTTCCAGTTTTTGATTAATATGAATGGCACTGCCATGGATCTACTAATACTTTTTTTTGTTAAAAATATCTGTGCATTTTGGTTGCATATGCACTTAGGAGTAGAATGGCTCAGGCAAAGATACACAGATGGTCAGGTTCAGTAGATACTGCCAAATACTTTTCCAAAATATTGCAATTTTCACCATCAAGAAGGGTGCATGAGAGTTCCAGTTCATCAATATACATCAGCATTTTCTATTCTTTCAATTTTAGCCACTGTGATGATTAGAGCATTGTATTTTAATTTTAATTTACACTTCCCTGATGACATTTTACATTTCCCTGACTAGTATTAAATGCCTTTTTATGTGTTTATTGGTCAGTTAGAAGTCTTTTTGTGAACTATCTGTTCATGTCTTCGGACCATTTATCTATTTAAAAAATATTTTTTTCAAATTAACTAGTACCTTTTCGATAAAAGACCTTTGCTGGAGATGTGTGTGTGTGTATATGTGTGTGTGTATGTTTCTTCTACCATGCTGTGGTTGGCCTTCTTATTCGTCGTATTTGTGGTGTGTGTGTCTCCTTATTAAGAATTTGTGTGTACTTCACAAGGTCAAGAGATAGAGACCATCTGGCTAACACGGTGAAACCCTGTCTCTACTAAAAATACAAAAATTAGCTGGATGTGGTGGTGCACACCTGTAGACCCAGCTACTCAGGAGGCTGAGGCAGGAGAATCACTTGAACCTGGGAGGCGGAGGTTGCACTGAGCCGAGATCGTGCCACTGCACTCCAGTCTGGCAACAGCAAAACTCCATCTCAAAAAAAAAAAAAAAAAAAAAAAAAAAAAAGAATTTGTGTGTACTCACATTTGCAAGATGTTTTTCTCTTAAAGTTTTACTGTTTAACATTTTACATTTAGAGCTGCAGTCCATCTGGAATTGATTTTTGTGTATGATGTGAGATAGGGGTCAAGATAAATTTTTTTCTCTTCTAGATATTCAATTAGCTTAGCACCATTTATTGAAAAGGCTATACTATGGAGTTGATTTTTCATAAATCAGGTGGCTGAATATTGGTGTGTTTTGTTTCTGAACTCTTTCTTCTATTTCACTTGGGGTTTTTTGATCTATCTTTGCACTAATATCACACTGACCTATTTATTATAGCTTTATTAAAAGTCTTAATATGTGGTAATGTGAGTTTTGCAGATTATTTTTTTCGCCTTACAATTTCCTTGGCTATCGTAGGCCCTTTGAATTTTCATAAACATTTAAGAGTCATCTTGTAAATTTATATATAAACACACACACACACCTCTGCTTAGATTTTTGGGGGATCGTAGTACATTTGTAGAGCAATAGGGCAATTTGGGAAGCTTTGTGTCTTTACAAATCAAATCTTCCATTTATTTAGATTTCCCTTTGGTTTCTCTCAATAATAATTTGTAGTTTTTAGTGAAGATGTCTTGCACATTTTTATTAGATTTATTTCTAGATATTTCTTGTACTTTGATGCTAATGCAAGCATTAATTTTTAATATTTTATTTTCTGTTTGTTGATGGTATATAGAAATAAAATTGATTTTTGTGTATTTCCTGGTATTTAGCACCTTTCCTAGGTTCTATGTTAATTCTAATTGTATATAGATTCTTTTGGATTTTCTTTGTACACAGTCATGTCATCTGTAAATAATGGTAATATTTTTCCCCAAAATTGACGTGTCTTATATTTATTTTTCTTGCTTTATTGCACTGGTTAGAACCTCCATTAAAATGTTTAGTAGAATTAATAAAATTGGGCATGCTTTTTGTCATTTATGATCTCTAGGAGATCTTGTATTTCTAGTTTTTTAAGAAAATTTGTTTTTAAATAATGAATAAGTAATGTATTATTATTTTTCTTTTCCTCCTTTTAATCCAAAGGTAAGGATTTGAAGAATGAGCTAAAAACCAAAACGTCTGTATACCTAAGTAGAGAAAATAAGGTGCAACAATTATAATGGCTAGGACAATTTTTGTTCTTTCCACCTTTGAATATGAGATCTAACACACAGCATTTGCTCAAAAAACGTTTGTTAAATGAATGAGTGGTATTACATTTTTTTCAGCGATCAAAACCAAATAGAAATAGAGGCTTTTTTACTACTTAGGAGAAACAACAAAATCAAATTTTCAGAGAAAAAGTAAGAATAATGGGATAGACAAGGGCATGCTAAGAATATACAAACCAAAGAAAGATGCACTGACAATATTAGGTACTGGGAAAATAAAATGTAAAATAAAAAAATTTAACGGACTATAGTTATCTTACTTCAATAAAAGATCCACTTTATTATAAAGTTAGAGTAACCATGAACTTTTATGCCCCACTTAACAACCTCTAAATATATAAAGCAATTTTTAAAGTTGTTATTGGAAAACCAAAATTATAGTGAACAATTAAAACTGACCATTCAGTCTTTGGCAAAGCAAGAACCGTATTAAGTAAGAATATACAAAAATTGATTATGTGATTCATCTTTGTTATTATAAAATTCATCTTGATTTGCTTGACAAATGTGTAGAACTTATAAGGAATATATAAATGTTTTTAATATCTTTAAAATGGTCATAGAACTTTTCACCACGTTTTATCATAGTGACTTATACAGGGCTGTGGTGGTAGATTCTGATATGGTCTGGCTGTGTCCCAACTCAAATCTCATCTTGAATTGTAGCTCCCATAATGCCCATGTGTTGTGGGAGAGACCCAGTGGGAGGTAATTGAATCGTGGGGGCGGTTTCCCCCATACTGTTCTTGTGGTAGTGAATAAGATCGGATGGTTTTATAAGGGGAAACCCCTTTCTCTTGGCTTTCATTCTCTCTTTCCTGCTGCCATGTAAGATGTGACTTGCCTTCTGCCATGATTGTGAGGCCTCCCCAGCCATGTGGAACTGTGAGTTCATTAAACTTATTTTTCTTTATAAATTACCCAGTCTTGGGCATGTCTTTATCCACAGTGTGAAAACGGATTAATACGGATTCCATTAGCAGAAGCAGTTTTGGTGGGAAAAAGATGAAGGGTGAAGAGGACTTTTACCTTAAAACAATGAAGGTGCAGTTGTTTACACTCCACTTTTCTTAGATCCGGTAGTGATGACCAGATGGAAGTACAAACAAAAGAAAAAAAGTTAAAACAAATACACAAAAAAATCCTATAGAAAGTCGAATATAAGAGAGTAGGGAGCAGGTCTTCAACCAGGGTGAAAAGGTATTCTGAATCAGAGTGGATAGTAGTATGCTTGTGCATGAATAATTCAAAAATAGCATGGACCAGAATGTGCAGCAAGAGATTGGCAAGGAGGTGGAAGGTAGGTGGCCTGAGAGGTTCCTGGCTCAGAGACAACCTGGCTGCCAGAGAACAGGGGAGTAGAGTTGGTCTAGAAGTAGGTGGATTTGTTGGAGGTCATTGTACAACCTAAGGATGGTCCTTTCCTGTTTCTTCATGCTGAGTTGAATTCAGGTTGCCGGAATTTATTTTTCAGGGAGAGGTAAAGGGGACCCTTACACCAAAACACAGGCAAGAAAACAAACAAACAAACAGAACATATTTCCTGAAAAAGGCTATGTCTTTCTGTTTGAATGACAATGCATAGGACTGACTGAACTCCTCATTTTGGTAGGTATCAGGTGTCTCCTCCCCCCACCCTCCCCTGACTTACCCGCTCTTCCAACCCCCTCCTCACCTAATCCAAAACCTGTTATTCAATTTTTTTTCTGCCATTCTCTGCCTCCCAAAGAACTCTTAGCAGAATCTTCACTTGGAGAACTTGCCTTGCAGGAAGCTCACCCACCTACCTCACCCTTCTTATCTATGAGTAGACAACCAAGGATCATCAGAGATGTGTGTGTGTGTGTGTGTGTGTGTGTGTGTGTGTGTCTGTGTAGCAGGTAAAAGAGAAAGGCCAATGTAAGATCAAGATAAAACAAATGTTCTGAAAGCACATTCAATGTCTTTCAAGAAGAGGTTACATTCAAGAACAAGAATAGTAGCCTAGGGAGAAGGATCACTCAGAAAACAGAAAATGTCTTAGAGATTAAAATAATGATTGCCAAAATAAAAGAAGCAATAAAAAGTCTGGAAAGAGGAGAAATTATAAGATGAGAGATATGAGAAATAAAGGATCAATCCCAAGAGCTCTAATGCCTATTATTGGATGTACTAGCAGCAGAAAACAGAAGATGCTGAGAAAGAAAATAATGGTCAGGAAACAATAGAAGAAACCGCCCCCAAAGGATAGTAGTCTTTATATTGGAGAAGTTCTCTGAGTTCTCAGAACAGCAATGAAAAAGACGTTATGGCTGGATTTATCATGCAGCAATCCCAAGGCGCTGGGAGTAGGGTGTGGAGAACAGGCCTGGGAACACTGCAGCTCTCAGTAAGTGTTTGTTAACATCATTGTCATAAAAATTAAAACAAGAGAAAAAAGTCACCTCATGAGAATCAGACTGTGATTTGAGTTTTCAAAAGTAACAATTGGATGCTAGAAGACAATGCTTTCGACATTTGGAGGAGAAGAAATAGTGGGACCGAAAATCCCATGCGTAGTTTAGCCATCACTCAAAAGTGGAATTTGGTCCAAGGGCAAAGACTCAGTGAAGACTCAGAAAGCTGATCTGCTAAGCACCCTCTTAATCAATCAGCTTTATGGAAGTAAGATTTACATAGAATCAAAGTTTCCATATTTAATCTTGGAATTTGATGAGTTTTGACGCATGCTTGATTATGACACAGAACAGTTCCATTACTCCAAAAAGGTTTCTTCTACTGGTTTTTGTTCTGAGAATTTCATAGAAATGGAATCATGGCAAATATTGTCTTCTGGGGCTTCTTTCCCTTGGTGTAACACTTTTGAGATTCATCCATATTGTTTAGTGGATGAGTAATTCATTCCTTTTTCTTGCTGTGTAGTATTCTATTGTAAGACCATAGGAGAATGCGCTTTTCTATCACTGGAAGAGGCGTGTTTGGGTTGCTTCCAATTTTGAGATATTATGCCCTGATCATCTGTATACTAGTCTTTGTGTGAATGAATGTTCCTTTGCGTTTAAGTAAATATCTAGGCGTGAAATGGCTGCACTGCATAGAAGCATATGTTTAATTTTATAAGAAACTATCATACTCTTTTCCAAAGTGGCTTTTCCACTTTGTATTCTCATCAGTAAAGGATGAGGATTCCAGTTGCTTTACATTTTGGGCAGTATTTGACATTCAATTTTTTCTTATTTCCATAGTTTCAGGAATACAAGAGGTTTTGGTTACATGGATGATTTGTATAGTGGTGAAGTCTGGGCTTTTAGTGTGCCCATTACCTAAATAGTGGACATTGTACTAAATAGGTAATTTTTCATCTCTCATCCCCTCCGACCCTCCCCTCTTCTGAGTCTCCAATGTCCATTATACAACTTTGTATGCCTTTGGGTATCCATAGTTTAGCACCCACTTATAAGTGAGAACATGCAATATTTTTTTTTTTTTTTGTTGTTGTTGTTCCTGAGTTATTTCAGTTAGGATAATGGCCTCCTGTTTCATCCAAGTTGCTGCTAAATACATTATTTCATTCCCTTTTATGGCTGAGTAGTATTCCATGATGTGTATATACCACGTTTTCTTTATCCACTCATTGGTTGATGGGCACTTAGGTTGATTGTATGTCTTTTCAGTTGTGAATTGTGCAGCAACAAAAATGCCTCCAGGTGTCTTTTTGATACAGTGACTTCTTTTCCTTGGGGTACATGCCCAGTAGTGGGATTACTGGATCAAATGGTAGATCTACTTTTAGTTCTTTGAGAAATCTTCATACTGTTTTTCATAAAGGTTGTACTAACTTACATTCCCACCAACAGTATATAAATGTTCCCTTTCCACAGCCTCCGCACCAACATTTATTTGTTTTTGACTTTATAATAATGGCCATTCTGGCTGGGCACTTGGCATTTTTTACACCATTCTAATAGGTGTATGATGGTATCTCACTTTGATTTTAATTTTCATTTCCCTAATGTCTAATGATGTTGCACATTTTTTCTTATGCTGATTTGCCATCTTTAAACATTCTTTTGTGAAATGACAATTAAAAAATTTTGCTAATTTTTATTTTTTATTGCACTGTATGAGTTCTTTATATATCCTGGTTACAAGTCTTTTATGAGATACTGTTTTGTGAAAATTTTCCCCCAGTTCTGGCTTGCTTTTTCATTGTCATAATGGTGCCTTATGAAGTATAAAAGTCTTTAATTATAATAAAATACAATTGATCATTTTTTGGGGGTCTTTCTTTTCGTGTATCTAAGAAATCTTTGCTTAATCTAAGGTCACAATAACTTTCTTTTATATTTTATTCCAGAATATACACAATCAGTTCCTACATTTAGGTCTACAATTTAGTTTGAGTTAATGCTTGTGTCTGGTGTGATGTCAAGTTCCTTTTTTTATTTATTGCACATGGATGTTCAATTTTTCCAGCACATTTTTTAAAAAGACCATCCTTTCCTTACTGGATTTTCTTAGTACTTTTGTTAAAAATCAGTTGACCATGTTTGAGCGGGTGTATTTCTGACCTCTTTATTTCATTCCGTTAAGCAGTAAGTCTGTCCTTTAACTAATGCACACTGTCTTCACTACTGCAGGTTTATAGTAAGCTTGAAATCAGGTAATATGAGTTATTTAACTTTGTTCTTTTACAAATTTCTTTAGCTAATCTGGATCTTTGCGTTTCCATATAAGTAAATACACATGTAGACATGTACATTATATATATATATATATTATATATATATATATATATATATAGCTTTTATTTTTTTGAGATGAGTTTTGCTCTTGTTGCCCAGGCTGGAGTGCAGGGGTGTGATCTCCACTCATCGCAACCTCTGCCTCCTTGGTTTAAGTGATTCTCCTGCCTCAGCCTCCCAAGTAGCTGGGATTACAGGCGTGAACCACCACGCCCAGCTGATTTTTGTATTTTTAGTAGAGATGGGGTTTCTCCATGTTAGTCAGGCTGGTCTTGAACTCCTGACCTCATGATCTCCCCCCCTCAGTCTCCCAAAGTGCTGGGATTACAGGCATGAGCCACTGTGCCTGGCTATATATATATATATATATATATATATATATATATATACACACACGTATATATATATACATATATATATGTATATGTATATATATATATGTATGCACATATACACACACACATATATATATAGCCAGGGGGAAGATATATATATGTATATATATATATGTGTGTATATATATATATATATATATATATATGTGTGTATATATATATATATATATATATCACACACACACATATGTGTATGCTTGCCAATTTCAACAAAACTGCTGTTGGGATTTTGATTAGCATTGCAATGAATCTATAGGTTGATTTGAAGATAACTGACAATTTAATACTAGTAAATCTTCTGATCCATGGATATGTCATCTCTCTCCATGTGTTGAGCTTTTGTTTACTTTCTTAGAGCCATACTGTGTAGTTTTCAGTTTATAGGCCTTGCACCTACCTTGTTAAATTTATTCCCCAGCAGTTTCTATTTCTGAGGCTATTGTGCAGGCATACCTGATTTTATTGTGCTTTGTTTATTGTCCTTTGGAGATACTGTGTTTTTTACAAATTGAAGATTTGTGCCAACCCTGTGTTGAGTAAGTCTATCAGTACCATTTTTCTAATAGCATGTGCTCACTTCAGGTTTTGGTGTCACATTTTGGTAATTTTTGCAATATTCCAAACTTTTTCATTATTATTATATCTTTGATATTATTATTGTAATTGTTCTAGGTCACCATGAACTGCACCCATATATGACAATGAATTTAGCCCATAAATGTTGTATGTGTTCTGGCTGCTCCATTGGCTAGCCATTTCCCCTTCTCTCTCCCTTTCCTTGGGCTTAGATATTTCCTGAGACACAGCAATATTGAAATTAGGACAATTAATTACCCTACAATGGCCCCTAAGTGTTCAAGTGAAAGGAAGAGTTGTGCATCTCTCATTTTAAATAAAAAGCTAGAAATGATTAAGCTCAGTGAGGAAGACAGACAAAAAGCAGAGCTAGATAGGCTGAAACCTAGGCCTCTTACACTAGAAAGCCAATTTGTGAATGCAAAGAAGAAGTTTTTGAAGGAAATTAAAAGTGTTACTCCAGTGAACATGTGAATGATAAGAAAGCTAAACAGACTTATTGCTGATATGGAGAAAGTTTTAGTGGTCAGGTAAGAAGATCAAACCAGCCACAACATTCCCTTAAGTCAAAGCCTAATCCAGAGCAATCCCCTAACTCTCTTTAACACTATGAAGGCTGAGAGAGACAAAGAAGTTGCAGAAAAGTTGGAAGCTAGCAGAGGTTGGTTCATGAGGCTTAAGGAAAGAAACCATCTCTATAACATAAAAGTACAAGGTGAAGCAGCACGTGCTGATGAAGAAGTTGTAGCAAGTTACCCAGAAGATTTAGCTAAGATTATTGATGAAGATGGCAACATTAAACCACAGATTTTAAATGCAGACAAAACAGACTTCTATTGGGAAAATAAGCCACCTAAGACTTTCATTGCTGGAGAAGAGAAGTCAATGCCTGGCTTCAAAGCTTCAAGGGCAGACTAACCCTATCATTAGGGGCTAATTCAACTGGTGACACTAAGTTAAAACCACGGCTCACCAGCTATTCGGAAAATTCTAGGACCCTTAAGAATTATGCTAAACCTATTCTGCTTGTGCTCTAGAAATGGAAAAACAAAATATGATCGACAACTCACCCATTTACAGCCTGGTTTACTGAATATTTTAAACCCATTGTTGAGACCTACTACTCAGAAAAAAGATTTTTTTGTTTTCAAAATATTACTCCTCATTGACAAAGCACTAGTTCACCTGAGAACTCTGATGGAGATGTACAAAGAAATTAATGTTGTTTTCCAGCCTGTTTAACGCAACATCAGTGCTGCAGCCCATGAATCAAGGTGTAATTTTAACTTTCAAGTCTTATTATTTAAGAAATACATTTTGTAAGGCAATAGCTGCCATCAACAGTAATTCCTCTGATGGATCTGGGCAACATAAATTGAAAACCTTCTGGAAAGGATTCACCTACCTAGATGCCATTAAGAACATTTGTAATTCATGGGAGGAAGTAAAAAAATGAACAATAATAGGAGTTTGGAAAAAGTTGACTTTGAGGGGTTCAAGACTTCAGTGGGGAAAGTAACTGCAGATGTGGTGGAGCTAGCAAGAGGACTAAGATTAGAAGTGGAGCCTGAAGATGGGACTGAATTGGTTGCAATCTCATGCTCAGAACTGAATGGATGAAGAATTGCTTCCTTACGGTTGAGCTATGACAGTGGTTTCTTGAGATGGAATCTATTCCTGGTGAAAATGCTGTGAATATTGTTGAAATGACAACAAAGTATTTAGAATAGTGCATAAACTTAGTTGAGAAACAAGTGGCAGGGTTTGAGAGTATTTACTCTAATTTTGAAAGAAGTTCTACTGTAGATAAATGCTATAAAACAGTATCACATGCTACAGATAAATCTTTTGTGTAAGAAAAAGTCAATCGATGTGACAAACTTAACTGTTGTCTTATTTTAAGAAATCGCCACAACTACCCCAACCTTCAGCATCCACCACCCTGATCAGTCAGTAGCCATCAACGTGGAAGCAAGACCCACCACTGGCAAAAGGATTCACATATTAGTTCTAGCTTGTTTTGGTAGAGTCTTTAATATTTATACACAGATAATCATATTCTCTGCAAATAAAGACAATTATGTTTCTTCCTTTTCACTAGTATGACTATTTTTCTTTTCTTGCAGTGTCTTACTGTCTAGACCAGTGTTTATCATACATGTGGTGATATTTGATGCCCTTGCCTTTTAATTTATCCTAGCAGAAAAATGTTCAGTGTTTTGCCATTAAGTATTTCACAATTCAGAGGTTGAGAAAGCTCCCTTCTGTTCTTGTTTGCTAAGAGATTTTTATTGTTGTTGTTGTTGTTTTGTTTATTTTTTACCAAGAATAGGTGTTAGAATTTGTTGTTTTGTGCATCTATTGAGATCATGATTTTTCTTATTTAATTTGTTAACACTGTGAAATACATGGATTTTTGACAATTAAGCAATCCTGAATTTCTAGGATAAATCCCATTTTATATATATATATATACATACATATATATATAGTGTGTGTGTATATATATAGTGTATCTATATATACACACATACATATATATATACAAAATATGTATATATTCCCATGCATACAAATATGTATACACACAAATATATATGTGTGTGTATATATATATGTATATATATATGTATATATTACTAGATTGTATTTGTTAAAGCATTATCACGTTTTTGAGGAAAATTGGCTTGTAGCTTTCTCGTGATGTTGTAATGTTTAAGCAAGCCCCTCCTTAAAAAGGGGTATGGATATGTCTCTAGGACTATGAGGAACTAAATCAAGAAGAGAAAGATATATATCTATCTAGGAAACAGGGAGACACTGGTCTGAGGTCCCTGGATGACAGCCATGCAGCAGTTGAAGTAGGCAAGTGGTTTATTGTAGGGGATAGAGGAGAGGGATTTGGAAGGAGAATGTCAGAATATGATAGAATAAAAAGTATCTGAAAAGTTTTTAAAAAAATAAATATGACAAAAGCAAAAAGCACCCCCCCAAAAAATGCAATTATAAACTCCAGGAGAAAAACAAAACAGAAATAAAACAACAAAAACAAAAAGACTGCAAGAATGTCATATATTGAATAGGAAGCCAACAAAATTGCTCTGTTATTTTAAACACTTGATGCAAAAAATTAGATTCCACTTCATTTTTGAGCTAGGAATATTCTTCTCTGAATCTCCAGGGTCTATGGCATTGAGTTTCCGAGAAGAAGGTAGAATTCTGGTACATTTTTTGGCCTGCACTGAATAGTTTCATTGTGATAATACTGATTCATGGTTTTCATGTTTTAGAGTCACCCTAAGAAGGATGTGTGGAAGACTTGACTGGAGGATCAAAATGTGTCGGGGGAAGGTGTACAAGGAGGAGTAAGGACACAGATGTCCTGACTTCACACAGTGGGGGATTAGAAGCCACCATCAAACACAGATGAAACAGGAATAAAAGTAGTAGTACATTACTTAAGCTTTAAAAGGTAACCAATGGAAAAACCAACATAACATGCCATAATTGTAAGACATGGGGAAGGGAATAAAAAAGCAGAGGGTATATATGTTAGTTCCATTTTGAGATGTTTATCCAGTATTATTCTGCTGGTCAGCTGCAAGTGTACAGGAAGCTTGATCAAAGAACAGACTGAGAAGAAAAGACATTTGCCAGGTTTGAGGAAAGAAACTGAGGGAAAAATAACACCAGTGCAGAATGTACAAAATAGAAGTAGCAAAGAAGATAATTAATACTGCAGAAACCTGAGTCAGGGGCTGGGAGTATGAACAGGCTTTAGACAATCTTGGAAGATGCAAAGGAAAATGAAAAATAAATAACAACCACGAGAGAAAGGAAGGCATATATGGAAGGCTACTGGGGCATGCTCGCCATAGCAACACGTGGGCTGACCGACCTAGAGCATACAACAAGTGGAAACCAAAATAGCATGCAGTTATACAACAAAAATCATCCTGAAATGCAGGAAAAACTAAATTGACAAAAATGACTGGGCTTACTGTGTTCTGAATAATATATGCAATAATGCCTGGTGAAAATTATTAAAATTCAAGGATGAAGCCAACAAACACCCAGGTCTGAAAAACAAATCACAAAGAAAATTTAAAATCCTGGTTTGGTCAGAATTTCCTCAGCAACATCAGATCCCAGAAAGTCTGAGAAAATAGGTCAAGAAAATTTGTGATGGAAAAACATGTGATCTGAGAATACTATATTCAGTCCACTTGTTTGTCTTTAGTAAAAGCTGTAGGAACAAGTCTCCAACATGCGAGGACTCAGAGGATGTATCACCCATTTGCTTTTTTATTTTAGCAAACCAAAAGATCCACAAAAGAAGAGGCTGTTTTATGAAAGGACTGATCATAGAACCGAGCCAAATAGCACCGATAATTAACATTACAAGACAGCATCAAAATATTCTTATTCTAGGGAGAAAAGCTGCACAATATAGAAATAATTATAATATAGCTAAAATTAGTAGGGTCAGAAATATCAGAGCATAGCAATTTAGAGAACAGTGTGCGATGAGGATGGCGCCAGATATAATGATAGTATGCAGAATCTTCATCTTTTGTAGAAAATACTAAAACATCTTGCTTCATATCTGAAACTGATAATTGATAATACATGTTTAAAGATTTTACATAAAGTTAAAACATAGCCACCACCAGAAATATAATCTAACTGTACTACGTCCAAATTACCAGATGGGAAAAAAATAAAACAGACCTCATATAGAGCAAAAGAGAAAAAAATAAAGAGGAAGAAAACATTAAAAAGAGAAAGCATAAAATAAATACAGCAAAGTAAGAGTAAATATATCTGCTGTAGCAACAAATCTTGATTTAATAGTTAAATAATCTTATACTTGTCCAAAACCCACAAGTTTTGCAGGTGTTGTATTAAAGAGAGATATTTAACTATGAATGACCCAGTCTGAAGGTAAAAGTTTGGAGATGTCATACAAATACAAGCAGAAATAAAGTGGGGGTAAACACAATAATATCTGAACGAGTTAAATTCAAGTTAAATGCTGATTAGTAATACATTACAGCCCTTGACAGCACAGATTCTGCCACATACATTGCTGGTGGAAATATAAAATAGTGCAGCCACTCTGGAAAACAGTTTGGCAGTTCCTCAAAAAGTTAAACATAGTCTTACCATATGACCCAGCAATTTTACTCCAAAGTGCATATCCAAGAGAACTGAAAACATATGTTCACCCAAAAATGGGTATATGAATGTTCATAAAGGTATTATTCATATTAGCCCCAAAGTGGAAACAATCCAAATATCCGTGAGCTGATGAGTGGATAAATAAAATGTGGTATATCCATACAATGGAATATTACTCAGCTATAGCGAGGAGTAAAGTAGTGAAACTTGCTAAAATGTGGATGAGCCTGAAAGCATTACGGTAGATGAAAGAAGCCAGGCACAAAAGGCCACAGTCATGTGATTCCATTTATATGAAATGTCCAGAATAGACAAATCTATATAGAGAGAAAGCAAATGAGTGATTGATAGGGGGTGAGGGATGTGGGGGTGAGGTCAGTATTTTGCTGATGGTACAAGATTTCTTTTATGGGTAATGGAAATGTTCTGGAATTAGTTAGTAGTGATGGCTACACAACACAGTGAATATACTGTAACTCACTGAATTATATTATATTTAAAGTGGCACATTTTATAAGTGAATTCTATCTCAATACAAATAATTTTAAAAAGAACAGAAAATCTGGAACTTGGGATGAAGAACACTTCTGACCCTCTCTTTATGGTGCCTAGAGCTTGTAACTGAATGTCTCTGTATCTTAGTTCCTAACCTGTATAATGAGAATAATAATACCTAGCTCATTGGTTGTTGCAGGGATTAAATGACTTAATATTTATAAGATGCCTGGTGTATTAGACCATTCTCATGCTGCTACTAAACACATACCCAAGACCAGGTAATTTATAAAAGAAAGAGATCAGTATGGTTGGAAAGGCCTCAGGAAACTTACAATAATGGAGGAAGAGGAAGCAAACATGTCGTTCTTCACATGGCAGCAGCAAGGAGAAGTGCCTAGCAAAAGGGGGAAAAGCCCCTTATAAAACCATCAGATCTCATGATAACTCACACACTATCATAAGAACAGCATGAGGGTAACTGCCCCCATGATTCAATTACCTCCCACCAGGTCCCTCCCATGAAACGTGGGGATTATGGGAACTACAATTCCAGATGAGATTTGGGTGGGGACACATCCAAACTATATCACCTGGCATAGCTAGCACTATATAACAGTTGTTACATTAACATGTAAAAAGTAAACAGGTCTAAGAGCATCTCAGAGTGGTGTAAATAACAATTCAAAACAAAGGAGCAACTGTCTTGGGTGGTTATGAACAAAATTACAAAATACTAACTTTGATAAAGGACAAAGGAGAAATGACAAACTCTACAGCTATAACCATGGTGCCTAGTGCATCTCTTAGCCCTTGACTCACCAAGCTGACCAAAGAAGTCTAGCCACTGGCCCCACACCAATGCATGGACCTCTACAGGGGAGTCCACATCCTTCTCACAGAATACAAATTAGGCCATCAAACTGTTAGTAGATTCAAAAACTAAATACACTACAAGTTATATTCATTGACCAATTTAGGAATAGTATCTGATAACAATAGAAAATGCCCTTTTGTTATTCTAACCATTTATCCATTAAAACAATAACACTAGTGTTCAAAAATCAGAACAAAACTAAACCTTTAGGCTGAAGATTAAAACAAAACTGCAATTATAGAGTATCTTGTACTCAGTACAGTATCGAGAGGAAAAATTCGTATTCTTTACCCTTTAAGAGTCAAACAAAACAAAAAAGACATGAAATTAAGTAATTCAGAATTAAGAATTACTTAATTAAGAATTCAACTCAAAAGGGGGACTAAAAAGCAACACATTAGACCCAAGTAGTGATAAAAGCTGAAATGTGATGAACTGGGAACCAAATAAATAAATAAAATAAAAATAAGAGCCAGATTAAACTATGGTAAAATAAATAAACTATAAAACCTAAAAATATAAAAGCATACTATTAAAAAGTATGCTTTTTAATAGTAAAAGAAAGTAAAAGAACCACAGAGAATTGAAAGACAGAATAGACTATTTGTAAAATTCTGATGTAAAAACTTTGAACACGTGGATGTAATGGATAATTTTATAAGCAAAGATACAGATTAATCTTGATTAAAGAAGGAGAAAAGCTAAATAGACAAATACCATGGTAAACGTTTGCGAAAGAGCCACTCTCATATAGCTGTAGGCGTAGGCATTCTCCTTCTTTTAAACTTTCAAAGCACATCTATGAAAAATCAAGATAATTCTCTCAAGAGAATTCTCATAACACAAAGAACATAAATAAATCTTTCAAAAACAATACCTACCATTAGGCTTAATGGCAAAAAATCAAAACATTTACAGTAAAGTGAATAAGAAGACACAGGTGTCTTCTATTACTATAATTATTTAACATTTAACAAAATTTTAAAAGCTTTTCCTGAATTTTCACAGTAAAATAGATATAGAAGTATCTTTCTCTAACTTGATTAACAAAGATTTGTATCTCAAATGACAGACAGCACCAGGTGAGACACTAAAGAAATCCTTTAGGCCAGGTGTGGTGGCTCACACCTGTACTCCCAGCACTTTGGGTGGCCAAGGCTGGCTGATCACCTGAGGTCAAGAGTTTGAGACCAGCCTGGCCAACATGGTGAAACCCCGTCTCTACTAAAAAGTACAAAAATTAGCTGGTTGTGATGGTGCATGCCTGTAACCCCAGCCACGCGGGAGGCTGAGGCAGGAGAATCTCTGGGACCCAGAAGGCAGAGGTTGCAGTGAGCTGAGATTGTGCCACTGCACTCCAGCCTGGGTGACAGAGTGAGACTCTGTCTCATAAAAATAAAATAAAATAAATTTAAAAATATAAAAGACATAAAAAGAAATCCTTTCAAATCAATATTACAAGTATGTGCTTAATCATTGCTTTTATTTAACAGAATTCTGGAATTGTGAGGCAATGTCATTAGATAGGAAAGTGACGTAAGAATATATATTGAAAAGCAAGAGGCATACATCACTATTTGTCGATGATATGATTACGTAGCTGAAAAGCCTAAGAAAACTGAAAAACTATGAGCCTCAGCCCTTGATTGCAAAATATTGGTGGGTACAGACTTCGTCTGTGGCACTGGAGATACAGGAGTGAGTTGGAGAGAGTCCTGCTCTCCTGGAGTTTGTGTTTCAGCTGCGGACATGGCAAGTGGCATAGAAAAAAACCAACAAGTGTATAATGTAATTGTCAGAGGCATGTGGACCAGAGCAACTCCATCTCGAATAGGAGCTGGGTAAAATGAGGCTGAAACCTACTGGACTACATTCCCAGATGGTTAAGGCATTCTAAGTCACAGGATGAGATACGAGGTCGGCACAAGATACAGGTCATAAAGACTTCGCTAATAAAACAGGTTGCAGTAAGGAAACCGGCTAAAACCCACCAAAACCAAGATGGCCACAAGAGTGACCTGGTCCTCACTGCTACACTCCCACCAGCACTATGACAGTTTACAAATGCCATGGCAACGTCAGGAGGTTACCCTATATGGTCTAAAAAGGGGAAGCATGAATAACCCACTCCTTATTTAGCATATCATCAAGAAATAACCATAAAAATGGGCAACAAGCAGCCCTCAGGGCTACTCTGTGTATGGAGTAGCCATTCTTTATTCCTTTACTTTCTTGATAAACTTGCTTTCACTTTACTATATGGACTCACCCTAATTCTTTCTTGTGTGAGATCCAAGAACCTTCTCCAGGGGGTCTGGATCGGGACCTCTTTCCTGTAAATAACATCATGTATTGATAGAGACTACAAGGAAAGACCAACTAGGGGAAGAGCCTGGAGAACAATGAGGATGTTGTGCTAGGCAAGGAGGCAAGGGACTGCAACTCCCCTAAGTTACTTCCAACGTGAATGCAACGCCAGTCAAAACCCTGATGCAACTTTGGGAGGCCAAGGTGGGTGGATCACCTGAGGTCAGGAGTTCAAGACCAGCCTGGTCAACATGGCGAAACCCCATCTCTACTAAAAATAAAAAAATTAGCTGGGCGTGGTGGCGCATGCCTGTAGTTCCAGCTCTGGGGGCTGAGGCAGGAGAATTGCTTGAACCTGGGAGGTGGAGGTTGCAGTGAGCCGAGATTGTGCCACTGCACCCCAGCATGGGCGACAGAGTGAGACTCCACCTCAAAAACAAAACAAAACAAACCAAAACACCCTGATGCAATCCCTTCCATTCTCAATCTCTTCTCTCCTTACTGACTTTTTGAAATTGATAAAATAATCTTAAAGTTTATCTGGAAAAGTAAAAGTGGAAGAGTAGAACTAATGCTCTGAATAAAGAGTAATGAGGATGGGAGTGGAGGGAAGTAAATGTATTATATTGAGATATTTAACAAAGTATATTATTAAGCAACTAGAATCAAACTAATGTGGTACTTTCTCCTTAAATACACAATGAGATCCATGAAATTGAATGCAAAGATTGAGCACATACTTATTATATTACCGATTTTAAAGAATTTCTTTAGTGCCTCACCTGGTGCTGTCAATTTGAGAGAGGAATATTTGTTAATCAAGTTAGGGAAAGATACATCTATATCTATTTTACAGAAAAAATTAGGAGAAGCTTTTAACATTTTGTGAAATGTTAAATAATGGTAGTGAAAGATGACACCTATGTTTTCTTACTCATTTTATTACAAATGTTTTGATTTTTTTGCCATTAAGCTCAATGTTAGCTATTGTTTTGGAAAGATGTAAATGAGCTGAGTGTATAAGAAACTTGGTGTCCTAGCTATAGCAGGTGTAACATATTCAATGCCATTTCCGCAGACCTAAAAATGTTAATACAAATTAACACATTTTATTTATTCACATACTTCATTTTAAGTGTGATTGGAAATTTCATATTTTTCAAGTACTGCACTTAATAAATCCAACAATCATATCCTTGCATTCTTCGGATTTAAATATAACATTTAAGAGGGATAGGCAGTTTTTTTTTTAAGAGGCCTGTCCTCAGAAGAACATGTAATTCTTATGACACTACTATGTATTGTTTTAAGATAAAAATTGATGACACGAAAAGAAAAAATTTTTAAAAAATTGATGGCATGTGCTTAATATATGTGATAGAAATTGCAAAATTGATTTTGAAACTCTAAGTAAATAATGACTGATGAATTGTGATGATTCTTATTAAAAAGACTTATTTGCTTGACTCCACATTAGAGTCAATGTGCGTTAATGAACAAACAGAATTTTCGAGAAGCTGCTGGAGTTTGAGTGTCTTTGGCTACAGTAATTGAGTGAAACCTATGCTGAGCTAAATCTTGTGGGCTTAGTACATAAGTATTAATATTAAACACTCAGTATGTGTTTGCTACAGGTGAGACCCGCAGATTTGACTAATTTTTTAAGAAATACATAGCAAATTGTTCTTAATATTAAAATGTAAATGACAAATCATGAAAAAGACTTTTCAAAATAAACAATAAAGCATTAATATCACAAATAAAGTTTTTTTTAATCAATAAGTAAAAAGACAACATGACTGGGTGCAGTGGCTCATGCCTGAGATCCCAGCACTTTGGGAGGTGGGAGGACCGCTTGAGCTCAGGAGTTCAAGGCAAGCTGGTTAACATAGTAAGACCTTATCTCCACTAAAATTTAAAACAATTAGCCTGGTGTGGTGGTGTGTGCCTGTAGTCTCCTGTACTCAGGAGGCTGAGGCAGGAGGATTGCTTGAGTCTGGGAGGTTGAGGCTGCAGTGAGCCCTGATGGTGCCACTGCACTCCAGCCTGGGCAATACAGCAAGACCTTGCCTCCAAAAAAAACCCCCAAAAAATTGACAACGCAATTTCAAAAATGGAGGAAGGGCATGAACAAGTTGCATTGAATCATCGTTAGTCCTCCGTTTCCTTTATTTTGTGTTTAAAAGCACAGGTTTAGTGATATTGACCAGTGGTCTGTTTATATTCTGTGTATATTTTTGCAGATTTAGTTATTTTTTCTTATTGATTGAAATGAAATATCTTTGTCATAGGTTGTAAAATTTCATAATTTGTTGTTTTTAAAACTTGGTTCATGGTGTCATTTGCCATAGAAATCATTATTTATGTGATCATTATTTTATGATCTACTAATTTTGTCTATGTATTTCTACACTGAATTTATGAACAACATACATTCATAAGTTTATCTAGAAAAACAAATAATTAAAATAGAAAATGTTGGTGATATAATTTTGATGGTTTAAAACTTCTCTTTCTAACTTTTTTTGTGACTGTGGATCACAATCATAGTAAACAATGGAAAATACTGACAAAGAGGCACGAAGAAGCAAAACTCATAGGATGCTGTCAAAGCTGAACATAGGAAAATTCATAGTCTACTTCCATTATTCAATCTAAAAGTGTAAATGTAAAGGAATTAGGTGATAAACGCAATTATGTAAATAAATACCAGGAAGGAAATTGCAAATAAAGAGTACAAAAGAAAGGGAAAGGAATTAAAAAGTTAAAAGCTTTAATGTGTAAGCCTTAATATGTATTAAACATTTAATACACAATATTTAACGCATTTCAAATTTAAGACCTTTCACATGTATGATATATATGTACATAAACATATATATATATATAATACTATATGTTATGTATGTAAAAGCTTTTGTATATATGTATATATTGAGGAAGATAAGGACAGACCACAAGTCAACACTGCTACGTTATGAATCCTTTGTCCTTAAATTAACTGGCTGGGCGCGGTTGCTCACATCTGTAATCCCAGCACTTTGGGAGGCCGAGGTGGGCAGATCACCTGAGGTCAGGAGTTCGAGACCAGACTGGCCAACATGGCAAAACCCCATCTCTACTAAAAATACAAAAATTAGCCTGACATGGTGGTGCATGCCTTTATACCCAGCTTGGGAGGCTGAAGCAGAATTGCTTGAACCTGGGAGGAGGAGTTTGCAGTGAGTGGAGATCGTGCCACTGCACTTCAGCCTGGATGACAGAGTGAGACTCTTTCTAAAAAAAAAAAAAATTAAATTAACCACAATGAAATAAATTATTTTCAAAACAAAAATAAATAGGATCAACAAATAAATCTAAGTTCTGTGTCTTTAAAATATAAGTAAATTTCTAATATATTTATCCAGGAAATGAGGATAAAATTCCCCTCAAACATAAAATTATAAGAAAAATGAGAGTAAATAATCAAATCCCATTTTAATATTATTTTTACAATAAATATTAGAAAATTTTAAGGAAACTCAAGACTATGAAACTCTCGAACAAATAAGTAACTAAGAGAGAACTGTTCAAAGTTATCAAAAGTTTACTTTCCACAACAACAAAAGAAACCACAGATGCTTTTATGGGAAATGTATTTTTTTATACAAATAGTTTCGGAGCATAGATACCCCTAAAAATAAGGTAGGAGGTGAGACTCAGCTCCATAGGTGGGGCTTGGACACTGGACCAAATTGAGGACTAGCTAAAACAGAGGAAATGTGGAAGCATCTTTCCATAAGACACTCCCACTAGTGCACCATGTCAGTTTACCATTGCCATGGCAACACCAGGAATTACTACCTCTTTCCGTGGCAATGATCCAATTACCCAAAAGCTACTACCCTTTTCCTAGAAATTTCCTCATTAACTGCCCCTTACTCTATCTGTAATTAAGAGTAGATAGAAATCTGACTGCGGAACTGTCCTGAGCTGCTGCTCTCAGCATACTGCCTGTGGGGAAGCCCTGCTCTGCAGGGGCAGTCACGGAGCTCTAACACCGCTGCTTCAGTAAAGTTGCTTTCTTCTACCCTAGCACCGGCTTGCCCTTGAATTCTTTTCTGGGCAAAGCCAAGAACCCTCGCAGGCTAAGTCTCACTTTGGGGCTCACCTGACCTGCATCAAAAACACTAGTTAATTCATTTTATGAAGTGGTGACTCTAATATTAAAGCTGGACGAAGATAGTTCAAAAAAGGAAACTGTGAAAATACTATGTGAAAATGTGAATACTATGTGAAATTGTGAAAATGCTAAATAATACGTGAAAACTATCTGACAGTGGAATAAAAGAACAATATCTTCTGGTTCAGTTTTTTTCCATTAAGTAATTCAAGAATAATTTAATATTAGGAAATGTACCAATATGTTTAAATATATTGGTATATTTGATAATATACTAATTATAATATAAAACTAATTGTAATCATAATATAATAATACTAATTATAATACTAATTATAATACTAATTATAATATAATAATGCTAATTATAAGTATAATAATATATTTAAATATATTAGTATGTCAAGAGAGAAGATTTAAACACATCTCCTACTGAAATGGCTTATAATAAAATTCAACACTCATTCCCAAGAAACAAAATCTAAAACAATATTAGTATGATAGAAATTGAACCTTCTTTATCAAGAAAGAGGCTCTCACCCCCAAGTCAACAGCTTAATTATATTTTAGAATGGAAAACTAGAGGCGTTTCTATTTACATATGACAGAATTCTTACTATCCATGCCATATTTAACACAGTTTAAAAATTCTGACCAATTGAATAAACCAAGACTACAAAATAGAGGATTTACTGTTTGAAAGTAGTTGATTATACGGTTACTGACACTTGGATGAAGGAGAATTGTCTACCTGGAGAACTCAAGGGAACAAACTGAAAAATTACTACACTATCAAGCAAGTTTAAAGATAAAGTTTTGTCAACATAATCACATAAGTAAAAAGTTAGTTTTTCTTTACACCAATGGTATGATGATTTTTAAAGTGCCATTTACATTAGCAACAAAACAATAAAATATCTAGGGAAAAGTTTACAAGAAATATGTAGAAATGTGATGAAATTAAAATAAGGAATATGAATTTAAAATATGCCATGTTATTGAATTAAAATTAAAATAACATAAAGTTACCGATTCGCTCTACATGATCTAGACGTTTAATGGGATCCAAATGAAAATATCAGTGGGACTTTGGAGGGGTGGTGCTTTATAAAATGATTCTGACATTCATCTGGCACTTTAGAATTGCTGAGAATGTTTTGAAAAAGTAGAAGGGTGAGGAGGAACTTGCACTACTGGGTAAGCAATGTGCAGTGACGTCCTTGTAGCTTCGTATATATTTAAATAGTCTGGTTTAATTGCAGGAATAGACAGATAAATCAATGGAACAGTACGAGGAGAGCTGAAGCAGGCCCATGTAAATATGAATTTCATATAAGATAAATGTGGCATTTCAAATCAGTGGGGAAAAGATGAGGAATTCAGTAAGTCAAATTAGGTCAATTTGCTGACCGTGTGGAAAAAAAATAGATCTTTACAGCACCACGTACACTAACAAATTTCAGATTGATAAAATATTTAATATAAAATTTGAAGCCATAGAAAGATTTTAAGGAAAACACATGAATATTTATCTGATGTTGTGGTATGCAAGTACTCAGAGTGTATGTAAAGGCGTAATCTGTAAAATAAGAGACCAACACATTTGACTACTCCAAAATGACAAAATTCTTTATGTCAACATGATCATAAACAAAACTAAATGTTAAACCACAACCTGGGGGAAAGCATTTTTGCAACACAAGTGTATAGCATCCTTATTAAATCAGACTGCTTTCAAACCAATAATTAAATGACAAACACACTAAAAAATAGGCCAAGAAAATTGCAGGAAATTTTATAACAAAGAATCACAGTGGCCAATGAATGTAAGGGAAAAAAGTTCACCCTCACTAGAAAGTAAAAAGCTAACATGAAAAGGAACAATATATTTAATGTATTTTGCTCAGTACCAGGAGCATAGAGAGTTCTAGGTAAGCATTAACTCTTTGTAACAGGATAGTGATCAGGATTACTATACAGTTGCTGTTGCTATGTTAGTTGCATATGCAGTTGTGTTGTAGGGGTTATTCTGTTGGTGGAGGAATAAATTGATACATTTCTAAAGTGTGATTGATTTTACAATGCACAGCCAAAGTATTAAAAAAGCAAATTTCTTTTGGTAGGTTATTTTTCCATCATATATTTATTCTAATGAAGTCTAATGAACTCTTCTCTAAGGATTTATTTCCAGGATGTTCATTACTGTATTGATTATAATAGCACGACATTGAGTGCAATAGAAGATTGGTTGAAGTACAGGACAGTCACAAGGCAGAAAACTACGTAGCGATTAACAATAATGTTGTAGGAAACAATTTACTGACATGAACTTAGTCCCTGAATATCAGGATTAAACATGTGTATATATGCATGGAAGAAATATATGTAAGAATTTAAAAGCTATCAGCATTTACCTCTGAATGGGGGGATCATGAGTGATTATTATTTTCTTCTGGGTATGTTTGTGTTTGTGCATTTCTTAGCATTTGCTATAATGAGCTGGTAGTAATTTTGTAAACGGAAAGATAAAAACCCCACTGTTAAATCTGACTTTTCTGTTTTCAGGGTAAGACTCCTGGGAATTTGGAAGCTGAGACTTGAGGCAAGTATTTAGGATTTGCTGTCTCACCTCCCTGCTATGACAGTCCTTAATTAATGGAGATGATGGAGAACAGCTTGCTGGGCTGAGTGGCAGGAGCCATGCAGCTGCTGGGGCTGGAGTGGGTCAGGAAGCTTCATCAATCTGGGACACATGACGTGCTTGGTGGTGGCGGAGCCTGACGCATCCCTCTTCATCGACATTGTGTCAATAGGAGCAGAGGCATTTAGCTGTGTAAACACAGAGCTTCAGTGGCAGCACCCTAAATGCTTAGCTGATAGATCCGGAATTAAATACAGACCTAGAAACTGGAGTTGGAAAACTTCCTGGCAGCACTCCTTCCCTGCCATCCCGGTGATCCCCTTCTGGATGGAGGGTGTGGAGCTCAGCACATTCACGTCTGCAGGTAGGTGTTGCTATCTTAGAGGGCAAGGAAGGTGCACACGGAGATATTTGAAGGAAATGGATTATCTTCAAAGGCTGTTCAGGGTGGGGTTGAGGCTCCCAAGACAGGGGCCTGTGGGGTTGACCTGATGCATGTTGGATAATAGGGTGAGTAAAACCCTGAAATGTGCCACCTGGGCACCTGTCCATTCTGTTTCCACCTCCTTTAGTTCAGGCCAACAAACAGAAGGTAGTGATTATGTTCCAGGCCTTGTGCTAAGATGCGACACACCTAGCCTGTTATTGCTACTTTGCCCCATTTTTTCCCCTCCAAAGAAAACCAGACTGCTCTTTATAAATTGCAGACCCGATCATGCCATTTCCTGGCTTAAAGCCATCAATGTGACTTCCTATGGCCTTTAACAGTCCTGCAAAGGCCCCCACAGTTCACCCAGGCTTGTCTCTCCTGCAGCTCTCTGGGTCTTCCTCCATCATCACCCCCTCTCCACAATTAATTTTCATGAACTTCTTTAACACCTATTCAGGCTTCCTGCAGGAAGACTTCCTTGGTTTCTTAAGACTTGATTAGGTCTCATTGCCACATGTAATGCACCTTAACATGGTCTATTATAATCCCAAAGTTTTACTTTGTAATTTCTTATTTAGTTGGACTCTTGGTCCCAGGATGGCGTGTCTATCTTGTATGGTTCATGCTCTATTTATTGAACAAATGATTCATTAATCATGAATCGTTCTTTAATGATTGAACATAAAATGAGAAGGACACAGCCTCTCTTTGGAAGAAGCTTAGAGGGGAGACAGATATGTGGTTATGGATTCAAGGGATGGTCTTAGATAGATGTGCACTGAAGACTCAGCCATAGGAGAGGAGAGGTGACTGATTAATTCTGTCTGAGGACAGATGATTCCGGGTGGTTTTCAGAGAGGAGGAACCAGCCAACAAGTCCTCGGAGGAGTGACTAGAGGGTGTTCTGTTAGCATGGGCCTCCCGTGGAAGGCTGGGGAGTTCAAACACATTGCCAGCAGCATTGAGCTCTGGAATGTGTTTCTGCCATTCCAGACAGTGCTGGCAAGGGTGGAGCGCCCACTGTGTGTCTGGCCCTGGGCACCAGTAAAGCCTGGGCACCAGAAAGATGCACTCCAGCTCTTCCTTCTCTTGCACCTGCCCACTGGGTGCGCTGGGGACCTATTTCATGGCATCCTGACAGTCAGGCTCGAGGATGCAGCTGAACTTGGGCACTGGTTGAGGGAGGGGTGGGCTGGCCTTGCCCACCAGCAGTGCCATATGCCCATGCCTTAGTCTACTCCAGTCATGTCCCCCGGCTGCCCAGCTGTCACGGCCATAATTACAGCAGCCACAGCTGCAGGAAGTGTGTGGTTGTGGGGACCCTCTGGTCTCCTTAGAACTTTACTACTGTTGTTATAGCTTATCAGGACACGGCCCACCTTCTGTTGGTCTCTTGAAAATGGCTGTAATTCTCATCTATCATGGGGGTGAGCCAGCTGCTGCAGGGGCAGCTGTCAGTGAGAGAGTTCTGCATGCGTCCCGACAAGATGGCCCTGACCTTGGGGATGTGGAGGCTCCAAGCCAAGTGCCTTTCTTGGGACAGCATTTAGGCCATCTCTTTTGTCCCGACCTGGGGGTGAGTGCTTTCTGCTTTTCTCTGTAGCCCTGAACTGCTTGTCTTTTGCCTTGTTATCTTTCCTGGACTGTGAACTTCCCAAGTGAAGAGCATTGTATTTGCTACAGACAACCTTCTGTTATTAAAAGCTTTATCATAGATTGTGAAATACCGTTCTTTCCCACATTACAAAAGGAACATACAATGATAATGGCAACAAAAATAGATAATAATTATTGACTGCTTACTCTGTTCCAGGCGTTATACTTATAACTTTACAGGGATTATCTAATTCATTACTGAAACAACATTGTGATTTCCATTTCGCAAGTGGGGAACCCTGTCCAGAGAACTTATGTAAGTTGCCCAGGGTCACACAGCTGAGAGGTGGGAGGCCTAGGCTTCAAAACTAGAGAAGTCTCCTTTCAGGGTCCACACATGTGCCTCACTTTAAGAAATTTGGAAAACAGAGAAGTAGAAAAAAAACAATAATTTTATGTTTCAAACACAACTCATTATGATCTTGATATATTTCTGCTCATTATGTTTCTATTCATTATTTTTCCATAATTGTGATTATATTGTGTAATCAATTTTGTCTTATGATTTTAAAATTAGTATTATCACATAAACATTTTCCATCTCGTGGGTTTACTATCCCTTATTAGTCCTTTTTGTGGCTTACTGGGTTGCATCCAAGTTTTCTCTTGTTGGACTAAGAAAGTAACATTGAGATGTGTTAGTGTGTGTGTGTGTGTGTGTGTGTGTGTGTGTGTGATACTAGTCACACAGCTAGCCTCATTAAGGTTTGTACATACAGCATCTAATTTATTCTTACAGTAACACTATGAGGTAAAGAAATATCTCCCCCATCTTACAGATAAAGAAACTAAGGTTTAGACAGTTAAACAAATCACCCAAGGCTACGAATCACCTACATAGGTGGTAAGGGGCAATTCCAGAATTCAAATGGATAGCAGTTTGACAAAGGCCATGCTTTTTTGTTTGTTTGCGTGTTTGTTTGTTTTTGAGATGGAGCCTTGCTCGGTCGCCCAGGCTGGAGTGCAATGGCGCGATCTCAGCTCACTGCAACCTCCGCCTCACGGGTTCAAGCGATTCTCCTACCTCAGCCTCCCGAGTAGCTGGGATCACAGGCACCTGCCATCATGCCTGGCTAATTTTTGTATTTTTGGTAGAGACAGGGTTTTGCCACATTGGCCAGGCTGGTCTTGAACTCCCGACCTCAGGTGATCTGCCCACCTCGGCCTCCCAAAGTCCTGGGATTACAGGCATGAGCCACCGTGCCCAGCCTTAAAGGCCATGCTTTTGGTCATTAGTCTATCCCTTCACCATAAAGCTTTTTCCATATTTTGTTTGCATTTTTACATTTTTGGATTGATCCCCATAAGTGGAATTTTTGGGTCAAAGGGGGTAACCATTTTTAACATGAGTTAGAGGAATGTGCATTCCATTCCTGTTGTATTTTCCCCTTGCCAGCATTGACCCCTGCCATTGAATCCGTTGGTAGGGTTATTAACGACCCCCATTTTTAGTGGCTTGTGACATCCCAAGTTCACCCTCCACTCAAACTCCATGTCCATCCTGCATCAGCTGGGCTTTGCTCCAGGCGTCCATCACCTTGGGACCCCTGCTTGAGCAGCCACCATCTGGAATGTTGCTTGGTCACTGTTGCAGGAGGAAAGAAAGCTCTGGGGCATCTCCAACTGGCAACTAAGCCATCTAGCCCAGAAGTGACAAATGTCACTTCCGCTCAGACTTCATTGTCTAAAACGAATCACGTGGCCCCATCCACCCAGACAGAGCCAGGAGGCGGAGTCCTTTGTGAGTCCTTAAGGGAGAGCTGGAAATAGCTGGTGAAGGCCCTAATAACTAACACAGTCATAAAAGTTGCTCATTTGATCGTTGAAAATAGTAACACGTTGCTTTATTTGACAAGAGTTTTTTTTTGGTGAGCCTTAGTATTTCTTCATATTTTCTTGGCAAGTTGTAGCTCTCCTTTTGTAACTTGTTTGTCCTGTTCTTAACCCATTTTTCGGTAATATCTTAATGCTTTACAAATGCTTTCCGGATGTGGTCATGTCCCTAAATAGGTCTTTGATGAGTGAAAACACATGGTGTTTCAGAAGCCAATTTCCCTTAGATAGTTTTTAAACATAAAGATGTAAATAACTTTATGCATTTACTTTCATTTTCCAAAGAAGTGACCCAGAGTTTATGTTTACTCCAGGTTTAATTTATGTTAACTTCCGCTTTTCAGTTAATCAGTGAAAACTGAGGGAAGTTCCTGAGCTTCAAGGGCTTTCTGCATCTGGGTTTCAAAATTCTGGACTCCTTCCTATCTCCTTGGCCCCACACTTCCCTTCTAGGGAACCAGCCCTGAGTGTCCCTATAGAGTTCACTTCTCCTTCTCATCCCCACTCCTCTGTCCCCAGGTCAGGAAAAGACACCTGGGTGCAATCGAAATAACTTCCTAACTGGTATTTTTTACATGGGCTACCAGAAAAGAGAACATGCTAATTACATCATTCTTTCCCTCCAAACCCTTCCCAGTGGCTCCCCTTGCCCTGTGGGGCCCATTTACCATGGATGAACACAATAGGATTTTCAGTGGGATACAAAGGAACACTTTATAGTTATAAGTTAATTTTTGGCCAGGCGCGATGGCTCACGCCTGTAATCCCAGCACTTTGGGAGGCTGAGGCGGGTGGATCACTTGAGGTCAGGAGTTCGAGACCAGCCTGGCCAATATGGTGAAACCCTGTCTGTACTAAAAATACAAAAATTAGCTGGGCGTGGTGGCGGATGCCTGTAATCCCAGCTACTCAGGAGGCTGAGACAGGAGAATTGCTTGAACCTGGCAGGTGGAGGTTGCAGTGAGTCGAGGTAACACTGCACTCCAGCCTGAGTGACAGAGCGAGGTCTCATCTCAAAAAAATTTTTTTTAAATTAATTTTCATGTGTATTAGAAAAGTGTTCACCTAGCACATTAAACATGTACATTGACAGATATTACTGCTGTGATATGGCAATGAGCACAAGTGTGTTCATGTAAAAATTGAAAGGGAGCTATTAAGTTGATAACATGATAGGAAATGCATGGGTTTGGCAAAGATAATGGGATAGTGTCTAAATGACAGAAGTTTGGGAAAGACAAATTAACATCCAAACTTCATAGCATCCTTAAACCTGCCAAACCCAGCTTTTGAGTCCTATCCCCACATCCCACAGCCTGTTATGTATGTAACATGATCAGTATGTAAATACTGATCATGCTGCAGGGCCCCTTTAACATAACATCTTCCCCCTTTGTTCTGGGCAAAGTTAGAGCTCTTCTGTTTGTTCTCTTTGGGTCCTGTTTCACTTTAAAACATTTTTTAATTTGATTTAATTTTAAGTTCCGGGATACATGTGCAGGAAGTGCAGGTTTGTTACATAGGTAAATGTGTACCATGGTGGTTTGCTACACCTATCAACTTATCACCTACGTATTAAGCCCAGCATGCATTAGCTATTTATCCTGATGCTCTCCCTCCTCCTGCCCCACCCCTTCCCTGACAGGCCCCAGTGTGTGTTGTTTCCCTCCCTGTGTCTATGTGTTCTCATTGTTCAGCTCCCGCTTATAGATGAGAACATGCAGTGTTTGGTTTTCTGTTTCCAGCAATCCCATTACTGAGTATATACTCAAAGGAATATAAATCATTCAATTTTAAAGATACATGCACATGTAAGTTCATCACAGCACTATTCACAATAGCAAAGACATGGAATCAACCCAAATGTCCATCAGTGATAGACTGGATAAAGAAAATGTGGTACATATACACCATGGAATACTATGCAGCCATAAAAAGGAAACGAGATCATGTTCTTTGCAGGGACATGGATGGAGCTGGAAGCCATTATCCTGGCTCACTTTTTATAGTACATTTTCCTTAATTGTTCAATGTCTTACTTTCTCTTCTAGATAGGCATTTATTTGGAAGCACAACCTGGGTTTTCTTTCAGTAGCCAGTGTTAACCTACAGAAAGTGCTTCACTACTTAGAAAGTACCTTTGTATTTATGATCTAATTGGCTCCTTACAAGGACCCCTTGAGGCAAGCATCTCCATTTTACAGAAGAATTAACCAAGGCTTGGACATTGTCAGATGCAATTCAGAGAGTCTTGGCAGGGATTCAGATTCAGGAATGTGACCCAACAACCCCCTCTTTTCCTGCTGGATCACAGGGCTGCATCACTCCTGTTTTCCCACAGTCCCTGATGTGGGGTCTGTGCATACTACATGCTCAACAAAGGCTCCAGGGGTGAAAGAAGGATGAGCACATTCTTATGTCTAGGGCTTTTGTTCGCTTACACATGACAGCACTTTCACAAACTAATTGTTTGAGATATTTCACATACTGAGGATTGGGAAGTCCTGGGCTTTTACATAAAGGCTGAAAATCCGTGCATTTTTCTGGGATCCTCTCCAGGGAAGCTGGTGTTACAACTCAACAGTGATGTTCTTTCCTTCTTTCTAAGTACATTTTGGGGAGTGGCTCTTTGAAGGAAAAACAGCATCCTTGTCAAAGTAAGCATGGTTTGATTTGAAATGTAGGTGGGAGGAGAATAATGCTTTAAAAACAGTATTCTGAAATAAGGTTTGAAAGCCTTTTGGATGAGTTCAGCTATGTCCTTAGAGATACCCAGGAGCACTTTTATATTTACGTAGAAGATGGAACGTTGAAGAATTAACTATATTTTTTGGTGAATATGATTACCACTGTTGTCTTCCAGACCAACAGAGGCATGCCAAATGCATAGGGTTAGGGCATATTTTTTTGCAGGGCACAATGATATACCAGGAAGATCGAGGAATGCAGGTGAACTGGATTCTTCCCTGGGCTTTGCTACTCATTTTGGTGAGCTCTTGCATAAGTAACTCAGCTGGGGAATATGCTGGCCTGATAGAGGGAGAATGGGACAATGTACCCCCACCCTAGGCAGTGTGTACCCACATAAGCTAGAGGAGAATGGCAGGGCTTGCATTCGGAAAGGGGTTGTCAAGAGAACCAGATTAAATGAGAAGGTTGGGTAAGGGAGACCTTTTTTTCAATACTGGAGCACTCTCCCAGGCATGGAAAATATGTGTCTGCCTGAGAAAGACCCCAGGAGAAAAAAAAAAAGAATAGTTCACACTAAGGTTAAAATGTGAGTATTTTTGCAAAAGTGAGAATAGAAAATATTTAACAATTTAGAGAGGGGGACATGCTGAGAGCATGTACCATGTAAGACAGATAAACCCTCCAGAGAATGATGTCCCATGGAATGACCCAGAAGGCTCCCAATTTCCCAAAGCCACCAGGAATGCCCTGGTGGCAAAGGCACCAGTGTCACTGAGGAGTTTGGTGGTGGCATGCCTCAGCAGGCCAGGGCAGACTTTAGGAGAGGCGCTGCAGAATAAGGCTCACTGAGAGTAATGGGGATGTTAGGATTCCTCAAAACAATAGAGTCCAGATGGTGATGCTTAAACACCAGAAGCCAAGAAGATGCAATTATCTTAATGAGTAGCCATGGTGGCAGGGCAGCCAGGTTGGCCTGTCCTACAGAGAGATATGGAGATGGTTGATAGAGCAAGATTGTCCTTAAAGGCAGCCAACACAGGTATTACTCAATTACTACTACTCAGTTTTTCTTGATTTCTAAAGAAATCAAGAATGATTGATTAAGGAGGCTGAGGAATTGCCACAATAAAATGACCAAATACTGTGCCCGGTTTTTGGATCTGAGCTATTTTTTGGAACTGGAACCCTTCAGTCCAAGGGTTATGGTCCAGCATAAAAAATATATGGTCCAGTATATTTTTTATACTGGACCATAACCCAATATAAAAATATTTTTTATTTTAACCCTTCAGTGGAAGGGTTCCCCATGCAAAAATATACTAGTTCATATATATATATATATATATATATATATATATATATATATATATATACACACACACACACACCATATATATATACACACACCATATATATATACACACCATATATATATATATACACACACCATATATATATATATACACACACCATATATATATACACACACACACACACACACACACACATACACACACACCATTTATATATATACCACACCATATATATACTCAAGAGGAAGGACCCTGGAGGACCCTGGAGCACTATGGCAAGTGTTGATTGTTACGAGCATCCAGTTCTTCCTCAAAGAGAACTTTAGCCATATACTTGGGTAACTACATTCCAGAAAAAGGGAAGTAGGCAAACATTTCAAGCAGTGTCAGGGGACATTAATACTTGAAGACTTAAAGCATTATCATGGCCTTACTATACAACTGGAGGTACAATGGAACTAGGTAATAAATGGAGTCCTGGTCAAAACCACCCACCCAGGTTCTAAGTCCCATTCAAGTCTGGCAGCCTTTCAAGTCACCTGGGTCATAGCAAAATTCCCAGGTATACAATTTTTTTTTTTTCTTCTAGAATCCAAAAAGCCTACCAGACATTGTGCTTCCTTTTTCATGGTGGGAGATACAAAATGCGATTATTTCTCCTTTAATTTAAATGCAATGTTTTGACATGCCCTTGACGGCTGAACTCCTAAAAGGTTTACTGATGTAGTAGACCCCTGAATCTTCATAGGGTTTATCTCCCAAACTCTAGACCACATATATCTCACCAAGGTCTCCAACATGCTACATATGTCTTGCTTATCGGGTCCTATTATCGTATTTGCTATGGAATAGATCATTGTGATTTTTTGCTGGATGTCAACATAGGACCGATTACTTTGGTCTATATTAGTCCAAAGTGCATCTATTTTGATTATACATTCAGGGTTTGGGAAAATAACCAATTTACTTGGCTTAAAGCATTACGCATTTATCAGGTGATTTGAAAGGTTGTCAGATTTGAATGGGACCTAGAAACTGGGTGGGTGGTTTTGAACAGGGCTCCATTTATTACTTAGTCCCATTGTACCCCCAGTCATATAGTAAGGCCATGATAATGCATTAAGCCCAGTAAATTGGTTATTTTCCTAACCTCCAAATGTAAAATCAGAATAAAGGCACTTGGTAGTTGGTGCAAGTTCCTTGCTGAGCCCTTAGACTGTAGAGTAAAAACTGTCATAGTGAGGGGAGCCAAGAGAAGACTCTGAAAATGCCCCTCACCCTGCTCCTGCCAAGACAATAAAAACAGTATTATTTCAGGGGGAAGGAGATGGGAAGCATTAGCCCCACTCTTACAAACCTAACAGATGTTGCAGGGGTGGTGGTTTCTGTCAGAGATCCATTTAATTTACCAGTGTAGCCCCTGCTAAAACCAGATGTATCCTGAAAAATAACAGTGAGCACCACAAACTCAACCACGTCATAACCCTGATCGCAGCTGCCATGCAACTGTGATGTCTTTGCTGGAGTTGATTAACATGGCCTCAATTCATGATATGCAGCATTGATTTAGCAAATGTGTTCTCTTCCATACCTATCAGAAATGATCAGAAATAGTTTACATTTACATGGAACAAACAACAGGATACATTCATAGATTTCCCCAAGGCTCTGTTAACTTTCCTGCCCTCTGTCATAATGTGGTCCAAAGTAATCTGTCCCATGTTGACATCCAACAGAAAATCACAATGATCCGTTCCATAGCGAATACGCTAATAGGACCAGATAAGCAAGATATGTAGCGTGTTGGAGGCCTTGGTAAGTCATATGTGAGCCAGAGTTAGGGAGACAAAGCCTATGAAAATTCAGGAGTCTGCTGCATCAGTAAACATTTTTAAGAGTTCAGTGGTCAAGGAAATATTACAACATTGCCTCCAAACTAAAGAAGAAATGATTGCACATTGCATCTCCTGCTGTGAAAAAGGAATCACAATTAGCTGGGCGTGGTGGCACATGCCTCTAATCCCAGCTATTCCGGAGGCTGAGGCGGGACAATCACTTGAACTAGGGAGGTGGAGGTTGCAGTGAGCCAAGAGCCAAGATCATGCCATTGCACTCCATCCCAGGCGACAGAGTGAGACTTTGTCTCACAAAACAAACACATAACAATAACAACAACAAAAAACAAGGAAGCACAATGGCTGGTAGGTTCTCTGTTTCTCTGGATTCTGGAAGCAACAAAATGTATACCTATACTGCGCTGACCCAGGTGACTTGAAAGGCTGCCAGATTTGAATGGGACCTAGAACAAGAAAGAACTCTATAACAGGTTCTGTCTACAGGTGTGAGCAGCCCTGCCATTTGGGCTATAAAACTCAGCAGACCCATTGGTAGTAGAGGTATATCCCAGCACTTTGAAAACACACCATGTGGAGTTTATGGCAAGCTCCAGTGAGAGAATCACTAGGATTCTGGGTCAAGGCCATGGCATCTGCTTAGGGAAAATTATACACCATTTGAAAAACAACTTCTGATTGTCTTATGGGCCTTGGTAGAGATGACACACCCGATCATGGGACACAAGGTGAACATGTGGCCATAGCTGCCCATCAGGAGCTCATCTGTCAGACTCAGCAACTCCTAATGCTAGTCAAGCCTGGAAACAAACTATCAGAAGGTAGAAAGGGTCCACCTGGGATCCAGTATGAGGAGGACTGGATGGCACAGGGAATTTGCATGAGCAGGTAGTCCAGATCCACATGTCACCCTCCACTGTTATGTCAGCACCTTTTCCTCAGATAGCTCCTCCTGCTGTAGAGGGGATCCCTTGTGACCAACTGATGGAAGACAAAATGGCCTGAGCTTGGTTCACAGAAAGGTTAGACTTGCATGAGGGTGCAGGCTGAAAACAGATGGTGGCTGCACCATGGTTCCTCTCAAGGATTGCCTTGAAAGACAGTGATGAGGGAACATTCTTCCAAGGGGCAAAGCTCAGACCATCCTGGTCATCCACTGTGTATGGGAAGAGAAGTTGCTCAAGGTTAGAATATCCATATGATGCCATAGGCTGAATGGTGAATGGCTCCGTTGTCTGGTCAGGGCCTAGAAGTAGCCAGAGTAGATTGCACCTGGGAGCTTCAAGGCAGAGTCATGAGGCTGGGCATTTTGGAGCAGGCACAAAGTATGAAGATCTGTGTATTGTGTATTAATGTCCAACAGAGAGCTTTCAGCGTAATAGTGGCACTAAATGATCACGTAGACAAACTGACTTAGTCAGCTGATGCTAGCCACCCTGTATCATCAGCAACCCCAATGATGGCATGATAGCAAAGTACATGAGCAAAGTAGCTATGGTGGCAGGGATGGCTACTTGCATGGGCCCAACAGCACAGGCTCTGGCTTACCAAGGCCAATCTAGCTGTTGCTGCTATTGCCTGTCCAAAATGCCAGTAACAAGGACCCATGTTGAATTTCTGATATGGCACCATCCCTCAAGAGGACCACCTGGATACATGTTGGCAAGTTGATTACACTGGGGTCCTCCACCCTGGAAGGACCAGTGACTCATTCCTGTGGGAGCGGGGTTCTTATTTCATGTATGGGACTTTATTTCCCATTAAGCTTCAGTGACAGCCACCATTCGCGCGATTACAGAGGGCTTGATACACTGGGATAGGATCCCATATAGTGTCACATTGGTCCAGGAGACCCACTTTAAAGCAAAGGAAGTTATGGGATTGGGTCCATGGCCATAAGATTAACTTGTCATGTCATATACGTACCATCCAAAGTTGCTAGTCTAACATGCACACACATGTTCATTGCAGCACTATTCGCAATAGCAATGACATGGAATCAATGTCAAGATTACCTTGTCATGTCATATACGTACCATCCAAAGTTGCTAGTCTAACATGCACACACATGTTTATTGCAGCACTATTCACAATAGCAACGACATGGAATCAACCTAGGTGCCCATCAGTGGTGGATTGGATAAAGAAAATGTGGTACATATACTCCATGAAATACTACATAGCCATAAAAAGAACAAAATCATGTCCTTTGCAGAAACATGGTTGGAGCTGGAGGCCATTATCCTAAGCAAATTAACAGAAGAACAGGAAACCAAACACCCAATGCATGTCCTCATAAGTGGGAGCTAAACATTGAGCACCAATGGACATAAGCATGGGAACAACAGACACTGGGGCCTACTGGAGGGTGGAGGGTTGGAGGAGGGCAAGGACTGAAAACTATTGGATATTGATATGGTTTGTCTTTGTGTTCCCACCCAAATCTCATCTCTAATTGTAATGCTCATGTGTGTAGGGAGGGACCTGGTTGGGGGTGATTGGATTATGGCAGTCATTTTCCCCATGCTGTCCTCATGATAATGAGGGAGTTCTCATGAGAGCTAATGGTTTAAAAGTGTTTGGCAGTCCGCCCCCTCCTGCTGCCATGTAAGACGTGCTTGCTTCCCCTTCACCTTCCACCATGATTATGTTTCCTGAGGCCTTCCCAGCCATTTGGAACTGTGAGTTAATTAAATCTCTTTTCTTTATAAATTACCCAGTCTCAGACATTCTTTATAGCAGTATGAAAATAGACCAATAGAGACATTATGCTGATTACTTGGGTGACAAAATTATCTGTACACCAAACTCCTTTGACAAGCAATTTACCCATGTAACAAACCTGCACATGTACCCCTTGAACCTAAAATAAAAATTAGAAAGAAAAAAAATTGCCTAATAAAGTGTTGAAAAGGTCTGTACGAAGCACAACTAAGGTACCAGCTTAGATGTGATCATTTGTAAGGATGGGGCAGCAATCATTCTCCAGGATGCAAAAAACACTTTAAGATATTTATTTGATGCTTTACTAACATATATATATATACATATAAAATTATATTTACCCAAAAGTTGGAAAATATCCACACACCTAGGAACCAAGGGATGGAAGCAGGATTGTCTTCCTTGCTGTCACACCCATTAACTCACTTGGGGAGTTTGTGCTTCCTGTACCCACAACTCTGTGTTCTTCAGGTTTATAGGTCCTGGGTCCCAAAGAGGAAGCACCTTTGCCAACAGACAGAGCCAGAATAAACAGTAATTGCCACCTGAACACTTGAACTCCTTGTGCAAAGAACCCGCAGGCAAGGGAAAGAGTTACCATCTTGGCAAAGGATGGGTTGTGGTGGGTGCTGCCCAGATTCACCTTCAATGGAGACATAGCGCCTCATTCCCAGCAGGCAGGCAGGCAGGCAGCCTGCAGTTACTATTCCCTTCAGGGATTGCCTCAGCTGCCGATGGGTGGCTCACCAGGGTGGGTCACATTCAATGACAGATCAATCCAGAACCATGAAGGCCTGGACAGCTTGGGAGAACTCTGAAGGGCCATTCTAGCTCCTGAGTTTTGCAAGGAGCCAAGGCCATTGTTAGGCTTGCATTGCATGTTGATTTTTCCTGTTGTTCACTCCTGCTTGTGTCCCCTCCTCAGGTGCTGATGTCCAGGGTGGACCTTAATACACCTCCTGCACCCTTAACCCCACCTCAGAGTTGCCCTCTTTCCCAGAGAACTCGACCTGCCACAGATGCCACCAATTCTGAACGTTTGAGTTGCATCCTTGTGGTCTGGTTTCATTTTGTTTTGAACTCCACAGGTGATTCTGATACCCAGCCAGGTTTGCATTCACAATATCACTGATTCACAATATCACTGAATCACTGCAGACCCCTCCCCAGTGCCTCCTGCCCAAATTCACTGGCAGGTCCCTTGCAAGCTCCTTTGCACATGGCAGATGCCGCGAGGGTGACTCGGGGGAGGACTTTAATGTCCAGGTGCTTCCAGACAAAAACCAAACAACAGATGGTTGGAAAACCAGTGGGTGGGTCCTCATGGGCATGTGAAGGAGAACCAGGAAGGATGAAGAAAGGTGGAGGGTCTGTAATTCCATCTAGAAGGGATTGGCTGCTCACCTCGTCCTAACATCCTGAGACATAAAGAAGTAACTGTTTCCCAAGACAACAGTGCAGTGCACACCGTACCTCTTCCTGTGCTTCAAAAATCCTGGTCTTGGATAGATGCAGCAGGTCATAGTTCTCTGGAATTTTTGTTTGTTTGTAAGCCTCTTTGTTTAGCCATGACTCAGGCTCCCCTCTTCCTCTTGGCTGCCTCATTCTCCTCCTGGTTGGAGAAGAGGTCTTTGAGGATAATACTGCATTGAGAGTAGTCAGTAAGAAGGGTTGAACATGGACCAGAATGAAGTTTATTGATCCAGTAGAGATTCCATCTTGAGCACCCAGGGTTAAGGAAGACAAGTAACCCAGATTAAAATGGCAAGGGCATGACGACCCAGCATATGCTGGTGAAACATCAGGAGACAATGGCATGACCCAGCTAGACGGAGGCAGGATGAAGCTGGGTCCCTTGGCAGGGAGGAGTAGAAAAGAGAAGAACGAGAGAGACAAGGAAAGGGGCCCTCTGTGGGACAAGAAGGCAGCCTCAGCCATGACTGGAGAAAACGTCCCTGAAGGTCATATTCTGGCCAAATGCAGATAAGATCGGGTCCTCTGTGGGTTGGGCAGGAAACGGGCATCTTTCTAGTTGTTGCTGGGGTCACTCGTATTGTTACATCCAGCCTTTTGTTCTCAGCACCCTGTAAAGAGTAGGCTAATGAAATAGACCAGCTGGACTGTGCCTGGACTATATTTATGCATATTCTGAAGGTTCTGAGTTTGAATAATTGATTACCTTTTGCAAGGTAACACTGTGGTTTTGGTCATAAGAAATTCACGCAAGGCTGTATCCACCCACCTCGGCTTAGTACTCACCCACCTCGGGAAAATCTGCTCTTTCAATTAGCGGTGTGCATGAATATATCTGGTGTATGGATGCAGTTAATAACAGAGCCGGTGCAGACTACTGGGTGAGACTTCTGTAGGGGGCTTAAAATATGGAACATTGCTGCTAAAGACCTTCCCAGATCTTGGCTGGGTGAGGATGGAGATTGGGCTGTGTTCACAATGTGTGGTCATGCATAAATATTAGCCTTAAATAACTATGAATACCTTGTTTCCTAAAAAGATTAGTGGCTCTTCCCTGTGTGATAAATTGTGTGAGTTACCGTGCAGACCTGTCTTCCCACTGTATTATCCCACAGCCTTTTAAATAACCGAGCCCAGATTATGCTCAGGGAGCTGTGCAGAACGCTTCGGCAAGCTTTAGGCAGAGAAGTATAATTTGGGTTCATTCTTCTTCTGTTTCTACCTTTTTCTCGTATGCCTTTATTTCATTCTCACCTTAGTCTTTTTCTTTGATTCCTTCTCTTTCTCTGAATCTCTTATTTTCCCCTTCCATCCATTTACCTCTGAATCTCAGACTTTCTTTTATCCTCATGTTCATGTAATAATAATCATAGCTAACTTTTATGAAGTGTTCCCAATGCTTAGAGTTAATAAAGTGCTAAGCCCTTTACCTCTACTAGTTTATTTACTTCTAATGACAACCTTGAGACGGATACACTCTTTGACTATACCCATTACGGAGAGGAGTTAACTGAGGCACAGAGAGATTCAGGAACACACTCAAAGTCACACAGCTTATGAGGAGGTGGAGCCAGGATTTGCCCCATGTCTGCCTAACCTCCCAGACAGGGCTCCAGACGCTAGAGTGGTGGTGTAGCGCTTCTTGTTTCTCTAAGGCATCTCCTGGGGTAGAGAATAAAACCCTTCCTTCATTATGAACATACATTTTAGGGATGCACTGAGATATCCCAGCTCCCTAGATTAAGTGATGGGGTAACAGGTACTACCCCAGCTCCACCCAGGTCAAATGAAATGGAGAAATCACCACCAAGATTGAGGGGATCCTCTTACAGTCAACCCACGTGGTTGCCCCTTGGGAGGTCTTTGCAGGGTCCTCCTGTCTCTGTTCTCTGTTTGCATTAACTGATTTTCTTGGGGCTAGTGTAACAGAACTGAAGTAGACCTGATTACTTGGTGGCCTGGGGTATACTCAGGGGAGAGAAGAGCCAATATGATTGGTCTTAAAGAGATGCTTCATTGAGCTCTTAACACTTAGGGCCCAGCCTGCAATAGGACATGCTCTCTCCAACTGAGCATAATTAAAGTAGACACATATTTTGTTGTCTTTTCTCTTTCCTTTTATAATCTACTTTATTAAAATAAATGTATATGCAACAGAGGGTGCAATTTGATGAGTTTTGACATACGTAGACACCCTCCCTTCTAGATATAAACCATTTCTGTCCCTCTAGAGAATTCCTTCCGTCTCCTAAGTCCATCTCTATACTCCTTGCAGAGGCAGCCACCGATCTGATTTCTGTCCTCACAGCTGGCCTTTGCCTGGTACAGCACTCCGTAGAAAGGAGTCATACAGTGCACACTTTTTTGTGTCTGGCTCAATGTGACATTTTTGAGATTCTCTTATTCCCTCATATATTAGGGTTTTGTTCTTTTCATTTTTGCTTCTAAATAGTATCTCATATTGTCAACATAAAACAACTTGTTTATCCACTCCTCAGTTGGGGGACATTTGACTGTTTTCAGTTTTTGGCTATAGGAATAATGTGGCTATGAATATTTTTGTATAAGTCTTTTTGTAAATAAGTTTTCATTTCATTTCCTCCTCCTCCTCCTCTTCCTTGTTGTTGTGGTTGTTCTTCTTCTTCTTTCTCTTGTTCTTCTTCTGCTGCTGCTTCTGCTTCTTCTTCTGCTGCTTCTTCATTGTTATCATCGTTGTCTTCTTCTCCTCCTTCTCCTCCTCCTTCTCCTCCTTCTCCTCCTCCTCCCCCTCCTTCTTCCTCTTCTGCTCCTTCTTCTGCTTCTTCTTCATCGTCATCATTGTTGTCTCCTCCTCCTCCTCCTTCTTCTTCTTCCTCTTCTGCTGCTTCTTCATTGTCATCATCGTTGTCTTCTTCTCCTCCTTCTCCTCCTCCTTCTCCTCCTTCTCCTCCTCCTTCTCCTCCTTCTCCTCCTCCTCCCCCTTCTTCTTCCTCTTCTGCTCCTTCTTCTGCTTCTTCTTCATCGTCATCATTGTTGTCTCCTCCTCCTCCTCCTTCTTCTTCTTCCTCTTCTGCTTCTTCTTCATTGTCATCATGTCATCTTTGTCTTCTTTGAAAAAAGCTTTGACTGGAATTGTGTGGGTCAAATGGCAAGTGTTTGTTTAACTTTATAGCAGTTTTCCAAAGTGTTTGTTCCATATTACATTCCACCAGCAATATACAAGAGTTCTGGTTGTTCCACATCCTTGTCTACTTTTGGGACTCTCAGACTTTTCAATTTTAGCCACTATACTGGATATGAAATAACATCTCATTATGGTTTTAGTTTGCATCTCACTGATGACCAATGATGTTGAACGTCTCTTCATGTGCAAAATGTCTACTTGTATCTTTTTTTTTTTTTTTTTTTTGAAACAGAGTTTCACTCTTGTTGCCCTGGCTGGAGTGGGATGGTGTGATCTCTGCTCACTGCAACATCTGCCTCCCTAGTTCAAGCGATTCTCCTGCCTCAGCCTCCTGAGTAGCTGGGATTACAGGCATGCACAACCATGCCTGGCTAATTTTGTATTTTTTTAGTAGATACGGGGTTTATCCATGTTGGTCAGGCTGGTCTTGAACTCCTGACCTCAGGTGATCTGCCTGCCTCAGCCTCCCAAAGTGCTGGGATTATAGGGGTGAGCCACCATGCCTGGCCTACTCATATCTTTTTTTGGGTGTGAAGTGTCCATTCAAGTCTTCTGCCCATTTTATACCTTGAGGTGATTGGCTTTTAAAATTATTGATTTGTAGGAACTCTTTACATATTACAGAACTAAGTCTTTTGTCAGATATATGCAGCATGCATATCTTCTCCCAGGCTTTGGTTTGACTTTTACTTTTCTTTGTTTATTTTTGTGGCAGGAAGAGGGAAACTCAGATTTCTTCCTTGCAAGAGCTGTTCTTAAAGCATGAATGTTCAGTAACTGGGATAAATTTCTGGGATGGTTACATTGGAATCGGGGCCTGGAGCCAAGTTTTCTGAAAGTGACCAAGGCCAGTGGTGGCAGGCTGATGGCTTATGAGGACAGTGAAGACAGCCCTTTGACAAATCCCAGATATATTTGAGAGGGTGGGGAAGAGAATGCTACAACCTTGCTGAAGACTAGAGTTATTGCCCGAGCTGGTAAGGGATTAACAGTATTCCACAATTAGTCTGAATGGAACCTCACTGTTTTCTACAAATACAAAGCTTGGGGGATGTTTGTTTTCCTAAACCTCTCTTTAGCATTTGAAGGCTAAGTGCTTTGCAAATGTTTCACTAAATCCTCTCAACAGGGAAATGAGCTCAGGCATAGCAAAATGGAGTAAGTTGTTCAGAATTCCACAAGGTAGCAAGTGGTAGAGCCTAGACTGAGTCCACGGCTGTTTTGCTCTGGGCCCAAGTCTGACTTCCAATCTACACTGCTTCCTCAGATCCACATCCTGGGCCCTAAGTGTGCTCTCTGCAGCTGTACTGAGCAATTTAAATCCCTCTCCCTCCAGACTATCTAGTAAATAAGTGCCATAAAATGTTAAATCATCCTTTCCCTCTAGGCTCAATGTTCTGGGTCTCCTAACACCAAGCCTTGACTGGCTTACTTTCCAAACTCTTTGCTGTTCTCACAGCCCTGTTCTGATCCAGCTTCAGTTTCTCAACTGAGATGCCCAGGGATGGGCACAGGATGCCTAGATATGCTGTCTATCTGCAGTATCTCTCTGCATGCAGTGGACTTTCACTATGGGGCTATTGTGGAGTCCTAGGAAGAGGCACAGACCACGCTGTCTTTCTGAGTTGGTAACCAGAGCACTTCACTCACTGGTGATCTATCGAGCACCTGCCATTGACAGCAGGACAGAGATATCAGAGCAGTGGACACAGCCAAGAGGCCCCCTGTCCTCCCCATCCCACCTCAGTTTCGATTTTAGTAGATCACACAGGCAGCATAAAATAAACATGCAATTGAAATCAATATAAATTGTGTAAGTTTCTCTGATGGAAATAAGTAAGGGCGATATGACAGAGAAATGAGGGAGGCACCCTGCGTAAGATGAGTGAGCCGAGGACACTGACCCCTGAGCTGTGACCCAAAGCCTGAGGATTCTCTCAGTAGGAGCAGAACATTCCCGGCAGAAGCAGCTCCATTTGAAATGCAGCAGTTTGGAAATGTCCACCAGATATTCAAAAGTAGATGTCATTGAAGCTATAAGCCCCTGGAAGGTCTGGGCTGGAGATTTCAGGGCAGTCAACCCACAGAGATGGCATTTAGTGCTTTGGGACTGGATGGGATTGCAGGATGAGTGTGGAGGGGAAAGGAGGAAAGGGCCCCAGACAGAGCTCAGGGGAGCATCAGAGGTTTGTCTTAAGGAAATTGAATAGACCAGGAGCAAGTGGAGGAGGCAGAGAGGAGAAGCCAGTGGAGCAGGAGGAGGGCAAGAGTGGGCGTTGTCATAGCAGCCAGGCATGCACACAGCCCAAGCATTCAGGGCGAGAGAGCACTTGCCTGGGCCCCCTGCCCTTGCGGCTTTAACCCAAGAGAGAGTTTAACCCATCTTTCCTAGCACTTTCCTTGGGCCAATCTCGTGCCCACTTCTCCACTCCCAGACCTTCTAGTTGTGTAGTCCACTCTTGGCCAAATGTTTTCTGAGAAACGATTGAAGATGGAATCGGCATCCCATCCCTTCAGTGGTCTCCTTCCTGAGCAGGACCGTCACTCCTTATTTGCTTGGTGGAATCCCCTCACACCCCTTCTTGCCCAGCTCTTTCCTCAAGTGGTTCTTCACTAAGAGCTTTCTTGACGACAACCAAGCTTTCTTGATGACAGTCAAGAGTCACGTTCCCTTGATTTGAAAACTTCTATCCCTGTCTTCTTGCTTATAATTTTCTAAGAATCCGTCATCTGCAGAATCCCACCATCACTTTCATTAACAAGAAGTGGGAGGTTTTCACGGGCAGGTAGAAGAGAGCTAAACACTAAGAGCACAAATCAGTACATTGTTCCCAGCATGATAAGGAAATCACTGTAAGACCCAGAAGCACGTGCCAGTGGATGAAGTGAGGCAACTAAGCAGCAGTGAGCAACCACTGGGATCTCTCAGAGGCAGGAGGCGGGACTTGACTCTGGAGGCGGGGCTCAGGCACATGACCAAACTGAGGACTGGCTAAAACAGGTCCTGGGTGGAAGCAACTTTCCATCAGACACGCTGGCCGGTGCGCCATGTCAGTTTACCGTTGCCATGACAACAGCCGGGAGTTACCACCCCTTTCCATAGTAATGACCTGATGAACCAAAAGTTACTACCCTTTCCCTAGAAATTTCTACATAAACAGCCCCTTACTCTGCATGTAATTAAAAGTGGGTATAAATATGACTGCAAAACTGCCCTGAGCTGCTGGTCTCAGCACACTGCCAATAGGGTAGCCCTGCTCTGCAGGGTCAGTCACGGAGCTGCAACACTGCCACTTCAGTAAAGCTGTTTTCTTCTACCCTACCACTGGCTTGCCCTTGAATTCTTTTCTGGATGAAGCCGAGAACCCTGTGGGCTAAGCCCCATTTTTGGGCTCAGCTGGCCTGCGACGCTTCCACCCGCAACACTCATTGAGGACCTGTGGAAAGTGCTTTATCCATAACATTCTCTCTGCACATGGATCCTGATGGGCTGGACTTGGGAACAAGCGCTTTAACCTTGAAAGATTACAATATTGTCATGCAATCAGTAAATTCTGTTATTAAATGTTACAGCTGCTAAATTAAACGATAAGAATAACTAGTATTTTGAAATTCTGAACATCTTGTAATTAGAGCAGCCTTGAAAAAAGTATTCCAAGCTAAGGCACATTAGAATGTATTCCACAACAGGGAGACAGCCTGACAAAGAAACATTATTCTTAGATTTACAATTAATTACCCTTATGTCTATACCTTGCATTCAATTTGCATATCTTAAGAGCGCTGTAAATTTCACAGGACTCCCTGTTATTTAAGATCACTCCGCTTAGTAAAAGTTTCTTCAGTGATAACTTTTTCTTGATTATGTAGTTGTGAGGTCAGTAAATCTGGCTCTACTTTGCTCTCCCATGTTATAATTTTTCCTTTTTGTGTGTGTTTTTCATTATTTGGCTTCTTGTTCCTTCTGCCCCCTCATTTATTATTCCCCAAAGAGCCGACAGATAGAGACACTGGCTGGAAGACGAAGCGAGTGGTCGCAGTCTGAGATGTTATCTTTTCCCCACTACGCATTGGTACTGGGTGTCTGACATGTTCTATACATCTTTCTGGTGCCAACCTCATTAAACAAATACAACTTGATGTATAGCTCTCAATAAATGAAATTCTATGCAATAGATTTGTTCTTGCCCCGTTGGTGCAAGAACACCACATACCTCTCTGCCTCTCTTTCTCTCTCTCTCTTACCCCCCGCTTTTTTTTTTCTGAGCCCCTCACCTCCTAAGTGAGTAGGTTCATTGTGATTTCTCTTTGCAATTTTGTACAGTCACCACTAATTTCATAACCTTTCATTGGACTGAGTTTTTATGCTCACTGTGAATGTTGTATTTTAAAAAGACTGCATTGGATACCCTAAATTATTCATAAGGAGCCATGAACACTGTATAAAGTGGTATATGTTTGGTAGGATGTTGTTAAGTATGTTTACCTTGAGAAGACACACATGTAGCTCTTGCACTCACTTCCACCTGCTGTCACATACACACTGTAACATCTATACTTTCAGAGGTGACTCCATATAAAGGTGCCTATGAGGGAGCTAGCAATCCTAAGGAGAAGGATCTGCCACACTTTTGCAGAATTGTAAATATCAACTGCAGTCTGTTACAAACCATTTAAAGGATTTAAAAAACAAAAATATTTTTCGACCAAAAGCAACCTGTAGTTTAAAAGACCATTTTTGTTAAAAAAAAAAAAAAAAAAAAGTTGGCCGGGCGTGTTGGCTCATGCCTGTAATCCCAGCACTTTGGGAGGCCGATGCAGGTGGACCATCTGAGGTTAGGAGTTTCAGACCAGCCTGTCCAACATGGTGAAATCCCATCTCTACTAAAAATACAAAAGTTAGCCAGGCATGGTGGTGGACACCTGTACTCCCAGCTACTTGGGAGGCTGAGGCAGGGGAATTGCCTGAACCAGGGAGGTGGAGGTTGCAGTGAGCCAAATCGTGCCACTGCACTCCAGCCTCGGTGACACAGCAAGACTCCGTCTCAAAAAAAAAAAAAAAAAAAGAGTCACTAATAATTAAAACTGGTATCCCCATTGGGTGAAATTTTGAGTTGCTGTTATTTTGTTCCATTTTGGTTTTTAAATGTATTGTATTGCCAATATTTACTAAACTTGGGATGACACTCCATTTTGAAGCTGAGTTAACTGTATCATAGACCAAGATGTGGTGCCATGCAGTGTAGATTTTGTCATACTTAGGAGAATTTGGTTCTGGAAATCACATCCTGGGGTATGAGAGCCCAAGCCTTGTGCTTTCTGAGAAAGGAAGAGGAAAAACGTCCCCTTCCCCCTTTAATTTTATTTTAAGCATGACCAGGTAATTTCCCATGGCTTCCTCTTCTCACTTATTAATTGGCAGTTTATTAAAGCAATTTTTGAAAAGTTAATACCATTGTCATTTCTCCATTACAGTTCTCAGAGAACCAAGTGTTAAGGAATGTCAGGGAAGGAAGAAGGCAGCCAGCCAGGAAGGGGAGGTCCTGGCCTGAGCACGCCAGGCACAGAGGGATAGAGGGTAGGGAGGAAACTGCACCTGTCTCCAACCCTCGACCCCAGCCCCGAAACACGACATTGGCTGAAACAGGTGCCTCACCTCCTTCTCAAATAGTCTCTTCCTCTCTCCCTTTGCCTACCCTCTCTCCGTTTCCTCACACCCAGGTATCTTCTTACTCTTTTTGGAAGGTGGGTGGGTGAAATATTAACTTTTTTAACACAAGTATTAATTTCTGATGGTGACATCCTTCCTGACAGTTCAATATGTAAGTGAGTTCCTACGACTTCACAAAGCCCATTCATCCTGCGTTTTCATGGGCCGAATGCAAGTGAATGTGAAAGAGGCTCTCTCCTCATTGATTGTAATATAATATTTCCATTAAAATCATTTTTAAAAGCCTTCCAAACAATGCTTTCTCAAAGAATATAAAGCTATCTCTCAGATTAGCTGTCCTAGAATACCTTGGCAAAAGTATCCTAGTAGCAAGAGTTTCCCTAGTCTTATGTCCTATATACATCTGTTAAATTACTCTGAGATCTCATTAAATAAAGCTAATGTACTTGTAAAACAGTAGGGAGAGACAGTTTATCATTGTAACTGTTAAAGAGAGCCATTCGGGTAGGGAGAGAGCCAAGAAGACTAGGTATATGCTGGTCAGTGTAGATGTTTCTAAGTCATAAATCTTGCCTCTTTCCTGCCTAGTTATTGTGTATTTCTTTAGGTGAGAGATTGATTGTAGCGGCAGAAGATGAATTTGCCCATAGTCTCTTTCTTTCTTCCTCTTCTTCTTCTTTTTCTTTTTTATATTCCCGATGTTTCGCCAAGGTGATAATGCTCTTTCTCCCCCCTGCAATCATTTGTTTCAGATTAAAAGCATAAAATGGCCCAAAGAAATGGGAGAAGGTTGGCCTCTGGTCGGGCAAACATGAGGGCATGAAGATATATAATGTCCCACACGGGAGGAAACCCTTGCCGGGCCCCTCAGGATTTATAACAAGCTCACCTGAAGGAGAAACTTCAGGGGCACTTACACCATCAGATACCTAGAAAGGAGCTGTCATTTCCTCACTGAAGAGTTTGCAAGCAGATGGTAAAAGGGGTTTAATTTGAAAACACTGAAACATCGTGTTCGCTCAAAACCATGACAATTGCAGTTTTATTGTCTCCACTCAGGAAAATGTGTGTCTGGATCATCTTGTGGCCCGAATGGGGAGAAAAGGTACTTTTCATGAATATATATAGATGCTGAATTTATAAGGATCAATATAGTCACCAAATGTTGTACAACATGTCAGGATATCATAAAAAGCAGGCAGTTCTACATAAAATACCAGCTTAATCTTGGAGATTTTAAAGCCTCATTAAAATGTGGATAAAGTCCATATATGGAAAGGCAGCCTTCAAAAGGTTGAAGTTATGTATCTGTAGGGCAGGAATTGTATCCTCCACTTCTGAATGACAGTGGCCTTGTGGGTTTCAGTGGGTGGTGATCAGAGGCTTCTGGCTGGGCAGGGTCCTGGTCTGGGGGTGGACCAGGGGATGGTTGGCACTGTGGGATTAGGGCTGAGTGCCTTCCCCATGCTTTGGGATTCCCCAGTCCTCTCCTTTAGGATGGTAGATTTAGTTAGAGAAGCCACAGTGGACAGGTCAAATCCTGTGATCTTTGGTAATCTGGCACATTCATTGATTTTATTATTTTGTAAATTGGAGGTTAGCTGCCTCTGCAGCAGAGTATTGGCAAAGAGGGATACTTAGAGGGTCTGGGTGATGTAACAGGGAGACTCTATATGATCATCTTGAGGGGTTAGGGAGAGAATTGTTTACTGAACGTTCCCTCAATGTTCCCTGGCAGCCCAGAGGTGAAGTTCCTCACTGGGAACTGTTCATGCAAAGAAAACAAGGCTCCCTCTCCCTAGTGTCTGAGTTTCTCTCCTCATCTAACCCACAGCTTCCAATGGAGACTGCCTTCTTTTCTAGAGCCCAGAACAAGCCAGCCCCTCTGGTGCAAAGCTCTTTGCACTCTTGTTGGAGGTCTATGTGGTTTTGGCTCATCTGCTTATTTTTTTTCTGGAGAAACTTTGAAAGTCGAGCAAATACTTTTATCCTGACCTTTCTGCAACATTGGCCCATATTCACCGCTTGTCAGCAGCACAAGTTGGCCAGCAGTCATCTGTCACTGCCAACCGTCACTCTACTGCCATTTCCATCAGCCCCATTACCTGGGATCAGGCGCGAGCAGAGCCCTGTGTTGGAAGGATCATTAAACTTGAGGCTCCCAGGTAGCACAGGTAGTCCAGGTGGCCTGTTGTTATTTATAATAAAGGAAAGTGCAGCAGAAGCACCTGACGGTAGCCCAGGAGGCCGGCAGAGGACGCCTGAGCAGTGTCACTGCTGAAGGACAGTTAAAAGTGGACTCTTCCCCCCCTCACTGTAAGCAAAGAGGATTTATTGAACATCTGTTCTGTACATGGCTGGGAAGATTGATTAATTTAATTGCTCACACTTTGCTTAAGTAACATTTGAATACTTAATGTCAAGTTTGAAGGATATTCCAACATTTGCCAGTGCACCTTCTCCTTCATGTTGCAGAGGGAGCTTTGGAAGGGAGTGGGAGAGTGTGACCGTCTGGAGCTCCTTCTAAATTCTCCTTCTTGGAGAGCCTGCAGGAGTTGCCAGTGGGAAAAGCTGCCTCTTTTCATAAAAGCAACTAGTTACTTTTCACATTTTCCCATTGTGATAAATCATTAATGTAATGAGGTTGAATCTTCTTCACTGAGTGGTGGTAATTTTCCCTCTGGTATCAACTATAGAGACAGTTGAGCATATTATATATTTCTGTACCCTTTAACATAATACCGTAATCGTATGAAAGTACCAGATGAGTTAAAGCTGTAGTAATTTATTGCAGGTTATAGGCAGACAGCATATTTAGAAGGAACTCTTGAAAGTTCTACAGAAAACCAGCCTTTAAATGGTTCTCAGCTCATCAACACTTGCCCTTTCTATTATTGGTTGGTTTTTCCTCATCTCACGTGTCAATCTTATCCAGTTTGGAGGGAGAGGTGCCTGGAAAACATAAGCTCTTCCTCTAGTGAAACTTTGTTTTGGGAGGGCTAGGGAAATCTGTATCTCATGCATTGAAACTGTCACCTCTAGACCCCAAGTTGAAAATCACACACACAGCTAGACCAGAGCATAAAAATTAGCACTGGAAATGTATTTCTCAAAGACATTTTCCCTCCTCCCCTGCATTCTTAAACATTTAAAGTGGGATTCCATTTATTTTTTTTTAAAGAATTACACCTAGGTTTTCATGAACATATCTGCAATGGGGAATGAGGCTGACCAAAGTTTAGAAAAATGGTTAGCAGCTGAATTTGGCTTAAAAATGACTGGAAAGGATTTTTATTTATTTGTAAAAGGAAGATATGCCTTTCTATGTTTCATTCTTTTTAGGAACTCCACTTATTCATTTATCCATGAAAATATTCTTGCATGCCTTCACACATTCATTTATTCAGTCAACAACCATTTCTTGTGTGCCAAACTCCTAAAGCGGAGAGAACATTGCTATTTTGTTGGAGGCTTCCTTCAGGATTTGCTATTAAGGAAGACTTTTCTGTTTAAATATATGATTTGATTTTTTTTTTTTTTTGAAATGAAGGAAAATGGGGCAAGGGTGAGTAATGAGGAAGAGGGAGGTGGGTATTCAACGCCAACTGGAAAATGGCACCAGCGTTTTGGAATCCCACTGCGTTTCCCATTGTCAGAGATTCTGTGCTTGACATGCTCACAAAAATGCTTACATCTGGGAGGGCTGAGACCTAGGAGACTGCACTGCTAATTTATTGCCCAGAACCAGAAAAAAAGGAAGAGAATCAGAAACCTGAAAGACTAGGAATGGCTCCACCAACAGACTGAGCTCTGGGTTCCAGGGAGGGTCCATGACAGGGAATGGGCAGGTTGCTGGGAACCCTACAAGCCAAAATGATTCTTGGCAAAGGATAATCTCTGGTCACATCTGATTGAAGTCAGTTGTGGCCTGGGCCGATTTCTTTGAGGGATGCCCGTCTGTCCCCCGCCCTGACCGCACACAATCCATCCCACACCGGGCCTGAGACTGTCAAGGCCAGAGCCAGGTGCCTGGGCTCCGCATATCCTTCTCCATCAGTCATACTGCAGGGAGCAGACAATTAATTCTGGAGCAAAATTGAAAGTCAGAGGCAGAGTCTGAAAGAACAGAATGACAATAATAAAGTGTCCCAGCCTCGCATTAATCTCCCTCACTTCAGGCCTGTCACAGCCGGCCCGGCTGTGACTAATGCCAAGCTTTGCATACAGTGGTCACAGACACCGGCAGCATGCTCCCTTTACAGCGCCGGCGATGCGCTTTGTTGGGTTTTTGACTCTTGCGGAATCACTGAAAAAACATCGCTGCTGGTCATAGGTAAGGGGACAGAGTTCCTCCATCATGTGCCTGGTGATGGATGCCTGGGTCCGGGACCTGCTGTAGGAGCAGGAACAGGAAAACTTCTCTTTCTCTCTGACTATGCCTTTTCCTTCTCTCTTCTACTTCTCCGTCTCATCTCCCATTTCTACCATCTTGGATTAAACTGTCACCACCTTCCTTGATTCTTCCACCTCTTCTTCCTGTTGGTTTTTGTGGTCTCTCTCTTTGCTTTTTCCCAGAGCCTCCCTCATCCAATCCTGTTTCAGGAAGGCAGACTGGAGGGATTTGTTCAAGTGTGGCTGAGCATGTAGATTGCAGGAAATGGGGGTGAAGTATATTCACAGATAAGTCTACAATAATTTGGAAATAAGCTGGAATTGGCTCATACCTGGGAGCTTTGAAGAAATTCAAATGAAAAATGGTGGAATTTTGTCCCAGAGATGCAGTGGGTCCCCACATGGCAACAGGACTACAGGACCCTCATGCCACTCTGGTGTTTCACCGCCCCACCTGGTGAGCAAGGAGAAGGCAGCTGGGGTGATTAATCAAGTGAGGGATCAGTGAACACCTAAACAAATCTAACCCACCAGAGGAAAGAAAAAATGATTCCTCTAATGGGGAATCATGCCTCCCTGATTCAATTGAGTTTTTCTGAGTAAACGAATGGAGAATTCAGGGAGTAGGTCTCATGGCAGATTTTCAAAAGCTGTGTGACATTTTTCCCTCCAAAAATTGTTAAAAACCCTTGAGCTGCAGGGCATCTGCATTAAAATACATTGGTTTTGGGGACAGAAACCAAAAGGTAGGGTTTAACAGTTACGTCTTAGATGCAGAGTTACATTTCTGCAGAGAGTGGCCCGCTGAGCTTATGGGAAAGGCTGCAAGAAAATCCCCAAACCAAGGTGAGCCAGCAGCAAAGAGGTGGGCAGACTTCTAGGGTAAAAATGTCCAGGAATGTGGTTAAAGGAAAATGGCCAGTAAAGAGGGTGTTTCGCCAGCTTGTTCTCTTGATGCGGCCACAAAAGGCTGCAATGGAAGATGAAAACCAAGCCAAAGGCATGCCACTTCTGCCCAACACAGGGTTTGTCCATTTTCTCAAGGGATCGGCCTCATTGCATGAAGTCAGTCCCCAGAGAGAGCACATTCCGTTTGCACCGGGCCTGCTGCAGAAGGCCCAATGGATGTAGCCCCAGTGACCACTGCAGTCACACCAGGGCCTCTGCGTCTTGGGCCTTGGGCCTCTGCGTCTTCACAAAGATACCCAGAGCTGCCTGAGGATCAGCTCTGCCTGGGTGGAGCCCCACTGCACTGCTCCCTCCCAAATGACTTTTGGGTCCCATCTTCTGCCTTCCACTGTTCCCTTCCCCGATACCTTGTTCAGTCAAATGTGATCTTAGACTGGACAGACTGGGGGCGGGGGGTTGGTGCTCTGCTACAGCTATTTTTTTTGCAAATTTCCAACCTCTGTGTTCCTGTACTCGGCTTCTATCCAGCCCACCCATGCCCCCAACACATGCCAGGAGAAGAAGTGATAAAGTCTGGTTGTTTGTCTCCTTGGAATCTCATGTTGAAATGTGACCTCCAATGTTGGAGGTGGAGCCTGGTGGGAGGTGTTTTAGTCATGGGGGGTGGATTCCTCATGAATGACTTGGTGCCCTTTCCATGGTAATGAGTGAGTTCTTGTTCTGTTAGTTCACACACGAGCTAGTTGTTTAAAAGAGTCTGGCTCTCTTGCTTTCTTTGTCACCGTGTGACACACCTCTCCCCCTCTGCCTTCTTTCCACCGTGACTGGAAGATTCCTCGCCAGAAGCTGAGCAGATGCTCGTGCCATGCTTGTACAGCCTGCAGAATTGTGAGCCAAATAAGCCCGTTTTCTTTATGTATTACCCACCCTCAGGTATTTCTTTATAGCAACGCAAAATGGCCCAAGACAAGAAGACACATCTGGCTGCCCTGGGCTGTAGATGATGGCATAGTGGAGTCTGTTTTCACCAATCCTCTTTTTGTTTCTTGTCCTCACCTGGCTATGCTACACGGAGACTTTCCCACACCTGTTCCTGTAGGGCCTGCCTCTCCACAGCCATCAAAAAAACCAGTGTGATGCTGGTGAATATATTTAAGGCTGCCTTTGCCACATTAAATTCTCCAACCGATATTACGCACCTCTCCCCACCAAAATAACTTATTTGAAGACACTTTAGAAATGCTGGGTAAACAAAACGAAACACGCTGCAAATTGTAAGACTTCTCAGAACCTTTAATTTACCGGCATACACTATGACTTCATGGAACTGAATTTTTATTTTTTTATGATGCCTTCTCCAAACTTCTTAGGACATGGTGCCTGTATTAGCTACATGACCAGTAGACACTGTTTAGCTGCCCTCCTGCCTGAAGACATCACTTGGTCTATGTTCTAGGAGGGAATGCCAGAGGGAGGAAAAATCATTCAGTCCCCCAAAGAGCAGAGTGGATGATATAATTTTAGACCAGGAATTAGAAGATATGGATTCTGGCCAGGCGCAGCGGCTCATGCCTATAATCCCAGCACTTTGGGAGGCTGAGGCAGGAGAATCACTTGAATCTGGGAGGTGGAGGTTGCAGTGAGCTGAGATCAGGCCACTGCACTCTAGCCTGGGCAACAGAGTGAGACGCCATCTAAAAAAATACTAATAAAAATGGAGATATAGATTCTTATTCTGGCATCACAATTTATCTGCTGTGGGGCCCTAGGGGATCCACTCCCGCTCTCTGAAACTGCTTCCCTGCCTCTGGGAGGTGGAATTGGATATGTCAGTCCCTGCAAGCGTCTTTCAGCTCACACAGTTTGTGACTTCATGTACTTGCCAATCTGCTCTCATCACCCCTCCCCCATTTCACCCATTCTCTCACCCCAGGGACTGAGCCAACTCTCTAGAATGAATACATTTGGCAGACAAGGGCTTGCAGGTTGATGAGGAGAGAGCTGTTCTCCTGCTAGAGCTGGGGGCCCAAGCAGGCCAACATGAGCTCACACCTCTCAGACCTGCCAGTCCATTAACATTGCAAAAGACTTTGATGCACTTTGGGGAATTGTGCAACATTGATTTTATTGTCATCTTTTTGCACAAGCAGTAAATAGGCTAACATTTTAGGTACAAGGTAATTATTCCCGAAAAGCAAGACATCAAAATAAAGTTTATAGTTAGCAGCCCGACATTTTGACAGGAGCTGTGTGGAGGTCCCAGAGATGTCTTGCAGTTGCTGAAAAGGTTAAAGATCAGTGTGCTTTACTGGCAACAGGGAGGCACAAAGGTGGTCCCCCTGTGGGGCATGCCATGGGACGCAGAGATGCTGGGCTGGCCCCCAACACAGGCTGGCCCTACTGGAGGCAGTTCTGGGGGGCCTCTTCCTTTCTGTCCAGGATTCAGCATGTCCCTTTTTAATGCCATAAGGAGAGTATGCACCAGTATGGACCTGGTCCTTTTTTGTGTACACACCTACTGTTGTTGCAACCTTGGGTCTTTGCTCACACAAAAGTGGCACACACAAATACCGGGAGATTATCCACCTCTCAGTCCTCTGCTGGGATCTGGAGGCATATAGCGGATCCTACAGGTGGGCTAATGGGTCATTGAAAGGCTTGTATCTCTGGCTTTCTTCTTCCTCTTTTAGAGACAGGATCTCAGTCTGTTGCCTAGGATGGAGAGCAGAGGCATGATCACAGCTCACTGCAGCCTCGAACTCTGGGGCTCAAGGGATCCTCCCACCTCAGCCTCCCAAGTAGCTGGAACTACAGGTGCGCACCATGCCACCTGGCTAATGCATTTTAGTTTTTTGTAGAGACGGGGTCTCACCCTGTTGCCCAGGCTGGAGTACCTCTGGCTTCTAAGGAGTGCTGTTTTTGGATGCCTGATACGATTTGGCTTTGTGTCCCCACCCAAATATCATGTTCAGTCACTATCCCCAATGTTGGAGGTGGCACCAGGTGGGGGGTGATTGGATCATGGGGGTGGTTTCTAATGGTTTAACACCATCTCCTAATGCTGCTCTCATGACAAGATGTGGTTGTTTAGAAGTGTAATCCCAGCACTTTGGGAGGCCAAGGCAGGTGGATCACAAGGTCAGGAGTTTGAGACCGGCCTGGCCAACATGGTGAAACGCTGTCTCTACTAAAAATACAAAAATTAGCTGGGCCTGGTGGTGCATGCCTGTAATACTAGGTGCTTGGGAGGCTTAGGCAGGAGAATTGCTTGAAATCAGGAGGCGGAGGTTGCAGTGAGCTGAGATAGTGCCACTGTACTCCATCCTGGGCAACAGAGCAAGACTCCATCTTGGAAAAAAATAAAAGTGTGTAGCACCTGCCTCCTCTCTCTCTTCCTCCTGCTTTGGCCACATGAACTGTTGGCTCCCCCTTTGCCTTCCACCATGACTGTAAGGTTTCTGAGGCCTCTCCAGAAGCTAAGCTGATGCTGGCGCCATGCTTCCTGTACAGCCTCTGGAACCATGAGCCAATTAAACCTCTTTTCTTTACAAATGACCCAGTCTCAGGTATTCCTTTATAGTAGTGAGAGAACAGGCTAACTTAAACTGAATCCAAAGAGATTACTCAGACTTTGATTAAAGGACATACTGGCTTTGTGTTCTAGGATGCCAGGTCAGTGTGGCCATGTCTTGGGCTTGCTGGCTGGTGCTGTCACTCTGCTGTGCTGGCAAAGGAAGTCTTATGGTATGGATTTTACACAGCACGCTCTGAGCAAGGGTGACCCTGTTGTCCTGGGGAGACGACTGTGTCTAGCCTCTGGACAGCTCTTCTGATCATCCTCTCTGGCTGCCTCAAAACCCCAAGTTCCCTGCCTGTCCTAGTTCCTGAGCTTGTATGTCTATGTGTGGTGGGGGGAGGCTGAAGGTTTATCTGCCCCACTGACTGGCCTTGAACACACAAGCCCCAAGCACAGTTCTTTAGCATGAACTTCTTCCTTCTGGAGGCAACTGTTTGGGGATTATTTGTTTTTCCTGGGCACCTTTTGGTTTGCTTCCTTGCTGGTTACAGATCTATGCAGTGTCTGGCCTCCTTCCATTCAAAATATAGAGAAACGTGCATCTGGACAGAGGCTGGTAGCATCATTTCTATTTGAATCTGGCATGGGGCAAACCCTCACTGAACATCTTATTATGTGAAAGAGTCATTCCAAGAACACAAGTGAAGAAAGCTTCTTAACCTGCTTCCTGTGTCTTGCTGAGTTGGCTTAGAATCTTTCTTCCTTTTGCTTGACTCCTCTAGTGAGCTCAACAGAGAGATTGATTTACCCTCAAGGGAGATGAGAAAGGATGTCTTTTACAGGCATCCTAAGACCCTGCTCTTTGGAAGGGATTCCTCAACTGGCAGAAGACAGTCTGGGGACCCTGGTCTCAACCTTGACACTGCTCATCCAGGGGGTGGCCTCTGCAACTCACAGATGCTTCAGTTCCTGGGGAATGGCATGCACATGTGCATCACTTAGCCTGGAAGGATCCTTTCATCCCATGCACCTGTCCTTGTGTTTCAGCTCAGGCATCTTTTCCTCTAGGAAGCCTTCTCTGTTTGTCTGTCTCTAGACTGACGTGCATTCACTAGACTTTGTCCTTATCAAGAACTCGTCTTAGGGCCTTGAGTTTCCTCATGCCTCTGCGTCCTGTGTTCTGTGATGGCTTGGTTCACCCTACTCCTTTCCATGTCCTCAGCACCTAACACAGGTTGTGACAGCTGGCAGGTACTCCACAAACATCTTTCGCAGGAATATCAGTCCTGCATATCAAACTCATGGCCACTGACCATGTTCGTGGGTGTGGGGAAGATAACTGCTTTTTAAATTTTCCTTGTGATTTCTCTAGGTCTTTTTTGAAGATGCTCTTAGATGATCTTTTATTTCCAGCCCAAAGGATTATTAGGAGAAGCTACAAAAGGAGAGGTTTTGATTTCTTTTTTTTTTTTTTTTTTGAGACGGAATCTCACTTTGTCACCCAGACTGGAGTGCAGGTGGTGCAATCTTGGCTCACTGCAACCTCCACCTCTCAGGTTCAAGCAATTCTCCTGCTTCAGCCACCCAAGTATGTGGGATTATAGGCTTGTGCCACCATGCCTGGCTAATTTTATTTTATTTTTGTATTTTTGGTAGAGATGGGGTTTCACCATGTTGGCCGGGCTGGTCTTGAACTCCTGACCTCCAGTGATCTGCCTACCTGGGCCTCCCAAAGTGCTGGGATTACAGGCATGAGCCACTGTGTTCAGCTAGGTTTTGAATATTTATAATAATAATAACAATGATTTTATGAATTGTTTTTCAAAGCAAAGTCGTTCTTTGGGGGTGCCAAGGAGAGCTGGAGTGGACACCATGAAAGCCTCTTGCCCCTTGGTCACCACTTGTGAGGTCAATGAGTTTTAATGGATGGCACATCTTTAGTCAACTAGCTACTGGGCTAAGAATGTAACGACTTCTGTGCCTGTGCTCTGCAATAGAGCTCCAACTTCCATCTGTTGGAAACATGTCTCTCCTTGCCCAAGAAACAGGAAAGAAGGGATGTCTCAACCCAATGTCACCTTTTGACTCTCTTTGGAACCCATAGGCATCGTCCCTCTGCGAGGGAGTTTATCTCAGTTCTTCCTTCTAGATGGACCACAGGAGGTAGCTTTTGAGACCACGAGAAGGCTATGAGCATGTGAGGCCCGGAGTCTTCCATCTGTCCACAGGGCATGTTGCCAAACCAAAATCTTCAACATCCAACTAGATGATGTCTCCATAAGGCCAAACTATCAAGTGAAATGCAATGATTAATTGTTATTTCCTTTTTATTTCATTCATTTTCTATTATTTTTATTTATATCTCATTTTATAATTTTTATATCATTGTTATTCCTACTGCCTATTTTTTGATATTTAGAGGGTCACCTTAGCAATGAAACATCACGGTTGGGCTTCAATTATTGTGCTGCCACTTGCCACACATGTGACCTTGAGTGATTTAGCCTTTCAACTTGAGTTTCGTAATTTGTAAATAAGAAAAATGTTAACCCCTACTTCCTTAGGAGGTTGCTAGCATTATGTGAGCGAATGCAGGCAAAACCCTGGGGTGAGGTTGTGTCCCTCAGCAGGTATGGGCTTGTTCTTTGCACAATTTTGCCTGGGAGTTCTATGTCTGGGACTTGAGAAGACTGGGCTTCTGGGCCTTTTTTATGTCTTGACTTTCCTGGAAAGTCCCTGAGAAAGGCCTGGAGCACCCTTTTTGAGTGTGAGCACTATTCCAGCTCTTTTCCCAGGCCATGGGAAACCAAAGCCAGGACATTCAAAATGAGACACCCCATAGTTATTCTTCTTTCTTTTGGGGAAAAAAAAACACATCGCTCTCCTTTTGTGCCACTGCAAACATTGCGACGTTTTTGGCGGGAAGGGGAAGTTATTTTGTGTATGTGTGAACTAGAATTTTGATAGACAGGATAAGTTGTAATCCAATTCTAAACTATAGATTTTCAAGCAGATTGATGCAACAAATTGTTAGCAAATAGCAGTTTGCAATTTGATGCTAATTAGACATAAGGCAAATATGTGCCATGACAAATTAGCAGCGAACCATACTGCAGAGGATTAGCGAGAGCTGGCACAGCTCGCGCCCGGCTTCGCACACCTCCCTGTCGCCGTCGTCAGCGTCACCGTCGGGGCCTGAGCCAGCCTCGCCTCTCTGTGAGCAGGAAGCTGGAGAGGAGACCAGGAGCCTCCCAGGACAAGTCTCAGAGCAATGCTCTGAGCCTTCACTTTCCACCTGCGCCCGCTGTTGGTCAGCGTGCTCTTTCCTGAGAGTGGCAGAAGGTTCTGGAAAGCTCATCTGATATACATATATGTAAAAATATTTACATATTTTTATAAATATAAAAATAATCATAGAAAGGAAACACAGACACTCAAAAAATAAAAGAAAAATCTAGAGAGAGAAAGAATGAATAAGAGAAAAGAAAATAAATTCAAAGATAACCATTGTTAGTAATTTGGTATTCATTCATTGACATCTTTGTTTCCAAGAAGAACAAATACATAAATATATATAATATAATATAATATAATATAATATAATATAATATAATATAATATATGCATATATGTTATATATGTAATTTTTAATTAAAACAAAAAGGGCTCACGCATGTGCTGTTTACAGCCTTCTTCTCTCCCTTAATTTTATATTACGGATATTTTTCTGAGTCCATGAACACAGGTCCACATTAAGAAAAATGGTTATACAGTATTTTTTTCTATTAATCCACCCACTAGTTTAGTCGCCTTAACCCCTTCTGTTAGATTCCTAGATTGTTTGTGGCTTTTTGCAACTGTAAATACTGCAACACTAGACGGACTTGGAAATTCAGTTCTGCACACATGTGACCATTCCTAAGGACGCATTCCTGGGAGAGCAACAATGGGACCACTGCAGAAAGTTTGCCTGGACTTTTATTTCCCTTCAGAGTGTTCATTTCCTGTGCTCTCATCAATCCTGGGTGCTGTTGACATCTTTGCTAGTTAGATATGCCCCCAAACGTTACCTTATTCAAATTTGCTTGCTTTTATTTGTTAATGATGGTATTAGGAGTTAAGTAAGTTTTTGGGGAGTCGAAAGTTAAAAGTGGGGATTTTTGACTGAGTGAGGGGGGTCCTCCCTGACCACTCCATTTTTCAAGGGTTAGCTGTGTGTATATAGGTAGACAGATAGATAGATGGATGGATGGATGGATGGATGGATGAATGAACAGATGGACGAATGCATAGATAGATATAGATAAATAGATAGATAGATAGATAGATAGATAGATAGATAGATAGATGAATATATAGATGGACAGATGGATGGGTGGATAGATAGATGGATGGATGGATGGTTGGATAGATGGATAGATGGATGGATGGATGATGGATGGATGGATGGGCAGATAGATAGATAGATAGATAGATGTATGTATGGATGGATGGACAGACAGATAATCGGATGGAGGGATGGATGGATGGATGGATGGATGGATGGACAGACAGATAATCGGATGGAGGGATGGATGGATGGATGGGCAGACGGACAGATGGGTAGATAGATAGTGTGTTTGTGTTTGGAATTTTCTTTTTACCCTAACTCCTCCTGATCGTCCTATGTTGTTGGTTATATTTTCTAACTGGTCATTGCTTTACTTCACAAAAGTGATTAATTTTTAATGTTTATTATATGGCCACCTCATTAAATTCTATAATTAGCCCTAATTGATGTTCAGATAATTTTTTTTAGGAAGACAATCATAAAATACGTACATAATGAACACTTTTTTCTTCTCTCTTAAATTTATATTTTGTGCTTACTTTTATTGTCTCATTGCTTTACATAGAACTTTCGGAAGTCTGACATCACTCACTACTGGCCTCCTCGGGGTGCGCCTCAGGTTCTTACGCCCCCTAGAAATAATCTTTGGAAATTGAATTCGTGTTCAGAATCACGTGGCTAGATTTCTCTGTCTGTTGTCCAGGCTTTCATGAGTTTTCCCCGTCATGGATTCTCTGGAGCCAATGTCGAGAGTGTGGCTGTGAAGGTCCACTAAGGGGATGCCCTCCTTCCCAAACTGGCCTCGTTGGAAGGGCCTGCGGGGTCTTCAGAACGAAAGCGCCCTTTTTGCTGCTCTAAATGCTTCTGTTTAGCTGGCCTGAGCAGGGGCAGGGCCATTCCCCAGTTAATTCTTACCACTGGGTGTCTCTGGTAAGTGCCACTGGAAGGTGGGAAGCGGGAGCAGCATTGCCGGAGGCCCACTGGTGCGCCACTGCACCGTGGTAACTCTGACTCTGGGGAGGTGAAGGGGCCAGATCCTGGAGCCATAGGGTACAAGGAAGGCTTGTAAGGAGGGCTTTCATGTAGGAAGAAGAGAAGCGCATGCCCGGGGCCATAGGGCTGCGTCAACCGTGGCATGCAATCTAGAGACCTAGGTTCAAGTCCCAGGTCTGGAAGTTGCTATTCTTGTGAACTCGGGCAAGCCCCTTGCCTTCTCAGAGCTTCTGTTTCCTCAAAACAGAATCGGAGAGGCATAAAGAAGGCACTACGGGGTACAAAAAATCATAGTACCACGTGCACTTTCACACACGAATGAGCATGGCGTGTGGCCATATAAGATGTCAAAGGATGAGTTATAAAGTGAGATTCTTATATAAAGGTATAAAGTGGAATTCTACCAGGTACCATGGGGAATTGCATGGAAGGTGAAGATCTCATTATTGCCAGTACCAAGTTGGGAAGCTGTGTTGAGTTGGTTCACATACGTAGAGCTGTATGTGTCTATGTCTGTGCTGCCCTATGCATGGGTAAGCAGAATGCCATGTGAGAATAAGCAGTCCCCTCTTTAGAGGTAGTACATGTAGTATTTTAATTTTAAAATTTTGTATTGATATATAATTAACGTATCATAAATTCATCCTTCTAAAGTGCATAATTCATTGGCCTTAAACTTGTCATCCAACATAAAGCTGTTATTTTATTCTCATCAGAACAAACCAACTTATTGGAAGAACTTTTGTGAAAATCCTTTACTATTTATCGTATTTTCAAAAAAATTTTATAGTCATGATTCAGATGAATAGAGAAATAATCTTGGCATGAATATCTTTATATCTGAGTATATGTGATGGATATATGTATATACATACACACACACATGCAATTGACCCCTGAACAACATGGGTTTGAACTTCATGGATGCGTTTATATATGGATTCTTTTTTCAATAATTAATGAAAAACTTAGGGGAGATTTGCAACAATTTGAAAAAGAAACCCACAGGTGAGCCATGTACTCTAGAAATATTGAAAAAAACAAGAAAAAGGCAGGTCATGAATGGGTAAAATATATGTAGATACTAGACAATGTGTTAAAATAATGACTGTTTATGTTATTGGTAAGGCTTTGGGTTAACAGGCTATCAGTAGTTAAGTTTTCAGGGAGGCGAAAGTTAAATGTGGATTTTCAACTGTGTGAGGGGTTGGTCCCCTGACTTCTGCATTGTTCCAGGGTCAGCTATATGTGTGTGTATATCTATCTATACACATAGATACAGATATGGATATAGATATATAGATATAGATGGATAGATGGATGGATGGATGGATGGATAGATAGATAGATTAATGAGGGTATTAGGAGTTAAGTAAGTTTTGGGGGAGTTGAATGTTAAAAGTGGATTTTGATTGAGTGGTTAGGGTTCTCCCTAACCACTGCATTTTTCAAGGGTTAGCTGTGTGTATATAGGTAGACAGATAGACAGACAGATGGATGGGTGGATGGATTCAGACATAGGTAACATAGATAGATAGATAGATAGATAGATAGATAGATAGATAGATAGATAGATAGAGTATTTCTGTCTGGAATTTTCTTTTTACCCCAACTGATCCTGGTCATTCTGATAGGTTGTTGGTTATATTTTCTAACTGATCATTATTTTATTCATGAAAGTGATTCATTGTTAATATTTATTATTTGGACACCTTATTAAATTATATTATTAGCTCTACTAGATTTTTAGATAATTTTTTAAGGGAAATAATCATAAAATATATAAATATCAACCCCTGTTTTTTCTTTCCTACATTTATATTTTGTACATAATTTTATTGTCTCACTGCTTTAGATAGAACTTTCAGAGAAATATTAAATAGTGGTGGTGATAATGAATGTTCTTATAAAGATTTTCCCTTTGAAGGGATGTTGCAAATGTTTTATTCCTGGGTATAATGAATGAAGATTGGTTCAAGACAGGTTTTTTTCTTTAAATCATGTAAGGAAGTTAGCATTTTATATTCAGTATTCTATACATTTAAAAAATCAGGAATGACGATTGAATGTTTTCAATTTTTTTTCCTCAACAATAGATATATTGGTTCCTTTGTCATATTTGATATCTTAAATTATATTAAAATTATATTTGCTAATGTTGAACCACTCTTACTTTCCCTGAATTAAACAAACTTCATAATGGATAATTTGCTGTTTTTGATATACTGCTGGATATGATTTTTCAAAGCGTTTTAGGAAGAAGGACCAGGAAGTCAAAGCTGTGGGTATAAAAAGGCACTGGGAAAGCTGGCTGAGCCGTGAGCAGAGGAGTTGGTTTGGGAGCATAGGGCACATGAGACAGTAGTGGGAGGTGACATCAGATGGTTAACTGAGCTGTGGAGGCATGACACCTGGAGTCTTGCATCAAAGATGTGAATTCTGGATATGTAGACTGATGTTGTTTGAAGCTAGGCAAGGAGGTGAGAGGCTAAGGAGAGTGTTTGAAATGACATGAGAAAACACTGATTAGAATTCTGAGAAATGGGCTGGGCATGGTGGCTCATGCCTGTAATTCCATCACTTTGGGAGGCCGAGGTGGGCACATCACTTGAAGTCATGAGTTCAAGGCTACCCTGGCCAACATGGTGAAACCCTGTCTTTACTAAAAATACAAAAATTAGTTGGGGTGGTGGCGCATGCCTGTAATCCCAGCTACTAGGGAGGCCGAGGCAGGAGCATCGCTTGAACCCAGGAGGTGGAGGTTGCAGTGAGCCAAGATTGTGCCACTGCACTGCAGCCTGGGCAACAGAGCAAGACTCTGTCTCAAAAAAAAAAAAAGTCCAAATTTCTGAACTCATAAAAATGGTGACGAGGATCTAGAAGGTCAGAGAAATAGAAGGAAAACCATAAGAGACCAATAGTAGGGGGAAGAAAGGGGGAATGAGCTCCAGGAAAGAGGCAGTGGTCAAGGGTGGGCAGGTGAGACTAGAAATAACTTGGAATTTATTACTTGCAGATTTTGATGCAGTAGATTTAGGTCAGACAAAACGTAATTAAAGAGTTAAGAGATAACAGTAAACAGGGAACTCTAAGGATCTTTCCTCATCATGGTGATTATTATTAACATCATTATTATAGTTATTCACACCCAAATTATTGACATGTGATCCAGAAGCTGTATGAAATAATTCAGGCATATTAAAATTTGTGGCTATAGGATCACACACAATTACGGGAGCAAAACCAGTGAAGTGGGAAAACAGCAGGAAACAATTCAGGAAAACAATGTTTAATTTCTTCCCTAAGCCCTCTGGGGGAATTCTCCAGACAGTTTTGAGAATGATCAATAATGAATGTTGCCATGAATTCATTTTCCTTGCAAATCTTTATTTAAACGGTATGTAATAGGCTGTATCATGCCAGTATGCTGGTCGGCCTGGGCCACTGGGAACCCCTGGGGTTTGAGGAGTGGGCTGTGACCAGAGAATATCCTTCTCTGCACAGCAGATAGGCCAATCTTTGGCTGCTGTGAGCTTGCAGTGAGGGTATCGTGATTAGCTAAAGCATCTTTCTAAGTTTTAAGAATCACTTGTCACTAATGAGAGTCAAATACGTATGTATGTGATTTACTTAAAAGATGTCAAGCAGACTTATATTTTGTCCCACATAATATTGTTTTAACTTCCTTGCTTTCAATTGTTTTCCAGGAAAAGGGGTTTATGTTACAGTTAGAAATCTAGTAATCAGGCAGAACCTGAAGAAGGTTTTGTGGACAGATACCAAAATGTATCATTGTGGTATTCTATTTTATTGTGGCAGACAATTTTAGTCTTTTGCTTCTTGGAATATGTGCCTGGGATGGTGCCACCTATTTGAGCTTCACTTTCAACATGCATAACTTGTAAAGAGAAAATGGAGAGAGTCTTAAATTCATGGGTATGTCATTGTTGGTCACATCAGCTTCCCCTTTATCTGACAGGTTGTTTCTAGACAGTGCAGATCTAGACTTCACAGGGAAGTCAGTAGAGCATGACCTATTTTTTAATTTTCCTAGTCATGAATCTTGGAGACTAGCTGACTCTATTTAATCTAAGGCAGTGCACCTTGAGCTCAACTTTGCATCAGTCATCTGGAGTGTTTGCAAAAATGTCAAACCCTATTATTATTATCATTATTATTATGTTCCTTTCTTCTGATTAGCCCTGAAATTTTTATTCATTATGATTGGGATGGGCCCCAGGAATCTAAACTATTGACTAGCTCCTTGTGGATTCAGACACAGGTTACTCACAGGCTAATCTTTATTGTTATGATTACTATTATGTCTGCAGGGTCTGTAATGATGTTCCTTCTTAGTCCGGATACAGGAGATTCTCTTTCTCTTTCTCTCTTTCTCCCTCTTTTATCCTTAGTACATCTGGCTAGAGGTTTATTGGCTTTATTGATATCTTCAAAAAACCAGTTTGATTCTGTTTTTTCTGGATTATTTTTCTGTTTTTAATTCCATTTATTTCTGCACTTATTATTTATTTTCTTCTCTTTGCCTTTGGTTTAATTTGTTTTTGTTTTGTTTTGTTCTCTAATTTCTTAGATTGAAAGCTTAGATTACTAACTTCAGACATTTCTTATTTTCTGTATTAGCATTTAATGTTATATATTTTCCTCTAATACTTGCTTTAGTGGTATCCCACACATTTTAAAATATTGTTAATTCAGTTCAAAAGATTTTCATTTTTATTCAATTCAAAATATTTTATAACTTCCCTTGACCATCATTTAACTTTTAACCCATTTGTTTCTTACATGAAGTATGATTCTTTGAGATAGAGTGTAGATGTGTATTTTTTATATTTTTAATCTATTCTGACAATCTCTGCCTTCTAATCGGAGTGTTTAGGCCATTTATGAGTAATGTGATTATTAATACAGTCATGTGTAAATTTACCATCTTGATAATTATTTTCTATTAGTTTCTTTGTTCTCTTCCCATTCTCCTCTTTTTCTTTGTTTGTAGTAATTGAAAATATCATGATTCAATTTCATCTCCTTTGTTAACTTATTAGCTATAACACTTTGTTGTGCTATTTTTGTGGCTGCTTTAGGGTTTACAGACTATATCTGTAACTTATCATGCTCTGCCTTACATGATATTATAACACTTTTCTTATGGCAAGGAACCTTACACAATCACTTCTGTTTCTTCCTTTCCAAGTCTCTTTGCTATTGTCATAATATATTTTACTCTGATAACATGTTGCTTATGTTATAAACTCCATTATACATTGTTATTATTTTGTTTTAAACAATCGATTATCTTCTAAAAAAGATTTGCAAAACTTTTGAAAAGTTTTTAATTTTCACCCTCATACATACTCTTCCCATCTTAATTCCTTTGTGTAGATTCTGATTTCTATTTGGTATCAGTTTTTTTTTCCTGAAGGATTTTCTCTTTAACATTTCTTATGATACTAGTCTTCTGATGATAAGTTCTTTCAGCTTGTCTTTGTCTGAAAGACCTTTATTTCACCTTTATTTATCCAAAAGAGCTTTACTGGGTATAAAACTGTAGGTTAGACTTTCTCTTTCAGTGCTTTAAAGATGTACTGTTTTCTGACATATATATTTAATGGTTATATTCTGTATTTTATTTTTGCATGCTTTTTGAGCATAACTGCTATCATTCTATTTATTTCTCTGTATATAATGTATTTTTTGCTGTCTGGCTGATTTTAAGATTATCTCTTTATCACTGGTTTAAGCAACTTGATTATGTTAGATCTTGTTATAGTGCTCCTCATACCTATTGTGCTTGGGTTTTGTTGAATTCATTTAATCTACAGGTTCACAATTTTCATGAAATTTGGAAAAGTTTCAGCCACTATGTCTTCAAATATTTTTCTGCCCTTATGCTTTCTGGGCCCCCAATATTAGTCCACTTAGAGTTTTCCACATTGCAATGTAAGTTTTTTCAGTCTTTTTATTTTTCTGTGTTTTGTTTTGGATAGTGTACTTATTTTTCTACTTCAGTCTAAAAAAATATCTTCCATGTCTCTTCTTAACATACTCATGCATTGTTTTGTCTTCTTGAAAGATGCAACATACTAATAATCACTGTTTTCATATCCTTACTCTTAACCTTTGTTAGACTGGGCAGGAGCAGCCTTTAGTCTAGGGCTCCTATAGCTCCAATACCGAGGCAATACCTTCTGAGTGCTCCACCCAAAGCCCTGTGTGTTTTGAAGCTTCTCCACTTTGGCTGCTGTGAAGGTGAATTATTTCTAGCTATATGTGATCTTTATTATTTTAAAACGTGATCCTTTCTGGTTTTTCCCTGGCTTTGTGCATTTTCCTCACACAAATATGCTGATCAGTGCTGAGATGAAGAATTGAGGAGAACTCTCTCCAGATCTCCAGAACTCTCTTTGTGCAGAAATCTTTTATTCTGTATCCTGCCCTGTGGATTCTGGCCTCTTTTTTTAACTTGAAAATTTTGTCTCCTTAACTCAGGGAGCTCACTGAGCTCTCTTTGGATTTCCCTTTCTTGCAGTATGACCTGGAAACTCTCCAGGAAGTAACCTCAAATTAATAACCTAAGCTTAGAGTGGAAGCTTGATCTTAGAGACAAAGTTTTCAAAACCTTTTAGACTGGAAGCTTGATCTTAGAGACAAAGTTTTCAAAACTTTTTAGAGTGGAAGCTTGATCTTAGAGACAAAGCTTTCAAAGCTTTTTAGAGTGTAAGCTTAGGTTATTAATTTCAGACATTTCTTCTTTCTTGTGCTAGAATGTAATGCTACAAATTTTCCTTTAATACCTGCTTTAGTGGTATCCCATACATCTTAATATATTGTCTATTTAGTTCAAAAGATTTTCATTTTCATTCAGTTCAAAATATTTTATAATTTTCCTTGGCTATCATTTATATAAAGTTTGGTTCTTTGAGATAGAGTATAGATAAGTATTGGCTTATATTTTTAAATTCACTCTGACAATCTTTGTCTTAAGCTACTGTAGGGGTCACCTCATTTGTTTGTATCCACTTGGGAATCATTGTCCTGAGCTGCCTGTTGTCCAGTGTCTAAAATACCTTGCTTGATACAAATTTTGGGTTTTGTTTTGTTTTTAATTTTTAAGGCCAGAAGGTAAATTCAGTTTCTGTTACTCTATCTTTATCACAAGTGGAACCAACTTTCCACTCTTTTTTTTTTTTTTTTTGACAGAGTCCTGCTTTGTGCAGTGGCCCAATCTCTTAAAAGTTATTTTCAGTGGTTATAAAGTCTAGTTTGATAATTCTTTCTGACATTTATACTTAACTTTCTATCTTCTTTTTTACTTACTAGTTTTTTGTTGTAATTCAAAATCAAAGTGTAAATTTTTCTTATTATTCATTCTAGAATTTTTCAATTTTTACTTGACAAAATTGTATATATTTATGGTGTACATTTATGTTTTGAAATATGTATACATTGTGAAATTGCTACATTTTGCTAAATAACATATGCATTATTTCACATGCTTTTTTGTGGTGAGAACACTTAAAATCTAATCTCTTAGCAACTTTCAAGTATATAATACATTGTTATTTACTATAGTTATTGTGTTACACAATAGATGTCATGAAATAATTCCTGTCTAACTGAAATTCTGTATACTTTGATTATCTCCCAACCTGTCTTTCTTTCTCACTCTTGCCTTGGCAACCACTATTCTACCTTCTGCTTCTATGAATTCAACTTGTTTAGATTCTATGTAGAAGTGACATCATACTATATTTGTCTTTCTGTGCCTGGCTTATTTCACTTAACATAGTGTCCTCCAGGTTCATCCAAGTTGTCACAGATGGCAGGATTTTCTTCTTTCAGGCTGAATGCTATTCCATTGTGTATATATCCCACATTTTCTTTATCCATTCCTCTGTTGATAGATGCTTCTGTTGATTCCATATCTTAGTGATTGTGGATAATGCTGCAATGAACACAATGGGCATGGGAGTGCAGATATCTCTTCAACGTACTGATTTCACTTACCTTGGATCTATACCAAGTAGTGGGGTTGCTGGATCATTTGTTAGAAGCAAGACAGAGTCAGCCTTGCTAGACTTCTGTCACTGTCATAATCTTTGCAAAGCTGTTTTCAAGATCGGAGTCAAATTTCATCCTTGTGCCTGTGGATATGCAATTTGTTCCAACACCATTTATTGAAGTGTTTGTCCTTTCCCCATTGTGTGTTCTTGGCACCTTTGTCACAAATCAATTGACCAATATAAACATTTATATTTATTCAATTATTTATAAATAAATATTTGTTGACCAAATCTATAAATGTGTGAATTTATTCTTGGCCTCTCATTTCTGTTCCATTGGTTTATGTGCCTATTTTAATGCCAGTACCATGATGTTTTGATTGCTATAGCTTTGTATCCTATTTTAAAATCATTTAGCATGTTGCTTCCAGCTTTGTTTTTTGGCCCAAGATTGCTTTGGGTATTTGGGGTACTTTGTGGTTCCGTTCACATCTTAGGATTTCTTTCTACTTCTGTAAAAAATGTCATTGGAGTTTTGACAGAGATTGCATTGAATCTGTAGGTTGCTTTGGGTGTTATGCACATTTCAATAATATTCCTTCTTCCAGTTTATGAACACAGGATATCTTTCCATTTATTTGTGTTTTCTTCAATGTATTTTATCAATGTTTTGTAGTTTTCATCATACAGATCTTTCACCTCCTTAGGTTAATTTATTCACAAGCTATTAAATTTTTTGTGGCTAATGTAAACAGGATTGTTTTGAATTTTTTAATAGGTTTGTTGTTATTATAAAGAAATATTATGGAGTTTTATATGCTGATCTTGTGTTCTACAACTTTACTGTATTTATTAGTTTTAACAATTTTTTCACACGTTTAGCATTTTCTGTACATAAAATTACACCATCTGCAAACAGAGACAATTTCACTTTTTCCTTTCTGATTTGGATGTCTTTTATTTGCCTGTTGCTCTGGCTAGGATTTCTAGTACTATGTTGGTTAGGAGTGGTGAGAATGGGCATCTTTGTTTTATTCTTGATCTTAGAGACAAAGCTTTCAAATTTTACCACTGAGTATTGTGTGAACTGTGAGCTTGTGACATGTGGCCTTTTTTTGTGTGTTGAGGTTCATTCCTTCTGTAACTAATTTGTTGAGAATTTTTACCATAAAATGATGTTGAATTTTGCCACGAGTTATCTGCATCTATTGAAATAATCACATAGATTTTGTCCTTTATTCTGTTAATGGGCTATTTCACATTCATTGATTTGCATATGTTGAACCATCTTTGTATCCCAGGAATAAATCCCACTTAATAATGGTGAATAATCCTTCTAATGCACTGTTGAATTCAGGTTGCTAATATTTTCTGGAAGATTTTTGCATCTATGGTCATCAGGGATATTGGCCTACAATTTTGTTTTCTTGTAGTGTCCTTGCCTGGCTTTGGTATTAGGGTAGTCCTGGACTTTTAAAATGAATTTGGAAGTACTTCCTCCTTAATTTTGTGGTAGAGTTTGGTATTAGTTGTTCTTTAAATGTTTTGTAGAATTCAGCAGTGAATCTATCTGGTCCTGGGATTTTCTTTGTTGGGAGACTTTTTATTACTGTTTCAATTTCCTTACTCATTGGTCTGTTCAGATTTTCTGTTTCTTAATGATTTAGTCTTGGTAGATTGCATGTTTCTAAGAATTTTCTCGATTCTAGATTATCTCATTTGTTGATGTACAATTGTCCATAGTAATCTTATAATTCTTTGTATCTCTGTGGTATTGGTTTTAATGTCTCCTCTTTCAGTTCTGACTTTGAGTCCTCATTTTTCCCTTAGTCTAGCTGAAGGTTTATCAATTTTTTTCAAAAAAGAACAACTCAGTTCTGTTGATCTTTTGAATTATTTTTGAATAGTCTCTCTTATTTATTTTTGCTCTGATCTTTAGTATTTCCTTCCTCTGAGCTTCTTTTTCTTCCAGTTCCTTGAGGTGAAATATTAAGCTATTTATATTCAGTCTTCTTTTTGTTATAGGCATTTCTTGCTATAAACTTTCTTTTTAGAGCTGCTTTTGCTACATCTCATAAGTTTTGGTACGTTGTGTTTCCATTTTCGTTTGTCTCAAGATATTTTAAAATTTATGTTTTAATTTCTTCTTTGACTCAATTGTTGTTCATAGCCTTCTATTTTTTCCTGGCTTCCATCATTTCTTTGCAGAAGTCAGCTGTCAGTCCATCCATTGCTACTTTTAAGGTAATACTTCTTTTCTTTTCTGGATGTTTTTAAGGGACTTTTCTTTTTGTTATAGCAGTTAGGCGCTCATATTCTGAGTTGTAGTTTCTTCATATTTATTTGCCTAACATTTGCAGAGTTTCTTGATTTTCAGTTGGAAATCTTTTTCCCATTTATGATGTTGTGTTGGCAAATTCTTTTCTTGAATTATTACTGGCCATTATCTCTTCAAATATTGCTCATGCCCCTTTCCCTCTTTCCTCTCTTCATTATCTTTAATCAGTAGTATATTAAACATTTTTACTGTACCACATGTTCCCCTTACATTTTCTTCTGTATTTTTCATATATTTTCCTCTCTGTTATATTTTAAGTGAATTGGCTCCTGTTTTAATTTCCAATTTACTTATTTTTTAAAGCTGTGTTTAATTTGCTACTAAACACTTCTATTGAGTACACAATTTCAGCCATTAAAATTTTTCAGATCTAGAATTACATTTTATTCTTAAAAAGTATTCTTGGGAGAACTTCATCTTGCCTATTTTCCTGAACATGCTAACCATAGTTATTTTAGTCAATGTCTGATAACCTTAAATCTATGAAGATGTTCCTATTTGTATGATTTCTAGCCACCCCCCACTTGGTTTTGTTTCCTTCTGTGCTTGATAATTTTTAAATTTTATACCAGACATACTCTCTGAAAAATTGTAGAAGCTTTCAGTGATTATCTTCTTCTACATGACAGTGAGAGTATAAACATACCAATTTGATTCAATCCAGAACTGAGCTGACTCCTGTCTGGGTTTCACTGTTTGTAAGGCTGATTCTATCTCTGGTTTGTCCTTCAGGCATCTCAGCTGAAAGCCTGAATATTTACCAGTGTATTGCTTCATTGGTGAGCACTGAACTTTAATTTTTGTATTCCTAGCATGGTAAGATAGCCAAAACCTCCCTTCAGCTTTTCTTCCTCTCTTTGCTTGGCTTCAGGGACTCTAGCCCCACAAAGCTTTGGAATCAGTAAATGTCTCAAGGAGAAAACAGGTGCAGAGTGCCAGATGTATGTCTGTGACTCCTACTCTCTGGAAACTTGGCTGTTTATGTTTAGCTAGAGTGACAGTCCTGAATTCCAATTTTTATGTTCTTAGCCTGTGAAATTAAGGAAAAATTAAATATGCCATCTCAGGCCTCTTGCTCTTTGCAGCCAAGGAGGATTGGTAAATCCTCCAAGGGGATAATTAGTAGATGTAATGTTGGGCTAACTTTCACATCCCTTCCCTCCCTTCCGGGGTCATGGCCTCTTAATCCTGATTGCTTTGGTAACGTTCTGATTCTTCTAGAAGACATCCCTTTGTGTATTTTATCTAGATTTTCTAGTTCAATGGGAGATCGGATGCTCTATAAGCTACTCCATGTAAGTCAAAATCTCAGAACTCCATAGTACACTTTGGACTATAATTCCTCATCAGTTGAAACAATGGATTGGATATCATGTTGTAAACTCTTAGGAGGTAAACTTATGTAAGGAAAGTTCACTAAAATAAAAAATTCCATTCATCTCCATAAGAAGGATCCATGTTTACCATGTACTTGAGATTGAATATTAGGCAATCAAAAACTACAGGAAAGATGAGCTGCTATTTTAGCAGCTATGACTGTCTTCCATTATTGTAACCAGACTACGTCCTAAAACTCACTTATTTATTTTTAATTGACAAAATTGCATGTATTTAATGTGTACAACATAATGTTTTGAAACATGTATAAATTATTAAATGTCTAAATCAAATTAATTAACATATGCATTGCCCACATATTTATCATTTTTTTGTGGTAAGAACAATTAAAATATCTCTTAGTGGTTTCTAAGCACACAATACGTTGTTATTATGTCCTAAAACCCTTAGCCAACCTTGCTGAATTATACTAATCTGTTCTTAATAAAACAACCTGTTTGTGATGGGCTAAAAGACAATTTTTTGTTTTACTTTTTCTTTCAGAATTTTATAAATATTGTTCCATTTTCTTCTGGGATTGAATGATACTTTAGTAACATTTGGAGACAACATCATATATTTCTTTGCTGCTAACAACCATAAATGCCTTTTTTTGGTTAACTAATAACTGTACAGTATTATATCCCAGAATCCAGGTAACAGTCAACCCATATCTTGGACAGACTGTGTCACTATGCATCAATTTTCCTTGGAACATCTGAATCCTTCTGAAATAACAGGTTCTCTTTCTACTTTCTTGACTCAAGTATTTCAATATTTCTTAACCTGGACATCTTCAAACTCATAGAGAACTTTAAAAATACGGATGGGAATTTTTCCAACTTTTTTTTTTTGGGGGGACGGAGTCTTGCCCTATCCCCCAGGCTGGAGTGCAGTGGTGTGATCTTGGCTCACTGCAACCTCTGCCTCCCGGGTTCAAGTGATCCTCCTGCCTCAGCCTCCCAAGTAGCTGGGACTACAGATGTCCACCAGCATGCCTGGCTAATTTTTGTACTTTTAGTGGAGACAGGGTTTCACCATATCAGCCAGGCTGGTCTTGAACTCCTGACCTCAGGAGATTTGCCTGCCTCGGCCTCCCAAAGTTTTGAGATTATAGTCGTGAGCCACCATGCCTGGCCTCCAACTATTTTCAGTACTTCAAAATCTTTAAAGGAGAACAACGAATTTTCTTAAGAGGTATCTGAAGGCTGAAGAGGCCATCAAGGGCCTAGTTTTTGTTCTGAAGTCTATCAACTCAGCTAGTGGTGGTCATTTTAGGATAATCTGCAGCTCTGATTGACAACCACATGTCTTAGATTAAAGAAGAGTTAAAACAAGTAGACATATAGGACTATATAAAACTAAAAAGCTTCACAGCAGAAGAAACAATCAAAAAAGTGAAGAAACAACCTCTTGAATGGGAGAAAATGTTTGCAAACTACACATCCTCCAGGGGACTAATACCCAGAATATACAAGGAACTAAGCAACACCATAGTGAAAAAACAAATAATCCCATTAAAAATGGACAAAAGAAGGGAACAAACATGTCTCAAGAGAAGATGTATGAATGGCCAACAGGTCTATGAAAAAATGCTCGATATTACTACTAATCATTCAGGGAAAGGCAAATTAAAACCACAGTGATATAGCATCTCACACCAGTCAGGATGGCTATTACTAAAAAGACAAAAAGTAATAGATGCTAGCAAGGAAGTGGAGAAAAGGGAAGTCATACACTGCTGGTGGAAATGTAAATTAGTACAACCACTATGGAAAATAGTATGGAGATTTCTCAAAAAACTAAAAATAGAACTACCATAAGATACAGCAATCGACCACTGGGGATTTATCCAAAGGAAAATAAATCTGTATATCAAAGTGAGACCTGCTCTTGCGTGTTTATTGCAGCACTATTCACAATAGCCAAGATATGGAATCAACCTAAGTGTCCACAGCAGATGAATGAATAAAGAGGATGTGGTATGTACACACAATGGAGTACTATTCGGCCATAAAAAATGAAATTATGTTATTTGCAGCAACATGGGTGGAACTGGAGGAGGCCATTATGTTAAGTGAAATAAACCAGGCACAGAAAGACAAATATTGCATAGTCTCACTCATATGTGGGAGTCAAAAATGTTCTCATGGACATAGAAAATAGACTAACAGCTACCAGAGACTGGGAAGAGGAGGTGAGTGAGTAGGAGTGAGGGAATGAGGAGAGTTTGCGTACAAATATATAGTCAGATGAAATAAATAAGTTCTAATGTTTGATAGCAGACCAGGGTGATTATACTTAGCAACAGTAGTTTGTATATTTCAAAGTTACTATAAGAGTGGACTTAAAACGATATCAACAATAGACATGATAAGTACTTGAGTACTTACCATGGATACCCCAAATACCCTGACCTGATCATCACACATTATACATGTGTAACAAACACTTACCCCATAAATATGTAAAATATTATGTACCTATAAAAGGAAAAAAAGTGAGAAAATGAATTATTTGTTACTTTGCTTTGTGTCATAGATGCAGTATTCCAAAGCAGGAGATTCACTGAAAAAGATGTTTAAGAAGTTGCTGATGAAGAAAAGTTCAGGATTCACAGCTCCATACAAAGGGAATAGCCACTTTTCTCATTTTGAGATATGACTACTAACAAGTATTATTCTGCATCTTCAGCCAGGCTGTGGAAGGCCCCATTCTTTCTGTAACACAGATGTTCAATTGGAATTTTCCATCTGGTCACATAATTCTGCTTTGGGATTTAACAGGTTAACTTGGCACTGGTCACTGGCCTTGGAGGGCAAAATATGATAGTTCAGCATAGATTCTATTTGTTGATAACTCATCATAGCCACATTGGCATCAATAAGTTTTCTGTAGGGCACACTTTTCCTTTAATGTGGACACAGTCACATAATAATATGCTTATGGTGCAGACGTTGGTTCTAAACTCACTTTGCATTATCTGTATCTGTATCTGCATCTATATCTGTATCTGTATCTATCTGTATCTACATCTGTATCTGTATCTGTACTTATATCTGTATCTGTATCTATCTGTATCTGTATCTATATCTGTATCTGTATATATATCTGTATCTATTTGTATCATCTATCAGTATCTGTATCTATATTTGTATCTATCTATATCTGTATCTGTATCTGTCTGTATTTGTATCTGTATCTGTATCATCAATCTGTACCTGTAGCTGTCTGTATCTGTATCATCTATCTGTATCTGTATCTATACTTGTATCTGGATCTATATCTGTATCTATACTTGTATCTGTATCTATATCTGTATCTATCTGTATCTGTATCTGTATCATCTATCTGTATCTGTATTTTTATCTGTATCTTTATCTATACCAGTATCTGTATCTATCTGTACTTGTATCTATCTGTGTCTGTAACTGTCTGTAATTATTTATCTACATCTATTTCTATCTAATCTCATTTTATTTTTATTTATTTTTGGAGCAGTTTCAGGTTCACAGCAAAATGGAGCAGCAAACACAGAGATTTCCCATACAACCCGGTCCCCACATGTGCACAGCCTCCCCCATTGTTAACAACCCCTGCCAAGGTGGCATTTTTGTTATAACTGATGAACCTACATTTACACATACTTATCACCCAAAGTTCATAGTTTACATTAGGGCTCACTCTTGTTGTACATTATACAGATTCAGACCGGTTATGATGATACGTCTTTATCATCATGGTATTGTACAGAGCAGCTTCATATCCTAAAAATCTTCTGCACTCAGTCTGTTCATGCCTTCCCACTAACCCTTGGCAGCCACTAATCTTTTTACTGTCTACCTTCTTTTGCCTTTTCCAAAATGTCATATAGTTGGAATCATACAGTATGAGGCCTTTTCACATTGGCTTTTCTCATTTAGTAATATGCATTTAAGACTCCTCTCTGTCTTTTTACGGTTTGATAGCTCATTTTATGACTTGATAGCTCATTGATTTTCAGCACTAAATAATATTTCATTGTCTAAATGTACCACAGTTTATTTTTCCATTCATCTGTTGAAGAACATCTTGATTTTTTCTAAGTTTTGGCACATATGAATGAATAAAGTTGATATACATATCTGTGTGCAGATTTTTCTGTGTATCTGTTTTCAGCTCCTTTGGGTAAATATCAAGGAGTATGATTGCTGGATAGTATGGCAGGAGTGTGTTTAGTGTTGTAAGAAATCACCAAATTACCTTCCAAAGTGATTGTACCATTTTGTATTCCTACCTGCAATGAATGAGTTCCTTTAGCTCCACATCCTTATATTTAATGTCTCAGTGTTCTGGATTTTGGCCATTCTAACAGGTGTGTAGTGTATATCACAGCTGTACTAATTTGCATTTACCTTATGTCATATGTCATGGAGCACCTTTTCATATGCTTATTTTCCATCTGCATATCTTCTTTGTTGAGGTGTCTGTTAAGGTCTTTGGCACAATTTATTAAATGAGCCATTTTCTTATTATTGAGTTTTAAGAGTTCTTTGCATATTTTGAATAATAGTTCTTTATCAGATGTGTCTTTTGCAAATATTTCTCCCAGTCTGTGGCTTCTCTTTTTACTTTCTTGACAGCATATTTCATAGGGCTAAAATTTTTAATTTTAATGAAGTTCAGCTTATTGCTTCATTATTCCATGGATTGTGTCTTTGGTGTTTGGTCTATAAAGTCATTGCTAAACTCTAGATTAGCTGGATTTTCTCTTATACTGTTTTCTAGGAGTTTCATAGTTTTGTATTTTACATTTGGGGCTGTGATGTACTTTGAGTTAATTGTTTTGAAGGGTGTAAGGTCTGTGTCTAGACTCTTTTTTTTTTTTTTTGGTTTGCATGTGGATGTCCAGTTGTTTCCGCACCATTTGTTCAAAATACTATCTTTGTTCCATTTTATTGCCTTTTTTCCTTTGCTAAAAATCTGCTGACTATACTTATGTGGGCCTATTTCCGGGCTTTCTATTTTGTTCTAATGAGCTGTTTGTCTGTTCTTTCACCAATGCCACATTATCTTGTTTACCGTGGTTTTACAGTAAAACTTGAAGTTGGTTAGAGACGGTCTTCCAACTTTGTTCTTCATACTGTGCTGATTATTTTGGGTCTTTGACCTCTCCGTATAAACTTTATTATTTTATTTTATTTTTTTAAAGATGAGGTCTCACTATGCTGCCCAGGCTGGAGTTGAATTCCTGGGCTTAAGCAATACTTTCACTTCAGCCTCCAGAGTATCTGGGACTACAGGTATTTGCCACCATGCTCAGCTCATATACCTCAGAATTATTTATTGATACCTGCAAAATAATTTGCTGGGATTTCGATGGGATTGCATTAAATCCATGGGTCAAGTTGAGAACTGACATCTTGACAATATTGAGTCTTCCTATCCATAAACATGAAATATCTCTATTTAATTATTCTTTGACTTTTCCAACAGAGTTTTGTGGTTTTCCTTATACATATTTCTTATGTATTTTGTTACATTTATACCTGAGTGTTTCATCTAGTGGGTGATAATGTAAAAGGCATTATGTTTTTAGTTTCAATTCCACTTGTTCATTGCTGGTATGTAGAAAAGTGATTGACTTTTGTATGTCAATATTGTATCTTGCAACTTTGCTAAAATTACTTATTTTTTTGTCAGTTATTTTGGACTTTATACCCAGACAATCACCACTTGTAAACAGAGTTTCATTTCTTCCCAATCTGCATATCGTTTTAGAAATTTTATTTTCTTATTGCATTAGTTAGCATTTCCACTACCACCACCTTAAAAAGCAGTGGTAACAGAGGACATCCTTGCCATGTTTCTCATTTTACTAAGAGGGTTTTTTCTCCCATTAACTATAATATTAGCTGTAAGTGTTTTGTAAATATGCTTTGTCATATTGAGGAAGTTCCCCTCTATCCTAGTTTGTTGAGTGCTTTTTATCATGAATGGGTATTGGATTTTTTCAAATGCCTTTTCTGTATCTATTGATATAATTATGCAATATTTTTATTCTTTTAGGTTGTTGATAAGCTGGATTACATTAATTGCTTCTCAAATATTGAACAAGCTTCATATAATTGGGATACATTCCACCTGGTCATGGTGTATAATTCTTTTTACGTATTGTTAAATTCAATTTGCTAGTATTTTGTTGAGGAGTTTTACATCTATGCTCATGAGAGGTATTGGTTTGCAGTTTTCTTGTAACGTCTCTGAGGTTTTTGTATTAGAACAATGTTGGCCTCATAGAATGAGTTAAGAAGTACAGATGCTCTTTGATGTACAATGGGGTTGTGTTCTGATACCCATGGTATGTCAAAAATGAATTTAATGCCCTGATAAACCCATCATAAAGTCAACAAATCTTAAGTAAAACTACATAAGTCAGAGACCTTCTGTATTCCCTCTGTCAGTGTCTTCTGAAAGAGATTGTAAAAAAAAATGAATCCGTGTAATTACTTCCTTAAGTATTTGGTAGAATTTACCAGTAGACCAAATGCTTTCTGCTTTGCAAAGTTATTTATTGATTCGATTTTGGCAATAGGCATAGGCCTATTCAGATTGCCTACCTTTCATGTGAGTTTGCGTGACAGACACAGCGAACTGTGTCTGTCAAGGACTTGGTCCACTTAATCTAGGTTATCAAATTTATGGGTATAAAGTTGTTCATACCATTCCTTTATTATAATTTTGATGTCCATTGGATCTGTAGTGATGTCCCCTCTTTCATTTCTGATGTTCATAATTTGTTTTTTCTATCTTTTTTTCATAGTTACACTGGATGGCAGTCTATTGATTTTATTGATTTTTTTTAAAAGAACCACCTTTTGGTTTTATTAATTTTTTCTATTTCCTTTTATCAATTTCATTGCTTTCTGTTTTTTAAAAATTATTTATTTTCTTCTGCTTACCTTGAATTTAATTTTCTCTTTTTTTTTCTTGTTTCCTATGGTGGGAACCTAGATAATTAATTTTAGATCTTTCTTCTTTTTTTTAAATATATTCATGCAATGCTATAAATTTCCCTCTAAGCATCACTTTTTCCACATTCCACATATTTCAATATGTAGTGGTTTTACTTTTATTTAGTTCATTATTTTATTTAGTTAATTCAAAATATTTTAAATTTTTCTTGAGATTTCTTTTTTGGCCAATGTGTTATTTAGAAGTGTGTCCTTTAATCTCCAAATATTTTGGGATTTTCCAGCTATCTGTCTGTAATTAATTTCTAGATTAATTCCATTGTGATCTCAGAGCAGACAATATATTATTTTTATTCTTTTAGATTTGTTCAGGTGTATTTTATGGCCAAGAATGTAGTCTATTTTGGTGAATGTTCCATATGAGCTTGAGAAGAATGTATATTCCTGTATTCCTTTATACCAAAAAATTAGATATCCATGGTAGTTCCCATGTAGAAGAGACAATCAAGGTCCTGAGATCGGCATGTAAAATAATTATACATAAAAAATATTCCCCTGGCTGGGCATGGTGGCTCAGGCCTGTAATCCCAGCACTTTGGGAGGCCGAGGTGGGTTGTTCACGAGGTCAGGAGATTGAGACCATCCTGGCTAACATGGGGAAACCCCGTCTCTACTAAAAATACAAAAAAAAAAAAAAAGGAAAAATTAGCCGGGTGTGGTGGCAGGCACCTGTAGTCCCAGCTACTTGGGAGGCTGAGGCAGGAGAATGGCATGAACCCAAGAGGCGGAGCTTGCAATGAGCTGAGATCGTGCCACTGCACTCCAGCCTGGGTGACAGAGCAAGACTCCGTCTAAAAAAAAAAGAAAAAAAAATGCCCCTGTGTGTTTTTTTTAATTAACTGATTGTCTCCAGAGTTAGAATTCTTTCAAGGTGATGTTGATGTAATATCAAATGTTTGGCATGCAAGACTGGGGTTTGAAGTGCAAAGAAGTTAAGCCTTCAAGAATCTAGACTATCCTGCTAATGTGCAAAGTTTTCTTTAGAGTTTGCTTGCTTGTATGTCAAGAAACCAACTGAGTTTTCATTTAATGTGGGCAGAGTAATAGTGGTTCCCATTTTCGTTATTTTTTCCATACTTTTTCTTTGCACAGAAAATTATCTCTCCTGTAATTATTCAAAATAAAATCTTTCTTGCTGGTTAGACCTCCAAAATCCAGTGGTTGAGACCTCCTAAAATCCAATTAAGTTGACTTGCTTACTTATGTTCCTCAGATCCACCTTTATGTAAGCTATAACACAAAACCCCGAGGCACTTTGGAAGATAATTTTGAAAATTGATGTTTGCACTTTAGGAGGCCGATTCGGGCAGATCACTTGAGGTCAGGAGTTCAAGACCAACCTGGCCAGCACGGCAAAACCCTGTCTCTATTAAAAATACAAAAATTAGCTGGATTGATGGCAGGCGCCTGTATTCCTAGCTAGTTGGGAGGCTGAGGCAGGAGAGTCACTTGAAACCAGGAGGTGAAGTTTGCAGTGAGCAGAGATGTGCCACTGTGCTCCAGCCTGAGAAACAGAGCAAGACTCTGTCTCAAAAAAAAAAAAAGAAAAAGAAAATTGATATTTGCTGCAAGAGAGATTATGAAATTTTAAGAAGTGTTAAATTACTGCAGGTAGTAAGTACTGGGTCTATGTTGGCTTGTATACATAAGATATGTTTAACCTTGACTGTTACCTGTGAAGTGGTTTGGATTTTGTTCAATTATCTGGATGTTCATTCTTGTCCATGTCTCTGTTCCTGACTGCAAGCTGCTAGAGGTCAAGCTATGCCCTGTGGATCATTATAAATTTTATTTTCTACATAGTTGTAAAACTTCTTCCTTTTAATTCCAAGTGACATTGTCTGAAAAGTGTCTAAAATGACATTGGAAATTCTATTGAGGTCCAGTGGACATCATTCAGTTAATGTAAGTTTACCTTAATTGTTCAGTGTTAGTTTGAAGTGATTAGACCATTAACTTAAGAAGTCACTAGAAGGTAGTATAAGGTCTAAGGATAAGAGGGATGTACACACAGGTTAGTAGCATTTGTAGGGCATGTGGACATTTTTGCTTCTAAAACAATTTTTTAAAATTATACGAATATTTCGATTCAGTTGAGTATTTTGTGAGTCTTCAAAATGTATCAGTAGACAATTGCAGTGAGATAAGCTTCTTCAAGGTCATAAGACTCAATTATCATTGGTTTGTTATTGGAACAGTCATGTTCATTAATCCATCTCCTCATCAATCCATCCAACCAGTTGTCATGTACTATGTTTCAGGTACTATTTGAAATCTGAGGATTATAATAGTGGACAAAAGAAACAAGGAGATATGGGGAAATGTGGGTACGCAAAGTCCCTGAAAGGCTAATGAGAGTGGAGTGTTGGTAGAACAGAAAGAACACCAGTTTGACTGAAAAGTAGTAAACAAGGCTTCACAAAGGCACTCAGATAAGGGCTGCAAGCTAGTTGGAATTTGATTCTAAATCCAAAGGAAAGCTGCTGGAGAGTTGGACATAGTGGAGTAATGTGAAATGACTATTATTTTTTAAAAAGAAATTTATTTTTTACAACAAATTTGGATTTAGAGAAAAATTGAGAAGATACTACAGACAGTTTCCACATACCTAATACCCAGTTTCCTCTGTCATTAACATCTTGCATTAGTATGGTACATTTGTTATAATTACTAAATGAATATTGATACAGTATTATTAATTAAAGCCCATGCTATATTCATATATTCTTAGGTTTTATAAAATTTCTTCTGTTTCATCCAAAATACCATGTTACATGTAGTCATCCTGTCTCCTTAGGATTTCTTTGGATATAAAAGTTTCTCAGGCTTTTCTTGTTTTGATGACCTTGACAGCTTGCAGAAGTCCTTGTCAAGAATTTTGTCAAATGCTCCTCTATTGGAAATTGTTCTGTGTTTTTATCATGATTTGCCTGGGTAGCTTTTATCACAATTAAAATGGGTTTTGGGGAAGAAGACCACAGAGGTAGAGGGCCATTTTCATCACATCATGTCAACAGTACATACTATCAACATGTTCTATTGTTATTGATGCTGACTTTCATAACGTTGTTGAAGTTGGGTGTCAGGTTTCCCCACTATAAAGTTATTGATTCTCCCCACCCACCACCATTTTATCATAGTATACTTTGCTGGAAAGAAGTCACTAAGCACAATCCATCTCTAAGGAATGAGGAATTGTGCTCTCCCTGTCTTTGAGGGCAGAGTATCTACGTACATTATTTGGAATTCTTCTTACAGATTTGTCTCTTATTCCCATATACTTACTTATTTAAGCATTACTTATATTGATATTCCATTGTATGAATGCACCACAATCTGTTTATCCATTTACATATTGAAGACTATCTTAGTTGCTTCCCAGTTTTTGGTAATTATGAGTAAAGCTATTATAAACATTCACATGCAGTTTTTTGCATAGATACATTTTCCAGTCAGTTGGGTAGATACATAGGAGTGCAATTGCTGGTTTGTATGGCTAAGGTTATGTTTTGCTTTGTAAGAAGTGGCCAAGCTGTCTTCTCAAATGGCTGTCCCATTTTGCATTCCCTGTTGCAATGAATGAGAGTTTCTGTTGCTCTGTATCTTCATCAGTATTTGATGTTATCACGCTTTTAGATTTTAGTCATTCTAATAGGTACATAGTGATATCTTATTGTTGTTTTAATTTACAATTCCTCAATGATAAATTATGTTGTGTACCTTCTCATTTACCTATTTGCTATCTGTATTTCTTCTTTTGTGAGTTTTTTGTTCAGATCTTCTCCTTGTATTTTTAAACTAGTTTTAAAAAAAGTTGAGTTATTTTCCTATAGTTGAGAAAATAGGAAATACATTTGTCAACTCCCATTGCCAAACCCAAAGTCATTAGATGTGTTTTGCAAATATTTTATCCCAGACTATACACAGAAACTATATGTATCTTACAAATTTTTGTTTTAATAAAATTTAACTTATTAATTTTTATATAACATTAAGTTTGGATTATACTTTTGGTGTATCTAAACACTCATTGCCAAACCCAAAGTCACTTAGATTTTTCTCATGTTTTCTTCTGGATGTTTATTATACTTTTATATTTTGCATTTAGGTTTATGATCAACTTTGAATTAATTTTGATGAAAAGTGTAAGGTATGTGTTTATATTCTCTTTTTAAATATGCACATCCAATTGATTCAGAACCATTTGTTGAAAATACTTCTTTTCCCTTGAATTGCTTTTGCTCTTTTGCCAAAGATCTGTTGACTATATTTTGTGGCTCTATTTCTGGGCTTTTTAGTCTATTACACTTGATCTATGTGTCTGCTTTTTCATTAATACCATACTGTCTTGATTTCCATACCTTTATTATAAGTATTAAAATTTGGTTGTGTGAGTCTTCCAACTTTGTTTTTATTCAGTATTGCATGAGCCATTGTATGTATTTTGCCTTTCCACATGAACTTTAGAATCAGTTTGTGACTATCTGTGAAACAGCTTCCTGCAATTTTGATTGGGATTGCATTGAATCTATAGATCAAGTTGGGAAGAACTGACATTTTAACAATATTGAGTCTTCCAGTCAATGAACATGGAATATCCTTCCATTTATTTAGATCTTTGATTTTTTAAAATCACAGTTTTATTGTTTTCTGCACAGATACTATATGTATCTTATTAATTTCATTCCTAAGTATTTCATTGTTTGGGTGCCATTATAAACCGTATTTATTTATTTATTTATTTGAGACAGAGTCTCACTCTGTTCCCCAGACGGGAGTACAGTGATGCAATCATGGGTCACTGTAGCCTTTACCTCCCGGGCTCAAGTGATTCCCCCACCTCAGCCTCCTGGGCAACTGAGACTGCTAGCATGTGACACTATGCCTATTTTTATTTTTTGTAAAGATAGTGTATTCACTATGTTTCCTAGGCTGATCTTGGATTCCTGGACTCCAGCAATTCTTTTGCCTTGGCCTCCCAAAGTGATGGGATTACAGGCTTAAGCTGCCATACCTGACTGATAGTATTTTTGAATTTCACATTTCAATTGTTCATTGTGGTATATAGGAAAGCAATTGACTTTTGTATATTAATCTTGTATCCTGTAACCTTTTATACTCACTTATTAAATCCAGGAGATTTGTTTTGCTTTGTTTTGTTATAGTTTTTGATCAATTCTTTGGGATGTTCTACATTGATAATAATGTCATCTTTGAACAAAGACAATTTTACTTGTTCCTTTCCAGTCTTATAAAGTTTATTTCTGTTTCTTTTCTTATTGCACTGGATAAGACTTCAAGTATCCTGCTGAATAAGAGTGGCAAGACAGGATATCTTTGCTTTGTTGACAACTTTATAGGGAAAGTGTCTGTTTTTTCCCTGTTATGTATGGTGCTATTTATTTTTGGTAGATGTTCTCTATCATATTAAGGCAGTTCCCAGCTAGCTGAGAGTTTTCTTGTGATTATGTGTTGGATTTTGTCAAAGGTTATGCTGGCCTGTTACTAAGCATCTTGCTTCTATTTTCTGGAAGAGATTGTAGAGAACTGGCATAGTCTTTACCATAAATATTTGGTAGAATTTATCAGTGAATCCATCCAGGCCTGATGCTTTCTCTTTTTGGAAGTTTGTTAATGATTAATTCAATTTTTTAATAAATGTAGGCCTACTTAGATTATTTGTTTCTTCTTGTGTAAGTTTTAGTAATTTGTGTCTTTCAAGAATCAATCCATCTCATCTAAGTTAAAAAATTTGTGAGTATGGAATAGTTCACAGAATTTTTAAATTATTCTTTTAATCTTCGTAGGAACAGTAGTGATGAGTCTTATTTCATTTCTGATGTTGGTAATTTGTGTCATCTCTTTTTTTTTCTTGGTTAGCTTGCCTAGACATTTATCAATTTATTAATTTTTTAAAAAAAGAACCAGCTATTCGTTCTAATTATTTCCTTTATTTTCTTATTTTCCTTTCATTGATTTCTGCTTTTCATTTAATTGTTTCCTTTTGTATGCTTGCCTTAGGTTTATCTTGTTCTTCTACTAGTTTCAAAAAGTAAGAATTTAGATTATTGATTGGAAAACTTTTCTCTTTTCTAATGTAAGCACAGTTTACCCTTGAACAATGGTTTTGAACTGTGATTTATATGTGGATTTTTTTTTCAATAAGTATACTGGAAAATTTTTTGGGAATTTGCAACAATTTGAAAAAATTCACAAACTGTATGAGATAGAAATATCATTTTTTTAAAGTTCAGTATATTATGCATGCATAAAATATATGTAAATACTAGTCTACTTTATCACTTACTACCATAAAATATACACACATCTGTTAGAAAAAGTTAAAATTTATCAGAACTTACATACATAAACACAGACACCTTTCATAGTTGAGAGAAATGTAAACAAATGTAAGGATGCAATATTAAATTATACCTGCATAAAATGTAATTGTAGCGTGTGTTAGACTATTGTAATAATTTAGCAGCCTCCTCTTGTTGCTATTGTGGTGAGCTAGTGTTAAGGGTATCTACTTATAGTGCTGTGAGAGGCTAATCATCTCCCCATGAGCAGTTTGTGTCTCAGTAAAAAGTGATTTCTTGTGGTTCTCATCTATTTCCCATAGTGTTTAGTGCAATACCTTAAACCTTGAATAACACTCTGGGGCCCATTCTAAGTGCCACTAGTGATGCTGGAAGTGCTCCCAAGAAGTAGAAAAAAGTCACGACATTACAAGAAAAAGTTTAATTGCTTGATAGGTGCCATAGATTGAGGTCTAAAGCTGCTGTTGCCCACCATTTTCTTCCTTCCTTCCTTTTTTTCTTTCTTTCTTTTTTTTTTAAGAAATGGGATCTTGCTTTGTTGCCCAGGCTGGACTTGAGCTCTTGGGCTCAAGCAGTCCTCCTGCCACAGCCTCCCAAGTGTCTGGGACTTCAGGCATGTGCCAGTGTGCTCAGTCATCTGCCATTTCAAGATAAATGATTCCAGGCAAAGGACCATAGCAAAAAAAGAAAAGGAAACTTGTGAAGCTGTCTTTTCAGCTATACTAGTAGGCACAAAAACCTGGTAATTTTTTGTGAAATGCTTTTTATTATTGTATTGAAAATGCAGCTTTTATGTGGGTGCAGGATTGCTATAAAAAAGGCATACCTATAGACTCTAACATGATTCGAGAAAATGGGAAATCATTATGTGACAACTTAAAGCAAAAGGAATGCGAATAATCTAAAGCTGGAGAATTTATTGCCAGCAAAGGATGATGTTATAATTTTAGAAAGAGATTTAGCTTAAAAAATATAAAGATAACAGGAGAAGCACCTTCTGCTGACCAAGAGGCAGCAGATGAGTTTCCAGGAACTATTAACAAAATCATTGAGAAGAAAGGATATCTGCCTGAACAGGTTTTTAACGCAGACAAAAGCTCCTTATTCTGATTTTTAAAAAAGTCTTGAAAAGCATCTATTCATAAGGAAGAGAAGCCAGCCCCAGCACCAGGATTTAAGGCAGGAAGGGACAGGCTAACTTTACTGTTTTATGAAAATGCACTGGATTTATGATCAGGACTGCTCTTATCTATAAAGCTACTAACCCCTGAGCCTTGAAAGGAAAGGGTAAACACCAGCTACCAGTCTTTTGGTTGTCCTGTAACAAGACAGCCTGGACAATGAGAACTTTTTTTTTTGGGGGGTGGGGGGCAGTAGAGGGGGTTAGTTCCAAAGATGCTTTGTCTCTAAAGTCAGGAAGTACCTTGGCAGTTAGGAACTGTCTTTTAAAATTATTTTGAAATTGAACCATGCCCCTAGCCACCCAGAACCCCAATGAGTTCAACACTGAAGGCATCCTACTTGCTCCCAAACACAATGTCTCTACTTCAGCCTCTAGATCAGGAGGACATAAGGACCTTTAAAGCTTATTAAACATGACACTGTAGAAAGGATTGTCATACTATGGAAGAGAGAAACCTTGATAGAGAGAACATCATGAAAGTCTGGAAAGATTATACCATTCCATGAAGATACCATCATTGTTATAGAAAGCCATGAAAACCATCCAGCCCAAAGCAATACATTTCTACTGGAGAAAACTGTGTCCAGATGTTATGCATGACTTCACCAGATATGTGACAGAGCCAATCAAGGACATCTTGAAAGAGACTGTGGATATGGCCAAAATGGTGGGGGAAGCATGAAGGGTTCCAAGATACAGATCTTGGAGAAATTCAAGAACTAATAGATGCCACATCAAAGGAGTTAACAGAAGAAGGCTTGCAGTAGGTGTTTCCAAACCAGTGCCAGATTATGAGGAAGACATAGAAGAAGCAGTGCCAGAAAACAGGTTGACATTAGGCAGTCCGATGAAAGGATTCCAAGTATTTAAGACTGCTGTTGACTTCTTTAACAACATGGACTCTTTTGTGACAGGGGCAATGAAATGAAAGCAAATGGTAGAAGAAGAATTGATACCATATAGAAACATTTTTAGAGAAATGAAGAAGCAAAGAAGTCAGACAGAAATCATGATCTATTTCCATAAGATTATACTCAGTGTGGTCTGCCTCTCTTGCTCCCTTTCTACCTCCTCCACCTCTTTTGCCTGTGCCACCCCTGAGACAGCAAGACCAATGCCTCCTTTCCCTCCTTCTTTTCAGTTTACCCAATGGGAAGATGATGAGGATGAAGACCTTTACAATGATCCACTTCCTCTTAACAAATAGTAAATATATTTCTCTTCTTTATGATTTTCTTGATAATGTTTTCTTTTCTCTAGCATACTTTCTTGTAAGAATACATTATATAATATATATAACATATAAAATGTGTGTATCAACTGTTTATATTATTGGTAAGGCTTCTGGTCAATAACAGGCTGTTAGTAGTTATGTTTTTCGGGAGTCAAAAATTATACACACTTTTTTTACTACATGGCACGGGTTGGGGAACCAGTACCCCTAACCCCCATATTGTTCAGGGGTCAACTATATTTACTAATACAAATATTCCTCTTACTATTACTTTAGCTTGATCTCATAAATTTGATATGGTTTGTTTTTATTTTAATTTTGTTCTACTTTTTTTTTTTTTCTGAGACGGGGTCTCCCTCTGTCACCCAGGTTGGAGAGCAGTGGAAAGATCTCAGCTCTTTGCATCCTTTGCCTCCTGGGTTCAAGTGATTCTCATGTTTCAGCCTCCCAAGTAGCTAGGATTACAGGTGCACAGGTGTACACCACCATGCCCGACCAATTTTTATATTTTTAGTAGAGACAGGGTTTCACCATGTTGGCCAGGCTGGTCTCGAACTCCTGGGCTCAAGTGATTTGACCACCTCGGCTTCCAAAAGTGCTGGGATTACAGGTGTGAGCCACCATGCCTGGCCTGTGTTATGTATTTTTAATAAGACTTCCTCTTGAGCCATGGATTATTTAGAAATGCATTGTTTAATTTCCAATTATTGGAGGTTTTCCTGTTGCCTTTCTCTTATAATTTCTAGTTTGATTCCATCATGGTAAAAAAAATAGTCTGTATGATTTAAAAGAATTTAAAATTTAAAATTCTTTTAAATTTGCTGAGGTTTGTTTCATGACTCAAGATATAGTCTACCTTGGTAAATTTTTCAAGGATGCTTGAAAAGAACATGTATTCTGCTGCTGCTGCTGGATGGGGGAATGTTTTATAAATGTCAAATAGATTCTGTTGGTTGATGGTGTTCAGTTCTTTTATATCCTGCCTCATTTTCTATCTAGTATTTCTATCAGTTGCCAATAGTGGGATGTTGAAATTCTAACTATAATTGTGGATTTTTCTATTTCTCATTTCAAGTCTATCAGTTTTTGCTTCATGTATTTTGATGTTCTGTTATGTGGTGCATACACAATTAAGAATGTTATATCTTCTTGCAGATTCATTACATCATGTTTCTTTTTGTCATACACACACACACACACACACACACACACACTTGCTTCAAAGTCCCTTCATCTGAATACCTACTCTTGTGATTTTTTGATTATTTATTCCAAGATATATGCATATTTTTTTCCTTCCATTCTTTTACACTCAATCTACCTAGTTGTCACATTTAAAGTGAGTTTCTTGTAGATAGCATGTATTGGGTCATATTTTTTGTTTACTCTGCTAAATCACTATCTTTTAGCTGTGTTTGGACCATGTACACATAAAGTAATTATTGACATGTTAAGATTTAGGTTTGCTTTTTTATTAGTTGTTTTCTATTTGTTCCTGTGGTATTTTTTTGTTCTGTTTTTATTTTTCTTCCTTTTCTGTGGATTAATTCAAAATTTTCACAGTTCCATTTTGATTTATTTCTAATATTTTTGAATATGTCACCTTGTACAGTTTTCTTAGTGGTTACTGTAAATCTTACCATAGACATAATGGTAAGATATTTAGGTTTTAGCACCTAAAGTGAAGTGTATATAGACCTTACTTCTATTTAGGCACCCTTATCCTCTCCACTTTTAAAATATAATTGTTTTAAAGTATTTCTTTTATATACCTTAATCACCACCTTAGATGGTGTTGTAGCTGTTGCTTTAACCACAAAGAAACTCATGAGTTGAAGGATGGTCTTATTATGTTGACTTCTGTTTTTGCCCATTCCATTGTTTCTTCTTCAAATATTATATTCTTTTTCTGTTGTTCTTTTCTTTTTGTTTGGACAGCTTTCCTTACCCCTTCTCAAACAGTAGGTGTGCTCCAAATTATCTTAGTTTTTATTTGTCTGAAAAAATCATTATTTTTTCGTTATTCCTAAAGGGCACTTTTGCTGGATATAGGATTTAAGGTTGACAGTTCTTTTCTTCTTTTTTTTTTTTTTCCCAAAACTTGAAAAATATTGTGCTACTTTCTTCTGGCCTCCATAGCTTCAGATAAAAAAAAAAATCCATTGTCATTTAAATTGGTGTTTTTTTCCTTTGGTAATACATTATTTCTCTCTTTAATGTTATTTTTGTTGTGTTTAGTTTTCAGTATTGTGATGTGTCTTGGAGTGGATTTCTTCAGGTTTATATCTGGAACTTACCCAGCTTCAAAAATCTGCAGGTTTATTTATTTATTTATTTATTTTTACCAAATTTTGGAAGTTTTTAACTATTATTTCTTTCAAATACTTTTTCAGTCCCACTGTCTCTTTTCCTTCTGGGATTCTGATAATATAAAGATTAGACCTTTGGTTATTTTCCCACAGATCCCTGAGGCTCTGTTAAATTTGTCCCTCTGTTGTTCCGAATGAGTAACTTCTATTGATCTGTCTTTATGTTCATTGCTTCTGTCCTCTGTCATCTCCAGTTTACTACTGAACTTACCAATGGATTTTTTATTTGGGATTTTTTTCTCAGTTATATAATTTCAATTTGGTGGCTTTTACAACTTGTATTTTTTTCCACTTTTTCATTTGTTTCATATGAATTTGTAATTGCTTGTTGAAGCATTTTTACCATGGTTGTTCTAAACTCTTTGTCAGATAAATTCAGCATCAGATGCAACTTGGTATGGGTGTTAGTTGATTGCCTTGTTTCTTTCTAATTATGATTTTTCTGGTTCTTGGTATGAGGAGTGAATTAGATTGTATCTTGTATATTTTGATTATTATGGCAGAGCACTAATAATCATATTTCAATCTTCTATTTCAGTGGGCAGTCACTCTGTTTGGGTTTAGTGTGCACTTTCTGGCACACTTTTGTGAACTTTAGTTCCAGTGACAGTTTAGATTTTTGAGCCCTGTGATGCTGTTCTAGTCTGTTTCATGCTTCAGGTGCTGCTGGGGCTCCTGAGCAATTTCTGATGGTGTCAAATGTAGAAAAAATAAGATGCTTGCTTCTCTGGGATGGCTGCTGTTACTGGGTGACCTTCTGGGGAGGAAAGGCAGGAGATGCTGGGCCTGAGTCTCCTCATGCTCCTGGTTGGAGACCAGGGAGACATGGGGCTTCACTGCTGCTGCTGTTGGCTGCTGATTGCAGATTGGCCTGTCCACTGAAGTCTGGTTATGGAGTAGAGTCTAGGCTATCCTGGAGCTTTGCTGTTGCCACTGAGGACAGATCAGACTACCCTTCAGGACCCTGGTTGTAAGACAAGGGTTGGCATGACTGGGCTTTGCTGCCACTGTGCTTAACAAACAGACCACTGTTCTGGGCCTGGGTTGTGCAGCAGGGTTGGAATTTCCCACATGGTCTTTGTTGGCTTTCCTCATGCCCAGTGCCTTGGCTTCCCTTTTGTGCGTGCAGGTTTGTGTGTGTGTACTTGTTGGCAGTTCTGGGTTGCAAGCTCCTCTGAAGCCTAGTGTAGTAGTATATGGAAGATGCAAAGAAAATCTGAGGAACTCACCACATTGGCATTCAAGCTCCAAGTCTCCTAGGTAGTCCATCCTCTTCTTTCCAGTCTTTAGAGTCCTTCTAACATTGTCTATTGAATAAATTCCACAGTATTTAGTTATATTTAGAGGTCATTGGAAGGGGAGGGTGAGGCTATGCCATGTTGCTCCTGAAGTGGAAGTCTGGTACACAATTTTTTTTTTTTTTTTTTTTTTTACTAATCTTCAACAAAGCATACAAAACCATAAATTGAGGAAAAGACAACCTATTTAATAAATGGTGCTGGGGAAATGGACAGGCCACATGTAGAAGAATAAAACTAGATCCCCATATCTTACCTCATACAAAAATCAACTCAAAACAGATCAAAGACTTAAATCTAAGACCTGAAACCGCAAAAATTCAGAAAGATGACATTGGAAAAACTCTCTGAACATTGGCCTAGGCAAAGGATTCATGACCATGACCCCAAAAGCAAATGTAACAAAAATCAAAATAAATAAATGGGACATAATTAAATTAAAATGCTTCTGCACAATAATAATAATAATAATAATAATAATAATAATAATCATCATCATCATCATCAGCAGAGTAAACAGACAACCCACAGAAGGGGAGAAAATATTTGCAAACTGTGCAGGTGAGAAAAGACTAGTGTCTAGAATCTATAAGGAACTCAAACAAAGGCAATGGACAGGAAAGCCATTTCTTAAACATATGAAAAAAAATGTTCAACATCACTAATTATCAGGGAAATGCGAATTACAGCTACAATGAGCTATCACCTCCTTCCTATAAGAATGGACATAACTAAAAAGTCAAAAAACAATAGACGTTGGTGTGGATGTGGTGAAAGGGAACACTTTTACACTGCTGGTGGGAATGTGAATTAGTACAACTTGTATGGAAAGCGATATGGAGATTCCTTAAAGAACAAAACGTAGATCTACTATTCGATGTAGCAATCCCACTGCTGGGTATGTAACTAAAAGAATAGAAGTTATTATATGAAAAAGACACTTGTACGTGCATGTTTATAGCAGCACAACTCACAGTTGCAAAGATATGGAACCAGTCTAAGTGCCCATTGACCAATGAGTAGATAAAGAAAATGTGGTACATATACACCATGGAATATTACTCAGCCATAAAGAGGAACTAAATAATGTATTTTATAGCAACTTAGATTGAGCTGGAGGCCATTATTCTAAGTGAAGTAATTCAGGAATGGAAAACCAAACACTGCGTGTTCTCACTTACAAGTAGGAGCTAAGCTATGAGAACACAAAGACTGAGTGATATGATGGACTTTGGAGATTAGGGGGAGGGTGGGAAGTGGGGGGATTTAAAAACCTACATATTGGGTACAATGTACACTACTCGGGTGACAGGTGGGTGCACTAAAATCTTAGAATTCAGTACTATAGAATTCATTCATGTAACCAAAAACCTATTGAACCCCAAAAGCTACTGAAATGAAAAAACAATAATGATCATCCTTTGACTTTGAATCCAATGGACATGGCTCTTCATTGGATAAGGAAGCCTTTGAAATCCAAATGGCAGAGTTGCATGAGGCCCTCCTTCCCCACCTCTCCTCCCCACTAGGACCTTTGGACTCTTCTGCCTGTGTCCAGTGCAAATGCTTTGTAACTCTGCCTCTTGGCTTAATGCCTGCCTTAATTAGCTAGTCTGCCTCATCACTGTCTGTCTGTGATGGGCCCATAACTCTGTGATGGGGACCTTTTGTCTAACAGACTCACTCTGTCCCAGGCCTAAATGGGAGCTCTATGCAGATGGAGTGCTTAATAAATGGTTTTGATGATGGTGGGATGGAGGCCTAGAAATGACGGCTGCAAGAAGAGAGTTGCTAAACCCGCAGCTCTTCTGTTTGGCCACAGTCCCTGTCTTGATAATTTTTGACAGTAAAAGCTGCCCTTATTCAGCTGCTGGTTGACTTCATGGGACCTTCTCTAAGGTGCAGGCCAGTGTCCAAGTTAACTCTTAGAAGGAAGTAGAGCTGCCAGCTCATTTGAGACAGGAATATTTAGGGGCAGTTCTTTAGTCTTCAGAACTTTTCATCAAAGCAGTTGCTCTCTGCTGTGAGCCACTTAAGGGATCTCTCCAGGGAATGCATTGGTGGCTTCACTTTCAGGGGTCAGGGACCTCACATATTGTGCTCTCATACTCCTAGGGTGGTGAGTTGCCAGATTTGCTGGCCGATAAACAAGGGGCAGCAGGCCAGGGCCCGGGTGTAGCAAGAAGCATCCCATCAGAGGCTCCTGGCTGGGCGCTTTTGTGTCTGGAACCCAAAGTGGCTGATATAGTTTGGCTGAGTCCCCACCTAAATCTCGTTCTGAATTGTAGCTTCCACAGTTCCCACATGTCATGGGAGGGACCCGGTGGGAGGTAATTGAATCATGGGGGCAGGTCTTTCCCGTGCTGTTCTTGTGATAGTGAATAAGTCTCACGAGATTTGATGGTTTAATAAAGGAGAGTTCCCTTGCACACACTGTCTCTTGCCTGCCACCATGTAAGACGTGCCTTTCACCTTACACCATGATTGTGAGGCCTCCCCAGCCCCATGGAACTGTGAGTCCATTAAACCTCTTTTTCTTCAGAAATTACCCAGACTTGCGTATGTCTTTATTAGCAGCACAAGAATGGAATAGTACAGTGGCTACGAACACAGAAACCACACTCCAGGCCCAGTCCCCGGCAGTGGCCTCCAGGACCCACTCTGAGCTAGATCACATCAGTGATGGGCTGGCCAATCTTTAAGGAGAATGACTCTACTCTTAGGAAGCCAGCAGGTTGGAGGAGGAAACACATTCAAATCCCGAGCACAAGGAGCTGGGAGAAGACCGGTTATGGGAGCGGCATTCCTGGAAGCTCTGAAGTCACAGCCCCACTGATGAAAGGTATGATGTGAAGTGGGAGCTATGGGGGTGAAGTCTTGTGCAGCGACCCCTGGTGTGGCAGAAAGAAACTCCTCTTTTTTCAAATGGTCCCCTGGGGTACCATCATGCTGCAGTGAGAAACCAGTTCCCCAGTTGCTGCCTTTTTTTTCCCTCCCTCACACTTAATAGACTGTTCCAGCCTCAGGGCCTTTGCACATGCTGCCCCTCTGTCCGGAACACAGTTTCCCTAGACCTTTGCATGGCCAGCTCCTTCTGGTCCCCCAAGCCCCAACTCCAATGTCACTTCCTTGTGGAGGCCACCTGGAACCATCTATCACACCTGCTCCTCTCTGTCTTATGGCTCTATATTGTTTTAAACAACATGATCTCAAATCAATTTTTTAAATGTATTATGTTTCTTCTTTCTCTGCCTGGCCCTCCCACTAGGATGTAAGAACCTAAGAGTGGAAACCTGCCCCTGGGATTCATATGGTGTCCCCTCAGGACTCAAACCCTGGTCTGGTATGCTCAGTAAATGAATGAATATACCCACTACACCCCAGGTTATTTTTTTTCTGAAGACATCGTTTGACACAGAGGGAACACTGTAGATAAGAAGCCCAACCCTGTTAGAAAGCAGAAGGGTTTGTTTGGGAAAAGGAAACAAAATATATTTTTAAGCTCCATAAACATATGATGAATGCTAACAAGGTATTTTCAAAATAAGAAGCACATAGAAACAGCTTATGTTTCTGGTCAAATGAAGTTGTAATCAAATCGTTATCAAAGCAAAAAAAAAGAGAGGAAGAAATCAAAATGAGTCAGAAGAGTTTTTGGAAAGATTCAGCAACTTAACTGACTTGAAGAGATTTCCCTTGTCTCAGTCTTACTGCTGCTTCTAGGGGAACACAGTTTTGCACGGGAATCGAGGCCAACTTGCAACCCACAGGCACTCTGGAGGAACAAAGAAAGTATCGCCTGCAACTCACCACGGTCTCTCTCTCTTAAGCCCTTGCTCTTGCCAGAAGAAGTTTCACACAAAGGTTTGCCTGCGAGGCTGCGCTTTCCTCTCCAGATCAGCAGAAACAACTTACCAGCAGAAATACTTAATGACGGAGCCAAGACTGGCACAGCCACGCGGTCACAGCTTTGTTCCCAAGAAGCAAGCCAATTAGCAGCCCTGGTTATTATTTACATTTCCCGCAATATATCACTAAAATTGTGTTGATGATTTATCATTTATATTATGTTATTGTCAGCATAATTTATTCAGATCATGCTGAGATACCTGGAAAATTAAGTAAAAGAAAAAGAAGTGGCATTGAATTCATCGGGTTTGAAAGATATTTCTCAGCTTCTTTTTTCTCTCCCTCTCTTTCTCTCTCTCTCTCTCTTTTAATGAGGATAGATGTTAAGAAAAATCATGGATCACTTAGCTATTAAATTGTTCCAGGATCATCTGCATTAAAAGTTTGCTCAGTATTCTTTTGTGAGAGAACATGGCTTGGGCGTTCATTTGGATTTTCTTCTGGAACCTTTTCTTTCAGTCTATTATTTCAAAGTAAAAAAAAAAGGAAATGCAATCCTCTTTAGTTTAGAGCAAAGCAGAGTGGATTAATGAGGGGCTGGAGGCTTCTCTTCCAATTTATAAAACATCCTTATCTTCTGCCTTATATTCTATTTGCCCCACCCTCTGGGAAATAATTGTTGCTTATCAGAATTAGAGATAAAATATTCCAGTTGTTGAAGCCATTCATCATCTAGGCATTCTAGAAAAGCAGTTACTGAACTAGAGGCAGCATTTTGAGCATCAGAGCTCTGGGTTCTAGTCCCAGGTCTGTCCAGGCTTTGTGTGATTCCAGGAGTCACTGAAGCTATCCTGCTTCTGTTTCCCCAGCAGTGGGATTCATGGATGTCCAGGATCAGGCTTGCTGGGTCTGCCCCAGGTCTTCAGAATCAGACTGCCTGGGGAAGGCACATGGAGGTCTTTTTGACAGGTGTCATAGGTGATACTTCTACACACTTCAGTTAGAAAAGTCATTGGGCTTACATATGCCTGCAGCCACTTCCAGCTCCAGTCTTCCTAGAGTTCTACGGACTCTAATTATATGGCATGTTTTGCATATTTCTGAAACTTCATATGGGAAACAAACTTTTGGAAATTGATTCATTTAAGAATCTGTGGCCAGGCGTGGTGGCTCACGACTGTAATCCCAGCACTTTGGGAGGCTGAGGCGGGTGCATTGCCTGAGGTCAGGAGTTCAAGACCAGCCTGACCAACATGGTGAAACCCTGTCTCCGCTAAAAATACAAAAAATAGCCGGGCATGGTGGCGCACACCTGTAATCCCAGCTACTCCAGAGGCTGAGGCAGGAGAATTGCTTGAGACCAGGAAGCGGAGGTTGCAGTGAGCACTGCACTCCAGCCTGGGCAGCAAAAGCGGAACTCTCTCTCAAAGAAGAAAAGAATATGTATGGGATCTTGTTATTGAAGAGAAGTCCGAAATAAATTATTCATGGTGTGAATCCTTTGTAATATGAGTGCCTTGTCCACTTGCCACTGATCGACTAGTACTGGATTTTCCTCCAGTGAGGTCCATGTGAATCTCCCAGCACACCTGGCAGGGGTGCTCAAGGAGAAGGGTGATTCTCACAAAGTGGCCGTTTTGGTTTCCCGATAACGGATCTGGTGACTTGCACCCAGCGCAGACCTATGGATGGCAGAGATGATGGTCTGATGTCTTAAGGCAGAGTCCTGGGGTCCCCGTGCTATCCCTTGGATAAGGATATTTGCTTCTCTGAACCTCCCAGAATTCCAGGTCCAGGTCAGACCATCTTTCTGGGAAGTTATATAAGGAATTGTCATAAGTGACAGGAACAATAGCATTATTAGCACTTGCTGGAATATTCATATAAAGATGGTACCTTTTCATCAGAGATGTTACGGGACATGTGGCATTACCCTTGGGAGGTGGATCCACTTTCTGTACCATAAACCCCAGGTGGTCTGCATGCAGGAAGTGTTTGCCGCTTCCTGTGTAATTTTTGTGATGGCATAGTAGGTATATATATTAATGGGTTACTTGAGATATTTTGATACAGGCATGCAATGTGTTAATAACCACATCAGGGTAAATGGGGTATCCATCACCTCAACTATTTATCCTTTTTGTTGTAAACAATCCAATTATACTCTTTTAGTTATTTTAAAATGTACAATTAAATTATTTTTGACTATAGTCTCCCTGTTGTGCTATGAAATAGTAGGTCTTATTCATTCTTTCTATTTTTTTTGTATGTATTAACCATCCCCACCTCCCCCAACAACCCTCACTCTCTTTCCCAGCCTCTGGTAACAATTCTTCTACTCTCTATTTCCATTAGTTCAATTGTTTTGACTTTTAGATCCCACAAGTAAGTGATAAGATGCAATGTTTATCTTTCTGTGTCTGGCTTGTTTCACTTAACATAGTGATCTCCAGTTCTATCCATGTTGTTGCAAATGACAGGATCTCATTTTCTTTTTTTTTAATGGCTGAATAGTACTCTATAGTGTATATGTACCACATTTTCTTTATCCATTCATCTATTGATAGACATTTAAGTTATTTCCAAATCTTGGCTATTGTAAATGCTGCTGCAACAGAGATGGCAGACATCTCTTTGATATACTGATTTCCTTTCTTTTGGATACATAGCAGTGGGGTTGCTGGATCATATGATAGCTCTATTTTTAGATTTTTGAGGAACCTCCAAACTCTTCTCCATAGTATTTGTACTAATTTGCATTAGAGTGTATAAGGGTTCCCCCTTTCTCCACATCTTCACAAGCATTTGTTATTGCCTGTCATTTGGATGAAAGCCATTTTAACGGGGGTGAGATGATATCTCATTGTAGTTTTGATTTGCATTTCTCTGATAATGAATGAGGTTGAGCACTTTTTCACATACCAGTTTGCCATTTGTATGTACTTTTGCCCATTTTTGATCAGATTATTAGATTTTTCTCTCGTAGAGTTGTTTGAGTTCCTTGTATGTTCTGGTTATTAATCCCTCATTAGATAGGTAGTTTGCAAATACTTTCTTCCATTCCGTGAGTTGTCTCTTCACTTTGTTGATTGTTACCTTTGCTGTGCGGAAGCTTTTTAACTTGATGTGATCCCATTTGTCCATTTTTGCTTTGGTTGCCTGTGTTTGTGGCTTATTAGTACTCTCAAGTACTCTCAAGAAATTTTTGCCCAGACCAATGTCCTGAAGAGTGTCTCCAATGTTTAATTTAAGTGTTTAACCAATTTTGAGTTGATTTTTTTATGTGGCAGGAGATAGGGGTCTAGTTTCATTCTTCTGCATACAGATCCCCAGTTTTCCCTGCACTATTTATTGAAGAGACTGAGTCTCCCCAGTGTATGTTTTTGACATCTTGTGGAGAATAAGTTAACTCTAGGCATGTGGATTTGTTTGTTTCTTGGTTCTTTGTTCTGTTCTATTAGTCTATGTGTCTGTTTTTATGTCAGTACCATGCTGTTTTGGTTACTATAACTCTGTAGTATAATTTGAAATCAGGTGGGGGTCACATTTCAGCATGAGATTTGAAGGGGACAAAACATCCAAACTATATCACAGTCCATGTTGCAAGGGTTTGGCAAATGCTTGCTGATTGTCTGTAACTCTGCTTCCGCTTACCCCAGCTGCTGCTCATTAGCTATGCCCAAGGCATGGATAACTGAAAGAGGGTCATAATTACTACCATGGGAAATCCTGCCTGTACGTAGAGAATACATTTTGTTTTCACTGCTTATCCCAATTTTTCTCCCTTTTCTCATATAATCTGTTCCATCATTCCCCCACTCTCTCTGCTGCATTCAAATGGTCTTGGGTGATTAGCTATGATTCCAATGATCTCCTGGCACCATTGTTAAGTTCAGTGGTGGATACTCAACAATTATAATTTTTTGGATTTGGGATCCAGAGAGACTTTCTTTTCAGCAGTAGAATCTTGGGAGTGTTTGGCTGCCATGGTGCCCTCACCTTGGTGCCCTCACCATGGTGCTCTCACCTTGGCAGAGAGAGGGAGGGGGAAGAAGTGGTAAGAGAGTGTGAGAGCCCTGAATGCTTTGCCTCCTAGGGCTCCTGTGATCCAGCCCACTGCTCTGTTTGGCTCTATGGGGCACCTGGAGGATGTTCTTGATAAATCCACTTACCCTAAACCACCTTGAAATTGGTTTCTGACATTTGCAACCAAGACTCAGAAATTTCTGGACTAAAAAACAAATAAGCCCCTTAAAAAATGAATGAAAGACATAAACAGACATGTTCCAAAAGAAGACATATAAGCAGCCAACAAGCATATGATATAATGCATCACTAATCATCAGAGAAATGCAAATCAAAACCATAGTGAGATGCCATCTCACACCAGTCAGAATGGCTATTATCAAAAAGTCAAAAAACATCAGATGTTGGTGAGGTTGCAGAGAATGCTTATACATTTTTGGTGGGAATGTAGATTAGTTCAACCACTGTGGAAAGCAGTTTTGTGATTTCTCAAGAACTTAGAACAGAACTACCATTCAACCCAGGAATCTCAATGCTGGGTATATATCCAAAAGAAAACAAATCATTGTACCAAAAAGACACATGCACATGTATGTTCATCCCCACATTATTCACAACAGCAAAGACATGAAATCCACCTAGGTGGCCATCAATGGTGGACTCGATTAAGAAAATGTGGTACATGTACACAATGGAATACTATGCAGCCATTAAAAAGCAAAATCATGTCCTTTACAGCAACTTGGATGGAGCTGGAGGCCAGAATCCTACGCTAATTAATGCAGGAACAGAAAAAATACCATGTGTTCTCACTTACAAGTGGGAGCTAAGGATTGAGCATACATGGACATAAACATAGGGACAATAGATGCTGGGGACTACTAGAGGGGAGAGGGAGGAGGGGGTGTGGGTTAAAAAACTACCCACTGGGTACTATGCTCACTACCTGGGGGCAATATACCCATGTAACAAACCTGCATATGTAAAATAAAACTTTAAAAATGCATGAACTTTTCCAGTTAGTAAGCATCTTTTCTTTTTCCTAATTCTCCCAATTTTAGTAGAACCATCTGAATAGATTTGAGTACCTTATGTTGCTAGATATGAGAAGTGTGCCATTTATCCCTTTATGTTAAGAAAAGAGGACCATGTAATGCGTAAAATTCTTTATTATGTTATGGTTTTAGTTGAATGATAAGTGTCATAATCTTGTCTAAACTAGTCCCATAACTCTTTTTTATCTCCTAGGCTGGGTGTATTTATTTTCTTTTGCTCTCAAAATTATTTTGGAATTATGACTTACCATTAATACTTGAAAAGTGATCAAATAGAGGAAAGCATTCTAAAGGTGGAGAAAGAGATGTGCAGCTAACAGGAGACATTTATGCGTTATTTCACCAGCCCACAAGTTCAAGTTCTAGGAGTTGAAATGGCAAAGGCCTGAGGACTTTCAGCATTTTGTCAACACTGACCAAGCGAACAGGGTGCTGTTCACAATCCAAGTTCGCAATCCAAGTGCATGCTGTCTTTGGATTAAATGGTTTATGCAGATTGGTCTTGGTTCTTCTGTACGTTCTGTATTGGGGAGGGATGATGAGTGGATGGACATCTTGCAGATAAGACCCCTTGCCCAGTATACTGTGGGGTTCACTGTAGTTGTGGAGGAAGACCTTTCAGTTTGGGGGCAGAGCACAATTTTTGTGTCCCTTTACTCAAAATGCTAACTCAGTCTGATCTCTGGTAGGTGTCCTGAATTGTCTTTAAAAAGTGATCGAGATTATATTTTCAATTTTGAATATACTGCTGAACCCCTGACATGCAGAGCAATCTATCTGGACTGAAAACTTGGCCAGGGATGGTCTATGCCAAGCAGTGAAGGCTGTGAAGAGATGCTTGGGAAGGGTACAAGAAGGAAGGAAAGGAGCCCCCTGGGACAATGAAGGAAGATGCTGTGGTTGGCCCCGGGGCTCAGAAAACAGGCAGGTGAAGGAGTGGAAAATGATCACTTTGATCCAAGGAACCACCTGCCCCACTACAAGTGAACACCAGCTGACCCAGTGCTGACCGTGTTTATCTTCTGCCTCAGTTTTCCTCAAATGTACATGCAAAAGATATTAGATGGCTTCCACAAAGGCTCTATGCATATGAGAATCCCTGTTCACAAACACAAAGCCCTGTTGACAAGAAGACAATGAGCCTCGTGAGTACATCGGCCAGATCCTGGGAGATTTGTTCTGTATGCACTCCAGGATCTGAATCTGCTCTCAAAATCACTAGCTCCAATCTATGAAAGAAAAATGCCCCACAGAACACACTGCCTCTTAATAAGTTAGTCTTTCCAACTCATAGACTTTTCCTCCTTTAAATTAGCACGACGGTTTTCAAAGCAAAATTTTCAGCCACCTAAGAATCCCTCCTCATCTTTATAAACATAAAGTGAAATAACTGACAAATGTTCATGCCATAGCTCCCCTCTACATAAACACACACAGGCACACATGCATGCACAGATGTGGTTAGTGGTTCTAACTTGGTCAGGTTAGAACAAAGGCAACAGACGTCCCCCTGTCACCATGCAGGCACCCAGGGCTGTGCCTGCCCATCAGCCCCGATAGCAGCAATTACACAGTCCGTGGGTGTGATGAGCTGCAAACTAAACATTTGTAAAAAGGCTGTTATTAATGCAATTAGCTATTTACACGATAGCCCATAATGAATCCAAAGGCATCGTTATTGACTATTGAGTAAATAATCTGACATTAAAAAGTCAATGATCTGCAAATGAAAAATTCTCTCTCTCTTTTTTTAAAGGAGGAAAGATGAAAGAAAGAAAATTAAGGAAAAGAGGAAAACAAGCAAAAAACTCAGCAAAGATGTCATTGCATAATAGTCCATTATGCCTCCAATTGAGCCGTCATGAACTATCAAAGAAATAATTGCGCAATAAGCCCATAATGGCTTAATCGTGTCAACATCTTTGCATTTACATATTTTTTTAATCAATGGAAATTAAGTACAAAAATGAGTCTTTTGGTTTCCATCCTGATTTTACCTTTGTGACTGGGGGTGGGTTGAGGGTTTGGTTCTCTCTGCCACCTTCAAGGGAGGCTGCAGTCCCTGAATTTCTCCTAGATGTGTCTGATACTGATTAGTTTCTGGGCACGGGAGGGCCCTGAGAGCCATGATGTCAGGACAGGAGAACACTCTGTAGGAATCAGCAGTGGTGAGTTTGGTGTTGCCCAGGGCCAGGCATATACTTGACTTGACCTTCTGCAGGAATACAAGCTGACTCTATTTTTGTCACATGCATGTCTTTCTGGTCCCAACCATTCATCACACATGGACAGAGGTCCTGAAGCAAAGCTCTTCTCTCCAAAGAGAGAAATAACTACTTATGGAGAGGGACTGCTGAGCCATTCACAGTTATCCTAGCCCAACCTTGATCTTGCCATGGCTTATCCAACCCAGGGTTTGGCTAGTGCAACCTGATAGCCTGCTGGGTTAAAATCAGTAGCACCAGCTGGCCCTCCCCTCCTTTTGTTTTCCTACTCTTCATGGCCTCATTTGGGGGCAGAAATGGTTGAGCTTAGTTTCGTAGAACACCCAACCCCTGGGGACCTTCCTTAAAGAGGTTTTATTGTAGGTAAGCAATCACAGATCTATCTGTCTATCTATCTATCTATCTATCTATCTATCTATCTATCTATCAATCATCTATCTACCTATCATCTATTTATTATCAGTCTATGTATCTATCTAACCTCTATCTATCTATCATCTGTCTATTATCTACCTATCATTTGTCTATCTATGTATCTATCTATGTATCTATCTATCTCTATCCACCGAGATGTGTTTGATGCTGATTAGTATGTGTACAAATGCACACAGACAAATATGACTAATTTGAAAACCTGGTAGTTATGCTTAAAGCTCCAATGATCAGAGAAATGCAAGACAAAAGAGGCACCTTGAGACTTGGAGAAAGAAAAAGTTTGATCTCTCTTGCTGCCTGTTCAGAGCATGAATTCTAAGATAGCTGTGTACATGAGACAGGAGATGTGGCAAGAACTGGTGGCAGCTCTCTTGCAATTCTGAAAGGGGCCGAGAGCAACCCATTGGCCTTCTCTTAGAGCATGAGCCATGGAAGAAATAATATCAGCTAATGTCTGCAGAGAGCTTTACACTTATAAAATACACTAACATACTTTAATTCCAGTTGCTTCTCATGACAAAACTCATTAGCAATAGTGAGAGTAATAACAGTCATTATTTACTTAGCACCTGTGTGCTGTGCCATACCCTACAGAGTTCATTTGTTCACGACCATCGCTAACACCTAGAACACTGCCTGGAGCTCAGTACAAGTCAAATAAATATTTGCTGAATGACTGAGTAAATGAATACACCTTGAGATGTAAATCTCTATTTTACAAATAAGGAACCAAGCTCAGAGAAGTAGATTATATTAAATAATTGCCCTGAGTTGCACAGCAGGTCAGTGGCAGAACTGGGCTTTGAAATCTGGTTTCACTGTCTGTCTCTCAAGCCTGAGTCACTTTCTCCTCATTTTACAAAGGAAGCGACAGATTCATAGAATGTGCAGGCTCAGGGATGTTTGGACCAGAGTTGTGTTGCATCTGTGTTTTCATGTCTGTCATGGGCCAGAAGGAGAAGGCTCTATGCATTTCATGTCTTCTTCACCCAGCTTCCCTCCTGGGAAAACTGTTTTTTTGTTTTGTTTTCATTCTTGTGGACAGCAACAAGGGCTGCCAAGTTGAGAGTCCTGATCTGCAGAGGTGTGGGTGGGTGGGGGGTGGGGAATGGTTATTAGCGGGGGGCTACATGCATGGAACTGTCCCGTGTGGCTGAGTGGCCTGAACAGGACTGAATGGTGTTCTTACAGCTTTAGAGAAGTTTTCAGCTCTCCAAATGCTCTATCCCTTGCAAACAGGCCCAATTTGCTTGCCTATCTGCTAGGCCAACACAACTCCTTTATCTGGGCGATTCTGATTCATGGTGGGGGAAGGGGTGGCTTTGTGGACCTGATGCTGTAGGCAAGGTGAAGACAGAGTTGTGTTTTTACAAACATGAGAGGGAGAGAGGCGGCTTACTTCCTTCTGAGAAGTAGCCAGGGCTGGTGAGCCACTTGCTCCAGATGCAGGTGGACTAAGGGCAGGTGAGGCGTGCCCAGCAAAGGGGATGCTTGGGGTGATGCCTTGCATTTGTGCACAGGCCCAGTGACCTCTGTGGTCTACTGTAGGATGCCACCTTTGTTCCTCTTCAAACAGCCAAGATAGAGGAAGATGGGCTGCATTATCCCAGGCATGGGGGCTTCTGAACAGGGCTGTGAGTTTTTGTACTTTTCTGTCTCAGGTCCCCTTTGGTAGGGGACTATCTCCACCGTTTCTCACCAGTGCGATCACTTTCAAGCATTGTTGCCTGTGCTGTTGATTAAACAAAACGAAGCCAATTGCAGCAGGTGACTCAGAATGGACAGGAGTAGGTATTGCTACCAGCACGTGAAGAGGCCATTTATCGAAGTTTTATCTGATCCAAAGCTCTGGATTTATCAGTCACTGCTTATAAATGGCATCAAGCCAGAGCTGTGTCTGTATGCACCTGGGGTCTGCATTGCTCCTGCGCAGAGCTGTGCCCTGTGGGAACACGGCCTTGAATAACCCGGCTAATGAGGCAGTCTTGGGGGAGGGAGATGCCGAGGATAGTGTCCAAGAAGCAAGTCCATGCAGTGAATTGAGGATGGGTGCCCTCATGGTGAGGACTTGACAGGCACCCTGCCTAGAGAATGGAGTCTTGCATGTCTGACTGGGGAGCTGGAAGCACACAGGTCCACTGGAAGTCCCAAGAATTACTAGGGGCTGATCACTACCCAGTGGAATGAAGCTACTCAGGGCAGGGAATGGTGCATTTTCAGAGTTCTGGCTTTCTTCATTAAGAATGACTAATGGCCAGAGGATGCCTTGAACCCCTAAAAGAACAAAAACTGGAAAGTACTGCTGATTAAATTCTTCTGCAAGATTTCAGACTCAAGAGACAGAGCAACAGATTTCTCTACATAAAAATCAAAAGCAGCTCCATTTAGAGGGGACATGATAAACACAGGCAAAAGGCAACTTTTAGACTGGAAGAAAATATTTGCAGCATATATATTATAGACAATCTTTGTAGCTGGGAACTATGGCTCACACTTGTAATCCCAGTGATTTGGGAGGTCAAGGTGGGAGGATCGCTTGAGGTCAAGTATTCGAGACAAGCCTGGGCAACATAGTGAAACCCAGGCTCTACAAAACATTAATAAATTATCCAGGAATGGTGGCAAGCACCTGTAGTCCCAGTTACTTAAGAGGCTAAGGAAGGAGGATTGCTGGAGCCCAGGAGGTCAAGGCTGCAGTGAGCTATGTTTGCACTGCTGCACTCCAGCCTGGGTGACAGAGTGAGACCTTTCTCAAAAAAACAAAAAAAATTGAAATAAATATATAGACAACAAAGTGAGGTTTTTATCTCTTCTCTCCAACCCCACTGGAAAGACACTGCCTATTCTGAAAGGCACATGAACAGGAGAAACAGCAGATGAAATTGCAGCAGAAGAATTTTGGAAGGTAGGAAATAAATGTGTGAGTAGTAAGGGACTTGGGTACCTTAGTCAAGAGTACTAACTCCCAAGCCAGTGGGGAAAGCTGAGAGTCCACAAATGTACACCATGGAATACCCCACTGGCTCAGGGATTAGCCAGTCTGTTGAAGAAGCTGTTAGATCTCCCAATTTCTCCCCACCCCATGCAGCGAAGTTATACTTGAGGAAATCACTCAGAAAGATGGGGGAAAGGACAAAAAGATGTAAAATAGGAGATAAATAATAACAAATATTAAAGGACTGCTCTAGGAAACCAAAGATCTGAGTAAAGATCTGAGTTCCAGAAGAAGAGAATAGAGAAACCGGAGGGGAGGAGGTCATGGAGAAAATGATTCCCTTGAAACTTCCTTTGACTTCAGTGCCCAGGCCAATGGATAGGCACATGTCCACATCTAAAGCCCAGCACTGAGAAATTTATGAATAATGGAAACAGAAAGACAATCTATAAGATGTGTACCTCCATGTGTGCATGCATAGGAGAGAAAGAGAAATGAGAGGGAGACAGACAGAGAGAGAGAGAGACGGGGGAGTTCTATTTTTTCACAAACACTGGAAACTAGAAGGCATCTTCCAAATTGTTCATCTTGGAATTCTCTACTTAGCCAAACTATCAATCAAGTATGAGGCTAGAATAATGACATTTTCAGTCATAGAAGCTCTTAACCAATTTACTTTCTATGTATCAGAAGCTAAGGAAGACTTGCTCCATCAAAATGAGGGAGTCGGCCAGGTGCAGTGGCTCATGTCTGTAATCCCAGTGATTTGGGAGGCCAAGGTGGAAGGGCTGCTTGCGGCCGGGAGTTAGAGACAAGTCTGGACAAGAAAGCAAAACCTAATTTCTACAAAATATAAATAAATACATAAATTAAATTAAATTAAATTAAAAAATTAGCCAGGCATGGTGGTGCACGCCCATAGTCCCAGCTACTCTGGAGACTGAGGCAGAAGGATCCTCTGAGCTTGGGAGGTTGAGGCTGCAGTGAGCAGTGATTGCACCATTGCACCACTGCACTCCAGCCTGAGCAACATAGTGGGAGAGACCTTGTCTCTAAAACTGAAAAACAAATGAGGGAGTCAACCAAGAAAGGGCAGACAGCCACCTCGTCTTCCCTGTCTTCTTTCCTTACTCCTTTCATCCTTCTTTTCTTCCTTTGTAAATACTTGCTGAGTGCCCACTAAGTGCCAGACATTGGGGATATGCCAGTGAATGGGACAGACAGTGTCTCAGCCGACATGGCATTTACCTTCTAACAACACTTAAGATGTCAGGCTAGTGTCTTCCCCTGGAGGACATGTTCAGGTGAGGATGCTAAGGCCGGAAGTGGGGACACACCATCAGCACAAAGAAACCAGAATTTGAAACCCAAGCCCTCAACCCTTCACCCTTCAGCAGGTGGCATTTGACTGCATCTGGCACAAGCCAGCTTTTACGTCCTTTGAAATTGCTTCTTAGGATGGTCCTATTAGATTCTGAGAGGCAGCGGCTGGCTCTCCTTTTCCTGTGTCTCTTGCAGTGATAAGCACAGTTCTATGTAGTTCCTTGAGATGACCTGAACTGATTATGATATGGATTACTGGGAGAGAATTATCCTTCTGCCTGGTGCCCAGCAAGACCTTGTTAGACTTTGATCCCAATCCTGGCCATTGCACACTAAAGGGAAACAGAGGGAAAAGAGACATCCTAGCAAGTAGGGCAGCTTCTGCTGTGGATCATGAATCCTTCCAGGCCTGAACTGCAGGAAGGAGGCTGAGTGCCAGATGGTTAGCAGCCCACTGTCTCCCTGGAAGTAATTGGAAGGAGGACACAGAGGGCCAGAGGAGCACAGGTGGAGGGGTGCCTGATTCTGGCTGTTTCCCCAAGAGATGCTTTTGAGGAAGACCCTGAAAGAGGGCAAAAGAAGGCTGCCCAGGCATCAGATATGCAAGCAAGCAAACAGAAAGAGAGTGCACGGGCCACTTGGTGGGAGGGTGTGCTTACAGTGTGGTTATAACTTAGGCTTCATGCAAATGCCTAACATCAGCAAGGACACATTCTTGCTGACAGCAGGAAGGGCCCCGTGGCACTGGGAAAATGTTTGGACCTCACTCTCTAGGCCATTCATGGCCCCGTTTAAGAGGGACAGCAATGAAGTACAAGGCATGTTTCAGCAAGATTACTCTGGGGGAAGGAGAGATGGGCTGGGATTGCACCCATGAATGAGAAGGAGGTGTAGGGCCCGTACCAGGGCATTTCCAGTGAGGTTGGAATGGAGGGGATGAAGATACCTTGCAGGTGACTCACTGTCTGTTCTAGGTGAAGAAGAATCAAGACAGACTCAGGCTCTCTGAGTGTCTGGCTTCTGGGTGGTGTTGTGGTGAGCAATTGGATATGAAGCTCTGAGATTCCAGCGAGAGGTCTGGGACATTGTAATTTGGAGAATCACTGGGGTGCCAGAGGCCATGTGCTCTAGAGGCCATGGGCATGGATGAGACCAGCCATGGGGAGAAGAGACTGAAACAAGAATAGAAATGAAAGTGATCCCATGGAATACTACCCAGCCACAAAAAAGAATGAATACTACACAGCCACAAAAAAGAATGAAATCATGTCCTTTACAGAAACAGGGATACAAATCCAGCATGGATGCAATTTGCATATCCAAGTAAACGAATGCAGAAACAGAAAATTTAACAACACATGTCCTCACTTGTAAGTGAGACCTAAACACAGGGTGTGCATGGACACAAGGATGGGAAAAATAGACGCCTGAGATTCCAAAGGGAGAGGAAGAAAGGAGAGTAAGGGCTGAACAACTACCTATTGGGTACTTACGTTCACTATCTGGGTGATAAGTTCAATTGGACCTCAAACCTCAGCATCACACAATACACCCTTGTAACAAACCTGCATGTGTAGCCTCTGAATAGAAAATGAAATGTAAAAAAAATTATTAACAAATGAAATAAAATGTGTAACAGTAAATGTTCTTTAACAAGAAAAGCAATATCCCTATTTAAGTTCTGGTTTTTTGTTTTGTGTTTCTTTGTTTTCTGTTTTTGAGACAGAGTCTCACTCTGTCACCCAGGTGGGATTACAGTGGCGTGATCTTGGCTCACTGCAACCTTCGCCTGGCGGATTTGAGAGATTCTCCTGTCTCAGCCTCTGGAGTAGCTGGGATTACAGACACGCACATACTGGCTAGCAATACCCCTATTAAAGATGAAGATATCTTTGTTCAAAAAAAAAAAAAAGCCTGGTGTGGTGGCTCAAGCGTATAATCTCAGCACTTTTGGAGGCCAAAACAGGTGGATCACCTGTGGTCAGGAGTTCGAGACCAACCTGGCCAACATGATGAAATCCTCATCTCTATTAAAAATACAAAAAATTAGCCAGGTATGGTGGCGGGTGCCTGTAATCCCAGCTACTCCGGAGGCTGTGGTAGGAGAATCGCTTGAACCCTGGAGGTGGAGGTTTGCATTGAGCCAAGATTGTGCCACTGCACTTCACCCTGAGTGACAGAGCGAAGGAAAAAAAAAAAAAAGAAAGAAATGGAGTTGACAGCAACATTAGGAACCTAGGGAGGAAGAGACACCAATGGAGGAAGAAAAGATGGGGAGGAGGATTTTCTCAGAAACCAGGGGAGCAGAAAACTCCTGGGAGGTAGAGAAGAGCAAAGCTGGTGAGGCAACTCTCATGCTGGAGCATAATCCCTTTTCAAGGATCTTCTGTGGCTTCCCATTGCACTCCTCACTGTAAAACTTGTGGATCTTCTTAAATATCCTCTCAGGTTCCCCAAAACCCAAGCACTGGATAATTGAACTAGGACATCATTACTGACATCACCACCCACCCCCATCCCAGTATCCTGAATAGACTTCTCTTTATTGAAAATTGAGGACATGTCACTTAATCAAAGAGCAGTCCCTGAGAAGATGGAATACACGTGTCTGTGTGCAGCATCCTCAGAAACAGAAAGGTTTAGAGTCTATTGCTGGCTCTCGAGGAGGGAACCTACTTTTGGGCATCCAGTCCTTTGTGGAAGAAATTAATCCGTAAATAGTTTATTAAGGTCGGAAATGCTGCCAGCGACCCTTTGAAAACATACAAAATCTTTAAGAGATTGCAAAGGTAAATCTTATTGTCTGGGGAAATGACTTCTGCACAGTTATTTCTTTTATTGCTGTGTAAATGTGATGGCATTCCTCATTTTAATAAATCCTGGTGTATCTCTCCGTCCATGTAGGCTGATATAAATATCTCCAGTTATTTCACATTACCACCTTTGTACAGGCCCTGATGACTGGAGTCTGATAAATGCAAAACCTCATTTGGTTTGTGAGTGATTGAGCGCTAACACTGTTTAGATTTCTTAATATACTTGTATTAGCATGAATAAGTAAGGAGCATGCCAGGCTTTTTTGAATATTTGATTGTATCTTTGTAATGGATTTGTGTCTCTCTCTTTGTGCTAATGTCATTGTAACTTTGTTGGTGTCATAACTCCAAGCCAAGGCAATTGATCTTTATCACCCTATCTTGAGTCAATCACCCTCTCCTTGCAGAATGGCAGCATGCTATGCCTTTCTTTCCCACACAATTCTGCATTTTGTTTTTTTGGGGAGAGGTGCTGGTAACCACCCTATTCTCAGGGAATGTCTTTCCTGTTTACAAAGTGATGATTTGAGATTTCCAAATGAAGCTCAGGGAGCCAAGGGTTGGAAGTTGACAGTGTCTTCATGTGAACAGCAAAATCTGAGTTATCTTACCCCCAGCAAAGCTTTATCTGTCTGTTCATTATTGCAGAGTGGATGGGTCTACCATTGCATAAGCAGCTTCTATAAGCTGGAGGTCTTGGGGCAGAGAGGACCCTTTTCCTAAGGTCTACAAAGTATCAGCACCATTAACAAAGGCCTCCTCCTCCTTTAATAAGGGTTTCTTTTCTGATGTGAACAGAGAACACGAACATTGTCCTTACATGCAGTAGCCAAAGTGTTTTTGCCTGTAGGAGTTATCCTCTGACGGAAGATTAATTTCTCAGACATGTTAGTAATTGATGTCCTGGTTCAAACTCCAAGCAAGCCAGTTCACATGCTCCAAGCCTGAATATACACATGAATGTGGCAACTAGGATTAATGGTTCCCTGGGTGCCCACCGAAAATGTGTTCCAGCAGCACCATGAGCTCATATGCCAGGAAGAGTTGCACAGAAACGCCAGTTTGAATTTGAGAAGAGCCATGACCACACTTAAAGTGCAGGGACCTGCTTGTATTTCCATTGCCCTGCTAAGTCATTAGCTAAGTAGGAGCAGTGGCTTGAACTGCATCCATTATGAGGACATAAAAATATGTTTGAAGTTTTTCCATCTTCCATTACACAGCAGAAATCCAGGCAGAGCTGGTCCTTTCATGAAGCGACAACTGTAACATGTTCATAGGATGTCTGGTGAACAAATAAATAATAATTGTCAATATTACAGTGACAGTGATGATAAATTGATTTGAATTTCTAAATGCTTTCTTGTATGCTAATGGTTTTGATTCTTAGCCACAGTGTGTACACATTGAGTAAATAATACAGGTTTTGTCTCTTTATTTTGTTTCTTCTACAATTACCCTTGGCTGTTTCACTCTCAGTATCCTCAACCTGACCCTCTGCATTGGCCTCTCTTAGTTTTATTTATTTATTTTTATTTTTCTTATTTTTTTGAGACAGAGTCTTGCTCTGTCGTCCAGGCTGGAGTGCAGTGGCATAATCTCTACTCACTGCAACCTCCACCTACTGGGTTCAAGCGATCCTCCTACCTCAGCCATCTGAGTAGCTGGGATTACAGGAACGCACCACCATGCTTGGCTAACTTTTGTATTTTTAGTGGAGACAGGGTTTCACCATGTTGGCCAGGCTGGTATTGAACTCCTGTCCTCAAGTGATGTGTCTGCCTCAGCCTCCCAATGTTCTGGGATTACAGGCATGAGCCACTGCGCCCAGCCTCATTTATTTATTTTTTCTGGAGACAGGGTCTCGCTCTGTCACCCAGGCTGGAGTGCAGTGGCACAATCATGGCTCACTGCAGCCTCAAACTCCTGGGCTCACGGGATCCTCCTGTCTCAGCCTTCTGGGTAGCCAGGACTACAAATCACGATGCCTGGCTACATTTTAAAATTTTCATAGAGACAGTGTCTTGCCATGTTGCCCAGGCTGGTCTCGAGCTTCTGGCTTCAAAGGATCTTCCCATCTCAGCCTCCTCAAAGTGCTGGGATTATAGCTATGAACCATTGTGCTGGCCTGGCCTCTCTTATCTTTCACTCAGCTTATCACCCTTCCATGTGCATCTGGCCTCTGCTTTTCTCTCTCCTGTTTGCTGCTCAGACCACAGGAATCCAGCCTGTGTCCAGTATTGCTCCACTCCCTTTCACAGAGGTACAAGGGAGGGGAGATGGCTGGATCTCAGGATTTCTTCTCTGCTGTCACTCCTCAGCCCATCCTGTAGTCCTCGTCTCTGTGGATCAGCCTCTCCTGCTCCAAACCCTGATCTTTTCCTTTAGGATCCACTCTCTCCTTTTTCTTTCCTGACCCTGACAACCCCGGCCCCCCAGGGATGTGACCTGCTTCTCTGCATTCCTCTCTTAGTGCACACCCTTGGACATTCTCACCTGGTGTTCTGGGCTGAACTGTACCCTCCATCCCAAATTCACCTCTAACCCCCAGTACTTGAGAATGCAGTTGTATTTGGAGATAGGGCCTCTTAAAAGGTGAGTAAATTAAAATAAAGCCCTTAGAGTGGGGCTCTAATCCGATCTGACTGGTGTCCTTCTAAGAAGAGGAAAGCTGGTCACACACAGAGACACCAAAGACTCACAAGCACTGAGGGAAAGCCACAGAGCAGAGGACTCCGTGAGAAAACGGCCATCCACAAGCCATGGAGAGAGGCCTCAGAAGAAACCAAATTTGCTGACACATTCACCTTGGACTTCCAGCCTCTAGAACTCTGAGAAATAAATTTCTGCTGTGTAAGCCCCTGCCTCCATCTGTGGTATTTTGTTGTGGCAACCCTAGCACATGGATGAACCTGCCTTCTGAGCTTTCAGGATTTTGAAACAAGAATAGAAATGGAAGTGACCCTATGGAATATTATGCAGCCACAAAAAAGAATGAAATTATGTCCTTTGCTGAACCATGGAGGGCATAGGAACCACGGATGTCTTTCTTGGACTCCTGACCTGAGTATTCAGTGGTCTGCTTGACACCGAGGATACTGAGGCCAGGGATTTTTTTTTTTCTTTTCAAGACAAGGTGATCTGGGCACACTAGGATACAGGAGAAGGAACAAGTAGGGAGGAGGAGATTGAAGCTGCTGGGGTAAGGGGGACCTTTAGAGTTCTGGAGAAATGAGAGAGGACAGGATTAGGCTGGCAAGGTGGAGAACACCTCCTTTTTTTAGCGCAGGAGATTCTGTTTGGACTGAATGTGTTGGCGATGATGAGCACATAACCACGTGTCTGCAATTTTCCCAAGTCTTCCTTCCATGTTGCAGTGGAAATCCTGGCAAGAAGATACCCCTATATAGAGTATGGGTGACAGGTGATGGCTCAGATAATTGGGGAAAAGTGAAAGAGGTTAAGCCTCCTGGCTTTGCTTTTTCCAGGAATTAGGGTGGGGGTCTTGGGAAGAACAGGGAAAAATGTGCTCAGTCTCTGTGGGGCTCTGTCTAGGGAATTCACAAGACCCAGCTGGAAGAGGGGCCAGAATGGAGTTGTCCCCTAGATGTGGAGAGGACTTGAGAAACTATCTAAGACTTTATAAAAGGCTCTGTGGCCCAAGGCAGGACTGGATGAGGTGATATGGTGGGATGCCTTGGTGTCAAGGAAGTGCTGGTAACCCTGGGGCCAAGTTGGGTCCCAGAGGGAGTCTCTGGGATGAGAGTCAACCAGATCTAACTTCCCTGTTGAAGGAAGGGGGTTAATGAAACTGTGACCTGGGGAGGGACCTGGTCATTGGATGTCCTGGGAGAGTAAATAAGAAGTGGATTGGGTTGGGAGAGGGGCAGAGGTGAACAGTAATGAGTCTTCAGTCAGAGAAGAGGCAAACAACCTGAAACCTCACAGGGGGTATTTCCGAGTGACACAGGCCGAGGAGAAAACCAGTGCCGGGTGAAAGGGAATGTGCCCCGAGTGGATCGGGAGTTCTGGGGAAACAGGAGCCTAAGGCCAGATTCACCAGGATGATCCTCCCTTAATACCCTCTAGTCTTCAAGCAGTGGAGGCCAGGAGAAGCCCCCGCCTTCCAGTCCCGTAGGTCCGTAGAGCCCAGATGGTGCTGTTTGAATCCTGAATGCCACTTTCCAAAATGCGACAGGGCCTGGATTTCATCCCTTTTTCTCCTTCAAATCACATGGAATTTTTTTTTTTTTTTTTTTTGAGAATGGGTCTCACTCTGTGGCCCAGGCTGTAGTGCACTGGTACAATCTCAGCACAATGCAACCTCTGCCTCCCAGGTTCAAGCAATTCTCCCGCCTCAGCCTCCTGAGTAGCTGAGATTACAGGCGCCTGCCACCACGCCTGGCTAATTTTTGGGTTTTTAATAGAGACGGGGGTTTCATCATGTTGGCCAGGCTGGTCTGAAACTCCTGACCTCAGGTGATCCACCCACCTTGGCCTCCCAAAGTGCTGGGATTACAGGCATGAGCCACTGTGCCTGACCAGTAAATTTTTTAGTCAAAGATTCAAGGGTCTTTTGAGGCCAATGGGATACTGCACATGCATGTTTCATTAAACACACACACAAACACACACGCAAAACGACATGACAGAAGCCCCATATTTGGATGTCATCACTCCTGCTTCTGCTCGGGTTAGGAACACCTTTCCTGCTATCTTCATTTTTATCATGTAAATGAATGAGTCATCGTGATCCCTGGTGTCACCCTGTTCTTCCTTTCTGAATAGCATTTTTCCTCTTGCAGCTGTGCAGCTGTGTAAAGGAAACACACACACATTCTCACACTCACACACACCCCATAGCCAGATGCATTTTTATTTCCTCTGCTCTGCTGAAATCAGGCCTGTTCCACAATATGTCACATGATGATGGGGGAAAATGTGCTAAAAAAATCTACCATTTGTGTGTCTCTTTCTCCACTAACCATCAGTGGAGTTGAATGCCTGTAGCAAGCCAACTGCTCTGTAGATTTTGTCCTGATTATTAAACACAGAATGTGAAAAGCTAAGCATAGAGAAGGAAGAGTTATCCTCTAGTTTATGTAAAGTCAGCAGTGAAAATAAAAATTGTGGCATGTACGTAGACGTTTATTTGCTTTACCTATAGTCACACCGCAGAGCTTTGTCTCTGGTGACAAAGTTTTTATTTTTTCTGAGCAATGACAATGGATTACTTCTGTAAGCAAGTGCTCTATCCATTATTAAATTGATTATTCAAATCTCATTTAAACAAAGAAGCCAGATGGCAATTTTCCATTATTTGTTGCTACTGACAACCACCAACCCTAAACTGAAAGATTTTCCTTTTTTTTTTTTTTCTCTTCTGCTGGCTAAAGAGCCTGCTGCATTTCCACGCAGACCAAAGGTAGAGCCCATATTGGAAACAAATAGCCAATTACCAAACAAGATTGTTGTTATTGATTATTTTGGAATCATCTTTGCATTGACAGAGCTGCTGTTCTTTTGATGATTCCATAATTAACTTATCTATATTCAGGCACAATAACTTTGTTCCCTGTAGTCATTCGGATGTGAGCATTATTGTTGTTATTTAGTTGTCATGACAGCAAGAAGCATGTTTTTACATGTCCAGCATCCTGGTTATTTTAAGACCCTCATAAGTATGCCTTGCTAATGAATCAGAATAATGGCGATCCTGCAAAATAATGATTTTTAAAATTCTAAGGGAGGCTTAAAATCTAAATGTGAGATAATTGCCTGCACTTGTAAGAATCATGAAGTATGTTTCTCTGTGTGTACCCACGCGTGCACTCACATATGTGACCTCTTCTTCTGTATGTGAACAAATTTGTATATTGCTGTTCTGGAGTTAGCACACTCTATGGTGATTGGATTTCCACAGGAGCACCTTTTGAAACCAGTGTTTGTCAGGTAATCTTTTTTCTTTTGAGACAGAGTCCAGTTCTGTCAACCAGGCTGGAGAGCAGTGGGGCGATCTCAGCTCACTGCAACCTCCACCTCCCGGGTTCAAGTGATTCTCCTGCCTCAGCCTCCCAAGTAGGTGGGATTACAGGTGTGCACCACCACGCCTGGCTAATTTTTGTATTTTAGTTAAGATGGGGTTTCACCATGTTGGCCATGCTGGTTTTGATCCGCCCGCTTCGGCCTTCCAAAGTGCTGGGATTACAGGCGTGAGCCACCATGCCTGGGCTTTGTCAGATAATCTTATGGCTGGGGCCAGGCTCAGCATATCAGTGCTCTTAGAAACCTACTGTGGGAATTTATCTTCAAATTCTTTAATAGCTAATTTTTAACACATCTTTTTTAAAAATGTCAATCCACCTCTTTAGATGTTTTCCGCATGTGTGCAAATAAGATTTAAGTAACTTTAAGAAGATCATACTTCTAGTTGATTGGATTTTTGCAATTCAGCATGTTTCCCTTTTTATGACTTCCAGCATCACCTGATGTTTGGAGTTCTGTTGATCTTGCCAGGAGAAAGGGCATTCCAGTTATACGAAAGAGACTAACTTGCCTTCTCTGTGAAATACACAGACACAAAAATCTTTGGAGGTGTCCTCAGAAATTTAAAAGTGTGGGCTGGGAGCGGTGGCTCATGCCTGTAATCCCAGCACTTTGGGAGGTCAAGGCAGGCAGATCACTTGAGCCCAGGAGTTCAAGACCAGCCTGGGCAACATGGTGAAACCCTGTCTCTACCAAAAATAGAAAAAATTAGCCAGGTTTGGCGGTGCACACCTGTAGTCCCAGCTACTTGGGAGGCTGAGGTGGAAGAATGGCTTGAGTCTTGGAGGTGGAAGTTGCAGTAAGCCAAGAGATTATGCTGCTGCACTCCAGACTGGGCAAGACAGTGAGACCCCATCTCAAAGAAAGAAGGAAGGAAGGAAGGAAGGAAAGAAGGAAGGAAGGAAGGAAGGGAGAGAGGGAGGGAGGAAGGGAGGGAGGGATGGAAGAAAGAAGAAAGGAAAGAGAAAGAAAGAAAGAAAGAAAGTAAGGAAAGAAAGAAAGAAAGGAAGGAAAGAAAAGGAAGAAAGAAAGAAAGAAAGAAAGAAGAAAGGGCCGGGCGTGGTGGCTCATGCCTATAATCCCAGCACTTTGGGAGGCCGAGACAGGCGGATCACAAGGTCAGGAAATCAAGACCATCCTGGCTAACACAGTGAAACCCCGTCTCTACTAAAAGTACAAAAAAAATTAACCAGGCGTGGTGGCGGGCACCTGCAGTCCCAGCTGCTCGGGAGGCTGAGGCAGGAGAATGGCGTGAACCCGGGAGGCGGAGCTGGCAGTGAGCCGAGATTGCGCCACTGCACTCCAGCCTGGGTGACAGAGCGAGACTCCGTCTCAAAAAAAAAAAAAAAAAAAAAAAAAAAGAAAGACAGAAAAAGAAAGAAAGAGAGAAAGAAGGAAAGAACGTTAAAACTGTGTTAAAACTGTGGCCTCTATAGGTTCAAGAAGATTTTCAAGCGTTTCAATTAATAATTTGCTTGTCCTGAGGAGGAACCTAACAAACATTTTTGACTGAGGTGGTATATTTAAATTCTGGCCAAAAGAATTTGGCTTCTTCTGCCTTAGTAAAATTGGGATTGTTTCCTCTTTCAGAGAATGCCTTGTTGTTAGCGGAGGGCTGGGGTGGGAGACATGGCTGGCCTCTTTTACCCTAGTGGTTTCTGGAGAACTCTCAAATAATTTAGCAGCTCATACTCAACTTCATAATGACTGCATCCCATGAACTACTTCCTCCCACTCACCCCCTCAAATGTGAGACACCTCCTGAACATCAAGAAGCACTTTCCAGCAGGAAAACTGTGCATATATTGTTCACCACAAATACACTTTGGTTCTGTAATTCAGAATATCTATTCTGCCGATGGTTAAGAACCAAATATTAACATAGAAATGCTGTAATGGTAAAGATGTGCTCGCATACATGTTAAGTTTCTAATCAAACATTGCAAAAATGCATTAATCAGTATTTCATAGTTCATTACAGTCTGACTAATTTTGAAATCCCTCATGTAAATTGATTAAATGTCTTCTGCAGGCAGATGAATGGGCTTTTGTTTTAAGCAACCTTTACTGAGAAAACCATAATTCTCTGTGACTCGATTCCTGCACATTTGTGATGGGCACTCTTGTAGGCTGACTCTAGGTGATCCAGAATTTTCCTGTTTGCAGCTGGGCCTACCAGCCAATTCTAGCATCCTCTGTGGGCCTACGTATTTAGTGAGCATCTATTTTGTGCCCAAGATTGTGCCAAGTGTAGGGAGAGAAATGAAGGAAGCATGGGATATGTTCCTCTCTCTCATATAGACAGGGATGACTTAAACATGTGAACAACTAAATTAAAAAATATACACACATAACAAAGGCTAGCCTGGGAAGCACAGCCTATTACAGTTTCTTTACTTTCCAGAAATATAAACCAATTCTGGATAGCTTTAACAAAAAGGCAGGGTGTTTATTCACTGTCAGGATTCTGGGCTTGTTTTCATGTTAAATCACAGACGGGGCAGGGAATCTGGAGTCTGAGACTCAATACTCTCAGGACTTTCTGTCTTTACCTCCCTGACTCACTTCCCTCAGCATTCGCTTCTCTACAAGGCTGACACCTCATCCCAGGTCTTCTGAGCTTGCCTTGCCAGAGGAAAGAAGCTTTTCCCACCAACTCCAGTCAGAAGTTCCTTAGGAATAACTCTGACTGGCTCAGCTGATTCCTTGGACCAATCACTGTGGTCTCCAGAAGGACTCTGATTGATTGGCTCAGCTGACCTACTTGGACCAATCAATATGGCCTTCCAAAGGACTAACTGTGAGTGGTTTAGCTGGGTCATTTGCTCACCCCTCAGACCACAGGGGATACGGTATAAGTGAGTCCTATTTTCACGACAACTCCCTGGGCCCTATGGACAGCCATGAGAACATCTGTGACTTAAACAGGGCACTCAGCCATATAACTCTGAAAGAGGTGATCAGGGAAGGCCCCCAAGAAAAGGCAGGGCTTTAACTGGGTTAAAGCTGTGAAATGTGAATAGGACAGGGAGGGTCTCTCTCTGGGAATGCACCCAGGTGGTCTCGGAACACCCAGCTAGGGTGGGAAGATATGACCCAGGGACAATGTGTGGAGACATTGGGGGATCCAGCCAACAGGATTGCTTGAAGCCAAATATGGCATGACTTGGAAGCCTGTGAGAAAACTGTTCTTGAGCTGCCAGGATACAGAGAAATGTTGGATGTTCCACAGCAGATCAAGCTGGATTGATGGGAGGGAGGTCCAGGAAGATGCAATTTGTCAAAAGCTGGTACAGGCCAGCATGGTGGCTCATGAGTGCCAGCTACTGTTCTAGGTGTACCTTAGCCTATTTTGTGTTGCCGTAATTGAATACCACAGTCTCGATAATTTATAAAGGAAAGACATTTATTTCTCATGTTTCTGGAGGCTGGGATGTCCAATATCAAGGTACCGGAATCTTTTGAGAGCCTTCTTGCTGTGTCATCCCATGGCAGAAAGTGGGAGGGTGAGAGAGAGAGAGGAAGGGGACCATACTCATCCTCTTATCAGAAACCCTCTCTTTCAATAACCCACTCCCATGAGTCAGGCCATTAATCCATTAAGAAGTGACCTAATTACTTCTTAAAGGTTCTACCTCTCAACACTGTTGCCTTGGGGATAGAGTTCCCAACCCAAGAACTTTGGGAGACATTTACAACATAGCAAAGTGTTTCCATGCACTAACTTGTCAATTTCACCAATGACTTTATCAGATAGGTAGTGTTTACATCCCCATTTTACAGATAACAAAACTGAGGCACAAAGAAGGTCAGCAATGTGCTTGTGAACACACAGGTGTTAGGTGTGAAATGGCTTTTGAATGCAGTAGTCTGGACCCAGAGTCAACTCATAACAAGTTCAGTTGTTGACAGGTTGACTCTCTGGTGACACTGGCCCACCCCACTCGTGGTGTCCAGGTCAGTGGAGAGTGGTTAGAAGACGAAGGGAGATGAGGGAATAGATTGAGAAAGACGAACACAATTGGAGACTCATTGGGATTTTGAGATGAAATGTCAAAGGGGACCCTATTATTCTAATGGAATAGACTGATTCTATTAGATTTATTAGCCTTATTCTAATAAGTCCCAAACCTGAAAAACTATGAAAAGGCATCCTGTTTCGTTGATGCTTATTTGTTTGCCAAAAAACAAAAAAATAGTGGCTACATTCAAGTGAAAGGTTTTGTCTCAATCTTGCTTTTAGACAAAAGACACACTAAGAAAGGATTCTCAGTGTGGAACCTGGGGGCCTGAAACAGTGGTTAAATAATTTTAAATAATATCAGAGACTTTTCTTGGTAATGTTTGTATTTTAATGTGTATTAGAAGAAACAAAACTAGTACATAAAACTCATGAATTTGATGTTGAGCATTGTTTAGGATGAGGTTTAATTTTTTTTAAGTTAGGCAAACATTTTAAAAAGTAAGTTTTGAACAGATGGTATGCAGATATGGCAAAAATTGCCAAGACGAAGTGAGAATGATGGTTTTGGGGAACACTGGGTCAAGGTCCGATTTCCAGGGTTCTGGCTGCGGAGTGCATCTCCCTTCCTGCCTCTGTTTATAATCAGGCTCTCCCCTCCTGCTTCACTACCTTCTTTCTGCATAGCAGCAGTGGCTGACTTCTCATCATTCACTAACACACTGGGCAGGGCCCCTATATCCATCCTTTTACTCTTGCTTTCCTACCATCTGCATGGCCCCTATATTCATTTCTTTTTATCAGAATCCCATTTTTGCTTTCCTTAGCTTATTCCAAAGGTGGTGAATCTAAATGCCTAGCAGGGCTATTCATGTAATGTGAAAAAATAAGCAAGACAAGGGAGTGGCAAGGACTCTGGGGGACTGGAGAGGGGCTGCCTGATCTTGAGGCAGTCAAAGGTAATTGATAAAGGCACTGGGTTACCAGAGGGAGTGCACAGTCAGGCTAGATTTGGCTTTCAAGCTGCTGTTTGCCACTGCTATTGTATGTTTATAGGGCACCTGGTAAGTGTCAGACATGGGAGACAAGGGAGGTGCATTTGCCCTGGAGAGGGCCCGCTGGAGAGGTGGGTGCACACTCTAGAGGTATGTGCGCTTTCTAGGTGTGTGCCTTGGGAACATGGTGCCCACAAGCTCTGCCCCTACTCAGGGAAGCCTTCCTTGATTGCCATTCATTCTTCCTCTCTGTCTTGGAGCTGATTTATAGCTCCCTCTGAATACCCAGGTCCTTATGAAGAGGGCCCTGGGAAGTGGTAGCATCAGAGCTAGTGAGGAGACTCCTGGAAAAGTCTGAATCAGTTCTAGACCCAAGGTGAACCTGCTGCAGGATCCTATGAGATGGCCTAGACCTATCTGTGGTGTAAACCAAAAATAAAATTCTAAGGCCCCCCCAACCATCTAAATGGACTTCCTCCTCAGCCAGGGCTCTTAAAATTTAACCTGAAAGACTGGTTCAGGCCATAAAGGGAAGTGGGATTGGACAGGCCTCACTCTACCTCTCCAGCATTAACATCAATATACGGGCGCACGTCCTCAACCTCGGCAAAATAAACTTTCTAAATTAACCAAGACCTGTCTCCAATTTCCTGGGTCTACAGTGCAGTGCCCCTCCCAGCTGCCCTGGCTGGAGTCTCCTGGCTTCCCACACATTCCCACCATCAGCCGGGCCCACCTGTGATAACAGTGGAAAGGTCCCCTAATGCTTTTTCTCTTGTAGGCCTGGGCTTTTTCCCTTGTGTTCACACCAAGCAGCTTAATCCATTTACTTGATAACAAACACCTCCAGGTACTGAGCCTAGTACCCATTAGTTATTTTTCTTGATCTTTAAAAAATTTAAATAAATAAAAAATAATTTTTATGTTGAATATTTTATGTAAACAAAAATGATTCTTTGTCCATTTAAAAAAAGATACTTGCACACGCATATTTATGGCAGCACAATTCACAATTGCAAAAATCTGGAGCCAGCCTAAATGCCCATACATCAATGAGTGGATAAAGAAATTGTGGCATATATATATACATATAGATAGATAGATAGATAGATAGATAGATAGATAGATAAAGGCACTGGGTCACCAGAGGGAGTGCACAGTCAGGCTAGATTTGGTTTTCAAGCTGCTATTTGCCACTCCTATTGTATGTTTATAGGGCACCTGATAAGTGTCAGAATATATATATATATATATATATATATATATATATATATATATATATATATATATATATATATATAGTGGAATACTACTCAGCCATAAAAAGGAATGAATTAATGGCATTCACAACAACCTGGCTGGAACTGGAGACTATTATTCTAAGTGAAGCAACTCAGGAAAGGAAAACCAAAAATCGTATGCTCTCACTTACAAGTGGGAGCTAAGGTGTGAAGATGCAAGGGCATAAGAACGATGCAATGGACTTTAGGGACTCAGGGAAAGGGTGTGGCGGGGGGTGAGGGATAAAAGACTACAAATTGGGTTCAGTGTGCACTGCTTGGGTGATGGGTGCAGCAAAATCTTACAAATCACCACTAAAGAACTTACTCATGTAACCAAATACCACCTGTTCCCCCAAAAACTTATGGAAATAAAATTTTTTTTTAAAAAAGACAAGTTCAATCAATTCTTGCGACTGACATGTTGATAAGATATCCCTGTCTTACAGCAGCAGTTTCCAGAATAAGGCATGACTGCCACCACTGTGTCTAGAAGTGAGAAGTATCTGCAGTCAGCCCACCAGATTAGACTCTGTACAGGGCTGTGTCTTTGCCTCCTTAGAGTGAAGTTTTATGGTGCCTGAATACAGGATCTAGGTCACAAGTCCACACTCGAGCTGCAAGTTATGTTGGTAAAGTGAGTTGCTGGCATCTCTTTGAGAAGAATGCCTTAAACTTGGAAAGGATGTTTCAAGAAGAAAGGCAAATATGCGCCACAGTAACCATGGAGAGTGATTTGCTAGAGACTGTTTAGAAAGCAAACCTGAAAATACCTTTCTTCATGGCCAGGCGCAGTGGCTCATGCCTGTAATCCCAACACCTTGGGAAGGCCTAGGCAGGTGAATTACCTGAGGTCAGGAGTTCGAGACCAGTCTGGCTGACATGGGAAAACTCCGTCTCCACTAAAAATACAAAAATTAGTTGGGTGTGGTGGTGGGTGCCTGTAGTTCCAGCTACTTGGGAGGCTGAGGCAGGATAATTGCTTGAACCAGGAAGGCAGAGGTTGCAGTGAGCTGAGATCACGTCATTGCACTCCAGGTTGGGTGACAGAGTGAGACTCCTCTCAAAAATAAATAAATAAATAACAACAAAAAACATAAACACCTTCGGGGCCAGGTATTGGAGATGGATACCTCATGAGCTCCAGCACACAGAAGCTGGCAGCCCAGTAGGGTAAGCAGGTGTCTACGTGGCATTGACAATGAAAAGAGCAATGAGAGGCCCATCCAAAGTGTGGGCGGATACCAAGAGGGAGCACCATGCCTGGAGAGGGAGCATGGGTGCAGAAAGGATTGGAGAAGTCTTCTGAGAAGACGCCTTTCCAACCTGGGCTTTCTGGCAGGCGGGAGCACCCTCAGAGAGAGCTGCAGGGCAGAGAAACAGCCGGGGGGCTCTGTGACCCAGGCCTAATCTCTAGGTCAAATTATAAAGTCTGTCTGGGAAGTATGTCAAAAATGCAAAGTCAAGATCCATATTTCCATCATATATGGATCTAGACAGAAAGTGAAGAGCTCCACTGTAACTATAAGGGGAAATGTAGAGAATATTTTTCTTGTTAGTTAACTCTCTCTAAAAGATAATTGTCTGTTTAAATAAAAGTGGTAATAGACTCCAGCATTTATAATCTAGGTAAAAATAAAGTGTATGACAATCATAGCATAAAGTCCAAAAGGGGAACAATGAAAGTATACTATTTTGAGGTCTTATCCTTTACTGAAGTGCTATAATATGAAAAGAATGCAAAGTCTAATTATGAAATACAGTGTTAGAGGTTCTCTTTAGCCTATTATCCTTAATAAGGCACCTGCTTTTAGCTGACGGTCTGGCAGCAGATCTTCTTTGGAAGCCTGTAAGAATTTTTTTTCTTTTTCTATTCTTTTTTTTAAGGAATAGGATCTTGCTCTGTCACCCAGGCTGGAGTGCAGTGGCATGACCAGGACTCATTGAAGTTTTAACCTCCCCAGGCCCAGGTGATCCTCCCTCCTCAGCCTCCTGAGTAGCTGGGACTGCAGGTGCATACCACCATGTCCAGTTACTTTTTGTATTCTTTTAAAATTTAATTTAATTTTAAGTACAGGGTACATGTGCAGGTCATGCAGGTTTGTTACGTAGGTAAACGTGTGCCATGGTGGTTTGCTGCACCTATCAACCCATCACCTAGGTATCAAGCCCAGCATGCATTAGCTATTTATCCTGATGCTCTCCCTCCCCCAGCTCCCCCAACAGGCCCCAGTGTGTGTTGTTCCCCTCCCTGTGTCCATGTGTTCTCATTGTTCAACTCCCACTCATAAGTAAAAATGTGTGGTGTTTGGTTTTCTGTTTCTGTGTTAGTTTGCTGAGGATAATGGCTTCCTGCTCCACCCATGTCCTTGCAAAGGACATGATCTCATTCCTTTGTATGGCTGCATAGTATTCCATGGTGTATATGTACCACATTTTCTTTATCCAGTCTATCGTTGATGAGCATTTGGGTTGATTCCATATCTTTGCTATTGTGGATAGTGCTGCAATGAACATAACTTGTGCATGTTTCTTTATTGCAGAGATGAGGTTTCACCATTTTGTCTAGGCTGGTCTCGAACTCCTAGGCTCAAGTGATCCATCTGCCTTGGCCTCCTAAAGTGCTAGGATTACAGGTGTAAGCCACCACTCCTGGCCAGAATCTAATGGTTCTGCTAAAGGCAGATTAAAAAAAATCAGTTAAAAACAAACTAACAACAACAACAAAAAGGCAAGGCAAACTGATTATTTAACTGACCGGTTTTGTGCCTGAGTTTTTGCTCCTTTGGCTAAATGAAGTTTTGATGGATTTTTCTTTCTCTCTTCTTTCAGTTCTCATGACTCTTCTCTTCAGTTCTCATTAGGAGACTGGAGAAACTGGTGGAGTCTGAAGCCACAGCCTTAAATGACTTCTGTTCATGTCACCTGGATTGACTAGTGCAGGGGGTCCAAGCAGGAAGAGCCCTTTTTGTAAGGGACACGTGGAAAGGAGCAGGTTTCTTTGAACAAATCACAGGGAATCCTGGTGCTGGAATCTGCCCATAAAATGACCTCTGATTTTCATTTTTATTTTTCTTTCAGATTCATCCAAGTAGAAAAGGCCCTAGGTGGGGAACAGATTGACCCAAGTTTACTTTTTTTTTTTTTTTGAGACGGGGTCTCCCTCTGTCACCCAGGCTGGAGTGCAGTGACTTGGCTCACTGCAACCTCTGCCTTCTGGGTTCAAGTGATTCTCCTGCCCCAGCCTCCTGAGTAGCTGAGACTGCAGATGGGTGCCACCATACCCAGCTAATTTTTTGTATTTTTAGTAGGGACGTGGTTTCATCATGTTGGCCAGGCTCGTCTCGAACTCCTGACCTCAAATGATCCAGTATGGTCTCTTCATTGCCAAGTTCTGAGTTCATGGAAAAATTGATCCACTCTTCCGAGTGTCATTAATAAAATTATAATTTCAATTTGTTCTCCCAGGATGGTATGATGGAGAAACCCCAGATATAACAGCGAAGGCCTTCGATCCTTTTATCCTAAAGATACTACTTATATCTGAATAATTAGCTCATCCTCATTTTCCCATGCAGGAACAGGATGGAAAGGTGGAGTTTTTGTTTCTAGCGATGTTGTGGATTTGTTTACCTGGATCCTTCCCCAGAAGCAATGAGTAAGCCCTGGAATGTATGCCTTCCACATTTAAAATATTAATAAATCTCAGGTGCCAAGTTACTCTCTCTGGGTGTCTAACATTTCCCTTATCCTGCCATCTAAGGGAAGCTTTCATGCCATGCTTTAATGCCAAGAGCATCTTCCGGGATAAATGGTAACCTCAGCAGAAAAAATGACTCTCCGGTTGTGTTTTGCGTATTGACAAATCGATAGCTCCCACCCTGGCAGTCCTCAGTGTCTCCTGGCTTAGTGTAGAGTTGCAGCCTCCTGGAGGCCATGTTCACTCCTGTTCCTCTCCACGGTGGGCTTGTGTCGTGAAGGAAACTGTAGATTAATTAGTTCCAGGGCCTTCTTTCCAGGTGTGGTGTAATCAAGCTCGTACTCATATTTGGAGTCGTGAATCAAGTATGCATAGGGTTGGGAGAGGGCTGAGTGGAGAAGCCAGGCTGTGTCCCTCTGGGGTGAAGTGAGGAATGGGAGCGGGAGAGGGCACAAGGGCATAGGTCTGTGAGCGTGGAGGATGGAATGATGCTGGGTCGCATTTCTGGGGAGAGCGCAGTGTGCCCTGGCCTTCTCAGCCGGGGGAAATGAAAGCTTTATCATATGCATTTTCTCTAACTATGGCCTTCTCCTTTTATTGGGATGTCAGACTAGCCTAAAGGCTGGAAGTCTTATTTGGGAACTCGTGATGAAGTGTAAAGTGAATACTGAACAGGTGGAGTGCTTCTGCTCTCTGTGCTAAAGAAACACACAGCTATTGCCCCAGCAAAGAGCAAATGGGTACATTCTAAAGTACAGAAGTGTGGTGAGTGAGTGTTGCTTTTATCAGCTCTCCATGTTCTGTTTCTTTTTTGGGATAACAGCACTCCAATTTCCTATTAGAAATGACCCTCCCCCTTCCTCCTGAGGTAGGGCTTAGAAGACCTGTCAATCAAAGTGCCTGCTACTCACCCAGGTCAGGGTTGAGCATGAGACTCCAGGTAGTCAATCACATTCTCTCCTGGGATTTTTTTTTTTTTTTTTTTCGAGGCAGGCTCTTGCTCTGTCACCCAGGCTGGAGTGCAACAGTGCAATGACAGCTCACTGTAGCCTCAAACTCCTGGGCTCAAGGAACCCTCTTGCCTTAGCTTCCTGAGTAGCTATCACATGCCACCATGCCTGGCTAATTTTTTAATCTTTTGTAAAGATAGAGTCTTGCTCTGTTGCCCAGGCTGTTCTTGAACTCCTGGCCTCAAGTGATCCTCCCATCTTGGGTTCCCAAAGTGCTGGGATTAAAAGTGTGAGCCACCGCACCCAGATGCCTCCTGGGACTGTGAATCTTGAGCAGAGAGATGTGAGAACAAAGAAGAAAAAAAAGACTGGCACTAACTAATTCCAGAGATCATACTCCAACAGTGGCATGGATTGGTCTCTGCTGTCAGGGGCACAGATTTGCTCTGGTTCTGCCCTGTGCTAAGCCAGGCTCCACGGCCTTCTTTTTTGATTCTGGGATCTGGAGCTATCCTCAGCATTCTGGGGCACTCCTCTTCTGTTTAAGTGTGGGTTCCAGTCACTTACAACCAACCATGACTGATGCAAATAGTTTCAGTCTCTGCATCAGGTCTTCCTGGAATATAACTTTAAGGGGGGTGGGAGGTAATTGCTAATCGGCCTCCACACAGCAAAGGCTTCTTGGGATGAATGGAAGCACACTGGTCAGAGGAATTGGAACCCTTCATGTGTGGTAGGTTGTGAGAGAGACTATTTTGCATACGCTGATAAACATTGTTACAATAATAATGGGTGATTTTTGATTTTTAAATTCTGCCCCAAGCTTTGTGCTGAGGACAGGACACGAATAATGTTTCAACTCTCACCAATATCTTATGTGGTTGGCATGGTTAATTATAATCCCATTTTATAAGTGAAAAAAAAAATTAAGACCCAGATAGGAAGTCATTCAATCAAGGTCACCCGGGAAGCGGCGGAGCTGGGATTGGAACTCAGGTCCACTGTCTTGGTCTTTTCCTGACCTTTCTGATTTTTTTCTGCACTGATCCTCAATTTTATCTCTATGTCTAATTTCAGCAGTTCTCAACCATGGGTGATTCTTCTCCCCAGAAGCCACTTGTCAATGCCTGGAGATGCTGCAGTTGTCACACTAGGAGAGGGGGCTGCTCCTGGCATGACACAGGTAGAGGCCAGGGATGCCAAAAGGCATCCTACGATACCCAGGTCTGTCCCCAACAAGGATGGTCTGGCCTCAAAATATCAGTAGTGCCAGTGCTGAGAATGCCCGAGCTAAGCCCTTCCTCTGCACAATTTGAAGCAAGAAAAGCATGTAGGGATACCTCAAAATCGAAGCAGGTGAAACCCAGAGAGGGAAAGAACTGCTTCCCTTGTAATCATTCATCTTCCTCGGGTTGTTCTCTTCTGTTTTCCTCTTGGTCCTGCTCTTCTGAGAAATGTGCAACGGTGGTTCCCTCCTCCCCCCATTCCCGCCTCTTCCCTTTGCCACTTTAGAAATGTTCGTGCTGGCTTGGAGTCTTCCAGACATTGCTTATTAATAATTTCCCCTTGGCATTTGCTGCCGCCTCTGTGTTAATGGCTTGGATCAGAGTGAGCCCACGGCGAGGAGGACCACCCCACGTCAGGTGCCTGCTCCTCCAAGGAGCTCAACTCTATATTATTTTTTTCTTTTGCTGTCCAAAAAGAGGCCTAACTAGGTGAGAGGGAGCTAAGTGCTCAAAGATCACCCAACAGGGCTAAAGACACCGCAGGAGCAGGAGCTGTTATGATCTATCAGGTAAATAAATATCCTTTTGCAAAATTGTCTAAAGCTTTATTTATAGAAGGGGCCCAAATGGCTTGGAAGGAAGCTGCTTAAGAAGCTCTTAGCTCTCTGGCAGCCCTCACGGAGTCACATGAAACACTTTAGGGTTGTGGTTTTTTCTTTTTTTTTTCTTTTTTTTTGCTTTAATGATATGATGCTGTAAGAAAAGCTGGGATGGCCCCACCCACTGCAGGAGGGAACCCGGGGAGGAAGCCTTGTCTTGTTGTGGGGCATGAGGTGGGAGATACCCCAGCTTTTCTCTGGTCCCTTCTATCTTCCCACACCTGGGCTGCAGCCAGGTAGGCTGTAGGAGAGGTGGGCACCTAGCAGCAGGGGTGTGGGAAGATGCAACAGGCCAGAGAAACCTACTCAAACCTACTAGGGCATGAGCTTGGCTCCCTGGGTGAGGTGAGGTGCTGGATCAGCGAGTTTATTGGAGAAAGAAAGGCCCCTGGGAAGCCGCTTCCCATCACCTGGGAGGGAGCATGCAGCCTCCAGGTCATGCACTGGGATGGCCACCAATAGGCTCTGCCTGGCTAACTCATGCTTAAAACTGCTGTAGCATAGGTTGCCAATGTGAGAAACTCACCCATCCAAGCCCAAAGAATGGACTCAGAGACCCAGAGAACAGCGAAAGTGAGACTTTTAATGATGGTCTTGCAAGACTGAATGTTTTTGATAGACAGGCACACCCAGCACAGTTTCAACAAGCAATTTATCTCTTAGGGCACAGGTCCCTCCCCCAGCTCCTCATAGGCTGAGTACTATGCTGTCACAGTCTTCCCGGATGTTGCCTATTGATTGTTGGGTAGAGGCTCTAGGTGTTTTTTTTTTTTTTGGGTTGTCTTGCTCCATTTTGTCGCAGCCCACAATGCATTGCAATCCTAGTTAGCTTAGGGGCTCTTTAAGTATTTGACTTATGATCTAAGTAGCTGGGCAGGCTGATAAGAACAGACAAAATGAGCTATTTCGCAAGCTAGTAAACTTTCATCTTAGACTGCACTTTTGGCTCAGGTGAAGGCAACTAAGGTGGGAGGAAGCGGGAGGCTGACAATCAGGCATTGGCTATGGAAGCAGGGGCCTAGTATATCCTGTTACTTCTGTAGTTTGCTGACCGAAGCCTACTTAGGGCACTTTGGCTTGGAAATAGATCACTGTATACATTATTTCCTTCACCAACCCCAGAAGATTTCACATAAAAATTATAATTTCTAAATTTATTTATTTTTTTTTTGGTAAAAGAGAACATTTGCATTTGGCAGTGCTGGTCTGACCTAACCACATGGAAACAGCTGTCCCCTTAATCCCCTCCATTGGCCAGTGTCCTCTCCAAGTCGCCTTTGCTGAACTATCAGCCCTGGCCATGCAGGAACCCATATCTGTGGTTCCTGCCCTAGGGAAGCAGAATTTGCTTTTGTCATCTTTCCAGAATAGTTAAGGAACAGAACCAAACAAAAAGGGAGGGATTGCATGATTCTAGAGCTAGGCCGGGAGGTGATGCTGGAAGTGACAGACAGCATTGAGAAGGGTTTCTGGGGTGCTGGGAAATGAGCTTGTACTTGAGAGTTGTGTGGGTTAGGCTAGGAGGAGAGGAAGGAGGCTGCCTGGGGCGATGGTGGGTCTGGGAAAGGGCATAAGGGCAAAGGCATGTAGGTGAGCGTGAGCTTGGCTCCCAAGGGGAGGCGAGGTGCTGGATCAGAGGGTTCATTGGAGAAAGAAAGGGAGTGTCAGCTGAAAACCAGGAGCAGTGTGTTGACCTAGTGGTCCAGGCCACATAGTCTCACAGTTACCTGTCCATCTGGAGGTGTGATTTCATGGAGATCAGAGGAGTGGCAGGGAGATGGGCTGCAGGAAGTACCAGATATCCTGCCAGGCTTCTTTGTACAGTCATGAGTCTCCCTTCAGACCTCAAGGTAGTATCAAGATTTCTGGCTCACATCCTGGTACTCTGAACTCTAAGTAGGAATGGGGCAGGAGATGAATGATGCAGATTGCATGACTGGAATTGGCCCCGAGCCCCAAAGCCCTGGAGGTGGCCCCAGCATTGGTCATTTGAGGCTGAGGCCTCAGCCTCTTCCCGAGGTCTCCTAGGCTCTGGCCTCCTACTTTCTGATCCTCTTCTGGGGTTGTGCAAGGTCTTGGGCTCCCGTATGCCCTGCTGCTGGGGAATTCCTCAAAAGCCAGGGTCCCCGGAGAAGTGAATTTTATCTGCTGGCTTGACCTGCCCAGGAATGGCCCATGGGAAATTCAGATAAGAGTGAATCAGGAGGTTCTCAGGGACTCCACTACAATCCCTGTCTTAATGTGCTCTGTAAAAACACTTACACACATTTAAAGCTTATCTCTATTTCTTTAATTAAGCATCACTCTGTTGACTCAGGAGCTGAGCAGCATTTGAATACAGTCTTCCAGGATCTCCCATGATGCACCAGACTCTTCAGGTCCAGGGAGCTGGGGGCAACACCTATATTTCCTCTTTCTGCTGCATTTTACCATTAGAAATGGCTTCCCTCTGATGTGACCACCTTCTTGTTCTTTTTTTAAAAAACAAAAACAAAAACAAACAAACAAAAAACACCACATGCACGAGGCTTCGTAGAAACAGTCATTTCTTGGCAAACCATGCATTTACAAAACGCCCACAAAATGGGAATTTGGTGGGAGGGGGGAACTTGGAGTCAACAAGGAGTTGCAGAAGGGGAGCTTTGTGTTTCTGATGGGCTGTGCCATAAGATAGAGCAGATTGCATCTTTATGTCAAGGAGAAAAATTCCTGGCATAAGCTGGTATCAGGTGGGTGGCAGTCCAAGAGGGGCTCACCCATCTGAGAAAGTGTTCACGATGGTGGGAAAATTCAGAGCCCTGGAAACCAGCTGACCTTAGAGACACAGTCAACACATCCCACTTAGGGACAGGCTGGTGCGAGGGTCCCTTTTGTGTGCCTGAGTCTACAAGGAATACATGCATGATTTCAGAGAGTATTTTTGACCAGGTGAAAAATAAATTGCATGTTCCAGGATTTGAACAGATTAAAAACATTACAAAAATGTTCTGCTTCTGCCTCTATTGTATTCTTACATTATTGCTGGTGATTTCTCCTTTGACTTGCTAACGGGGATGTATTTTTTCTTGGTACTGCCATTACCTCTCCCTGCTACTTTCCAGGTCACTAATTTTTCTGCTTAGAGTTCATTCTGTTTAGACCGATATGCTGTCTCTTTTAATGAGGTTATTTCTGGGTTATTAGCCTTCCTGTTATATGATACCTTATGTGGAGGGCCTAATTGATGTAAATCAAACACAGCTTGTGGAAGAAAAAAAAAATCAAAGTCATCCTTCAGATATTTGGTGAATCTCGAGGCATCTCAGGATTTCAGTATTTAAAAGTACTTTTTCAACAAGCGGTTACATGTGGCTAATAACACAAATAAATCCTTTCTTATTCGTAAATTAGCAGGTTCAAAGAAGTGGAAATTGAAGGAGAGCATTGGCATTTGGGTTTGCTGAATAAGCTTTAGATAGAAATTAGACTGAAAAGTATCGAGTGGGAGGGGTTTAATTGTATAGTTCAATAACCTTGCCAACATATTTTTATTAAGGCATTCTTACATAAGCCATTAAGCTTTAGGTTAATTTTTACGGTTATTTTCTGGCTGTACTTAGCGAATAGGGATAAAGTGAAGCAAAGGGAAGACTTTCCTCTTGAACTCTCATAGGTCTCATTGCAGACTATGGCTTGACAGGGACTTTTGTGGCACTGTGGTCGTCAGAGGAGCCCGTTGTTATGTTCACATTATTAGCAAGAGGAGGATGCTTTTTCTGATTTTGCTCCTGGATATTAGCTCTGTCACAGGAGATCTGATGTGCAGGCATATTATTTTTATCTCAAAAGAAAGAAAAATATGATTTGCTCTCTTTTTTCCTTAAGGTCTTGTTCATTCATTATGTTCCCTGCCTGTCTCAGAGAGAAATTGCTCCATGTCTGGAAAGGTGAGGCCAGGACTGAGCTCCCCAGAGGGAGCGCTTGGGAGCCACCTTGCATCTTTATGGAGCAGGGGGTCTGTTGGGTGGAGGGACTCTCAGGGGATGAAGGTTGCCTGGCAATGGGGAGGGTGGGTTGGGGGTCGCACCCAGGGGCCACACTCACTCCGGGCAGTCTTGCTACAGCAGAAGGCATGGGATTTTTGGGATCATACCAGGGTTAATGCTAACTCTGCCCGTTAATAACCATGTGATGCTAGGGAAGAGACTTACCTGGTTTATAACAGCACCCAAAACTCAAAGGTGGACCTATATGAGGTCCTCTGTGGAGGAGGCCACCAACTTAGCTCTCCTGAGATACATACCTCACCCTTGGTTTGGGAAAATGATTATATCTCCTGCACAGGTTTGCCCAGGGTTGTGAATAAAAGCAAACTGCCAACTTCCAGACTCAGCATAAAATGTTTGGTGTGGAGTCTTGACATTGACACTCACAGAAGTCTGGGGAGGGTGCGGGAGGGCAGAGGGCATTGTCACTGCGTGTTCTTGCCCAGCTTGGTGATTGGTGGACGCTCAGTTGCTGTGGCTCCACATCATGTTTACACCCCGGTCCAGGCCTGCAGTGGCTCTTGCCTACAGACTGGCACCACCTGTTCACTCTGCATGCAAAGGTGGAGGAACTTGGAAGACAGCAGAACAAAGGAAGGTGGGCCTTTCCCCCAGGGAGAGGCCGGCCGACCCTGCCCTCTCAAGAGACACCATTGAGCAGAGTGGCCTTGCCAGGTGTGAGAGGTTGGCACATACCAGCATAACACCACGCTGTGGTGTGTATATCTCAAGTAGACATTTATATGTATGTATGTTATTTCTATATGTATAGGTATTTATATATACCTATAAATAATTAACAGTATCTATTTAAATATGAATATATACGTTATATATACACACACACATATACATGTCTATGTAAAGGTTCATGTATATGTATATATGTTTGCTTTCCTCCTATGTAGAAAAACACTGCTATAGAATGGCACACAGCCCTAGACTGTTGTATCTATAAACATTTCTATTCTAATTTTTATTTACATATATGTTGATGCCTCTATTTATATGTTACATGTTTCTTTATATATTTAATGATATTCCTATTTACATGGGCATGGATTTGGTTCTAGTTAGGTCCTTTCCCAGTCCTGTGTCTGTGATTTGCTCCAGACAATAGCCTGGGCTCCACTGTTTCTTCAGGTGTGGCCACGAGGGATACCTGCCTGCCTGGGGGTGACCTGGTGACCCATTGTGGACCTAGCTCATCAGAGGGCTGGGAATGCTTGGCTTCTCCAGTTCTGTCTTTTTTATTCATTTGTTTATTATTACTATTATTTTGAGAAAGAGTCTCACCCTGTCTCTCAGGCTGGAGTGCAGTGACGTGATCTTAGCTCTCTGCAACTTCCACTTCCCGGGTTCAAACGAGTCTCCTGCCTCAGCCTCCCCAGTAGCTGGGTCTACAGGCATGAGCCCACCAGACCTGGCTAATTTTTTTTGTATTTTTTGTAGAGATAGGGTTTCACCATGTTGGCCAGTGTTATTTTGAACTCCTGGCCTCAAGTGATTCAGCTGCCTCAGTCTCCCAAAGTGCTGGAATTACAGGTGTGAGCCACCGCGCCTGGCCCATCACTTATGTTACAGTCATCTTCTATCAGAGATCTTAAATTTCAGAAAGAAAAATTCAGAATTTATATCATTGAATCATGGAGATGGATTTGAAATTCCTCGAGCACTAGGGTTTCTCAAACCTCCTCCTAAAGACCTTCCAAGCTCCATGCTGCATTTTTTGTGCGTGGGTGTTAGGCATGGATTTTACAAGGAGCTAAGGCCCTGGGGTTAAATGAGCATCACCATGTTGCAAGGATGAGGTAAGAAACCTGGAGAAGATATTTTAATACTGGGGTTTCCAAAATCGTTGTCATTTTCTGTTTCTCAGTGAGCCTTGAAAAGGGGGTGAGCCTCCACTGGGGTAACAGAGGCTATGTGACGGAAAAAGTCCAGATTCTTATTTTGTCTGTGTCCTCAGAACCCAAAGAGATCGTGGCTATTGAGCGTGTGGTGCCGGTGCTGATGATATCATAAATAAGCTATTAAAGTGTAATTAGCAGGGAGAATAACACATACAGAATGTATGCACCAGATGGACTTCTGTGGTCTGGGGTATCAGGGAGAGCTTCTTTGGAGTGAAATATTTAAATGGGAGCCTTAGAGTTAAATAAGGGTTGGCTGAGCAAAGGCAAGGGGAGAAAAGTATTTAATGCCAGAGGAGATGCATCTGCGGAAACCCTGAGGACAGGAAAGGATGGAGGATCACAGGGCCACAAGGAGGCAAGTGACAAAAGTGCACCATGGAGGTGGCCCTAGCAGGGGCTACAGAATGGGGTGGGAGGCGGACCAGATGGCCATATTAGGTTTTGGTGTTCTAACACCAAAGCGATCTAACACCAAGGCAATCTAATGCCATTAGGGAGATATTTCTTAAATGTTTTCAGCTATACTGGAAGTATTCTATATATATATATATGGAATACTTCCATATATATATATATATATATATATATATATATATATATATATATATATAGAATACTTCCATATATATATATATATAGAATACTTCCATATATATATATATAGAATACTTCCATATATATATATAGAATACTTCCATATATATATAATACTTCCATATATATATAAATAAAATATATATATAAATAAATATATATATAAAATTTATATATATATAAAATATATATATAAAATATATATAAAATATATATATATAAAATATATATAAAATATATATATATAAAATATATATAAAATATATATATAAAATATATATAAAATATATATATAAAATATATATATATAAAATATATATATAAAATATATATATAAATAAAAAATATATATATAAATAAATAAAATTTATATATATATAAAAAACAACTCACACCAACTGTGCTCATCACCTTCTCTTTGCCTCCAGGTCAACTCTCCACCTTCCCACCCACTCTGTGCCTGGAAGGGTGACTCCTCTGGCCACCTCTGGCTTCTTGCTTGGTGTGATCAAAGGAGACTGGAGGATGCAAGGAGAGTGAAGCGGTATTTATTTCTGGTTCTGGGTTTCTGCAACTTCTCTCTGCCCTTTCCCCTTGCGCCCAGCCAGTGTTTAAATCCACCACTATCCCTGTGGTCTTCCAATACCCTGACCTCACCTTTGTGGATAAGGGACTGTTTACTCAATCCAGGCTTCAGGCTGTTTCCTACAGCTACCCATCTAAAAGCCTAAGAAATAAAACAAAATAAAAGTAGTTACACTGATGTATTTCTCCTTGGTTAAACCCCCTTCTTAGCTCTCAAAATTAATCTATTCTGGATATGGCATTCTCATTCTTCTGCTTGTTTGTATGCTCTTAGCTCATTATATATGGCAGCTGCTGTCAAGAGCTCCACCCACATTTCCTCACCTTTTTCATTTTAGTGCATTAGGGATCAACTAGTAATTTATTTTTGTTTTTGTTGTTTTGCCTGAGGGCTTTCTCTGGCCACCAGAGGTTACTTGGCCACCACTGTGTGAGACTAGAAGTGCTAGGGGTTAATTCCTCCTCCTCTGCAGCTTTCAGAAAAAGGTGGACCGGAGTTGGTGTATAAATACCCCAGGTCTCTCCCCACTCTGATGAGCTATCACAGGACATAGAATTTCCCTGCAGGATTAAGTGCCAACGACTAGCTGGCTAAGTAGCACACTTCTTATTGGCTGCTTTCCCTTCCCTGTCGCTTCTCCTCTCCCCTACAGTTGTTTTCTGGGATCACCTCCCAAATAAACGATCTGTACTTAAGTCCTAACTTCACACTCCTTTTCGTGAAAGCTTTGATAATATGTACACATCTCTAGGCAAATACAGTATTTTTATTTCCTTTAGGCTTTATGAAATGATCACACTGTCTGATATCTTATGTCACTTGCACCTGCTCTACATCATGTTTATTAGATTCAATCTCAATGATTTCCTTTTCTGTGAGCCATTCATTTTCACTGCTACATAGTATTCCATTGCAGGAATTGTTATTCTCCTTTGATGACTCTATAAGCATCTCTTTTTTTCTTTGCTACTATAAGTCATACTGCCATAAACATTCTCATAGCTACATATTTATATATATATGTACAAATTTTTCTTAGTTGAAAAGTTAGGAGTAGAGATGTTGGGTTACAGGGTATGCATGTTTTTAAATTTAATTGTTCTGCAGAGTGGTTGTATCTATTTGTATAACCTCCAGCTGCCTATTTTAATTCCTATTTCCAATGCTTGATATTGCCAGGCTCTCTAATATCATCCCATTTTGGAGGAGGGAATTGGTGTGTCGTTATGGTTTCAAATTGCATTTCTCTGATTAATACAAGGCCATTTTTGTAAATGGCTGCTTTGCATTTTTTTTCTATTGGTCTCATTGCTTTCTCTTTTAGAATTTCTAAACACTATTAAAATATTCTGGACCTAATTATTTGTATCCAGATACAAATGTGTGTGTGTGTGTGTGTGTGTGTGTGTTGCATGTATTGTGTTTTGTGGGTGTGTATTGTGTTTTGTGTGTGTGTGTTGTTGTTGTAATATATTCTTCCAGTCTATAGCTTATCTATTCACTTCTTAATGATGTCTTTGAATGTACAGAAGCATTACAAGAGTTGAAATGTGAAAGAAACTCATGATGTGGGTTGTGCCACTGTGAAGTTTCTCTGGTGCTCTGTGATGTATGCGTGAGGATGTGGTTCAGACCAAGTGGATAGAGGAAAACCTAGATGGAGGCCACTAGCTACAGCAAGTCATGGAGAAAAGTTGATGGTTTGAACTGAAGAGAAGGCAATGAAAGTGGAGAAAAAGGAGTATATTCAAGAAATACCTTGGATAGAGTTTATGGATTTTATGGAAGTGAGAAAGAAGTAGGTGACAAAAATGACCACAGGTTTAAGGTTTAAGAAAATCGAATGAAACAAGTACAAATGGCAATATATTGTGAGGAGACAATTGGGTGATAGTCAGAGAGGGGTGGAGGGACTTAGGGAGGAACTTTTGTAGTAGGGGACTTAATTGTGTTCTAAATGCATGGTGGGAATGGGAAGGAACCAGTGCCCACAGAAACAATAATGGATTGCACAATTTTTCTAGATTAGATTTTCTCAACTCTGGTTGTGCATTCAAATTTCCTGGAGAACTTTGAAAAAATGTTGATGTCCAAGATTCTATTCCTATCCCCCACAGTTCCTTTCTGGAGGCAGGTTGGGGCATGGGGTATGTGTGTGTGTGTGCGTGTGTGTGTGTGTGTGTTCAATAGAAGCTCACTAGGTGATTCACATGTGCAGCCAGGATTAAGAACCACTGTCTTAGAAGACAGAAAAGGCCGAGATCCCAAGTGTAGGTGGATTAGTTGGCCTTAGGTGCAAGAAGAGTTGCTCACTGCAACAGGAAGGAAAAATGGAAGATGGGAACAGATGCAGTATGTTTGAAAGTTTGATGATGGAATGTTAAGGAGGGTCCCCATGGTTGGTTTATATTTTCAGGAATCTTTACACAAAATGATTCCTATAATTCTTAGCCAAGACAAATGAGAGATTGTCAGATAAGGCAATGTGGGGGAGTGAAAACAAAGGGCTTACCCATGGTTACACAGTGGCAGAGTTGAGACAGATTTCCTGACTCCCATCACATCGTGACATTCCATGTTGGATCAGACCTAGCCTCCCTAACACAATCAGATAAAGAGCTGGGGTTGGAGTGGTTTCAAGAAGGAGGTGGTAGGAGTGTGCTTGCCAGTCTTCAGGAATTCTCTCTTTTGCCAATCCCAATATACTGGTCCCTAATTCATTTCAAAGTGGCAAGAATTGATGCAAGCTAACAGATTCTCAGGAGACAGATATTAGTTGTAAGCATGGAAAGAATGTATCTGAGAGAACATAATGACTTCTTTTTATTACCATCTTCATATTGGTTTTACTGTGAAATTAATAATTTGCATTCAACTAGTATTAGAGTTTGGGGGTGTTAGGACTTCTGGATCTACTAAGGTGGATTGAGAGGGGCTACAAACATGTTTTTCTTTGGAGAATAAGGAATGGAATTTTCTGAGAATTCCACCAGAAGCTGAACATTATTGGTTGCATTTTACGTATCCTGCTTAAAAATTTAGAAATCAACTAATTTACATTCTCACCAGCAGTGTAAAAGCGTTCCTATTTCTCCACCACCTCACCAGCATCTGTTGTTTCTTGACTTTTTAATTATCACCGCTCCGACTAGCATGAGGTGGTATCTCATTGTGGTTTTGATTTGCATTTCTCTAATGATCAGTGATGTTGAGCTTTTTTTTGTATGTTTGCTGGCTGCATGTATGTCTTCTTTTGAGAAGTGTTTGTTTATTTCCCTTGCCCACATTTTACTGGGGTTGTGTGTATGTTCATTGCAGAACTATTCACAATAGCAAAGACATGGAATCAACACAAATGCCCATCAATGATAGACTGGATAAAGAAAATGTGGCACATATACACCATGGAATACTATGCAGTCATAAAAGGAACGAGATCATGTGCTTTGCAGGAACATTGATGAAGCTGGAAGCTATCATCCTCAGCAAACTGATGCAGGAACAGAAAACCAAACACTGCATGTTCTCACTTTTAAGTGAGAACTGAACAATAAGTTCACATGGACACAGGGAGGGGAACAACACACACTGAAGCCTGTTGGCAGGGGCAGGGGGAGAGCATTAGGGAAAAGAGCTAATGCATGCTGGGCTTAATACCTGGGTGATGGGTTGATAGGTGAAACAAACGACCCTGGCACATGTTTTACCTGTATAAAAAACCTGCAAGTCCTGCACATGTACCCAGGAACATTTTAAACAGATTTTAGAAATAGATTTTTCCAGTCTTTTTAAATTATTGATCAACATGGTTGGAAAATTTGATTTGAAGAGGCTCAAACCTTGATGTTACTGGTGCAAATGGTTGCAGTGTTAAAGGTAGTGAGTTTCTTGAGATGCTTATAATAGCCCCTTGCTTAGAGATTTCTCTGTCTAGGGTTCTGTAAGTTTGAGACTCCAGAGAGGATTTTGACTGGGCTTGAGGGAAAAATGGGAGGGACCTTTGCCGACCAAATATAGTGAACAGTTTGAGCATTTGCTCTTTCAAGTGTATGAACCAGCTAGCACTTGCAGCCAGGACAATATCAAAATTTAATGAAAACTTAATAAACTTTCAAACCAGAGAAGTGTTTACACTACTCAGAAAGAAATGTTTGAACTGCTATGTCTGCCTGGCTATGAAGGAGAGGTGGTACTGCCATTCACTTGGGAACTATCTTTAGTAATAAATTTGGATGAGATTCCATCTGGTTTTCTTATCTATTCTTTTTATATAGTGCAATGTTGCAGGTGCAAGAGAATGTGTTTGAAGAAAAAAAATGCATATGAAAGTACATTAGACTGGAGTTTGCCATTTCATTCTCTTGGCAGGATAGCAGCTGCAAAATGAGTTTTTGGGGCTGGGGGAAAGGGTTCATTTTGAGGACTACAATTAATGAGCAGGAGTTTGCCAAAAAGAGACGGGATTATCAGTTAAGATTTTAAAATTTGTATTGCTCTATAATTAACGTACAGTGAAATGCATAGATCTTAAATATACAGTTTGATCAGTTTTGAAAAATATGCACACTAGAGTGACACACATCCGTGTTAAGATATAGTCCATTTCCACACTCCAGAAAGTTCTTTCATGTCCCTTCTCAGTACATTCTTAGCCTCTCTCTTCAGAGAAAACCATAGTTCTGATTTTTATCATGATAGATTCATCATATCTGTTTTAAAACAGTCACATAAATGGAATCATACAGTATGCATTATTTTGTCTGTCTTCTCTAGTAAGAATGACGGTTTTGAAATTCTTCCATATTTTGGATGTATTAGTATCTTTTTTTAATCACTGAGTAGTACACATTGTATGAAAATACCACAATTTATTTGTCTGTTCTATTGTTGATTGATGTTTGGGTTGCTTCCTTTTTTGTTGTAGTTGCTGCTTCTATTAACATTGCTGTGCAAAATTTTGAGGGACATATAGTTTAATTTCTCTTAGATAAATGTCAAGGAATACAAACCTGGGTCATGGGGTATGTGTATGTGTAATTTTATAAGAAACAGCCCTAGTAGTGTCCAAAATGGCTATGCCATTTTACTCTACCACCGTCAGTGTATGAGAATTCCAGGTGCTCCTCATTCTCAACATTTGGTATGGTCACTCCTTTTAATTGTAGCCATTCTAAGGTTTGAAGTGGTGTCTCATTAATGTATATGCGCCTGATGAAACTGGCCATTCCTGTATCTTTCTTTGTGAAATACATGTTCAAATCTTTTGCTCTATCTTATTATTGAGTAGGACTTCTTTATATTCTAAATATAAGCCATTTGACACATTTGACGTTCTCCTTGTCTTTGGTTATCCCATTCATTTATTTATCAATATCCTGTGATAAGTGGACGTTTTAAATTTTGATGGAGTTCATTTGTTTTTCTGTTAAATGCTTTTGGTGTTTTTTTTCCCCCCTGAGAAATCTTTGCCTGCCTTGAAGTCATGAAAATACTCTCTTATGTTTTCTTCTAGGAGCTTTGTAGTTTTAGCTTTTAGGTTTAGGTCTGTAGTTTACTTTGAATTAATTATTGTCTGTGATGGAGGACAGCAGTAAAATATTATTTTTTTCCTTACAGATATTGAGATGTTTCAGAATGTTTTGTTGAAAAGACTATTATTGCAATAAGAATTACTTCAGTGCCTTTGTCAAACATTTATTGACCCTATAGATTTGAATCTATTTCTAGATTCTTTGCTGTGTCTCATTGATTTTTTTGTCTCTCCTTATACAGAAACCATAGTACCTTTTCTATTATTACTTTACAAAAAAATCTTGAAAGCCTTTGTTCTTCTTTTTAAAAATTGCTTTGGCTCTACTAGATATATTTTTACATAAATTGTAGAAACAGCTTTTCAATTTCTTTTTAAAAAAGGCTTGTTGGATTTTGCTTGGCATGGAATTGAATCAATAGATCAATTTGGGAAGAAATGACATCTTGGAAGTATTGAGAATTTCAATTCATGAAGTAGGTACAGATCTTTATTTAGATATTTTAAAATTTCTCTTAGAGATTATATGTTGTTTTTCATGTAAATTTCTTGTACATCTATCGCTAAATTTATCTCTAAGTACTTTATGTCTATTGAGTATGGTTTTTAAATTGTATAATCTAATTTTTACAGCTATTATATAGAAATACAATTTATTTGTATTATTTACAGTGTATATTGTGACATTGCTAAATTCATGTATTAGTCCAGGTAATATTGTTCTCTTTGTAATTTCCTTAGGATTTTCTTCATATATAAAAGTGACTGGGAATTTCAGTACAAGGAGAAGAAACATCCTTGCCTTTCTCTTGATTAGCTGAAAATCTATCAATTGTCTAACTTGAAGTAACTTTGTTAGTTGGGAGTTCTGCCGAAGCCCATGACCAAATTTAGGAAGTTTCCTACTACTTCTATTTTGATGAAAAGTGGAGGTGCTGAATTTTATCAAAGGTTTTTCTTCTGGATCTACTGAGATAATCTTATAGTACTTCTGCTTCATTTTTTAATGTAGTGAATTACACACCAAAATGTTATAACAGCCCTGTATTTGGGGGATAATCTCATTTATTTGAGATGTATTATTGTTTTCATATGTTGGTAAATTAAATATTATAGTACTTAGTACAAAATTTTATCATCTATGTTAATGAGGGATATTTATCTGTAGTGTTTTTTTTTTTTTTTACAGAGTCTTGCTCCATTGCCCTGGCTGGAGTGCAGCGGTGTGATCCCCACTCACTGCAACCTCTGTCTCCCGGGTTCAAGCGATTCTCCAGCCTTAGCCTCCTGAGTAGCTGGGACTACAGGCACGTGCCACCATGCCTGGCTAATTTTTTGTATTTTTAGTAGAGACAGGGTTTCATCATGTTAGCCAGGATGGTCTCAATCTCCTACCTCATGATCCACCCGCCTCAGCCTCCCAAAGTGCTGGGATTACAGACATGAGCCACCATGCCTGGCCCAGTGTTCTTTTCTTGTGCAGTCTAATTTTGGTATAAGGCTTTTGCTGGCTCTATAAAATGACATGGAAAATATTTTCTCCTCTTCTACTCTCTGAAAAAGTTTGTGAATAATTTGTATCATTTGTTCTATAAATACACAAGAGAACTTATCAGTGAAGTCATCTGAAAAGGTTTTAATCGTGAGAAGGTTATACTGGTGAATTTAATTTCATTACTACATATAAAACTAATTATGTTTCCTCTTTTTCTTGGATATGCTTGAATAATTGTGCATTTCTAATATATTTTAATCCAAATTGTCAAATTTCATCAAAATTGTCAAATTTCTTGGCATACTATCCCTGTATTAGCCTTTTAATGTCTGTAGAATCTGTAGTAATGTCTCCTATTTTATTTTTGGTATTGAATATGTGTTTGTGTTTTTCCTTGGTCAGTCTTGCTAGTTTTATTTACCATTTCAAAGAAATAATCTACTTTATTGATTACCTTCGTTATCTTTATTATTTCCTTACTTCTGTTAACATTTTATTGAATTTGTCATTTTTCTAGCCTTTGAGATTGCAAGATTAAATTTTTTATTTTGAAACCTTTCTGTGTTTCTAATATAAGCAATTAAAGGTATAAAATTACTTCAAGTTCTACCTTATATGTATCTCATAAATTTTAAAATATTATAAATTTATTACTATTTCATTTAAGATATTTTAAAATTTACCTTGCACTTTTTAAAATTCATGGCATACTTGGAAGATTTTGTTTAACTTTCCAACACAGTAGTGTTTTAAAAAAACATATTTTATATTTGTTAACTTCTATTTTAACTCTATTTAATTTCATCATAGAGAAAATACTATGTAATTTCAATGCATAACATTTATTGTGTCTTCTTTAATTTCTTAACAGATGGTCTGTCTTGGAGAATGTTCCATGTGCACTTGAAACAAATATGTATGTTTTCTTGGATATATACAGCTCAATAGGTTAAATTGTTTGATAATATTCAGATATTCTTTTTCCTTACAGTTGTTTTGTCTATTTGTTTTCTTAACCACCGGGGCAAGAATAAAGTCTTCAGTTATAATTGTAAATTTGTCTATTTCTTCCAGTAGTTTTGTTAAATTTGCCTAATGTATTTTGAATAACTGTTTATATGTTGATTCATTTAGGATTGTTATGTCTTCTTGATTAATTGATACTTTATCAGTATAAAATATCTGTCTTTGTCTTTATGAATATTCTTTGTCTTGAAGTCTACTTTGCTTATAATATAGCTGTATTTTCTTTTTCATGCATATTGTTTACATGCCTTTTTACCTCCTTTTACTTTTCCCTACTTCTCTATATTTAAAGAGTATTTCTTGTAGACACTTAGCATATTGCTTGCTTTTATATTTTTAGTGTTAACATTAACAACATTTTATATTATTATTGGCATGGCTGGCTTTAAATCTACCATTATATTTATTTTCTATTTGCTTATTGCTCCTTTTTTCCACTTTTGGATTGATAATTTCTAGCATTTTATTTTTCCCTTGGCTAAATCTCTTTGTTAGTTTTAGTAGCTTTGTGTACTTTCTGTAATCACCATCTCATTCTTTCTATTATGATCGTCATACATTTTACTTTCACATATGTTAAAATGTCACCATACAATGTTATTTTCTTTCTTCTAATAATCAAATGTAGTTTAAGGAATTAAGAAATAAGGAAAAAGTATTTCATATTTAATCCATATATTTGCCATTTCTAGGTCTTTTATTCTTTCATGTAGACTTATTCCTTCATGTTGCAATCTTCTATCAGTTCCTTTCAGCCTGAAGAAGTATCTTAAACATTTCTGTGTAACAGATCAACTTGTGATTATTTTCTTACTTTTGTTCATCTAAAAAGTCTTTATTTTTCTTTCCATTTTGAGGGGTATTTTCACTGGATGTATGCTTCTAGGTTGACAGGATTTTCTTTCAGCATTTTAAAGGTGTTATTCCATTGTCTCTGGCTTGCAATATCTCCGATGAGAGAGAAGCTATTATGCTTATCTTTGTTTTTCTATAAGTAAGAGTCTTTTCCCCCTCTGTGTCTTATCCCATTTTGTGTTGCTCTAAAGGAATACCTGATGTTGGGTAATTTATAAAGAAAAGAGGTTTATTTGGCTTTGGAATTACACTTTGGAATTATTGGTGTCTGGAAAGTTCAAGACTGGGCATCTGTATCTGATGAGGGACTCAGGCTGCTTCCATTTCTGGCAGAAGGCAGAGGGGAGCCAAGATCCTGTGGGGAGAGGGGAAGCAAAGGAGAGAGGAGGTGCTGGGCTCTTTTTAACAACCAGTTCTTTAAGGACCTATTAGAGGTAGAATTCTCTCACCCTTGAGAAAGGGCATTAATCAATTCATGAGGAATTTGCTCCCATGACCTGAACACCTCCCATTAGCCCCACCTCCAACACTGTGAATCAAATTTCAACATGAGGTTTGGAGGAAACAGACAACCAAACCATAGCACTCTGGTTTGTTTAATGTTTTTCCTCTTTATCATGAATTTCCAGCAATTAGAATATAATGTTCATTGGTGTGATTTACTTTGATTTTTATCCTCCTGGAGGATCATTGAGCTCTTGGATCTGAGGTTTTGTATTTTTGACTTAATTTGAGATATTTTCAGTCATTATTTCCTCAAATATTTTTATCTGTACACTATTTTCCTCATCTTCTTTTGGGATTTATGTTTCACATATTTTAGAATACTTGATATTGAGTTCCAAGTTACAGAAGCTCTTTTCATTTCTTATGACAACATGCCCTATACCCAATGTAATTATTGAAGAAAATTCAATGTTTGCATAGTATGTAATAGTATGAATGTGTAATAATTTACTTATTATAATAAGAAGCTTCCAACATAGATCCCCCAAATCTCACCTCCTGGTATTCCCACTTGTATGGAATCCCTTCCTCTTGAGTAGGGGCTGGACCTAGCAACTTGCTTCTAATGAGTAGAACACAGAAAAATGAATGGGAAATCACTTCTATGATTAGATTATGAAACACTGCTAGCAGTCTCTTGCACTCTCTTGTCTCGCTCGTTATGACAATGTAAGCTTCAATGTGGAGAGGCCCACATAGCAATAAATGGAAGGAAGACTCTTAAAACAGCCAGAGAGTAACTGAGACCTTTGGAACTGAATCCTACCAACAACCATATAAATGAGCTTGGATGTAGATTCTTCTTCAGTTGAACCTTCAGAGAAAACCCCAGCCTCAGCTGCCACCTGAGAGCAGTCTTGTGAGAGGCCCCCATTTAGAGATCCCAGAAGAGCAACACCCAGATATCACATACATTGTGATATAATAAATCATTACACTTTGGAATTACACTTTGGAATTATTGAGTCATTACACTTTGGAATAATTTGTTACACAGCAATAGATAACAAATACGTTTCTTCTATCTACTATTTTTGGACATGCCTCTTTCCTCTTTTATTTGCTATTATAAGTATTACTGCATTAAATAGCCTGGAGAATATAACTTCATCTTCAGAAACTTATTTACACAAGTGGCATTGGTAAGTCAAAAAGTATGAGCAGGCCTCAGTTTGGTAGTGCATATAATAAAAGTTTGGAATAATACAAAGAAGATTAACATGGCCTCTACACAAAGATAATATGCAAATTCACGAAGTGATCCATATTTTTTTTTACAAAGGCTTAAAACCCATTCAATGGATGAAGGACAGTGTTTTCACCAAGTGGTGTTCTGTATCTTGACTGTGGTTGTAAATATTAATACATGAACCTACACATGGGATTAAGTTGTACAGAACTACACATGGGATTAAGTTGTACAGAACTACACACACACACACACACACACACACACACACACACCAATGAGCGTACGTAAAACTGGAGACATCTGAATGAGGGTGCTGAGTTGTATCAATGTCAGTATGAGGTTGTGAAATTATACTGTGGTTTTTAAGATGCTATCATTGGGGGAAACTAGGAAAAGAGTGTATATGATCTATGATCATTCTGTATTATTCCTTCCAACTAAATGTGAATCTATAATTATCTCAATAAACATTGTAATTTTTAAGTGAGATGAGCATTTTTATTACTTACTATTTATTTATTCATTTATTTATTTTTCTTGATTATAGAGATGGGGGAATCTCACTGTGTTTCCCAGGCTGGTCTCAAACTCCTGGGCTCAAGTGATCTTCCCACCTCAGCCTCCCAAAGTGCTGGGATTACTGGCATGAACCACCATGCCCGGCCAAGATCAGCATTTTTATAATTTCAAAATACATTAACACATTTCACTCCAAGAAGAGCATAATGTAGAATTCTACTCACCATATGAATGAGCTAGTTAATGAGCATGCTCACTATTGTGGATTTATTAATTTTTGGCTCATTACAGTACGATAGGGAATTCTGTGAAACCAGGAATAAGGAAGATAAAGTGAGTTTTTTAATTATTATTTTTAAGAGGGTATTTCTGTATTGCCCAGGCTGGAATGCAGTGGCTTGATCATAGCTGACTGTAACTTTGAACTCCTGGGCTGAAGCTATCCTCCTGTCTCAGCCTCCCAAGTAGCTAGGACTACAGGCATGCTCTACTACGCCTGGCTAATTTTTAAATTCTTTGTCAGGGTGGGGTCCCACTATGTAGCTCAGGCTGGTCTCGAACTCCTAGCCTTAACTGATCTTCCCATCTTGGCCTCCCAAAGAACTGGGATTATATGTGTGAGCCACTGTGCCCTGACAATTGTTTTATACTGATAAAAAATTTACTTAACCAAGAATATATAAGAATCAACATAATTCCTATATAATTAATGAACTCTTACTTCCTTGTGCAATGTGGCACAAAAATATATTAAGTAAAACAACATGACAGGCCGGGTACGGTGGCTCAAGCCTGTAATCCTAGCACTTTGGGAGACCAAGGCGGGTGGATCACCTGAGGTCAGGAGTTTGAGACCAGCCTGGCAAACATGGCGAAACCCTGTCTCTACAAAAATACAAAAAAATTAGCCTGATGTGATGGTGGGAACCTGTAATCCCAGCTACTCAGGAGGCTGAGGCAGGAGAATCACTTGAACCCAGGAGGCAGAGGTTGCAGTGAGCCAAGATCGTGGCACTGCACTCCAGCCTGGGTGACAGGATCCATCTCAAAAAACAATAAAAACAACAACAACAAACAAAAACTATATGACAATAATGTGACATTCTCCTCTGAGAATGTAACAGATCAGGCAGATAATAAACATAGATAAAATTTAAAAACATTACAGACAAGGTTGATTCTCTATCTAAATATAAATCTACATATATCTGCGTCTATATAGTTATATCAAACAATAAAACTGAACAGTCTTCAAATATCCATGGGATAATGAGAATTCCACACCCAGACACCCACACACATGGCTTTAAAAATCCTAAAGAATAGGACTAATTTCAAATTCCATGACCCCAATATAGTAGAAGTAGAAAAAAAGGAAAATCTTAGGCAGAAAATTTAACCCAATTGCAATTTAAAGATACATTCTAAATACTTGTGAATTAATTAGGGAAACAAAACTGAACTTCTTCCTCATTTATAAACACTAAACATTGAAGATAAATGATGGAAACATTCCATGGAAGAGGCTAGAAAACGAATAAGACATTTCTTTTAAAAAAATCCTGTGGTGGATTGCAAAACTGGAGGCAAATTATCCCTCCTGCTGGTGTCTAAGCTCTCCAAGCTCTTAGCATCATCAAGCTCCCACACTGACTCTGAGCTTGGCCTTGGGACCTGCTTTAGCCAATGGGGCAGCTGAAAACATACCACAGGCAGACTTGAAAAGCATGTGCACATTCTATTTCACTCTCTTGTTGTGGTCACCATGTGGAGAAGCCAGGGTTAAGCTGTTGCTTGGTGAGAGGTATGTGGCCCCATTACCCTTGTCACCCTGGCCAACGGCCTGCCAGCTGCCAGTTGTATGACTGAGGGCATCTGAGTTCTTCTAGCCACCAGCCCACTCACCGGCTGATCTTGGATGCCTGAGTGAGCCTAGCAATGATTAGCTGAGGCTGCCTGAACCACTCAGCCCACCCACAGAGTCGTGAGCTAACTAAATAGTGGCTGTTTTTAAGCTGCTGAGTTTTGGGGGTGGTTTGTTACACAGCAAAAGCTGTGGCATGAAAACATAAGGTTAAGACAAAGAGGCAGTTGTTGCACAAAGTTACAAGTTGTGTCACTGCTCTCCCATCATCTGTGCTAATGAAATAAAGTAAGTGCTAGGCAAGCGATCTATAATGGTGTGGCTGGAGCCGCAGAATTCTAAGAAGGTGTACAGAGCTTGGCTGAGAGCAGAGGATATCGCCCAAGCCTGGGCTCTGTGCAAGCATTTCCCCTTCCCTCTGCACCTAGGCATAGAATTCACCCTGGTGACACAGGTCTGTTCCACACCAGGTCATGAGCCACTTTGTCTGAAACCGGGAGAATCAATAAGGCAATCCTCATAAGCCTCATGGCCCTCACTCGTGGGTCAGGGCTGTGGGTTCTCAATGCAGTGAATTCTATAGCTAAGTGGACACAGGTCAGGCAATGAAAGCAGCCTTTGCAGTGAGAAGCTGGGCTGAACCACAAGTCAGTCAGTGCAGACTGCAGGGCCAGGCAGCGCACACAGCGTAGGTCCTCTGCACAGGTTTGAATGAAGGTGTACACATTGTTAACATAAGGTGCACATAGGTGTAGTGACACTCCTGTGTCTGGGATTATCCTGTGGGTGATTCTCCAGGTTTCCCTGGGCAGAGGAACCTGGAATCCTTAGCAGATGGGGTTGCCCAGCCGGCTGGCTTAGTCTCAAGCCATCTGAACGGAAGTCAAGGATTTCTGCAGGGACCTGTTCTTCCACAGGTGTTCCTGCAGCATCGTAAACAAGATGGAAGGGACAAGCCACATCTGTCTGTTTGCAATAAAAACAAACCCTTAAGAACAGACAAGATGGCACAGAGGCACCACATCTGTCGCAAGGGGACCAGCGGCCGCTGGCAGTTTTTATTTGGCTTTGTTTGTGCAGCTGGGAGGCGGGCCTGGTGGGAGACGGCAGGGTTTGTCTTCCGAGTCCCAGAAGCAAAGGAGCAATTAGAGTCCTGTCTGGCCCTGCAGGGTCAGGAGCTGCACCATTCCTTTCTAAGGGGGCTGGTAACCTCTCTCTGGCCTGCAATGATCACTTAGCCCATATGCACGGTCCCCAGGGCACCCCCTGCCCATGCCTCCACATCTTCATGTGCTTAAGAAATTGGGAAAGACAACAGGAATCCAAAGAGAGGGTGGTACAAGCAACATTCAACAGCCAAAAATTCTCATCGCCAAAAATGCCCATTTAGATCTAATTTAGACTTTAAAACTAAAATGTCTTTTTTTTTTTTTTTAATAGGGTCTTGCTCTGTTGTGGTCTGGGCTGCAGTGCAATGGCATGATCACAGCTCACTGCAGTCTCGACTTCCCGGGCTCCTGCGATCCTCCTGCCTCAGCCTCTCGAGAAGCTAGAACCACCATGCTCAGCTAATTTTTAAAATTTTTGTGGAGGCCGGGCGTGGTGGCTTATGCCTGTAATCCCAGCACTTTGGGAGGCCAAAGCAGGCAGATCACGGGGTCAAGAGATCGAGACCATCCTGCCTAACACTGTGAAACCTTGTCTCTTCTAAAAATACGAAAAATTAGCCGGGCGTGGTGGCGGGCGCCTGTAGTCCCAGCTGCTGGGACGCTGAGGCAGGTGAATGGCGTGAACCCGGGAGGCAGAGCTTGCAGTGAGCTGACATCGCTCCACTGCACTCCAGCCTGGGTGACAGAGCGAGACTCCATCTCAAAAAAAAAAAAAATTTGTGGAGACAGGGTCTCACCATGTTGCGCAGACCAGTCTTGAATTCCTGGCCTCAAGAGATCCTCCCACTTCAGCCACCCAAAATGTTGGAATTACAGGCATAAGCCACTGCACCCAGCTGTTGTTGATTTTATAATTGGGAAGTTCTGGATACATTCACCAAAGCTGAAGTTTTCTCCATTGTCCGGGGCCCCGGCTTTGTGCTCCCCTTCTCCTGCTGGATCTCTCACCCCTGCGTGACCCAGTGGTTTGGAAATGGCAAGCTCCAAGGGGCCAGGACTCAGTGTGGCTCATTTTTGTGTCCCCAGCTCCAGAAAAGGCCTGGCACACTATAGTCCCCAAGTCATTCACTCATAGTAACTCAGCGGTCAGTAAGGTCACTTCTAGGTGATTTCTAGAGATTCCTCCAGGTGGTCAGTCTATTCTGCAAGGTCTTTGGATTCCTCAAAAACCTGCACTGGTGAATCTCAGCAGCATGGGATTTGGGGAAGTCCCACAGGGTGATTGACACAGCCTTTGCCACTTTTTAGGTTTTTGATTCTTATAATTGATGTTGAGTTCCAAGGCTTCAAAGTCAGGATGAGACCGGGCATGGCTGCTCACCCTTGTAATCCCAGCACTTTGGGAGGTTGAGGTGGGAGGATTGCTTGAGCCCAGAGGTTTGAGTCTAGCCTAGGCAACATAGTGAGACCCCATCTGTACATACACTCACACAAAATAGCCAGGCATGATGGTGTGTGCCTGTAGTCCCAGCACTTTTGGAGGCTGAGGCGAGAGAATTGCTTGAGCCCAGAAGTTCGAGACCAGCTGGGGCAGCATAGTGAGACACTGTCTTTACAAAAAATAAAATAAAATAAATTAGCCAGGAGTGATCACATACACCTGTAGTCCGAGCTACTCTGGAGGCTGATGGAGGAGGGCGGCTTGAGCCCAGGAGTTGGAGGCTGCAGTGAGCCATGATAACTCCAGCCTGGGTGACAGAGTGAGACCCTGTCTCAAGAGAAAAAAGAAAAAAAAGAAAAAGTCAGGATGGGCAATAGTAAGAATGAATAAATAAACAGGTAACTTAGAGTGTTGCTGGATGAGTTGGGAGCGTGCTGCTATCACCCTGCACATGCTGCCCTCCCTGGTCCCAGGAACAGGACATCTTCTCTCTGCACACCTTGGTCCTTCTCCTTCCAGGCTTTGGTGTCCAACTTGAAACGTGGCTGCTTCTCATGGCTTCTCCTCCATGGCTTCTCCTCCACCTTCCAACCAATCGAACGGCTTTGGGGACCTCATATATTCTCCATTCACCTGCCCAGCTTCCCTGTGTCTCTTAAACCTTCACAGGTGGCTACATTTAGCCTGGCATAGACAACAAGGCCACTGGCACACAAAGCTTCAGGGATGCTTGTCCCAAACTGGTGCTCATAGATGCTGACACTGTCACAGCAGTCCCCGTTGACACATCTGTTCATAGGAAGAGGAAAGACAGCACCACTGCTTAGCTTGAGTTGAATTTATTTTTGTTCTACGAGACTGCAGAAGTCGAGACCCATGATGCCTATCTAAAAATCCAACCATATCAAAAGAAAGCCGCTGCTCTATAAACGAGATTAGCTATCTCCCAATTTCTGTGTATAAATTGGCTCTCAATTTAAACTTCCTCCCCTGCAGTAGTCCTTCATTACAAACCATCATTGCATCAGGAGAACATTGGAAAAAAGAAAAGCAACACAACAAAATACTTTATTTCATTAATCTGTTTAGCAATACCAATATAATGAGGCATAGTATTGATTTTCTTACTTAGGATTTAAAATCTAGACTTCTTTTCACAGAATTAAATGCTTCAAACTGATATTCCACCTCTTTACAGTCACATCTTTAATTTAGTTGTTATAATTAGGCATTAACGGGTGTCAGTAGGATAGCCAGTCAGAGACCATTCTGTTCTGCTTGTCTTGATTATCACAGTTTAGATGTAAAGTAAATTAGAATGAAAGACTATACAGTCCAATTACAGATAAAAGCAGCAAACTGCACTGTTGTAATTAGATGCCAGGACTATTTTTCTTAGATTTTGTATCTCTGAGGGCCTTTCTTAGAGCTACTTGGCTGAAGCTACTGCTAAAAGATTTCAGAGTGGATCTGAATCTTTGAGGCCATCTTGTCTCTTCCAAAACTTGAATTCTGACTGGGCTTTCCTCCTGGGAGCCTCTTTTCTTTACCCAGAGCCCACGAGGACTTGCTGGAGTTTTTTTCCCTTGGTGCCAGGGTCTTCAGGCATCCCTGCCTTTCAGTGGCTGGGCAACTCAGGTAGACTGGGGTGTAAGGATTGGTTTTTTCATGCGTCCATCTGGCTACCCCATCCCTCTTCCTCTGACCTCTTCACCACTTCCTTTTCTTCCCCTCCTCCTCTTCCCCGTTCATATCTAAATTTGAATATTTCCCTGACGTTTTGGCTCAGAATGGTGGTCCAAACCACGCTTTAAACCCCGGCAGTGGAATTTACTAGAGGTGAGGATATGCTAAGGGTGCCTTCCTTTAGGCACTGTTTATCTTTGAGCAGAGAGGGGAACAGCCAGATGTGGCTGCTGAAGAGTGACTTAGAGGTAATGGACCCATTCATTCATTGAATAAGCATTTATAATCAGTGTTATAATAAGCATGTATTGACTGCCCAGCCTGCCGGGTGTGTGTCTGCCCCACAGTCACCAGGTCCTGGGTCCCCCACCCCTAGCAGGTATGTGTCCCTGAACAGTGGCAAAAGCACTTGTGAGCATGAAATCTCTGTGTTCTGTAAGGGACAGAGCAGGGACACCCAGTCCATATGGGAGGCAAGTAATCCCCCTGTCCTTCACAACACCGGGCTGTGACACCTGAAGATCTAGAGGCAATTATTTAGATGGGTAGAGAAATAGCAGGAAAAAAGTTCCAGGAGGAATATCCTGTTTAACTCAAAGGCACTGAGGTAGTCTCAGGTAGTGAGAGTATGGTGGGAAATAAACCTACAAGGAGTAGAAGTGCAGCCAGATGTGGTGGCTCACACCTGTAATCCCAGTACTTTGGGAGGCCAAGGCAGGCGGATCACGAGGTCAGAAGTTCAAGACCAGCTTGGCCAACATGGTGAAACCCCGTCTCTACTAAAAATGCAAAAATTAGGTGAGCATTGTGGCACATGCCTGTAATCCCAGCTACTCAGGGGGCTGAGGCAGGAGAATCACTTGAATCCGGGAGGCAGAGGTTGCAGTGACCTGAGATCATGCCACTGCACTCCAGCTTGGGTGATAGAGCAAGACTCTGTCTCGAAAGAAAAAAAAAAAGTAGAAGGGCCCAGGCCATGAAGGATCTTGTGAGCTAAGTTAAAGGAGATGACTCAGTTAGAACCCTAGTCATGGGAAATGTCTGCAGGGTCCTCCCTGCACTGAAGTAAACGCCTGGGTCCTGGGTCCTGTTGCAATCCTGGTGCAGGCTGACACCTGGGCATCAAATCAAAACCAAAACTAAAGAGGAAACCTTATTCCTTGCAAATGTTTTACCAGAGAGTCGCTGTTGATTTAAGATTCCTTTTATTTCCATGATGAATTAATTTCCCAGAGATCATTTAAGGTGTATTCCAAGCATATATTTTCTTTTGTAACTAAACGGATCTGACCTCTTACTAATTTTGTCTACAATTAGTTTGGTGTAATTACCATCACTTACGATTCAGTCTGCTTTCACTAAAAAAAATTATTGTTCACAGGGTCATAAAACTCTTTAAAAATTGCTTGATGAAAAATGGAGCCTTGGGAACGTCGCATGAGATAAGCCCAGCCATTAAATCCTGGACTTACTGTGTGCAGGAGGTGGTGGTTAGTGCTGGAGCTTGCTCGGCAGTGGAGTGGCAGCGTATGGGAGAGAAGCCCTCCTTTACGGGTGTCCCCTCAAGTCCCTGGGTGTGTGCTTTGCAGCCTAGCAGGGTCTGAGATACCAACTCAAACACAGAATGCCCAATATGCCCTGTGTTCATCTCCTGCTTTTCTCTGATGAGTCAGAATGGACAGATCCAACCAGAATAAACAAATAATGGGAACACAGCATTGCAGACCCATCACTAGCCTCGAAGTCAATTTCATCATTCACAGGTAGATGCTGGCTGAGCTAAGCCCACTCTTGTGCAACCCCTACATTTGAGAGGCTCATAGCCTGGTAGGGCACTTGACAGCCACGCTCCCCGTCCTGCCCTCATTTCCCCACAGCAAGCCTCCTCCCATCAGCCAGCCCTGATTATGAAAAGTGACAATCCATTCTTAGTTATCCCAAGTGGACTAGTACCTCCCTCATCCCCTCATTGCTGGGCTGGAGAAATGCAAAACCAATGATCTTGAATTTTCTCCAACAACGCCTGTCTTTGAAGTAAGATGAGTGTGCCGAACAACTTTATTCTTTTGTTCTTGGTGTAGACACACATGTTCTGATGTTCTGGCATGTATGAATCAGGGTTCTCTGGAGAAACAGAACTGATAGGATATAGAGATATAGGCATACATGTATATAGAAATAGATATAGCTAGCCAAATAGAAGAGAGGGGATTTACTATGGGACTTGGCTCACACTATTATGGCAGCTGAGAAGTTCCACAGTATGCTATCTGCAAGCTGGAGAGCCAGGGCAGCCGCTGGTGCAGCTCAGTCCTAGGCCCATGGCCTGAAAACCTTTGAACAGAGGGTAGGGGAACTGGTAAAAGTCTCAAAGTTCAGAGGCTGGAAAATGTGGAGTTTTGGTGTCCAAGGTCAGGAGAAGATGGGTGTTCCAGACACAGAAGAGACGGAGAGCAAACTGACCTTGTCTCGGCCTTTTTGTTCTATCTGGGCCCTCATCCAATTGGAGGGTGTCTGCCTTGATTGGGAGAAGGCAGATCTTCCTTACTCAGCTCCCTGACTCGTACGCCTAACTCTTGTAGAAACAACTTCACACACATACCCAAAATAATGCTTTACCATACCAGCTATCCTGGTATCCCTTAACCGTCGAGCTGACACCTAAAATTAGCCATCACATGGTGTGAACAGACAGCCCCTCATGTGCGCACACACATGTTCTCATGTTCTGGTTTGCACACACATGTTCTCATGTTCTGGTTTGCACACACATGTTCTCATGTTCTGGGTGTGCACACATATGTTCTCATGTTCTTGGTTTGCACGCACATGTTCTCACATTCTGGGTATGAATACACATATTCCCATGTTCTGAGTGTATACAGACATACCCTCATATTCTGGGTGTACACACTTATGTCCTCATGTTCTGGCTGTGTATACACACATTCCCATGTTCTGGGTGTGCACACACATACCCTCACATTCTGGGTGTACACACACGAGTCCTCATGTTCTGGGTGTGTTTACAAATGTTCCCATGTTCTGGGTGTGCACACAAGCTCTCGTGTTCTGGGTGTGTATATACACACTCCCATGTTCTGGGTATGTGCACACATGTCCTCATGTGCTGAGTGTGTATATACAAGTTTCCATGTTCTGGGTGTGTGTGTCTGAGCTGGTACCACTTTACAGTATTGCTTCAAATTGGTACGGTGAAGAAGATGTGCAAGGAGAAGGAAGATTCTAGACTCAGGGTTGCCTGGATAATCACTGCAAGGTGTTTAGATCTGGGTGTCTGAGCATGTGGCTGACAGGGCCCCACCGCCCCTGAAACAGACCCTGCAGCTCTGGCCCCCAGTCACAAGCACCCCCATGCCCACTGAGTCACCTGGCTTTGCTTCTTCATTTTAGAGCACAGTTGCTACGTAAAAGGTAGCAAGACATGGACGCTGAGACTCCAAATGAGCCCCTGTGTCCAAGAAGGCAAACTGGGCAGGATTTGGATCCTGGGGTTGGGGGTACCATCTGTCCCCAGCGTACCATCGCATACTCCCAGCCAGCACTGGTGTTACCTGGAAGGAGATGAAAGCTGTGTGAGATACGGTCCTTGTTCTCAGAACTCTACAACTTCGTGGGGGAGGAAAAAACAAGCCATCCAAACAGCACAGGAGCAAAGGAAGAGGGTGTAGAGTTGGCCAAATGGTGCCCAGAGGATTGGCTGTGGGCCTGGAGCTGTGTTTCATCTGTGTCTATCACGTTTTTAATGTTTGCAAATTGAAATCAGGATGTGCGGTTCTCTTGAAATGTGGAGATATGGCCACAGCAGCCGCAGCTCAGCCCTTGGGTTTGCCATGGCCCCTCACTCTGTGTGTAGCTTCACACCTCATTCCCCTTGGCTGCCGGGGCCTCATTTGCACCAGTGATCCCCTTGGGCAAGCAACCTAGCCTCTCTCTGTCCCACGTTCCTCATCTGAAAGTAAGAATAATGGTGCCACCGCTGTGGGCGTGGTCGTTAAAAGGGAAAAATGCCTGTAAGGGGCCTAGCATGTTGTTTAGTAGAGAGAAGGCACTCACGAAGTTTTGGCCATTGCCATCTTTGTGATTATATTTATATAATACTTAATGATATAATTTTTATAATATACATTTGATAATATGTAATAATAATCAGTAGTCATCCATTATTCCTAGTGAACCAATGCAGAAATCTGCATGCAGCTCAACCCTGAGGTTAAACTACAAGGTCTGACTTGCATTCCACATACTGCCAGCCAAATGACGTGCAATTATTTGTGAGTGCCGAACATTTTCTTTTTATAAACCCGTGATCCACAGCTTTGTTGTCTCCTGCAGCACCTTTTAAGGGATGGTTGGTTATATTTGCTAACCAACCAAATAGAACCAAATAGAACTAACCAAAGTCTGCCGAGCTTAGATCAAGAATTTTCAAAATGACAGATAACTCCAAAACTCTGGAGCAAAATAGAATCTTATTCAATATGGAATTCACAAGTGCAATATTCAAGGACAATATACTAGTCCTTATTGATGGTGAATTCATCTCTCCCACTCAGAATTCCTGGAGACCATGCGACCTTGGCACTTGAGTGTTGTGAATTTGGATCATGATAAATACAAGTCTTTCGTGTATGTAACTTGAATCTGGGTATTTTCTCCAAAGGCACGGTAGATTCTTCCAAGTTATCTTTATGAAAAAAACAGTTCTTTAGATAATAGTGGTTGCTTCCCTTAGGGGAACAATGCCTTTTGATAAGTAGAATTTATTTCCAGAAATTAGTGCCTAGATTTTGTTAAACTGTGCTCAATATTCTGTTTCGATCCTTGTGTAAAATGTTGGTATAGATAGAATATGTCTTGTGAAATGGATATGTATGAATCAAAGGATGTAATAAATTGCATTAGTGATTCAACATTGATTAACAAGCAGGCTTTATGGGGATTTTAAAGCATTATATCCCTTACCTTTGTTCAGTAACAAAATAAAGTGACCTCCGCAGTATTCTGTGGGTTTGAGGAGGGCTGGAAAGAGATACCTGAGTCCTAGGTTCACCTTCACTCCTGAAATTCCTTCTTCATCCATTGGGACACGAGTGGAAACAAAGGAGTCTTTGGTTATGCAAATCTGGGTGTTGACATGCCCAGTGCTTTTTCAACTTGTCCCTGGATGAAAAGCATTTACTGACCATCTACTATATGCCCAGGACTGTTCCCAGTACAGGGGATGCAGCAGTGAAAAGAGAGCCCTAGGCCTGGCGCGGTGGCTCACTCCTGTATTTCCAGCACTTTGGGAGGCCGAGGCAGGTGGATCACCTGAGGTCAGGAGTTGGAGACCAGCCTGGCCAACATGGTGAAACCCTGTCTCTACTAAAAATACAAAAATTAGCCAGGCATGGTGGCAGAGGCCTGTAATCCCAGCTACTGGGGAGGCTGAGGCAGGAGAATCACTTGAACCCGGGAGATGGAGGTTGCAGTGAGCTGAGATCATGCCACTGCATTCTAGCCTGGACGACAGAGGGAGGCTCTGTCAAAAAAACAAAAACAAAAACAGAGAGCCCTAGCATCTTCCAAATATTCCTTGACTACCTACCAAGTACCTAGGGCTGTTGTGCTGGAGACACGGTGGTGATGAAGGGGCAGACAAAATTTTTTCCCTCATGTGCTCATTCTCAGGTGGAGAGATAGTCAATAAAAGCATAACTAATGCCAGTCAGGGATGACAGAGCCATGACAGAAAGGAAGACAGGTGAGGGCACAGGAGCCATGGGGGGCATGGCAGGTAATGACAGGCAGCCTCTCTGTGAAGCCTCTGGGCAGAGATGGGAGCAGATGAGGATAACGATGAGAGGGTCGGGTCACAGAGGGCTTCTTGGGGCCACACAGTGTTCAGATTTTATATTGAATGTGTTGGGAAGCCCTTTGAGCAGGGAGTAACGTGATCTTTAGTTCTTTGCCAGATTTTAATTCAAACAGGCTTGGAAACTAGAGCATACTTTGGGGACTCCTTCTGCAAATGGGGTGCAGGCAGGCAACTAGAGTCCGTGATGACACTTTAGAGAGAGGGAGGGACTGTGGTAAACCCAAGCACAGGCCAAGGCTTCTCGTGAGGAAGACAGATTCTTTCTTCAGTCACAGTGGAGAACAGGCCCAGAGAATGTGAGTACTGGCACACAAGTGACCCCAAATGAATCCTTGATCAGGCAATTATGGGCATTTATATGCCCAATATTTTCATTGCATATATGTAAGGCATACAACATGAAGTTCTGATAGACCTAGTGGAATGATTAATCCCGCCAAGCAAATTAACGTATCCATGTCTCCTCTCCTAGTTCCCTTTGTGTGTGTGTGGGCGTGTAGTGAGAGCACCTGAAATCTCTCTTAGCAAATTTCCAGCAAACAATACGCTACTAGTAACTGTAATCTCCCTGCTGTACGTTACATTTCTGGACTTACACCTCCTACATTGCTGCAACTTTGTACCCTAAGACCAGCGTTCTCCCAGCTCCCTGCCCCTGGTAACCAGCATTCCACTCTCTGCCTCTGTGTATTTGACCTTTTTAGGCTCTGTGTATAAGTGACATCACATAGTGCTTTCTTTCTTTTTTTTTGAGATGGAGTCTCGCTCTATTGCCCTGGCTGGAGTGCAGTAGCACAATCTTGGCTCACTGCAGCCTCCGCCTCCTGGGTTCAAGCAATTCTCTTGCCTCAGCCTCCCGAGTAGCTGGGATTACAGGTTCATGCCACCAGGCCCGGCTAATTTTTGTATTTTTTGTAGAGACGGGATTTCACCATGTTGGCCAGGCTGGTCTTGAACTCCTGGCCTCAAGTGATCTGCCTGCCTCCACCTCCCAAAGTGCTGGGATTACAGGCATGAGCCACCACTCCCAGCCAGTGCTTTCTTTCTATGTCTGGCTAATTTCATTTAACATAACATTCATCTGTGTTGTTGCAAATGGCAGGGCTGAGGGTCGGGCTTCTGAGTAACTTGCAGTGTCCGGTATTGTTTCAGCTTGGCCCCTGGACAGCTAACTCCCAAAGCAGTACTTGATTTCTGTTCTAAGTAAGCAACTCTGCCCTGCCCTTGTTTCTGGTTCTCCTAGGCCCACAGGGTCCCCAAGACATCTAAACTTGCTGGGAAGCCTTTGTGGTCTTCCTTTTTTTTTTTCAAGGCAGAGAACACGTGCCTGTGTCCAGCTATGGGCCTCTGTGTGTGAAAACCTGTGTGTTCTGACAGTATCCCATATGGAACTGGGCATCAGGGAGAGATGTGGCTGTAGGTGAGGAACATGTCCTTTTGCTGACTTCCCTCCCTTGAGATCCCTTCCAGCCTTTCCTTGACCTAGTGAGCCAGGACAGCCTGGAGCAGACGCAGGGACAGAAATGTCCTGGAAAGACATCAGGTGCTTCTGGGAGCTGCTGTGTTGCTCCCTCCAACCCTGGGAGTCCATGCCCTTGGCCCTAACCTGGGCATCCTCAACAGGAAGGCTGGGCCATGACTCAGTTCCAAAAGCATCCGCATGCTAGTGATTTCCCTGTTCCTTGGTCATTAGCAAATGCAAACCACCGCGGGGATGATGACTGGAGGCCTCCAAGCACCCCGAGTCCATGTTATTAAGACAAACTTAAGAGTAGTAAATAAAAGGAACAAACAAAATAAAATCACAGAATGAAAAAATAATTAAAACAATAACTATTCCATTCATCCTGAGCACATCATCTCAGATTGCGTTAGAAAAAACTACAATAAAAACATGCTTTTAATCTGATAGTAAAAAAGCCCAATAAAATAAAAATGAGCTCCATTAATGAAAATAATGGCTCTCATCCCAGCCAGTTAAAATGCTGAGCTTATGTGTTTTGGGGTTTGGGGGAGATGAGGACTATTTTTTTCCCCCACAGCTAGTGATAGATTTGCTTTTGTTACATACTCAAGATTGTCCTAGCTAATTAGTATTACTTAATATGGAATCTTACCTTTTGTATGAAGCCCAAAGAAATTGCACAGGAAGACAACAAGTTCCTTGAGAAATGGGCAAAAGGAAAATTGTGCTCTATGTAAGATTTGGATTTTAGAAAGGAACTCAAATACATATGGCTGTGTGTGTGTGTGTGTGTGTGTGTGAATGTGTGTGTTTGTCTCTCTCCCTTTCTCTCTCTCTCTTTTAACCTCCTCTCTCCCTCCTCCTCATTACTTCAATTTGCTTTTGCCCCTTTTAAGAAATGACTTTAATTTTCTTGCAGATGACAGGTGAGCCCCACCTCAGACTCTGTTTGGAGGAAATGGAGGTATAAATAGATAAGTCCGCAATAATAGGCGACCTCAAGCAAGACCCTTTCCTTCTATTTGTGCTAGAAAAATTGTGCAGCAGGTTTCAGGACTTCCTCCCCCATTGCACATCTGCCGTCTTGAATGCCTTCTCACTATGGCCTTCTCCTGGGGTTCTTTTCTCTGTTTCTTTCTAGCATGTGTTACCAACTGCAGTTTGTAATTACTTGTATGTTAACTTGCTTAATTCCGAATCCTTTGAGCATCACTGCAATGGGAGAAATCCCATCAACCACAATCCATGTTGTAACCTCTCAAGACTCTGCTGAGAACCAACCTTAACCAAACCTAGGACAAAACTCATCCAGAGAAGCTCTCTGTCCACTTAAGCAGCCCCTCTGCTGCCCTCCCGGGGTCCTGATGCTACTAGTCCAAGTACAGCACTTACTTGTTCAAATGAATATTAACATTGTAATTTAGTACCCAATTATGCTTCACTAGCTGTAACTGGAAATGTGGTATTAAAATCCTTATATGCTCTTTGGCTATCAGCTTGTACATTTGTCCATATCCTGGAATTACTGGAGATTTTTAAAATGTACAATCTTTGTGCTTACATCTCTCTCTTTTGCCAATCTTCCCTTGTCACTTGCAGATTTTCTCTCTACCCTGGTAGGCTGGGTTGAGTCTTGCTTGAATAACATAAGATGTTGGTAGTTCTTCTCTTTGCTGAAACAGTGTGTACAGAGATGGTGTTCAAGATGGCTTCCCCTTTGCTCTGGTATTAGTACTGGCCACAGAGCATAAGAGCTTCAGGATTCCACCATAGGAAAACTCACCTGCCTTCAAGCATTGTGCCCGATACATAAGTGCTCAGCCCAGCTTTGCTTAATTAATGCTTCCTGTTATGTCTCCTATGCTGGGCCAGTGGTCCTTAAGCCTGAATGCATACTAGAAAACTTGTAAGTATTTTTATTTTTTGAAAAAATATGATGCCCTGGCTTATATCAGAAAAATGAAATCTGAGCCTCTGTGGAGGGGGCTTCCTGATGGTTCTCATAGGCAGGAACAACTGAGATCCCTGCTCTAGGCCCAGCCAACATATTTGTGTTTTAAAATGCCCCTGTTTCCTGTATGACCAATTCTATCGTAGAGCAGCCATTGGCAAAATATTGAAAAATTCGTTTCTGCCTTGAACTTTGCTATGAACTGATGAGCCATGCTGAAAGTGGAGGAGGGAATGTAGGGTTTCTATGGGTAAAGAAATACTTTTGAAAATAAAAAGAGTATTCTAATGGGCATTATTCGTGTCTGAAGTACTTGCTGTTCTAACCTTCAGTGTTCTGTGCAGATTCTTGCACAAGGCAAATCTCCCTGTTGGAGGACTAGGTGGGTGTTTTTATAGGATGCACATGGCTCGTCACCAACAGCCCTGCTATTAAGAGTCAGGATCACCATCCATGGCTTCTGTTTTTAAGAAACATTCATTTGCAACTGGGGAAGAAAATGCAACAACTAACGATGTCAGTAAGTCACCCTCTAAAGAAATGAGTGTTTTCTGACAGCTTTATTGTGTTTAGAGATGAACTTGCTGAACAAAGAGGAGCCCCGTGCTGCAGGATCATGGGGTGGCATGGGGTTAGCAGGCACCTCCAGGGAGCAACTCCCTGTCTAGCCAGGATCTTCCTGTGTATCCCTATAAGCTCCACACGGCTCTCTCTCCATGGCAAAGCCCCTACAGGTGAAATTCCCAAATCCTTGAATGCAGGCCAACTGTTCAAACAAGGTTCAATGAAGGCAATGCCAACTTTTAACCAATGGAGCAGTCTCTGTACCTCACTTCTGTTTTCTGTAGCTCACTTTCCTTTTTTATTTTTTTTTTCTATAAATGTTGCGCAATCACAAGGCGGCCCTGGAGTTGCTCTGCACCTAATAGAGTTCTGAGGCTTGCCCGATTCTTGAATCATTGTTTGCTCAGTTAAACCTGTTAAATTTAATTTGTCCAGAGTTTTTCTTTTAAAAGTACCCAGGCCATGTCAAGTAAACTTTGCCTAAGCTGATTTGGGTTCAAGGCTCCCCATGCATACACTATTTGCACAATTGGAGTGGATTTTCCCTGTGCATCAGAACCACCTGGTGAATGTCCCCAAACTATAGTTTGCAGGGCCTGGACTCTGGAGAGTCTGATTATGTGCTCTGAGCTCCTCGAGTGACTCAGGCAACCTAGCTCTTGGGGACCCAGGCTAGAGGGCGATGCGGATGGGCTAAGCCTGCCTCCCCCTGCTAGATGGATGCTCACCTTGGGCAGGGGTTTGTCAAATTGGGCCTCCAGGGACACAGGATGTTGCACCGGAGCCTTAGGATGAAGATGGCTGGCCCCACATCACCTTGTCCTTCTCAGATGTGTTGTGGCCTCAGTGAAATTACATTTCGTTAGTATCTGTTCCCAGGAGATAGTAGCCTAGGCCGGCGTCTCTCACATAAGAGTCACCGGTATGCAGGGGTTGGGTAAAAGACTGTCCTCACCAACCTCATCACTGGAAAGAAAGAAAGAGGAAATGAAATCAACCAGATGAAACTAGGCGAGCCCTGGAGCCCATACAGTTGTGGACATAAGGCCCCGGGAAGACCACCTTGGCAGTGCAGGGCAGCCCAACTGCCCTGAGAATGGCTGTCTGCAGGGTTTTCACACAGGCTTGGCCTATCCTGAGCACCATCCCTGCATCTGAAAGACACTGGTTTGGAGATTTATTCTTGAAGTTTTGGGGAAAATGCCCCCCACATACCCCCTGGCCCAACAGCTCCTGTATTCAATCTATTTGTTGTTCTCGTAGGAACGTCTTCTTCCTTGGTTAAACCACAGGGAAGCACTCACCACGAGGAAAGCAGCATGGTCCAAGGAGAAGGGCTTGGGACAGGAGAAAGCAGTGCCAGCTCTACCAGTAAACCGTGACCATGTCCCATCACTCTTGCTCAGCCTTAGCAACTTTGTGCTTCTGGGATTCTGAGAATTTTTGGTAAGCATTGCTTTGTTTAGGTGACATAGAAATGCAAGTATCTGAAAACATGTTGGCATATAGTGTTCTTAGCAATCTTTCCTCCAGCTCTCAGCCTTGAAGGGTGGAGTCGTTAATCTCAGACAGTGGGAGGATTTTGGTTGAGCTGTAAGAGTGATTTGGGTCTGAAACAGCAGCTGTGGGGAGCCCTGAGTGTCGGAAATGCAGCCTCTTCCCATCTGGATATCAGATTTCTGACACTGCTCAAACTCACCTGTGATGTAGACTCTCTGAACGACAGGCCAATAACAAAGGCAAAACCCTAAGCCTTCATTATTTCTGATATGAAAGATATAAGTTCATTGTAGATGTGTTTCTGAAGACACAGAATAAACAAAAAAATGCAAATTACCATTTCCAACCACTCTCCATGTGGACCTGATTCCAGCCATTTATTTCATGTGCACATATTATATGTGCACATATTATATGACTATTTTTATGAAACAGGATTATATTGTATGCATTATTTTATGATCTGATATTTTTTCACTGAAAAGTAGATCATGGACATACATCTTCCTCTATCAGATATTATTCTGTCATTTTAAATATTTGCATAGTATTTAATTATCTGAATGTATCAATTTAATCAGTCTCTCAACATTGAATACTGAGGTTGGTACCATTTTATATCATTTCCCTTTCTTTTTATGGAATTAAAAGAAACATTATAGCTAAATATTTGCATATAGCCACAGTGAGGGAGGGTAAATTTCTAACATGTCTGAGTGTTCTTTTGAAAGGTTTGACTCTGGAAGGACCTGCCAACAGCGGGGATGTTTCCGCATTCTCACGGCTGTCTGTTCTGTCCAGGAATGGCATGACCAACCCCTCCTCTCCCCCTTCCCACATGTTGGTGTCAGGGGTACCCTTCATGCGAGTGACTCCCCAGGAGTGTAAAATATATAAGACATAAGGTTGGTGCTGGGATAGACCCTTGGTATTTTGAACAGGTAATCTGGCATCTTTCTACTAGAATACACTGGCCCAGAAGCTCATAGAAACCTTGTATATATCAGGCCAACAAGGGGCACTCCTGTTCGTTGATTTACTGCTCTGTCCCCTCTGTTCCCCAATCTTTGGGAGGCAGAGAGGCCACCAATGTTTGTCCCTAGCTGTGGATTCCCCCAAGAATGCTGGTGCTGGTGACACCCAAGCTGTAACATAATGACGTGAACCAATTAACCTGGGCTCACTGCTGGGTCCAACATGCTGCAGCCCTCATATGCTGATATCTACGTAGGTGGGTAAGTGGGTACTGCCAGCACCCTGGCACTTTTCACATGAATGTTATAGTCTGAGGACACATGCAAGCAACGAGAGCTCCGAGGAGGCATGGATAGGGTTTGATGATTCCAACAATGACTAGCCTAAGACCACCGGAGACCACCTGTAGCCTGCACACCATGGGAAATGGTGGGAAACTGAGGCAGATTGTGTTGTGGGGACATCTTACAGGGCTTGAACTTGTGTTAGGTTGATATTGGAGCTGGTTATTTGGGAGCACATCAAAGGTGTGCTCTGGCTTGAGTGCTGTCAGGAATCGGGGGCAGTTCTATGCCAGCGTGTCTTCATCTGCATGCTGGAAGCCTGAGAAATGAAGTGGGGCTAAATATCAAAAAAGGAACCTCACTCACCCACATTTGCAGAGAGGAGAGAATGTTTGGTTTTGATGTGGTTTGCGCTGTGCTTTTCTTTTGGTCTGTACTCAGAAATGATTAGAGAGAGTCTTGTTTTTGTCTCACTCCATCATGGTCACAGAGCAACCTCTGATGTTGGTGTTGGTTGAAAATGTCTATGTTTAATAGAAGACCACCATGGCCAAGAGCACCAGTCCAGCTCCCAGCTGCCAGCTGCCAGAGGCTATTTTTTTTTTCTTTCTCAGACTTCTGCCATTCTGTTCATACACCCACTCAACAAATATTTGTGAAGTGCCTGGGCTGGGTCACACCTGTTACCTTGTTTTGGACCACTATGGCCAGTGTGACTCAGGCTCTTCAATTATCTCCTTCTCCTCCATTATCCAATTTGCCTATTCTGTGCACCATTCTCTCTCGGCCAACTTGTGCAAGAGTGTACAGATTTTTTTTTTAATTTCTTTGTCTTCATTTTATGCAAATTTTAAATTGTATATCAGCTTTAATGAGTTATAATTTACATGCATGTAATTTACCAAACGTAAGAGCATAATTCAATGAGTTTTGGTAGACGTGCACAGTCACGCATACATTTATCTACTCAGTCATGATATAGAACATTTCCATCACCCACTTGCACCTCTTCAAATTCAATCCCATTCCCTAGCCCTAAGCCTTGGAAACCTCTGTTTCATTTTCTGTTGGTTATAATTTGGCCTTCTCTATAATTTTACATAAAAGAAATCATACAGTGCCTTGCTCTTGTGCCTTGATTTTTTTCACATGGAATGCCCACTACAATGTACTTGAGATTCATCTGCTTCTTTATTTTTTTTCTCATTGCTGAGTAGCATTCCATTGCATAGATGCATTATCATTTGATTCTATTCACCAATTGATGAACATCTGGATTAATTACAGTTTTATGAAATTATAAGTAACATGGCTGTAAACACTTACATAAAGGTTTATGTATAGATATATGGAGATACCTAGGAGTGGGATTACTGAGTAATGTAATACATATATGTTTAAATTTAGAACTAATGCTAAACGATTCCCAAAGTGATCATGTCATTTTATATTTAGACCAGCAATTTATGAGAATTCCAGTTACTCCAGCTCCTTGTCGGCAATTGATATCATCATTTTTTTTTTTTACTTTAGCCACCTTTTTTAAGTGTGTAGTGGCTTCTCATTGTAGTTTTAATTTGCATTTCTCTGATGACTAATGATATTAAGCATTTTCTACACGTTTATCTTTGTGTGGTGCCTACTCAAATATTTTGCCCATTATGTAGTTAAAAAATCAATTTGGGGAAAATTGTCATCTTTGCTGTGTTTAGACTTTCAATCCATGAACATGGCATGTCTCCTCATTTATTTAGACTTTCTTTGAATTCTTTCATCAACATTTTGTAGTTTTCAGATCTTGTACATGTTTTGCTTAGTGTTTTATTTTTATTTTATTTATAACGAAAAGAAGTTAAATTGCCTGACAGTTCTGTAGGCTGTGCAAGTATGGCGCCATCATCTATTTTTCTTCTGGGGAGGCCTCAGGGCCCTTTTGCTCATGATGGAAGGTGAAGCAGGAGCAGGCATGTCACATGGCAAAAACATGAAATAGAGGGAGCTTAAGTTTATACCGCAGTATTTTGTTTCCTTTGGAACAATTATAAATTATATTCACCTTATATGTTGGTTGACACATATTTATTGTTATTATGCAGGAATGGGATTGATTTGCTATATTGTGTCCTTGCAGATCTTACTTATTAATTCCACTTTTGATTATTGTGGATTCCTTGGGATTTTCTGTGTAGACAATTATCATTTGCAAAAAGGGAGTTTTATTTCTTCCTCTTAAATTTGTATGCCTTTTCTTGCCTTGTTGCAGTGGCTGGAAATTCCAATACTATATTGAGTGAGAGTGATGAGGGAGAAGCCCTTGCCCTTGTTCCCTGTTTCAGAAGAAGAGCATTCCATCTTCCACCATAAGGATGGTGTTAGCCACAGGTTTTTGTAGATACTTTTTATAAGGTAGACGGATTTTTCTTCTTTTCCTCTTTTTCTGAATTTTTTTAATCAATGAGAGCTGAATTTTGTCAAATGCTTTATCTGTGTCAATCCATAGGATCATGTGATTTTTCTTTTTTAGCTTGTTAATGTGGTGTATGTCTTAGTTGTTTTGTGTTGCTATATGAGAATATATGAGACTGGGTTATTTATAAAGACAATAAGTTTATTTAGCTCATGGCTCTGTGAGTTTTTTAAGGATTCTTCTTGCCTGCTTCACAGTGTAAAGCCAATACACTGAGATAGCAGTGTTGCAGCAGGGAAAAAGTTTAATTATCACAAGGCAGCCGAATGGATGGATGGGAGAGATTTCTCAAATCCACCTCCCTGAGAATTCAGAGGCTAGGGCTTTCAAGGAAGATTTGTCAGGCAGGGGTCCTAAGGAATGGGGAACACTGATTGGTTGGGTCAGAGATGAAATAATAGGGGGTAGGAGCTGTCTTCTTACATTGAGTCATTTCCTGGGTGGAAGTGACAAAACAAGTTGAGTCAGTTTCTTGGTGTGGGTTATTGGTCCAGGTGGCATCAGTTGGTCTGTCAGAATGCAGGGTCTGAAAAATATCTTAAACACCAATCTTAGCTGTTACAATCGTGATGTAATATATAGGATCAACTGGAGAAGTTACAAATCTTGTGTCCTCTGGCCACATGACTCCTGAGCAGTAAGCAGATATGAAAAGCTAAATTATAAAACAATGACTGGTTAGAGTTTAACTATACCTACCTCCTAACAGACTTTAGGGTCCTACCATAATTCTAACTTTGTGGCCAATTTGTTAGTTTTACAAAGATGTGTTTTTGGTCCTCAAGAAAAGAGGGGGTTAGTTTTGGGAAAAGACTGTGATCATCTTTGTCTTAAACTATGAGGTAAATTCCTCCCATAGTTAGCTTGGCCTATGCCCAGGAATGAGCAAAGACAGCTTGTGAGGTTAGAAGCAAGATGGAGTCAACTATGTCAGATTCCTCTCCTAGTCATAATTTTTAAAAATGTTTTGGTCCAGGAAGATTAAAGGGCCTGGAACTGGGATCTGCTTAACTTGTGGTAAGGATTTTTGTGCTGGGTTAAAACATGGTGAAGGTCAAAGAGGAAGTGGAAATGTGTGAAGGGACAAAGCCTGAGGGCATCTTGGCTGTATAACAACCCACTCTCACAGTAGCTAATCTATTTCCTTGAGAATGAATCCAGTCTCAGAGAACTCACTCACTACCATGAGAATAGCACCAAGCCATTCATGAGGGATCTGTCCCCAGGATCCAAACCCCTCTCACTAGGACCCACCTTCCAACACCTCTGCATTTGGGATCAAATTTCAACTTGAGTTATGGTAGGGACAAATAAACCATATCCAAATCATAGCAGTGGATTACATTGATTAATTTTTGATTATTGAATTAATCTTGCATATCTGAAATAAATCTAACTTGGTTGTGTTGTCTAGTTAATTTTTTATGTTGGTGAATTGATTTGCTAATATTTTGTTGAGGATTTTTGCAACTAAGTTCATGAGAGCTAGAGAGTATAGTTTTTCTTATTTTGTACCATATTTGTGCGGTTTAGGGGATCAAAATGGGTTTAGAAGTGCTTCCTCCTTTTTTGTTTTCTGAAAAACACTGTGTAAAATTGTTAATTATTCTTTAAAAGTTTAGTAGAAATTTCTAGTGAGACCAACTTTTTAAAAAGAGATCTGTAATTAAAAATTTAATTTATTTAATGTTTATAGGGCTAATTGGGTTATCTATTTCATCTTTATTGAGTTTGGGTGGTTTGCAGTTTTTGAAGAATCAGTCCATTTCTTCTATGTTGCTAAATTTATGAGAGTCAAGTTGTTCATAGTATTCTATTCTTGCCCTTTTAATGGCTGCAGGATCTGTAGTAATAGCCCATTTTATTTCTGACATTCACGTTTTGTGTCCTTGCTCATTTTATTTTGGTCAGTCTTGATAGAGGTTGATCATTAAAATAATTTTTTGAAAGAAGTAGTTGTTTTGTTTTATGCTTTCTCTTCGCTGTTTTTCTGTTTTCAGTTTCATTGGTTTCTTCTTGGATCTTTTTTACTTTCTTTTGCTGGTTTTGTGTTTACTTTGCTCTTTTTTTTTCATTTTCTTGAGATAGGGACTTCAATTGTTGATTTGAGACTTTTCATTTTTTCCAATGTAAACATTTACTGCTATAAATTTCTCTCACAATATTGCAATTTTATGAATCTTTAATTTTCATTGAGATCTTCCTCTTTGACCCATGGAATATTTAGAAATGTGTTGTTCAATTTGAAAATGTGGGTAATGTGGGGAGAACAGTTTTTAGCTCCTTGAGACAGAAAATTTCCAGGTTAGCATTTGAAAAGGTGATATGTAGCACCTTCAAAAATCATATCAAGGGTTTCACATATCCTTGAGAATGTAGATGAATATAGGAACAGTTCCTTCATGGCAGGAAACTAGTATGAATAGTATGAAATGAGAATAGTGCATAACATAGAATTATTTTTATTTTTATTTTTATTTATTTATTTATTTTCTTGAGAGAGTCTTGCTCTGTCACCCAGGCTGGAGTGCAGTGGTGCTATCTTGGCTCAATGCAAGCTCCACCTCCCTGGTTCATGCTATTCTCCTACTTCAGCCTCCTGAGTAGCTGGGACTACAGGCGCCCGCCACCACACTTGGCTAATTTTTTGTATTTTTAGTAGAGATGGGATTTCACCGTGTTAGCCAGGATGGTCTCGATCTCTTGCCCTCATGATCTGCCCACCTCAGCCTCCTAAAGTGCTGAGATTACAGGAGTGAGCCACCATGCCCGGCCTTAACATCGAATTATTATCTAGAGACTGAAATGATTTTTTAAAAGTTAAGTACTTAAAATCGTGTCTGGCAATTGTATGCATTTTAAAACAGCAACAACTAAATAAATATTCAACAGCCATTTCTGGAAAACAACATTTTAAAAAACGATAAAAGCAATAACAAAAGAAACAGTACCTGGCCCATAGCAAGCACTCAAAAATTTCATTACTACACTGAAAATTTAAGTGTAGTGAATATATCCGGGGACTCGCAAATCCAGGTTAAGCACTTATGGAGGAAAAAAACAAACAAACACATTTTGCCTCACCACATCAGTAATTGTTGGTGAGCTTGAGCTGGTTAAGAGCTTTCTCTGGATCTTAATCTTCTCATCTAGAAAAATAAGGGTTAGGGGCTGGGCACGGTGGCTCACACCTGTAATCCCAGCACTTTGGGAGGCCAAGGCAGGTGGATTATCTGAGGTCAGGAGTTAGAGACTAGCCTGACCAACATGGTGAAACCCCATCTCTACTAAAAATACAAAAATGAGCCGGGCGTGGTGGCGGGCACCTGTAATGCCAGCTACTTGGGAGGCTGAGGCAGGAGAATTGCTTGAACCAGGGAAGCAGAGGTTGCAGTGAGCTGAGATCGTGCCACTGCACTCCAGCCTGGATGACAGAGCGAGACTCCTTCTCAAAAAAAGGAAAAAAAAAAAAAGAAAAGGAGAAAAGAAATAGAAGGATTAGGACTAGATAATCCCTAGGGAGCTCTGAGCTTTAGTTTTCTGAATATACACATTTCAGGTTATGACAGGCTAAGGAGCTGCTGCTGTGTGTCGGCTCTGGGTTGGTTGTGTGTTGGAAGAAGGGTCCACTGCAAAGGTAGGCTCTTCAAACTCTTCAGCACTAGAGGCTCTTAGACTCCTGGCAGTGGGACAGGCATCACAGACCTGCTGGAATGTCGGACACCGCCACTGTGGACAACCATAGTCTGGCCCCAGAAGTCCCTGCCAAGCCCAGGACTGCAGGCCTGTGGTTGGCACCCCACAGGTGCAGCCTTCATTGTGATGCGTGAGTTGGGGTGAAAGGCACTCCCGTGTGCATGCAGGAGACGTTAATGACAATAACGAGCCCCCGGCAATTATACCCAGTGATGTGTGAGGTCAGGAGTAACATGCGCTGTCAGTCAATGGTGGTGCTGGAAAGTAGGTGAGTGGCAGAGCCAGGAGAGAACACCTCCTTGTGCAGAATTAATCGTCCCTCGAAGCAGTGCTGTCACTCACTGTCCCCTGGCCCAGCGTGCAGTATTGTGATGCCTGTCAGTCTCCCGGCTGGGGGAGGGGGAAGGTCTCTGATGAGAAGCCTGCCTCACCATGCAATAGAACTGAAACAAGCCCCCATTCGAGGTCCCAAACTCCCACGGAGTCTTCATCCTGGGCAGCCTGTGTGAGCTAAGGAGGAGAGGACACCCTTTGTTCGAGGGAGTCTTCTACACCCCGGACTCACCTGGAATACCTGCTTGGGGAAGAAGACTTGTTGTTATCTTTGGTGCTTTGAAGGGTCAGCAATGCCTCTCTCTGGAGGAGTTCCCCAGGGGGAAGATGGAGATGAAGTCTAAGTTCCTACAGACAGGACACAGCCCACAGACTTCTGGCTCACTAGTGGGGGCCCTGACTTCTGGCCCAAATTTTGCTATTTGCTCACCCCGAGACCTTAGAAACATTTCCCTGTTGAGGGATAGTAATGCCAAGCATTCACTTCATTATTATTTTTATTGATATAAAATAGATGTCCATAATATCAGGATATGTGTGATAATTGGACACATTCATGTAATGTGTAAAGATCAAATCAGGATAATTGGGGTATCCATCACCTTAAATATTTATCTTTTCTTTATGCTGGGAACATTTGAATTATTCTTGTCTAGCTATTTTAAGATATGCCACAGAGTATTGTTAACTAGAGTCACTCTACTGATATTCTTTTAAAAAAAAAACCACTAGTCTTAGCAATCTCTTCTATTCTTCATTTTCCATGGTCTTTTTACTCCCCCCTACCCCAAGGAATACACCTAGAGCAGGAATTCAAAGGGAGACACATGCAGTTATTATTTATTTTAACCTTTTGAGCTTCCGAAGGTTAACATTTTAGCCTAAAAATAAGCAAAGAATATTTGCTGTGCCAATGCCCACTTCTCACTCCAAAGAAAAGGGGGTGAACTGAGAGAAAGCCACATGGAAGGGACAGGGCATCCATCTCCTTCTCCTCGGTTAAGTATCTGTGAGCAGGTGACCCCCCTGGGAGATTTGGGGGTCTGAGAACACAGAATCCCTGGGTCTCAGTTCCCAAGGAGAAGCTGTGAAGTGGGAGGCCCCAAGTGGCTCCACACCCTGGCCTGGGAGCAAGGTGATCCCAGCAGAGGGGAGCCTCACAGCTCCTGCCATCCCCTAAAGGTGTGAGGGGCAGCTGCTTTTCCACAGCCCTAAGAAGTGCTTACAGAATAGGTGGGGGTGGGCTGGCCTTCCTGTGGGGCCTCCTGATCCTGGTGGGTGCTCAAGAGCACACCAAGGACCAGGGGTCAGGCACCATAGGGGAGGTATACACATCTCTGCTGATCCATTAGTGAACTGGATATCAGCAAAGAACAGAAAAGACCCATGCTCAGCTCAGCAGATGTGCATGGACAGAGGCTGACCAAAGCTCAAAACTGCTTTGTCTTCCTCCACCCATATGGTTGGAGGACAGAGAGGAGACATCGGAATGGGCTGAGTTTAAATTTGAACTGACTGGCCAGGCGCAGTGGCTCACACCTGTAATCCCAGCACTTTGGGAGGCTGAGGTGGGTAATCACCTGAGGCTGGGAGTTCGAGACCAGCCTGGCCAACATGCTGAAACCCCATCTCTACTCAAAATACAAAAAATTAGCCGGGTGTGGTGGAGGGCGCCTGTAATCCCAGCTACTCAGGATGCTGAGGCGGGAGAATCGCTTGAACCTGGGAGGCTGAGGTTGCAGTGAGCCAAGATCACGCTATTGTACTCTAGCCTGGGCAACAAGAGTGAAACTCCATCTAAAAAAAAAAAAAAAAATGGAACTGACTGTTGACTCAGAACTTAGGTTCAAGGTAGGAGTAAGTTAAGTTCTAGAGAAAGAAAGTGGCTGATTTGCACATATGGTGTCCTGAAACTGTTACACCCAGTAGGGCTCAGTGACTCACTGTCTTCATAGGTAAGAAGCATCCCTTGATGAGCTGTTATGACTCTCAAATTCGGTTTTGGAGAACGTAATTTACAAACAAGAAAGGGCCATGGGAAACATCAGCAGTTTAACACTATCGGTAGCCAGAAAGTTGGGATTTCCAATCCTAATCAAAGTGTGTTGGTAGTTTTCTGAAGATGCCTGGGTTTGAGCTCCTCTGAGCTAGGGCTTTTCAAAACCAGCTGAGGGTCAGAATCACCTGGGAGCATTTTGAAATACGAACGCCGGACCGATGAGCCCAGGGACGCTGATGAAGCGCATCTAAGTTGGGGCTTAGAAGTTGATTTTTCTACCTTGTCTTAGGTGAGTGTGGTGACCTGGATAGTTCAGGAGCTGAGTGAGACCCAGAGATGGCCACCTCTGAGGATCAGGTGAGGTGTTGGCATGTTACGGAAACTCACCACGGCCATCTGTCCAAGGCGAGGCCAAACGTGCGTTTATCCCACTGGTCAGACTTGCTCAAAGATTCCCATAGAATAAAGCATCCCTGCTGTGCAGATGACAGGAACCCCCTGGGAGATTTGGGGGTCTGAGAACACAGAACTTGGAGGGAAGCAATTGTGGGTTCAGAATGAGAAAGCCTTTCTTCTTACATTGTCGGGGAGAGTGAGTTCCTTACTAATTGGGGCTGATGATCAAATGGACGTTGGACAATCACCCATCAGGGAGGCTGAGGGAAGGAGTTCAAGCAGGTCCAAGCAAGGGTTGAGGAAGACAGGTCCTTAGGCCCCTTTGAAGCCCAGTTTACCAAGGCTCTGAGACCGCAGCATCTGTAGTAGATTTAGGGGATCTGGCTCTGGTGTAAGCTGTAAGATGGTGTTCACCCTCCTTATCTGGCCCACAGAATTAAAAATACCTGGTGAAGGCGGTGTGTCTGCTCAGTGGGCGTATCCGAAACAAGCGACTTGCTTTTTCTTTTTTCTTTTTTTTTTTGAGACAGGCTCTTGCTCTGTCACCCAGGCTGCAGGGCAGTGTCATGCACACGGATCACTGCAACCTCCAACTCCTAGCCTCAAGCCATCCTCTCACCTCAGCCTCCTGAGTAGCTGGGACTACAGGTATGCACCACCATGCTCAGCTAATTTTTGTTTATTTTTATTTGGGGATGGGGTCTTGCTATATTGCCCAGGCTGGTCCTGAACTTCTGTCCTCAAGCGATCCTCCTGCCTCAGCCTCCTAAAGTACTGGAATTACAGGTCTGATCTTTTGCTTTTGATTATTTGACATGCAGTTGTCAATCTGAATAATGGGAAACCTATCATATGTTCCTCTGCATTCTGTTGCTGTGGCAGTGATGATTTTTCTCCTATGTTCCTAGAAACTGTAGACGAACACCAGAAACAAAGGAGAGGCAGAGCTAGTCGAGGACGTCAACAAGAGGGGACTTGTACATCTTCTCTAATTTTGTTCAGGGTCTGGGTTAGATTTGTAAATTTTCTCATCATGATTCCTCCTTATTTTCTTTTTGAAATTGGCTTGTTTGCCTTCTTCTGATTAGTTTGCTTGAGTTTTTATTATGCAGTGTGGAGATTAGCCTTGTTTCAAAGATTATTTTCTACAGTATCATTTGTGTGTTGACTTCGTTTACTGTGTATTTTGTCAAACAAATGCTTTAAATTTATATTAAGAGAGATATAACCTCCCTTTAATTTTTAAGAATCTGAGTTTCTATTCTTATTTAGGAAGACTACATTGACCCCTGGATTGTATGAGTGTCTTCTGATTTTTATCATAAGATTCTTTTGTTTTATCTGAGCCTTTTATCTTGAAATTTATTGTTGCCTATGGTAATGGAATAAAAGTTTAAAATTTTATTTTATAAAGATAATGAATTTTGCCAGCATTATTCATTAAATGGTCTATTTTTTCACATTAAGTAAAACTCTATATTTGTCAGCTCTTAACTTTGCATATACTGGGATCAAATTCTAGATTTTTAATTAATTTCCATAAACCAATTTGTCTCTTCTTACGTCCACACCATGTTAACTTTACTACAATGGCTCTTGAGAAGATAACAGTAGTGCATAAATTAAGCCTCACTCACTTTATTCTTATATATTTTTAGTACATTTTAGGTATATTCTTCAATATGAATTCAAGGATCATTTTAACCTCTTGGAAATCTAGTTAGAATTGATAAAATTTATAAGTTAATTTTAGATGAATTGATGTATATGATAATATATCTTCTTGTCCAAGAGTATAGTATACGTTTCTAGGTATTTGGTTTTGTTTTATTCTTTTTATTACAATTTAAAATTTGTGTTGGATATGTTATATAGCTTTTCCATTAAATTTATTCTTTAGCATTTTGCCATTTTTGTTGTTAGTGTATATGAACTTTTACCTAATTTATATTCCAAGTGCTTAGTACTAAGTAAAGGAGCTATTGATTTTTGTATATTTAGCTTATATGTAGTTACCTGAAAAAAGTTCTTATTATTTCTAGTAGTTTTTTTCTTAATAAAATATCATGAGATTTTTAGATATATCAGAAAAAAGATAAGTGCATATTTCAATGTTTTAATCTTTTAACTTGTATTTTCTAGAACTGGACTATCCAATATAGTAGCCACAAGGGACATCTGGATATTTGAATTTAAATGAAATAAAATAAAAATTCAATCCCTCACAATAGCCACATTTCAAGTGCTCAATACTTGCCTGTGGCTAGTGACTATCATATTGGGTAACACAGAATATGGAACATTCCCATCATTGCAGAAATGTGTTTGTCTGTTTGTTTGTTTGTTTTTTGAGATGGAGTCTCCTTCTGTCCCTTAGTATGGAGTGCAGAGGTGCGATCTTGGCTCACTGCAACCTTCACCTCCCAGGTTCAAGCTATTCTCCTCCTTCAGCTTCCCGAGTAGCTTTGATTACAGGTGTGCACCACCACACCTGGCTAATTTTTGTACTTTGAGTAGAGACAGGGTTTTGCCACATTTGCCAGGCTGGTCTCGAACCCCCGACCTCAGGTGATCCACCTGCTTTGGCCTCCCAAAATGCTGGGATTACAGGTGTGAGCCACCACACCTGGCCCATCACAGAAATTTTTACCAGACAGTGCTATGGTAGGACATTCAAGAAAAATGTATGCTACCAATAGTCACTGTCAATATTTCTGTATAATTCTTGATATTGAAATGTTTTACTGTTTTGACATTTAAGGTAATTCAACAGTGGTCAAAGAAATGTCACTTAGATGAATAATGATATTTTATATTCAAAAATAAAAATATGTACTATTGACTAATATTGACAGGCTTGAAGAAAGGAGATATTGTCACAGGTTGCTGGTGAAAATAACCTTTTGGGAATGCAGTCTGGCAACATCATTTCAACATTAAAAAATATATCTACCATCCAACCCTACAATTGCCCTCCTGTGAAATTACCCCATGGAACTGAAAGAACAAATCCATAAGGACAGGCATACAGAGGTTTATTGTAGCATCGTTTGCACTGGCCCCAAAACTGAAAACAGAGCAAATGCTTACCAACCAAAATGGCCAAAAAGAGAGGACTATGCCTTCAGTATGGAATGGCATGGAGCCAGGGCAAAGAAGGGATTCGAGCTACACTCTGTGACTTTGAGGAGCTGCTATAAGGTATTGTTAAGCAAGAAATTAAAATGCAGAAAGAATGGAAGATATTCCATTCCTGTAAATCAAATAATAGAAAATCTTCCAAAGAGTACATGTATATAAATGCATGTACACATACAAATAGAATTTTGGAGAATTTTGTGTATAGGTGTTCATAGAATTATAGGAGTATGAAGAAATATGTGGGTTGTTAGAAAGGGTGAGCATGGAGCACGTGTGATATTATTCCATTTTTACAAAGTTTACACATATGTATGTTTCTATGAATAAAGAAAATCTATAATAAAAAGCTTATTCCAAGTGTTATTAATGGTTATTTCAAAGGTGTGAGACTTCAGAGGATTCTTACTTTTTTCTTTATAATTTTATATATTGTTGAATTCTATATAGAAAGAAAGGCAAATTTAAAAAAAAAAGAAAAACTTCTTTTATTGTGGAACCCTCTGCCCAAATGCTTAGCATGACGCCTGAGCACATCACTGTGCGCAGAGAAGCAAAAAGAATAGAGGTTGAAAAGCATCATATTTTTGCCACCATTCTTTAAAATTAGTTTACATTTCAAGTTTAGGTAAATATTTACTTTATTTCCTGACATGTAAAAAAATTACATTCATCCCGTTATTTAATTCAGTTACTTTGGGTAAAGAAGGCTTTCTTTTAAAAAAATTAAGCTCATTTTTTTATCTTTTCAGATGCATAAAAGAATCTCTTCATCATTTACTGCATAATTTAAAAACTATATTATTTTTAAAAACAAAGAACAATAGGACTTAGCAACCACCATTTTATCCTTTCTTCAAACTGTGACTGTTGCCCACAACAAAATAAATGTACACACCTATGTGCACACACACATTTACACACACACACACATGCACACATAACCCAGGTTGGAAATCACTACACACGGGTGTATGTGGAGTAAAAAAAAATAGTTTTCCCTCATTATTTTATTTTACTCAACTTTCTCTGGCATTATAAGCAATTAACTTTCCCATGTAAATTTGAGAATCGTTTTGTCAAGTTTCATCTGTCCCCCACAAAGTTCTGTTAAGATTTGTTTAGAATCACAAAAGTCGAATACGTTAATTTGGAAAGAATTAGTGATATGGCTTAGATGTGTGTGCGTCCAAATTTCTTGTTGAAATGTGACCTCTGATGTTGAAGGTGGAGCCTGATGGGAGGTGTTAGGTCATTGGGGGCGGATTCCTGATGGATGGCTTGGTGCTCTCCCCGCCATGATGAGGGAGTTCTCGCTCTGTGTGTTCACATGAGAGCTGGTTGTTTAAAGGAGCCTGGCACCTGCTCCTTGCTCTCTTGCTTCCTCTCTTACCATAAGACACACCTGCTCCCCCTCCACCTTCTGCCTTGAGTAAAAGCTTCCTGAGGCTTCACCAAAAGCTGAGCAGATGCTGGGGCCATGTTTGTACAGCCTGCGGAACCATGGGCCAAAGAAACCTCTTTTCTTTGTACATTACCCAGTCTCAGGTATTCCTTTATAGCAACATGGACTAAGAACAACAAAATGGACTAAAACAATGAGCATCTTTGAGTTTTTTTTAATCCAGAAACACAGGTTTGCATTTTTCCCCCAAAAAACTTTAAATTTTCTCTATATACTTGTTTTGAGACTCTTTTTAAAACCCAGATTTCTTGCATATACTTTTTTGTACCAAAAAGTCACCTTTTTGGATGAAGAGCACTATGGCCTTTGACTAATATATACAGTTCTGTAACCACCAACACAATCGCGATATGAATATTCACACCACTGCAAAAAGTGTCCTCATGCCACCTGCTTCAATTCTTCTCCTCACCACTGTCCCTGGCTTTTTGTTTGTTCTCAGAATGTTCTATAAACGGACTCATACAATGTGCAACCTTTTGTGTCACCAAAAATAATGATTATAAGATTCATGAGGATCATTCAGTTTTATTAATTGAGTGATATTCCATTATATGGATATAACACAATTTGTCCATTCACCTATTGATGGATATTTCTGTTGTTTCCATTTTGATCCATCAAATAAAGCTTCTATGGACATGTGTGTAAGCATTTTTGTGTGGACATATGTCTTCATTTTAATGGGAAATGTTAGGTATGTGTTTAATATGCTGGGTAAATATATTCAATAAAATATTCTGAATTCAATACACTGGACAAATATGTGTAATTTTGTAAGAAACTGTTTTCCAAATAGATTGTTTTATATCCCACCAGCAACAAATAAGGGTTCCAGTTACTCCCCTTTCTCTCCTACATTTGATATTTTCAATCAAACATTGTGGAAAAATATTCATAACATAACATTGACCATCTTAACCATTTTTAAGTGCACGATTCAGTAGTACTAAGCACATTCATATGGTTGTGCAGCCATCACCACCAATCATCTCGAGAACTCTTTTAATTTCTCAAAACTGAAACTCTGTACCTATTAAACAGCGACTCCCTATTCCCACCTTCCCCAGCCCCAGCAATTACCATTTTACCTTCTGTTTCTAAGATTTTGACTATTCTGCCTTATGAAGTGAAATTATACAGTATTTTTCTTTTTGTGACTGGTTTATTTCACTTAGTATAACTCCCTCAAGGTTCATCCATGTTGTAGTATGTGTCAGATGTCCTTTTATAAAAGGCTGAATAATAAGTCATTGTAGGCATAAACCACATTTTGCTTATCCATTCATTCATCAATGACTGTGGGTTGCTGTCATGTTTTAGCTATTGTGAATAATGCTGCTCGAAACATGGGTGTGCAAAAATATCTCTTTAAGACCCTGCTCTCAAGTCTTTTGGGTTATATACTCAGAAACGGAATCGTTGAATCTGAATAGGGTAATTCTGTATTTAGTCTTTTGAAGAACTACCATACTGTTTTCCACATTGGCTAAACCATTTCGCATTCCCAAGAACAGTGCACAAGAATTCCATTTTCTCATCTTCGCCAGTACTTATTTTCTGTTATATTAATAGTATCCCTCCTAACAGGTGTGAGTTGGTATCTTATTGTAGTTTGATTTGCCTTTCCCTAATGATTAGTGATATTGAGCATCTTTTCATGTACTTATTGGCCATTAGTATATCTTCATTGGAGAAATGCCTTTTCAATTCCTTTGCTTATTTTTTAATCAGGTTGGTTTTTGCTGTTGAGTTTTAGAAGTTCTCTGTGGAATAGGGATACTAATCTTTTATCAGATATATAATTTGCAAGTATTTTCTCCCATTATGTGGATTGCCTTTTGAGGGGAGAAAACCTCAAGCTGTTTCTTCCTCTGCTCTCCCCCTATATCAATCAACACAGAAGTCTTCTGTCATCAAATATGTGGAAGTTTTTCCCCACACACCAAACAAGCAATCCATTCTGCAGTGGACACAGCTGGGTGTTCTCTAATTCAATTCCAATGCCGTCGACCTGGAGACGGCATCAGATCCCACAGGCTCAGTCCCACAAGACTACCTCCTCTTCAGATACGAGTTGTTAAGTCCGGACCTCTGAAACTTCTGACTGATGGCATTCAAGTTGAGGCTCCCATGACTTCCTCTTTGGGGTTAACTAATTTTCTAGAGTGGCTCACAAAAATCAGGGAAACTTTTACCTATTTTTTGTAAAGGATATTGCAAAGTGTGCAGATGAAAAGATGTGTAGGGCAAGATGTAGGGGAAGAGGTGCAGAGATTCTATGCCTTCCCTGGTCATGCCACCTTCCAGAAACCTCCAGGTGTTCCACTAACTGGAAGCCCCCTGATCCCTGTCCTTTTGGGTTTCTCTGGAGGCTTCAATACACAGGCATTGATTAAACCACTGACCATTGGCCATTGTGACCAACTCAAACCTTCGACACCTCTCCCCTCTCTGGATAATGTGGGTGGGACTGAAAGTCCTAACCCTCCTCTAATCCTGTCTTTGGTTTTTCCAGTGACCAGCCCCCATCCTGAAGCTTCCTAGGGACCCCCAGCCACCAGTCAATCATTAGCATACAAAAAGACCATCACTTTTGAGATTCTAAGGATCTTAGAAGTTGTGTATCAGGAAATTGTGTCAAAGACCAAATATACATCTTACAATGTCACATCTCTCTTTACTCTGTTGATAGTTTCTTTTCATGCACGAAATGTTTTAGTTTTCATGAAGTCTAATTTGATGCTTTTTTTGTTGCCTATGCCTGTAGTTTTAGTCTTATTAATTTTTGCCAAGTGATACATCATTGTGGCTTTAATTTGCCTTTGTCTGTTGACTAACGATGTTGGGCTTTTTTCTCTGTGCTTATTGGCCATTCGTATATCTTCTTTGGGAAGTACCTGTCCCAATCTTTTGCCTATTTTTCATTGGATTGTTTGTCTTCTTATCATTGAGATCTAAGAGCTCTTTACATATTCTGGATACAAGTTCTTTTTTTTGTTTAATTTTTTTTTAGAGACAGGATCTTGCTATGTTGCCCATCCTGGTCTCAAACTCCTGGCCTCAAGCCATCTTCCTGCCTTGGCCTCCCAAAGTGCTGGTATTATAGGTATGAGCCACCATGCTGGACCACAAGACTTATATTGCATATTGGAAATATTTTCTCCTTGCCAGTGACTTGCCTTTTCATTTTTAAAATTATATATTTTGAAGAGTTGAAAGTATTTAACTTTGATGAAATCCATTTTATCAATATTTTCCCTTTTTTTGTACAGATGGTATCTCACTATGTTTCCTAGGCTGGTCTCCAACTCCTGGGCTGCAGCAATCCTTCCACCTTGGCCTTCAAAAGTGCTGGGATTATAGGCGTGAGACACCACACCAGGCCCCAATATTTTCTTTTGATTTGCACATTTTGTATCTTAAAATTCTTTGCCTAACCCAAGGTCACAATGGTTTATACTTATCTTTTTTTTTTTTTCTAGAAGTTTTTTAATTTTAGTTTGTACACTTAGGTACATCATCCACTTCAAGTTCTTTTAGGGTTGTGATTTTTTCCCCCATATACATATCCAATTGTTTAATTGTCATTTGTTGAGAGATTATTCTTTCCCCATAAATCACGTTGGCTCTTTTGTCAAGAATAAATTGACCACATATGTATGGGTCTGCTATATCTGGACATTCTTTTCTGTTTTATTGATCTATACAGCTATTCCTTTGCCCCTGCCACACCATAATGTTTACTGTTACTTTGTATTAAACCTTGAGATAAGGTATTCTTACACTTCTAAACTTGTTCTTTATAAAATTGTTCTGGCTTTTCTAGGGCCTTTGCCTTCACAAGTAAATTTTAGAATCACTTTGTCAATTTACATTAATTTAAAAAGCTTGCTAGAATTTTAATTGATATTGTTTTAAACCTGTAACTTAACTCGGGGAGAACTAACAAGTTAAAAATAATAAGTCTATGAAGATAGTATATATTTTTTGTCAGGTCTTTTTTTTGCAATGTTTTGTAATTTCTGTTTACTAGTCCCACACATATTTTGTTAAATTTATCTTTATGTATATTTGATATTGTTAGTACAATAAATTATATTATAAAGCTTTAATTTCCAATTATTTGTTGCTACAATATGTAAATACAGTTGTTATTTTGTTTATTGATATATTCTGTGACATTGTTAAACTCACTTATTACTTCTAGTAGCTTCTTTGTATATTCCTTAGATTTTCTATGTAGACAATTATGTTACCTGCAAATAAAGATAATTTTATTTCTTAATTTCTATTATATATGTTAAATAAACCACACTTTTACCAAAATTTTGCAGAAGGTGATTTATTAACTGCAGAATGAGTGATTAACTTCTTAGGTGAGTGTGACCTTGGCTTGGGGACTTGCTGAAAGATAGTGTACTTTCCACTTCCTCCTCTTCCCCTTACATGAGATTAAAGTCTGTGTCTGTTGAGAACAGAAGCAGTGGATCAGCTGAAGAAGCTGGATTTGGTACATTATCTGGTGAACTCAAACTGTGTACACACCTTGAGAGTATTCAGACTAAAATAGATTCATATATAAAAAATATTTTAAAATTATCTGCATACATATTTCATCAGAATTCTGCTTCTGATATACCTGGCTGAGTAATCTTTTGGGCTGATGCAGCCAATTCTGTCCTGTGCCTTGGCTCTGCTCATAGAATTTGAAAGGATACTTCTGCAGGGAATAGATATATATAATTAGGACTCCTTCTGTCACAGAAAACATACCCTGACCAGCATAAAAAGATAGACAAACGAATTTTGCGAGTTATTATATTTTGTTACATAACTGATACATCCAGGGCTGTGTCTTCAGGCATGACTGGATCCAGGAGCCTGTCTCTCTCTGATTCTTGGCTTTCTTCATGAGTAGCCTCTGCAAGTTGACCTTCAGCAGCTCCAAGCTTGTCTTCCATAAGCTTGGCAAATCCACGGAAAAGCAGCTTATCTTTTTCATTCGTTTGCAACGGAAGTTCTTGGCTTGAGTCCCACTGGCCCTGCCGGGATCAACGTGTTCATCCCTGAACCCATAACCTGTGGCTACGAGCCAGTGAGGTAGGATTAGCCTTACCTAAAGCACAGGGATAATCCAAGGGGCATTACCAAACACAGGGAAATAGATGCTGAGCAGACATGAACATGCTGTCCACTAGAGTGTGACAATATTCTGTAGTGAGCTCGGGCAGGTATAGATCTATATATACCCTGACATCGTTGTCACTGGATGCACCATTAACCTGCTTTCTTGAATGTCTGACTTAGTTTGCAAAACAGCTTTACAGAAGTTTACCACCTCTCCTCCTCTCTAATTGCTTGAATTCACGAGATAATTTCCCAGACACAGCTTCTTCATCTGACCTACTGCCTTTATTCTCAATAGATGCAGACTTGGTTTTATCTAAGAGAAAGAGGAACGAAGTGGGGAGGACTGCTATTTTTAACAAGTTCCCAAGTTCAGGTCGTAATTGACGTTAGAAGTTGACTGTGCTCCTGCGCAACGAAACAGGACTACTGTGCTCCTCCGAACTCGTATCTTCACCTTCTCCACGTTTGAGTTTTGTGGTTTTGCTCATATAGTCTCCTTTAGGCAAATACTCTTCCCTCCATTTCTATTTATTAAATCCCAATCGGCATTCAAGCTCCCATCAAGATCCACCCTTGCATGAAGCCCCTCTGACTCAACCCTCTCCAATGTGGAATTAAACCATCTCTCTCCAGTGCCTCAACAGCAGCGTTTTTTGTTTGTTTGTTTTTTCTTGAATTATGGTCTGGAGTTTGCGCATCTTACTAGCCTGTAAATGGTGCCTTGTCTTTCTCCATGGTTCTACTGGGCCTAGCACACTGTTTGGCAACAAATCAGTGCGCCTCTAGTGATTGTTGCATGGAATCCTTTACCCTTTGCTTCTCCCCATATCGCGCAGCTCTTCCCCGCATGGGCCATGCCATGTTGCCAAGTGGGGACAAGGAACAGAGGCTGCCAAGAAACCAGGTTGGCTCCCAAGCATCAGGCCAACGCATGGACAAGAACTAGGCGTGGCACAATAGCCAAAGGGTGGAAGCAGCCCAGACGTCCACCAGTGGATGAATAGATAAGCAAAATGTGGGGTAGACATACAATGACATACGATTCTGCCTTAAAGAGGAAGGACATTCTGACAAAAACATGGATGGCTCTTGAAGATATTAAGTGAAACAAGCCAGATACAAATGAACAAGGTATGATTGTATTCCATTTATGAGATGTATGATTCCATTTATGGGATGTCCATAGAGTAGCCAAATTCATAGAGACAGAAAGGACAATGGTGGTTACCATGGGCCAGGTAGAGTCGGAGATGAGAAGTTATTGTTTACTGGTTATGGAGTTTCAATTTGGGAAGATGAAAAAACCCTGGACATAGATATAGATGGTGGTGATGGCTGTATACAATGTGAATGTGCTTAATGCCACAGAACAGAGCATGTAGACATGGATAACTTGGTAATAGATATATACACACACACACATATACACACACACATATATACACACACCTGTATAATCTACACACACATATATGTGCATACCTATATATATCTACACACGCATATATACACACACCTATATATATCTACACACACCTATATATATCTACACACACCTATATATATCTACACACACATATATACACACCTATATATCTACACACACATATATACACACACCTATATATATCTACACACACATATACACACACCTATATATATCTATATTTATAGATACATATATCTAGATATCTATATATACATATACACACACCTATATATATCTACACACACACATATACACACACCTATATATCTACACACACACATATATACACACACCTACATATATCTACACACACACACATATATACACACATCTATATATATACACACATATATACACACACCTATATATACACACACATATATATACACACACCTATATATACACACACATATATGTATACACACACCTATATATCTACACACACACATATATACACACACCTATATATTTACACACACATATATATATACACACACACCTATATATATCTACACACACATACAAACACAGCCCTATATATATCTACACACATATATCTACACACACACCTATATATATCTACACACACATATATACACACACACCTACATATATCTACACACACACATATATACACACACCCCTATATATATCTACATACACACACCCCTATATATATCTACACACACACATATATACACACACACCTATATATATCTACACACACATCTATATATATCTACACACACACATATATATGCACACATATATATGTGTGTGTATATATATATCCACAACAAAATGAAAAAGAACTAGGCAATGTGTCTTTTGAGGGAGACTGCAGAGTGGCTAGTGTCAAGTCCTGCTATTTGTCTCTTACTGTTTTGTGTGTACCTAGGCAGACAAAACCTTAGCAAGCTTCAAGCTCCTCTTCTTTTTTTTTAAAATTGTGTATACTTAAGGTGATGTCTGATATATGCTTGCTTAATGAGATGGTTACTACAGTGAAGCCAATTAATATACATATCATCTCGCATGGTGACCTTTTTTTGTGGTAAGAGCACCCAAAAGCTACTGTCTTAGTTTTCAATACAGTAGAGTATTGTTAACTATAGCCTTCATGCTGTATTTAGACATCTAGATTTATTCGTCGTACATCACTGCAGCTTTATACCCTTTGACCTACGTCTCCCCAGCTCTGGTTCTATGCATTCAACATTTTTTGTTTGTTTGTTTGTTTTTTTAGTTTTCACATATAAGAAAAATCATGCAACATTTGTCTTTCTGTGTCTAGCTTGCTTCACTTAGCATAATGTCCTCCAGTTACATCTATGTTCTTGCAAATGGCAGGATTTCCTTCTTTTAAACAGCTGCATAATATTCCATTGTGTGTGTGTGTGTACATATGTATGTATGTATATATTGCAATTTCTTTATCCAGTCATGCATCGATGGACATTTAGGTTGTTTTCATATCTTGGCTATTGTGCACAACGTAGATATATAGATCTTAAATGTTCTTACCACAAATAAAAAAAATAAAGTAGGAAAAGAGTAACTATGTGAGGTGATAGATATGCTAATTATCTTGATTGTGGTGGTGATTTCACATTGTATATTTATATTAACATCAGAGATACATCTTAAATATACAGAATTTCTATTTGTCTATTAAACCTCAATAAAGCTGGAAAAGGATTACAGGGATGGTGCACACCACGCCCTTAGAGCATTGGCTGGTCACGATCAGCACTCAGGCAGTGCTGGCTATGTGATTCTGTTAACTGCGATCTTTATTCCCCTACCCATTGGAGAGGACGTCTTCTCCACGCCTGTGCACACGAAGGCTGGCTGCAGCCACCAGGCGCCTCCCCTGACTGTGGGCACTCACTTTCTCTCAACTTGTAGGGCTGAAATGTGTCCAGGGAAACCATCAGATCACAAAGTGTTACATTCGTCCTCAATTCCACCGATGACGTCAGTGAAGTGACAACTTCTGTCAGCAATGAGCACAGAAATCTCTTTCTGAGAAAATTTAAAGAGGACTAGAAATCTCTACAGTCTTAGAAAAATTTGGTTCCTAATTTGAAAGTTTCCTAATTTAAAACCCTGGCAAAGTGTTCACCTATTTAATAGGTCAAGAGTCAAGGCTTTTAAATCAAAAACTAACCACAAACTTCTGTGGCATCTTAGAAGAATATGCAAAACACTATTTTTAAAAGAATCTCAGATGTGGTGACAGTTTTACTGTTACTGATGTTATTTATAATTGTATTATTAATTGGACTAATAATTTTAGTATTTTCGACACCAATGAAATCAATGTGATCACCAATGCTCTATAATTATAATTATATGATAATTATACTCTTAACAGACATGCAGAAGTTCCTTTTTTAACCTAATAGCAGATAATCAATTTTTTTTTTTTGAGACAGAGTATCGCTTTGTTGCCAGGCTGGAGTGGCATGATCTCAGCTCACTGCAACCTCCACCTCCCAGGTTCAAGCAATTCTCCTGCCTCAGCCTCCCTAGTAGCTGGGACTATAGGCACGCACCATCACACCCAGCTAATTTTTGTATTTTTAGTAGAGACGGGGTATCACCATGTTGGCCAGGATTGTCTCAATCTCTTGACCTTGTGATCCACCCACCTAGGCCTCCCAAAGTGCTGGGATTACAGGCGTAAGCCACCACACCAGGCCACCAATAATCAATTTTAAAAATCACAAATATAAGCATCCAGAAAAAGTTTTTCTTTTCTTTTTCTTCTTCCTTCCTTTGTTCCTTCCCTTCTTCCTTCCTTTCTTTTTTTCTTCCTTTTTTTTTTTTTTGACACAGAGTCTCGTTCTGTTACCCAGGCTGGAGTACAGTGGCATGGTCTCACCTCACTGCAACTTCCACCTCCTGGGTTCAAGAGATGCTCTTGCCTCAGCCTCCTAAGTAGTTAGGGTTGCAGGTATGCGCCACTATGCCCGGCTAATTTTTGTATTTTTTAGTAGAGACAGGGTTTCACCATGTTTGTCAAGGTGGTCTCAAACTCCTGACCTCAGGTGATCTGACTGCCTCAGCCTCCCAAAGTGCTGGGATTATAGTCATGAGCTACCGCGCCTGGCCCAGAAAAAGTTTTCAGAAGACTGGTGTAGAATGTAGTTGAAGAAAATAGAAACGAATAACGATAAAGATTAAAAAAAAACCTTTCAGTTAAAGACAGCTATAAATATAGCTACAGCCAAATGAGGGGACTGAATGTCTAAATTATCTTCAAGTTAGATTGAGGTTCAATGTAATCTTAATCGAAGTGTGGGAAGGATTTTTTTGTGGGGGTGGGGGCAAGGAACAAAATATTTCTAAATTATACCTAGGAGAAATTAGATGGACAAGCACCAGTTAATAAAATTAAACCAAAAATTAATTGGAGGAAGGAGAATTTGCAAAGCCAGATAAAATGTATTATGATGCAAAAATCCTTAAATTAATTAGATACTAATACTAAAAGAAGTATACAAATCTAAAATGCAGACCAGAGAGCTCCAAAACAATTTCGTTAGAAGGGATTGATATTTAAGGAGTATTTTCCAAATGGCACTGAATTTGATGGAAAACTACCTAGGTTAAAGAAGCAGATTTTATATTTGCACCATACCCCAAAATGAGATAAAACAGATTAAAATGTTAAATGTCAAATAGAAATTGAAACACAACAAACTAGAAAACATCAGTGCATATTGAAATGATCTCTTGGCTAGCAGAGGACTAAGCTTAACATTATGAAAAAAATTACAGTGGACCAATGGATTTGACTCTATAAGATGTAAATATCTTATCTGTCAATAAAGTCATAAGTTGAAATCATAACCAGGAATATTTTTCCTACAAATATAACTAAGGATTTTTAACCTACAAACATATAGAATTCATATACATTAAAAATCAAGATCTTCAAAGGTAAAAAAAAGGATAACAATTAAAACAATATTATGATACTCTTTCAAGCCATCAATGGCATACATTTTTAAGAAATGCAATTCCCAGTGCCAGCAAAGGAGACTGAGTGTGGAGTTAGGGGAAGAATAAATAGTCAATTAAGAAGCAATTTCACAATATGCATCAACAGCTTTTAAATGCTTATATTTTTGATTTAATGACTTTACTTTTACAAATAAAACTATTTTCAAAATGTACTAAATTGCATTATAGAAATAACACAAAACGTGGGCAAGATTTAAGCTCAGAGGTTCCCACAAAATCGTTCATAAAACCATAAAGAGAGCAAGAAACTTCTAAGTGTCCAACAATAGCTAGAGGATGGTGAATCGATATCCTCCCACTTGGGAATATTTTGCAGGCATTAAACATGTTTACAATGAGGCTTGACAGATGTGGGAAATTGTGTGTGACATAATGTTAAACAGAATGAGAAAAATATTTACAACGCCTGACAGATGAACAGTTAATATGCATCATATGCAAAGAGTATTTACAAATCAAAAGAAGAAAAAGACATGTTACCCAATTTCAAACCTTGCAAAAACTATCAATAGACAATTCACAAGAAAAGAAAATCCAAATGGGTCAATAAACTTTTGAGAACATACTCAACCTTTGTGAATGGGAAAGTAAAAATTACAGTAAAACTGAAATAACACGTTTTACCATCAAGTTGACAAAAATATACGAATGATAATATTAAATGCTGACAAAGATGCCAGGATATAGGCGCTTCATATATTGCCAGTGGGATGGTGACTTGCTTCAGCCTTTTGGGAATGTAGTCTTAGAGTATTTATTGAAATTAAAGTATGCATGTCCTTTAACCCAGCAATTCTACTTTATGGCTGTAACTTATGGAAATAAAAGCATTATTTTTAAAGGAAGGAGGGAGAAGAAATCTTCTGAATGTTCATAAGTACGAGAATGATTGAATACATTGAGCATGTCAAGACTAAAGAATACTATGCAGTGAGAGAGAGAGAGAGAGAGAGAAGAAAGTGCTTTGTATCTGTTTTTCGCAAAGGGATGACCATGATAATTCACTGAGAGGAAAAAAGTTACAGAGAAATGAAAACGTATGATATATGTATGAGAGTGAAGGCCTATTTTTGTTGTGTCTTTTATTTTCTTTGAAACCTTTTTGTTTCTTTTGTTTTTCTATATAACTTTTGTTAAATATTTCTCCCTTCTTTCCTTCCTCCCTCCCTCCTGTCCTTCATTCTGTTTTCCTGTCTGCCTTTCATTCTTCCTTCTTATCTTCCTCCTTTTCTCCCTCCTTCCTTCTCTCCTTACTTTTTATCTTCCTTCTTGTTTCTTTTCTTCCTTCTTTACTGTATTCCTTCCTTCCTTCCTTCCTTCCTTCCTTCCTTCCTTCCTTCCTTCCTTCCTTCCTTCCTTCCCTCTCCAACATTCGTTATGCTAATATATCGCTTACGGACAAAAATACGATAATGGAAGGGGATAGTACATGCTAATAACACTGTTTTTCAACACTGGTTGTAGAAAACACAGGCCGACTTCATAATTTTGGAAGAGGGATTTAATAAAAAAGAGATTCTAGGACAAGATTATGTTCTGAATTCTGTTGTTTTCTTTTTTTTCTTTTCTTTCTTTCTTTTTTTTTAGTACAGGTAAAAGAAGATCAAATATAAAAGCCCCAAAATTTAAGAGTTTTCTGTTGATGAGCAGAGAGGTATAGTGATTTGCTTCTTTATACCATTCTGTGCTTGTCAAATTTGAGTTAAAAAGCATTAATTCCAATTTTTTCTAAAAGTATGTTTATGAAGTCATTGTGTGCATCCTTTCCTTCAAGGGTTTTACCTTTCTGGAGGTGTCTCCAGGGATGGAATGCCACACTCAGTTCCCCATGCAGCTCAGAGAACACTGCCATCCTTCCACCTGTGACGAGTGTGGCTTCTGGGACCTGAGCCATGCCTAGGGAGGAAGGGCACTAGCCCTGTATCACAGCAGAGCAGGCAGGAGTCCCAGGTTGCAGAGGGCACATGACAGCGGCTTGCCTACGTGAAGGGGCCCGTGTGGGTGTCATCGACCTCACACTACACAGGCAATCACTGGGTGGTGTCATGGGCTCATCTATCCAGCGTAGCAGGTGGCCGCACAGCTTTTGGTCATAGAAAGGAGAAAGGGCTCATTCCCCAGGCAGGAAAAGCAGTCAGTCAACGTGGCAGGGAGCTGCAGGAAGGGCCGCCTAGGGGAACCTCTGATGCTGTGTGGGTTTGAGCTGGAGCCTGCGAGGCCTGAGCGCTGGGCCAGCGGCTTCTGGAGAAATTCCGCTTTGGGGCCCTTCTGTGCTGGGCTTGGATGAATAACTCTTCCACCCCGGCAATAAAGTGGGGAAGGAGACAGTAAATAAGCAACGGGCAAAATTAAAACCAGTAATGAGCCGTATGAATATTGTGGTGTGATAATGCTGGAGACACATTTATTTGGGAGCATTGCACGTTCTGGGAAAACATAATGGCATTGTGGCTACGCGGCCTCATTTTCCTCTGCCGAGTTTCCTCTTATTAGCCCTGGAGGCTGGCAGCACCCGCACCTGTGCCCAGATGCTTTTAAAACCTTGGCAGGGAGAGGCAGGCCCATTACAGAGGGAGGACAGAGCTCCAAGGGTGGTCTCCTCAGCGGGGAGGGGCTGTGATGTCCCAGGGAGGCCCCTCCACCCACCCTGGCCTACTAGAGATGGAGAGCAGCCAAGGCCAAGTCCATCAGGAAGGACGCCAATGTCAAAGGCGTCGCTCCATTCACGCAGGGGGACCCTTGTCCTGAAACCTCCTCCGACCCCGCACATGTGGGTGCCTAATGAGTCCATGCTGAGGAATGGGCTGGAACTTGCTTGAATCTGCTGTACCCATCTCTGGGTTTTGTCTTGGGTCAGAGCTTTGACTTGCAATTCCTTCTTCAACAAGGCTCTAGAAAATGCCTTTCAGGTCCCAATGCCCCAAGGCAGGACAAAAAGAGTGCAAAGTTGTCACAGGGTGGACCTGAAGCCTAAGCTGAAGGTGTCTTGAAGGAAACCCGGTAAGGATGAGAAATTTTTAGAGGTTTTGGACTCTCAGGAGCTGGCTTTAGGAGAAGGAGTCCTTGTAGCCCAACTCTCCTTCAGGAAGAAGTTTCAGGGAGTCAGGGAGTCAGTTATACGGAAATGTGTCCTGTACTCCAAAAGAAGGATTCTAGACCTCCTCAACTACGTTAAGAAGAGGGAATGTGCTCAGGACACAGCACTCAGAGGGTGGCAGAGTAGTTTATTAACATAGAAAACTGCGTTCCCCTGTGGCTGATGCCTGTAATCCCAGCACTTTGGGAGGCCATAGCAGGTGGATCACCTGAGGTCAGGAGTTCAAGACTGGCCTGGCTAACTTGGTGAAAACCTGACTCTACTAAAAATATAAAAATTAGCTGGGCGTGGTGGTGTGCTCCTGTAATCCCAGCTACTCGGGAGGCTGAGGCAGGAAAATCACTTGAACCCCAGAGGCAGAGGTTGCAGTGTGTCGAGATCAAGCCACTGCATTCCAGCTTGGGTGACAGAGTGAGACTCCATCTCAAAAACAAACAAACAAACAAACAAACAAACAAAAAACCGAATTGCGTTCTCAGGTTGGCTTCTCCTCTCTACTGTGGGGGGTAAAGATCCTGTCTCTGGTGCGGGATTCAGGGGCTCTCTGCATGCTTTTTTTGTAGCTTTGCTACTGTGGACAGGCAGGCAGGGCACTTTCAGGCCCGTTCAATGTTTCTGAAGTTACTATAAGAAAATAATTTCCTGCTGGAAATTTCCAGCTAGATCGTTTTGAAACTGGGTCATGGGGTTTGAGCCTGATCAACTTGTAGAAATGCTATATAGTTGGTCATGTTTCTTCAATGCATGGGTATTTATAAATTAAAATATACATGGTTGTCAGAAAAGGGAGTAATTTACATAGTACAATGGGTTCATATTTTGCATATGTGCTCTTAATCTATCCTGTCCATGTTGTACAAGTGAAGTCTTTTAGGGAAGACTGACTACACAAAATCATTTCTGCTGCACTTTGGGTGGTTTTCAGCAGCAGTCATGTCTCAGCAGAATTTGTTTTTGTTTTTGTTTTTGTTTTGAGACAGGGTCTTGCTCTGTCGCCCAGGCTGGAATGAAATGGTATGATTTGGGCTCACTGCAACCTCCGCCTCCCAAGCTCAAGCAATCTTCCCACCTCAGCCTCCCAAGTAGCTGGGACTAGGAGCATGCCACCATGCCTGGCCAATTTTTTGTATTTTTGGTAGAGATGGGGTTTCGCCATGTTGCTCAGGCTGGTCTCGAACTCCTGGACTCAAGCAATCAGCCTGCCTCAGCCTCCCAAAGTTTTGGGATTACAGGCATGAGCCTCTGTGCCCAGGCTCAGCAGGATTTTTGAGTCTAGAGCCTCACTCTATGTGTGATGGAATTCCATTGTACCTAGGAAGTTCCAGAACTCCTCTAAGCCATTGTTTCCATTGAAAGAATGCGGGAAAAACAAAGCTCCTGAAGTGGAGGGTGTTGTGCAGGATCATTACCCAGAGAGGACAGAGCTCCAAGGGCGGTCTCCTCAGTGGGTAAATTCCAGAGTGAATTCCACTTTGTCTTCATAGTCTATGGACTCCACTATCTGTCAACCCTCTGACAACCTCCCCAACTCTACATCAAATTATCAGCAGTTGAGGACTATGCTGTTGTCTTTCTGCAGCCCCAACTGATGCAGCCCAGAGCATAGCTGAGCATATAGCAGCTGTCTGTAAACAGCCAATATCCCTGCCCAAGCCACACTCTTCCCAGAGGTCCAGTTCCTTAAACTAACTTCTGGCCAAGCAATGTGTGTGTGCATGGGTATCTGTGCACTTGCAAATGATCTCAATGTGTTGGCATCCACCCATTTTCCCCATAGGGCCAGAATGGTGGACAGGTCTGCGGATGCCTCCAGGACAGTGGCCCATAGTAGGGACACTTCACATGTACTGCAGGTAGCATCCTGTGGGTCTGGGTCATGGGAGAGAATATCTGGTCTGTTGGCTGGAAGCTGAGCTGATCATGGACATCAAGAGGAAATTGGCTCTTTTAAGACAAATGCTTCCAGAAGCCAGGATTGCTGGGTCTGCATTGCTCCCCAGATGGGGCTGGGTAGGAGCCAGAAAAGTAACAGTGGTTGATAAACTCAGAAAGGTGGTTCATCATGAAGTAGCTAGCTTTCACAGATTCTGGAAGGTCAGGTTTACCCGGGGATGATTTAACAGCACAGGAAGTGTGCCAGGACTTCAGAGAACTGGGGAAGTTCACCCTCTCTCCAGTGTCAGTCGGTCCAGTTTGGGGAAGTCTGGTGTTCTTACTGCCAGCAGGAACTTGCTCCCTGATATAGCCCAGGCCTGTGGGGTTTGCAAAGCTCTGACAGAATCAGGTTTTCCATGGAGATTACAATTGATGACCTGTTTCCCGGTGGCTGGGAAGCGTTCATGAGTAGGGATTGTGTTGACACATCTGTTTCCAGATCCAGCTGGGACCATTCGAGGTAAATGAAAAGCAGCGAAACTGCATAGAATTGAACCTCTGGGAACCTAAAGAAGACTTTTTGCTTAGAGGGTGATTTGGGATGCTTAAATATTTTAAGGATTCAGGCAGATGATGTTGTATTCCGGGGTGCCCTTCCCACATCACTGTGTTAGAAGGGGCTATAAACCAATGCCAGCCATGAGTGAGCCTGTGTACCCTGAGTGGAACCTGAGAGATGTCTGTTCTGGAGTGATGACTCATCCAGGCTGCCCTCTTCTCTCACATGGATGAGTGAAGTAGTCTCCTAAATGGTTTCCTGCCTTCCTTCTCATCCCCATAGAGTTCCTTGTCCACACAGCAGCCAGAGTGGTGTTGCAGTGCGGAAATTAGATGCCATCAGCGCCCCTGCTTGAACCTGTCCAGTACCTTTCCATTGAGATTAGTCCAAATTCCTTACCACCTATAAGATCTAAGTGAAGTTCTGCCTACTTTTCTGACCTTATCTACTGCCTCTTGCAGCCACACTGGACTCCTTGTTCCTCCAACAGGCCTAAGAGCTTGGACAGACAAGCAGATGAGTAGACAGACAGATGAATGGATGGATGGGTAGATGGATGAATGGATGGATGGGTGGATGGATAAATGGATAAATGCATTGGCAGGTGGGCCTGTGCAACCCAGAAGGAGTTCAAGTTTTCCAGGTGGAGGTCATTGCAACAGGGCTTCTTGAGGGTCAACCAAATTGGGAAAAGATCAGGCCAGAACCATTTTCTCATTTGTGCTTCTCTAGGTCAGAAAATTCTTATTATTTCTTCAAATGTAGCCCATATAAAAGACTAACTGTTAGAAATCCATGAGATATTTTCCAGGATCTCTTTTTTCTCTTTTTGTTCAGGCAAAAAGCCCATTAAAAATGAATTTTGGATGAGCAAGCTTTGATAATAAAATTTCTCTTTCCAATGTAATATTGTAATAGTGACCACCCACCAATTTTTTTTTTTTTTTTTTTTTTTTTTTACCAAATCATCTGTTGCTGACTAGAACATTAATTTAAATAAAATGTTTTGTGATCTAACTAAAAAGTGGACTTCCACGAGAATGAGTTCTTCATAAAAATGGTGTATTTTGTGACGAGATGCCACTGGGGGTTAAATAAAATCTAAGTGTGATTGTAAATTATTTACTTTAGCAAATACCAAGCAAGACAGAGAAAAATACACATAACAATACTAATTTTGTGGAAAATATTTTTGTAAAAATAATGTTTATTTTTATTTAATAATAAATGCAAAAAAATCTCTCTCAGGAATGTGTAGAAATGCATAAAAGAGATCATTATAATCAACTGTCATTCCACCCATTCTGAGATGTCTATTCTAGCTGAATTTCCTTTCTGTCTTTTCTTGTCTACATATATGTAAACATATCCGTATGTTTTACATGGTTTTAATTATCCTCTACATACATATTTCCTTGCCTCTTTCATGTAAAATTACATCCTATATATTTTTACAGGTCATTTAAAAACTCTGGGCACAGTTTTAGAGATCCAAATTCCAAATTATATTCTTCTATGTATAAATCTATCTATTCCAATCAAAATAAAGAAACACAATCAAATACATCAGTATTGGCACAACTTAATGTAAATGCATTCTTAGGAAATACACTATTTCAAAGAAAAAAAAACTCTGGGCACACATCCACAATATTTCATTGTGTAGACTAGCATTGTCTAACAGAAATATAATGAGAGCCACATATAGAATTTTTAATTTTCTGGGAGATGAACAAATAAGTGAAAAAAATCAGGTGAAATGACTTGTGAAAATTAAAGTGAACACACATATTTTATTTAGTCCCACAAATACAAAAATATTTGCCATTTCAACTTGTAGTTATTATAAAAATTATTTAGATATTTCACAGTTTTTTAACTAAGTCTTTGAAATCCATGTGTATTTTATGTCTCAGTTTAGAACACCACATTCCAGGGGTTCAGTAGCCACCTGTAGTCAGTGACTATCATATTTAATAGCAAGCTGTAGTCTACTGAAAAATTGTAGTGTGGCAGCCTACGCACAGTGGAAGCGATTTTGCACTAATTCCCATATTCCCACTTAAAAGGCTATCTTCCAAGAATAAAAGCAGCCTGAAATTAGAGTTCCAGTTATCTTCTATCAGGTCTCAAGGTGATTAATTCAGTTTGATAGTTACAAGATATAGCCTCAATTCCTCAAAATGCTAAATGAAGTGGAAAGATGTTGAAAACAATGTTTTTCAAATTATGCATTTGATACCATTTTGCCTCTTTTCAAAGATGATTTCCTGGGCTCTAATAGAAGCTGATGTCTCCTAGTATATTAAGATCATATTCAATACAAGGCAAATGAATTAAATTAAGTTGGATGGTATTGATTGCTATCAGTCCTGCTTCAGCTCTGTCTGGGTCCATCTGCCGTCTTCGTTGGAGTCCTGGGTCTGCATGGAAGCTCGCTGGTATTTGCGGGCCCTCCGGCCTCTCCTCCTCTTATGGGAATAAAGTGTTTATTGTCTGGTACACTTGTTTCACCCGGAAGCCCAACTGGGGCTATCCTTTTGCAGAATCAGTTTTAAACTTTACTCCTGGGGCCAAGGAATTCGAGGGAATCCAATGGATACAAAGGGTCCCCAAGTGATGTCCTGCTTTAACAAGCACCTTGATGGTGTGCATGAACAAGACTTCATGAAGTAGGGAGGAAGGGGGAGAGGAAGGCCAATCCCCATCACCAAGGACCCTCCTCCCTGGTTGTGGGGTCCAGCCCAACAGCTCACAGGGCCAGGAGAGGCACCCTAGAGCCCACCTGAGCTAATAAAGGCCTGGTGGCTTAAGTCCAACATGGGTGCATTCAAAAGCTTTCTGGATGTCTCCCGTGTGCCAAGTTCTGGGTCTTGGGGGCACAAGAATGACTCAGATGGTGTATCTGTCTCCCTCCCATGGAGGAATATGGACAAGCTGACCTTAAACTACAACATATCTCTGTGATAAGAGAAAAGCCTGGAATGCTGTGGGCACAGTGTAAGTTGGTCACATCACTCAGCCCATACCCTAGGGCCCTCTGGGATGGCTTCCTGGAGGACAGGACTGGCCAGCAGTGTGACCGTAGGCAGCCTTCTCCTCCTCCCTGTGGTTTGTGAAATGAGCAAAATAAAAGTACCTCCCTTATTGGACTGTTATGGGGAGAAAACAGTATAATCCCTGTAAAATACCTAGCACGCAATCAGTCACTAAGTATTGGCTCCTGTTACAGTTACTGCTGTTGTTTTATTGGAAGGTGGGGAGCTAGGCAGGGTGGACACAGAGTATAGACTGAGGGTGATGGGGAGATGTTGTTTGGCACAGGGGAGGGATACAAGCAGATTTGCCGTTTTAGACAATTGCTCTGGTGTTGTGGCTGCAGAACTATCTTGCAGGAGGGGTTTTGAGCTGCCATCCAGCTGGAAGTGGCACTGGGGGGACTCGGTTTAGAGCTGTATTTGCATAACAAGGGCACTGTTTTTACTAGACTGTGAGTGATGATCAATAAAAACCAGCATGTTAAAAGATGTGTTCATTCTCATTTAATAAAAAAAAAAGTGTTCCTTCTTTTTGTGGTCGTCATCATCATCACCATCATCCTAGGTAGGGTGTGTCTCGGAAAGATCACGGTGTGGGGTAGTTGAGTTCTCCCACTGTTCTGCCCACTGGAAGGTGGAGGGAGTGTTGGCATGGCAGGTGAGCAGCAAGGGAGCTAGAAGCAAGGCTCCATTACCGATACCTGGTGGCCTCCACTCCTGCCCTACCGAGGTCCCGGCAGCTCTTCCCCAATAGTGGCTCCATATTTACACAACCTCCTCCTTTTCCTTTATCTCAGTCATCAAAAGTTTAAGGAGATTTAAAAACCACTGGGGTGTTAGGCATAAAATACAACCTAGGGTCACTGATGGAATTCATGTGCAGGTTCCTCCGAGGCAGGGCCGGAGCCCACCCCTCCAAGGTGTCTGGGCTGTCACTCTCCCCATCCTTCTTCCTGATTGTAAAAATTAAACACATGCACAGGAGGGCTTGGGAGGCAGAGTTATAGGGGATATAAAGTGCCTGACAGCATATAAACTTGGCCATCCTGCAGTGGAGCACCCGATCACAGGGGTGCTGAGGGGGGCGGGAGGGTCCAGGAATCCAGGTAGCAACAGGCAAACTGCAGAGGGGAGAGGAAGCAGAGGGGTCTGCTGGCTGGGGCGGGGCAGGCTGCTACTGACCTCAGTGTTTCTGGGAGTCGGGCTGACCCTCTGAGGCCTCCTCAGCCCTCCCTCCAGCCATGGTGAAGTGCTGCCTTTTGCAGGGGTTGCAAGAAGGGAGCAGAAGGTCACAGCTGCAGGAGCAGATCTCAAAGCAGATGGGGGGGTACGACGATGAGGCAGGAGAAGTGGGCATGCCCAGATTCCCCCTTGCAATGAGTGCCAGTGACATCCCTGCCATTGCTTTGCTAAGCACAGCCCTTGTAGGTTTCAGATGAGATGTGGGGAAATTGCTAACCTGGTGTTGGTGAACTCTAGAGCTGTAGATACGCTCAGATGGGCGGCCACGATTGTGGCTATGGAGCCGGAAGTCTGAGCTCTACATAAAGAACGTGGTGACCACTGCAGCCCCATTGCACAGTGGGATCTGAGGTCCCTGGGGCTTCAGGGATGCCCAGAAGGTCAGCGTCATCTGAAGCAAGGCCCATGCCTGCTGTGCTTGGGGGTCTGGCCTTGGGCAAGGGCTTGAAGCATTGTCTTCTGTGTGCTGAATCCTGGCTGTTCTGAGAGACTCACCTGGGTTTCTTATGGCCAAGACACCTGGAGAGCCTGAGGGACAGAATCCCTTAGTGCCTCTGTGACCTGAGGCTGTGGGTAAGGGTGGGTGTACACCCATGTGAAAGAAAGAGAGACCAACAGACACAGTGAGAAAGACAGAGAGACAAAGAAAAAGAGAAACAGAGACAGAAAGAGGGACAGAGACAGAGAGACAGACACAGAGAGACAGGCAGACAGACACAATGAAACAGAGAGACAAAGAAACAGAGATAGAGAGACAGAGACAGACAGACAGACAGACCGAGAGACAGAGACAGCCAAGCACAGAGACAGAGACAGAGAGACAGAGATAGCCATATACACGGAGACAGACACAGTGAGAGATAGAGAGACACACACACACACAGAGACAAGAAACAAAGAGACAATGACAAAAACAGACAGAAACACAGAAAGACATAGACAAACAGAGAAAGAGATAGGAAGACAGAGAGTGTCAGAGAGAGAGACAGACAGAGACAGAGGGAGAGGCAGAGAGAGGGAGTGAGGTGGGAGAACACCAGGCACAGGGTAGGAGCTGCCGGCGCCATGGGGGCCAATCCTCCTTTATCCACCTCCTCCTTCTTTGGCTGTTTCTAGAGCACCTGCTATGTCCCCGGATGGTGCACACCAGTCTCTGGCCCAGCTGCCCCATGCTCACAGAGGGACATCAACCAATCACATGAATATTATTTAATTTCAACTGAGGCAGGCAGCTTGTACTGTGTGATACTTAAAATATGCACCCAGCCTCCACCCGTGCTTTCTTTGTTCTGAAATTTGTCTGTGCATCTTCTAAGGAGGCAGGTTGAGTCCATCCCGTGAAAGCCAAGGTGGGGGGAAGCATTTGGTGTCTCTACCTATTTATTTATTTTAGGGATTCAAATCTGGCCCTGACTGGTGTTCCCAGCAAATGCCAGCGGGCACCTCTGAACGCCAGCATAGTTGCTTCCACCCAGAAGTTGTGGCTCATTTAATTTTATTTCATTTCATTTCATTTTTTTTTTTTTTTTTTTTTTTTTTTAGACAAAGTCTTGCTCTGTCGCCCAGGCTGGAGTGCAGTGGCACGATCTTGGCTCACTGCAACCTCCACCTGCCAGGTTTAAGAGATTCTCCTGCCTCAGCCACCTGAGTAGCTGGGATTACAGGTGTGTGCCACCGCCTGCGGCTAATTTTTGTATTTTTAGTAGAGATGGGGTTTCACCATATCAGCCAGGCTGGTCTTGAACTCCAGAGCTTGTGATCTGCCTGCCTCAGCCTCCCAAAGTGCTGAGATTACAGGCACGAGCCATCGCGCGAGGCCGTTGTGGCTCATTTTTGTCAGATATTTATTTTGAAGTGTGAAAGGGTATGTTCATATGGAAAAACACACTGATTGTAAGGACCCAGCTAAATAAACAGAGCCCCCCCATGTAACTAGCACCGAGATTCAGGACTAGAACATGAATAAACCTCTCACGCCTCCGCAGCTGGTTTCACCTGCTCTTATACTTAAGGGCAACCGCTTCTCATGTGCTCTCTCTGTGAATGTTGCCTTTGCTCTACCTTCTGTCTGGGAGACTCATCCGTGTTCTCATGTGGGCTCTGCTGGTGTCTGTAGTGTCTTTCCATTACATCTGACCAGAGTGCAAAGAGGTGGAGCTGACCTTCGACCTCGGGGGACGGCAGATCCTGGTGGTTACCAGTGGGTGCATACCTCCCCTTGACCTGGTTCCAGTGAGCCCTGCCACTGTCTTACTTGGGTTCCTCAGGGCCCATTAGGAACACGGGTTGCTTAAAGCACTGCTGACCTGGAGAAGTTCTTTTGAGCTCAGAAGCCTTCACTCCTGTTGAGAACTCCCACCCTCTTTCACCGCAGAGGAAGTACCGTGAAAATCCTGACTTTAAGACCAGACTGCCTGTGGATGAATTGCTATGTGCCTTTTGGTAATATCTTAAGTTCTCTGTGCCCTAGACTCCTGGCCTCAAAACCAGGGTTGAGAATTCCAGTTACTCATACATTTTCAAGGAAGGTCAAATGTGTGAGCTGCCATCCCTGGGCACTAGCAGCATGAGTTGTCATCATTTCTTGACCACCACCAACTTGGGGACACGGGTCAGGAATTTTTCTTCTTTGCTTCATGGGTGAGGAAATAGAAATGTGGAGAAGGATTTTTGCATGATATTGCTTACAGATTTCCCCAGTGAGTCTTTTCTAAGGTGCACCTGCTGATATTATGATGGGAAGCGTGGAAGATGACATCTTTATGACAATGTTGCAGAGAAGCTTAGTGCCTCATCCTGTTCGAAAGATGTTGGCGTCCTTTGTTTCATGTCACCCTTGTAGCAATCCTAGACCCTCAGACGCCCAGGGAGAATTGGCCTCATTCTTCCCATTATATCCCATTTCACAGATTCAGATCAGATAACTGAGGTACAGGGTGGTCACACAGCTACCAAATGGTGCGCCATGGCTAGAACCTTGGTGTTCTGACTCCCGATCCACCTGCCCTTGTTCATTTCTTCCTGTTATTCCTTCAGCTTATAGTGGAGGTGATAGTAGGAGGCATTCACTGAAACATCAGTCTCTTGAGCAGAAACTCTTAGACCAAACCCTGGTGTGTTTCACCGCTGTGATCCTATATCCTGCTTGTTTAGAATTGTATTATCCCCACTGGGGAATTCTCTGCCTCTTAACCTTTGAAAAAAATCATCTAGTCAATAGAATATTTCAACAATGTATTGAAAGAAAAAAAAACCCTTTCATGTAGAAGTAATACACACATTTAACATGAGGGTTTACATAGTTGCTCTAGTTGAACACTTAATTTTTCTTTGAACTTCCTGGCAGCCAGAACAAAAGAAGCTTACTGATAGCAGTAAATAAGCAGTAAGTTAAAGGGTGGGGCGCTCCAACTTTGGGCAGGGTTGGTTGAACATGATGGGGCTATCTTTGTGTGGATGTCTTTGCCCTGAGAACTCGTAAAAGTCAAGACTGGTCCTCACTGGGACCCAGAAGCCAGAAGGTTTAGAAGGTCAGGTGTTAGAACCACATATTTGCATATTCTTGTTATCTCCTTCCAGATGGCAGATAGTGCAGACAAGGAGGAGCTGTACTCAGTTAAACCACTTGTCTGAGTGCTCAGGTTAGAAGGGAGAGGAGGCAGGAGCTATGCCTAAGCCTCCCAGTCCCCATCAATTGCTTCCCAGAGAGGGTTGTGTGATCCCCCACAAAGCACTGCCCCATACCATGCCCACCCAGGAGAGGGAAGCTGAGCAGGAGGTGGTAGTTGAAAAGGGGACTCTCAACCCAACATGTCCCTGAAAGGCAGATGTTTGTTTTGAAAGTTTTGGTTCTCAGTTACGAAGAGCTTATTTTACAGTAGTCCCAAGTATAGCCATAGAGTAGCAAAAAGTCATAGTGTTCCATTTAAGATGTTTCCCCACAAATCCTCCTAACATCCTATGAGATATGCACTATTATTCCACCCACTTTATAGATGGGAAGCTGTATGAAGATTCTCCAGAGAAACAGAACCAATAGGATAAATGCATGGATAGATAGATAAATAGAGGTAGATAAATAGATTATAGACAGATGATAGACAGATAGATGATAGATGGATGGATGATCAATGATAGATAATAGACAGATGGATTAGATAGATGATAGGTAGATAGGGATTTATTTTACTTTTTAAATTTTATATTTGGAGGTTACATTTGCAGGTTCGTTACACAGACATTTTATGAGATGCTGAGGTTTGGGCTTCTAATGCTCCCATTGCTCAAGTAGTGAACATAGTACCCAATAAGTACTACCCAGTAGGTGGTTTTTTCAACCTTGTTTCCCTCCTTTCCATCCCCCTTTTGTAACTCAGTGCTTGTTGTTCCCATCTTTATGATGTACCCAGTTTATCTCCCAGTTATAAGTGATAACATGGAGTATTTTGTTTTCTGCTTCTGCGTTAGTTCGCCTAGGATAATAGTCTCCAGCTCCATCCATGCTGCTGCAAAGGACATTATTTTTTTTATGGCTGTGTAGTATTCTGAGGTGTATATGGACCACACTTTCTTCATCCAGTCATCCATTGGTGGGCACTTAGGTTGATTCCATGTCTTTGCCGTTGTGAACAGTGCTGTGATTAACCTACAAGGGCAGTGTCTTTTTGGTAGAACAGTTTATTTTCCTTTGGGTCTGTACCCCGTAATGAGATTGCTGGGTCAAATGGTAATCTGTTTTTCATTCTTTGAGAAAACTAAGAGGGGATTTATTATGGGAGTTGGCTCACGTGATTGTGGAGGCTGAGAACTCCCATGATCTGCCCTCTGCAAGCTGGAGACCCAGGAAATCTTGTGGTGTGATTCAATCTGAATCTGAAGGCCTGAGAATATGGGCAGCTGCTGGAGAAAGTCCCAAAGTCTGAAGGCCTCAGAACCTGGAGCTCTGACAGCTGAGAGCAGAAGTGAGATGTCCCAGCTCCAGAAGAAAGAGAGAGAATTCACCTTCATCCTCCTTTTTGATCCATCGGATCTACCTTTTAAAGCCAATCTATGGATTGGACAATGCTAGCCCACATGGGCAAGGGCCGACCTTCTTTACTTGGTCTCCCAATTTAAATGTTAATCTTTTCCACAAACACCCTTCCATGTACACCCAGAAGTTGTGTTTTAACACCTATCTGGGAGTTCCTTAACCCGATCAAGCTGACACCTAAAATCAACCATCACAGAAATGAAGGCAGAAAAACTAAATACAGTTGATCAAAGCCAAGTCGCTGTTGGATGGTATGATCAGCTTTGACACTGGGCTTTCCCACCTGCACTTTGACTACCTCCCTGCACTGACCCAAGATCGGGGGGAGGGTTTTTCCCTAAGATGACGCTCATGTATTTTTCTGTTTTTATTTTCTACCTTGACTACAAACAATTGCAATGTTTATGCTGCCCCAGGTCGAATCGTTCCAGATGTACCTTTTCATTGTTTCTGTAGCTGATTTTGTGTATTCTCATGTTTCATTTTCTATGATGTTCCTGAGCGGTACAAGTCATTACTGGGTTTTTTGCTTTGTTTTGTTTTGTTTTGCTTTTGTGGCCTCAGGCTGTGATAGTGGAACATGGATGTGATCTAATACAGCAAACTGAGGTGCCCACTTCTATCTGTGTGCCCTCCCTGCCCTATTCCCCATTACGCTTGGGATGGCTGTTCATACTTTAGTATAAATTAGAAAACAAGACCGTGAGGCTAGACCTGCGACTGGTGAAAGCCCTGTGTATATGGAAGTAGGTGTAAGGGTAAGCGTGGGGGTACATGGAAACCGGAACACTCCATGTATTTCCTTCTCTTAGTTTGAGGATCCTCCTGATTGTCCATGAATAGGGGCCTCCAAACACCCCACCTGGAGGCCCCACCTGCTCCTGATGTATTCACAGAGGCATGGACCTGCTGACTCTCCAGTCAAGACCCTGACTCAGGTGATGCTATTTCCCCAACCAGGTAAGACAAAGAGAGCATGATTACCATTTCCTTGGGGAGGGGTGGGGTGGGAATTATTGCTTTAAAAAAAGAAAATGAAATCTTGCCCTTTCATTAGAAGAGAACAATGTTTCCTTCATTGTTGGAAAATCAGCAAATACTGATTTTCTTATAAGGCGCTTGTTGTGCAATGAGGAACGTCAACGACAGGCAGGCTTGTTTTTATTTTTATGTTTATTTTACTCTGGAACAGAAAGCAGGCTCGCTCGGGGACTTGGATTCTGGTCCCATGTCTCTCGCATAAGAAGGACACGCACACATCACAGGCAGAGGCGAGCCAGCGGGTCATCTGTCTTGGGGGGACTGACTGTCCATGTGCCCAGGAAAAGGTCAGGAACCTGTGGGTATTAATTAATCCAGCCGGTCACAGAGCCATCCATGTTTATTAGGGAGGACCATAGCATTTGGCCAGGATGATGATTTTAAGGATTGGTGTTTTATTAACAGGACAACATCTGTTTCCTTTTTTGTGGGAATTAAATGTTCCTTTGTAAGGCTGTTGGGAGCAGGTGCAGAGGGTAGCACAGGTTAACACTTCCTTTGTCACCATCTTGTCTTATTCCACTCTCTGTTTCAAGGGCTCATGGGACAGGGAGATCCACAGACTCTCAGCTCTGGAGCCCAGCCAGTGGGGGCCACCGTTCTTGCCAAGTGCTGAGGGAGACCACCCAGACTTCCATTTTGCAGGCTACCAAAGGCCAGCACCCTCCTCCTTGTCCCTGGGTTGCATTCTCATCGTCAGCTCTCCATCCAAGCTCTGGGATTGGCAGAATCATCTCAGTTACTCCTGTTCTATATGCCTTACCCACCTGACACAATACCTGCCACCCACTTGAATTTACACCTATAAATATTTGTGCATTTAGAAACCGCCCTGAAAGTTTGGACGGAGAAGTATTTAGATCACAGGAATACAAATGATAGAACATCCTGAGTGGTGTATCTGGTTTGTAATAGCGCTCAGCTGGTGCTATGGCTGTAGATGTTCTGAGCATCCACTTAGGGCTTTTCAGAGTCTCCACGCTCCACTCAGAGCCAGAGCCCAGGACCACATGCTTCTGGGAGGCCACCAGGTGACTTTCAGTGATACGTGGAGAACACCCTCTATTCAGATAGCTATATATTTAAATTTGTTGTTACTGCCTCTTTGTGGCAAGTAATGCTCGTTTTACTTTTACAGTAGTCATATAACTTTCCTTTCAATCACTATTTAAGTAAAAAAAAAAAGTGAGTCATTTTAAAGGAGGAACTTCAAATGAATGGTAGAACTAGTGCAGTGTGGTAGTGAGACAGCACCAGCAGGGAGGTGTGGGGAGGTGCGGGGATCCATTTCAGGGAACTTCTCCCTAGTGCATTAGTCAGGGTTTTCCAGAAACCCCCAAACCAATTTAAGAACTCTATCCTTAATATTGTGTTCCTCTAGAACCACTCCTGGTACCAAAATCTGTCTTAGAGCTCTCTAGAGGGACAGAACTAATAGGATAGATGTATATGTAAGTGAGAGTTTATTAAGGAGTATTGACTCACATGATTCACCCCAAGGTGAGGTCCCATAATAGGCCATCTGCAAGCTGAGGAGCAAGGATGCCAGTCTGTGTCCCAAAGCTGAGGAACCTGGAGCCCAATGTTCAAGGGCAGGAAGCATCCAGCAGGGGAGAAAGATGGAGGCCAGAGGATTTAGCCAGTCTAGTCTTTCCACTTTCTTCTGCCTGCTTTATTCTAGCTGCACTGGCAGCTGTTTAGATTGTGCCCACTCAGATTGAGGGTGAGTCTGCCTTTCCCAGTCCACTGACTCAAATGCTAATCTCCTTTGGCAAAACCCTCACAGACATACCCAGGGACAATACTTTGCATCCTTTGATCCAATCAAGTTGACACTCAATATTAACCATCACAGGGAGGTACAGGGATCCATTTCAGGGATCCTCTCCCTGGTGAAACTGGCAGTCCTGCCTCCTGTGTCTGGGCCCTTTCTGTGCTCTCAGGGTTTCTAACCTTCATTTACTCATCTGCTAAGTAAACAGAGTTGGGCCAGCCTCTGAATCTCATTGCTGTGTGAGTTCCTAATAAGATAAAGCAAATAAGTATCTGAGAGGTACTATGATTATTATTACTATTATTGTTACTTATATTAGTATTTATTGAAAGACAATGGACACTTGGTGAGCTCCCTCCTCTATGCCAACTTCTCACTCGGCACTAAGTGGAGATTATATCACTAACCCTCTCCCATGGGCCAGTGTGAGACCACCGTTACCCACATTTTATTTATTTTTGGATTTTTAGAGACAGAGTCTTGCTCTATTGTCCAGGCTGGAGTGCAGTGGTGCAATCCCAGCTTACTGCAACCTCGATCTCCTGGGCTCAAGCTATCCTCCCACCCAGTCTCCCAAGGTGCTGAGATTACAGGAATGAGCCACTGCACCATGGCCTACCCACATTTTAGAAACAAGGACCTTAGAGGTAAGGAGCCAGGGATTCTCACACTCCCTATATCAAGATGTTACGGAGGAAAAATGAAAGACAAATATTCCCTAAATATTTCTATGGAATTAATTACGTTCACATTTCCAAATGTTGGTTTAGTCCTGAATTTAATTGTCCTCTGTTTTTCTAGAGCTTGTAGAGAGAATGAAAATATCTGTCCAGTACAGTGTCTTTTGGCCCTTTCCCTGCTTATCAGCATCATAAAGACAAAACATTTCAGGAATGTGGCCTTGATAAGAAAACATACCAGCGCATATACTGATGGTGGCTGCCTCTGGGCTTTAGGACTATGAGTGCATTTTCTGTTTTCTCTTTCTTTTTTGAAGACTTTCTACTTTACTGTGTGAAATGGTTTGTCTGTGTCCCCACCCAAATCTCATCTTGAATTGTAGCTCCCATTCCCACGTGTTGTGGGAGGGACCCAGAGGAAGACAATTGAATCCTGGGGGTGGTTTCTCCCATACTATTCTCATGGTAGTGAATAAGTCTCATGAGATCTGATGGTTTTATGTGGGGAAACCCTTTTCACTTGGTCCTCACTCTCTCTTGTCTGCTGCCATGTAAGACATGCCTTTTACCTTCCATCATGATTGTGCGGCCTCCCCAGCCACCTGGAACTGTGAGTCCATTAAACCTCTTTTTTTTTTTTTTAAACTTCTTTTTCTTTATAAATTACCCAGTCTTGGGTATGTCTTTATAAGCAGGTGGAAATGGACTAATCCACTGTGTAAGTAGAAATTGCAACATAGAACCTAGGTTGTAAATTTGCTGAGATGGTTTCCGGTGTCTGAAAAGCCAACGCTATTTTTGTGATAATATGACATGGTTTGCCTTTCCATTTTGTACTCAGGGTGGGTAGAACTGTTGTCTCCTCAGCACAGACCTGTACTAGTCATCACTGTATTCTTTACTGCCATGCATGTGCAGAAAAAACAAAAGCCAGTTTCACTTAAGAATGTACTTGATGTAGTGTATGCATACAATGGGATATTATTCAGCTTTAAAAAAGGAAGAAAATCCTGCCACAGGCTACATCATGGATGAACCTTGAGGACATTATGCTAAAGGACATAAGCCAGTCACAAAAAGACAATTACCGTATGATTCCACTTATATGAGGTACTCAGAGTAGTCAAATTCATAGAGACAGAAAGTGGAGTGGTGGTTGCCAAGGGCTGGGGGGAGAGGGGAACAGATAGTTATTGTTTAATGAATGCAGAGTTTTGGTTTTGCAAGATGAAAACAGTTCTGGAGATGGATGATGGTGATGGCTGCACAGCAACGTGATCTACTTAATGCAATTGCACTGTAGGCTTAAAAATAGCTAAGTTGGGGCCAGATGCGGTGGATCATGCCTGTACTCCCAGCATTTTGGGAGGCCGAGGGGGGCAGATTACCTGAGGCCAGAAGTTCAAGACCAGCCTGGCTAACATGTTGAAACCCTACCTATACTAAAAATACAAAAGTTAGCCAAGCATGGTGGCAGGTGCATGTAATCCCAGCTACTTGGAAGGCTGAGGCACGAGAATCACTTGAACCCAGGAGGCATAGGTTGCAGCGAGCTGAGACTGCACCATTGCACTCCAGCTTAGGCAATGAAAGTGAAACTCCATCTCAAAAAAATAAAATATAAAATAATTAAGATGGAAAATTTTATATTACATGTATTTTACCACAATAAGAAAACGAGTAAAGTATAGAGATTATGAATTTGAAATAACAAGAATGTACTTGATGACATATTGAAAGTTATTCATTTTATTAAATCTCAATATTTGAGCACTGGCCTTTCAATGTTCTTTGTGATGAAGTGGGAGGTAGACATAGAGCACCTCTGCCCCATCTGGAAGTTCCACAGCTGCCTCAAGGAAAAGCACCTTTGCCAATCTTCTGAACTGTGAGCTGAATTCCCTGCCCTTTTTTTTTTTTTCAGAGAGCACCATTTTTACTTGAAAGAACAACTGATAGACAAACTATGGTTATTCAAACTTGACTATTTGGCAGACATTATCTGGAAAATGAACAAATTAATTCTGTCACTTCCAAGAAAATAAGTGACAGTATTTGTTGCCAATGATGAAACTCAAGCTTTCAAGAATTTTGAAAAACTTGTATCAGCCACCGTGAGCTTGATAGCTTTCCAATAGTTAAAGAGATACTAACACATGTGATTTCTTTAATATTGAATAATGGATGTGTCAACACTGCAGGATCTGCATACATGACTCATTGAGCTAATATTTCTCAAGTGACCTGTGCTAGATGTAATAAAATCATGTAATGGTAAAAAAATCCATTCAAATATCAAGATAGACCAGTGGATTTTAATGTAATGGAGCACAAAAAGTTTATATATTTTCAGATTTCACATTGCAACTAACCTTTGAGAAACTACCAGTTGCTGAGTTTTGGTGTAGTATCAAAGAACATCCACAATTATCTGAAAGGGCTTTTACTATATACCTCCCTTTTCCAATGACATCTGTGTGAGGTCAGGTTTTCTTCATAGATTTGAACAGAAACAACATATTGCAAGACTGAATGTGGAAGCAGATATTAGAATCTAGCCGTCTTTTCTTAAAAACAATTTTTGTTTTCATTTCAATAGTTTTTGGGGTACAGGTAGTTTTTGGTTGCATGAATGAGTTCTTTAGAGATTTTGGTGTACCAGTCACCCAAGCAGTGTACAGTGTACCCAATGTATAGTCTTTTATCCCTCATCCCCCTCCCAGACTTCCCCCTACCTAAATACCCAAAGTTCATTATATCACTCTTATGCTTTTACATCCTCATAGCTTAGCTTTCACTTATAAGTTAGAACGTATGATATTTGGTTTTCCATTCCTGAGTTACCTCACTTAGAATGATGGTCTCCAGCTCCATCCAGGTTTCTGCAAAAGATATTATTTTGTCCTTTTTATGGCTGAGCAGTATTCCACAGTGTATATACACATTTTCTTTATCTACTTATTGGTTGATGGGCACTGAGGTTGGTTCCATGTTTTTGCAATTGCAAATTGTGCTGCTATAAATATGGGCGTGTACATGCCTTTTTCATATAGTGACTTCTGTATTAAGCCAGTGGTTTGCAAAGAGCTACTAAGACACCATACTTGTCACTAACTTTTTGAACATACTGTTATTTTTTCCATGAAAACATTCTAGATATGTTAGTATATAATAGGTTTATTTTCATTTTTAAATACATGACTGCATGTAGATTTTAGAATTTTCTTAGTTTTAATTTCTAATGGCACACCTAAACAAAAGCACTTAGGGTCCTTAAAACTTTCAGAATTTCTACATTCTGAAGGGTTCCGAGACCAAAATGTTCAAGACCCACTAGTCTAGCACAGAGATTTTCAACCCTGCCTCTGCATTAGAATCACCAGAAGAGCTTTCTAAGAACTCCCATGTCCACGTTTCACCCCAAGCCAATTAAACCAGAATCTCTAGTGACTTTGCTCAGGCATGAACATTTTGACAAAGTGCCTCCTGGGAATTGTATTTTGCAGCCAAGTCTCAGAACCAGGTCTAGAAGCCATACCACGTGGCTACCACCTGGTTCCTTTGAAAGGCAGACAGCACATTCAGGCAAGACCTGGCGCCCACTCTGGAACGCCGACTCCTGGTTTGGTCAATGTCCATACCAAGTGAATACACACAACTCCAAGGCAGCCAGGTTCAATACCCACGTTTAGACAAGAGAAGCTGGCTCATTATGGCACCTCTTTCTTCCACTTCAAATTAGCAGTCAAGATTCTTATAAAGCACGGCATGCTGTTTATCTTCCGGGTATCACCATCCGTCATACCAGCTGTTTGTCGAAAACTGATTCAAGCTCATCTAAGGCAAACCGGCACTGAGCTGCCTTGGAACCACCAATGTCTGAGACATGGCTTGAGAGCAGGCCTGGTTGCAGGGATCGGAGGGTCTGAGCATGCAGCAACCCACAGTGGAATTCAGAGATCTTGGGGTTCTCTAAATTGGGCCGGGGTTTCTTTTAATTAGCCGGACACCTGTCTGAAATGCATGCTCTCGGCCACGGGTCACGGCTGCTTTTCCTTTGCTATTGGACGTGTTATTGCTAGACGATATTCTGAGCCAGTGGCCTAAAAGCTTCAGAAACAACAGAGGGGGAGAAAATGTTGGCCTGCTTCCTTCTGATTCACAAGAACAAAACCTTTCCCTTTTGACCACCCACTGCTGGGATGGCATAATCTGGATTCAAAGGCCACGCCATTCTGTTTGCAGTAAAGGAACGAGTCCTGCTCCAAGAAGTATAATAACATGGTTTGCGAAAACTGGGTGGGCACATGTGGGTTCTTCCCTTAAAGTGAGATTTCAGGGGAGATCTTTCTTTGTATTGAGAGGGTCATCCTGAGCTTCTCTCCTCTCTAATTCGTTCAGTAGCACAGGGCATATCAATACTCATTACTTTCAATTGAACATGAGCCATGAACTTGGGGCTGATAAGTGCAAGGCTGACTTCTTTCCTCTGGGGATGGATTCCCTCTAGCTGCATCTCTCCCATCATGGTCATCATCCCTGCATTGCAGTCATCTCACTGTCGGGGAGGCAGGTGGGGGCACCTACTTGGAGGCCTCTCTCGCCAACAGACACCCTTATCCAGGACTCAGCCAGCTCATGGGTAAGGGAGCTGACCAGGCGATCAGGGCAGGGGACTGGGCAGGGTGGGTCCCAGCCAGGCGGGCCTATTTATTTTATATTCAGACATATCAAGCGTACAATTACTGTGACTGTAGTTATCAAACCTTGTATTTGAGAGTCTTTTTATGGGTCACTTAGGATAAAGTACTTATACACCAGCAAGTGCTTGGCTAGGAGTTTTCTCTATGCATCAGGAGGTGAGTTCAGTGGGAACAATGCCTGTGTGTGCCCTGCACTCCAGCCCCTCTCCAATGGATAATCCTGGTGATGCCTCTGACAGCCGTGCTTTAGATTTTGATTTATGATCTTCTAAAGCTAAAATCAAAGATTCCATCTAGTGCTATTTTATGGCAGCCGAGATGATGAATGGCGGAGTCTCTCAGCCCAACGAAGCTGCTGTGTCTTTGCCCCTGGATTTTAATTGCTAAAGTAGCCAGTCATTGCTCAGAATTCAATGGGAAGCAGAGTTGGGAAACTGTGGAGATGGTCTTTGGGAAAAAAAAAAAAAAGGAAACAGGAGTCCTCTAACTTCTCTTTAATCATTCATGGGTTAGCCAGGGTGAACAAAGAAGAGAATAAGTAATGTCTTCTACATTAAATTAAACTTTTAAGTGCAAATTAAACATGCATATTTCATGTTTATAAATTGGTTATAATATAATGTGACATTCATTTCTTTAGGAGACATGCATGCATTGGTTTAGTCTCTCTCTAGTGCCTAGTGAATTATTTAGTCTAGGAGGGCCTAACCAGTCACTTTCTGCCCCATTTGACTTGCATCAAATCTTCTGGGTTTACTTTTGATTATGGCGGGGGTTGTTATAAATGAGGGGTTTCTGACCAGTGCCACCGCAGCATGTTGGAACATGCTATGTGGGAGCCATAGCTGGCGCTCTCTATAAATGATGAATTGTTCAAATAACATTCTTGAATTGAGAAGATGGATTTAACAACATAAAAAGATGTGCTGTGTTTTAGGTGTTTACAGTATAATTCATTATCCCTTTTATCTTATTGACTCAAAAGCTGGTAACTGTTTTCTGACCTTACGTTCTGCACTTCATGTCTGTGGGCTTGCTTTATTAGAAAAACATTTCTTTTTATCTTTGTGCCTCATTGTTTACAAGTGCAAACCTAATTTTATCTTTCAACCTTTCTTCAAAAGCAAAGAAATAAAAAAAAATGTAAATAAAATCAACACGCAGTACATCATAAATCTTACGAGACATTACTCTGTGATTTCCCCTTAAAATCTATGTAATAAAGATTGTTTTTAAAACTCTTCCCTGCAAAATCAATGATGCAAATTAGAAAAACAAGCAGGCAATAAATTCTTTCACATCTGTAGTCCTTGCATGAATTTGTAATAATTTTTAATAAAGCATGATTGCAGTTTGTAGCACTGAATAATTTAATCAAATATAGATGTGAAAAGAATACCTCTTGTTCACCTAAAAGGGGAAAAAATATCACCCACAACAATCCACAACTCTCTGTTGCCATGTATGTGGACATCTTTGCAATGATAACAATTGCCCTCCCAGCCTATTGCTTGGAGGATGGGTAACAACGTCTCTTGGACAGAAAAATATGAAAGAGTGAATGAAGCCGCCTTGGGTGAAACAGAGCTTTGGCAGTAATTTATAACAATGACATAGGAGAGAAGTTTCTCTAAATGAGGCATTCAGATAGCCAAACCAGTCATTTATCGTAATGATTAATACAAATGGTATTCATAATAATAAATATCACAGCCCTTGCGTTCGGCACTGAGGAAGGAGCCGGGATTCGCTGAGCTGAGAGTTCTTAGGCGAACATCTTGCATGTGCCTGCAAGATGAGGCCATAATAGGAATCGGAGCAAACCCTCAGTGGCCATACATTTTAGAGACATCAGAGTCCAGGTATTCCCAAATTTCCTCCTTTAGCGAAGATATAATAATGCACCGAAGACCGGTATCATAATCTAGAACTAAGAGTGCCGGTAGTTGTGTGTTAAACAAATGAAGCTGTCAGAAAAACGCTAGGCTCAAGAGAAAAATTACCAGGCAGGCTGGAGTCGTTATGCAAAATGTTTCTTCCTGTACTCAGTTGTAGGTTCCGTGAGTCCGTATTTCTTCAACAGTTCAAATATTTTTATCTCGGCTTCTCCCTTCTTAGGGACTTATGTGATTAAGCTGTGGCCGGAACAGATAGCAGCGTTTTTGAGTCAGGTAGCACAAAGGCATTGTGCCTCCGAGAACGGAGAGAGAGAATGGCCGAGGTGCCTCGGTCCTTACCCTCGCAACACAGAGTACTAGCCGCAAATGCTGATGAGAAAAAATTATTTTATATCGGAGAATCAACATAAAAAGTCACTTTATTTGGAGGAAAATGCGTTGATGTCAGACCTTGATACAGTTTATGTCTTCTGCCATTTTTTTAGGTAAACATGCTTTCCACTACATGACATTACTAAGTAGGTTAAGTATAGCCACGGGCAATCATCCATCATTACAGAATGTAGCATATTCTGTTCTCTGAAAGGTAAAAGTTTTCCACTGTACCAAGATGACATTTAATTTTTCATATCTCCTCGTAGTCCTGGAATGAATTTTGGCAGACCTGATGCAATTTAGCAGCTTGGCAGTTTAAAATTGGGCAATGAATCACACGGATTCACTAGAAACGAGTCACTGCATAATATTTTCTCTGTGTCAGGAGAGAGAGGGAGCGGGAGCAGAGTCGGTGGCCAGTAGAAAGGTTTATGGCATACTTAATGCATACATCTGACCAGTAATGTATTTGCTATAATGTTTACTTAGTGGATGCTGGGGAAAGAATTCCTTAAAAAAAAAAAAAAGAAAAAAGAATCTAATTACAATTTTAAAAAGACTATATTTGAATTTAATTTAAATGTAAAAAAAAATAAAGTGGGAAAAAAGATTCACAGAACAAAATTTAAAATGTTTGCTTCTTTCTCTCGTTCCCTCCCTCTGTCTTTTTCCCTCTCAATCTTGCCCAGTCTCTGGCTCCGATCTAGCCCCTCTCTCTTCCAGTACCTTGACCAGATTATTTATTACTCCTTGCTCAACTCGGCTTGTGATTAAGTTTGTGCTGGAGTACTGGAGTGAGGGCTCCCGGTAACATTTACCCAAGGAGACAATGTTCCCACAGAGCGGCCCTTCTCCTGCTTTATATAAAAAGGTTTATTTGTGGTGTGTTTGGTAAAGGTGAAAGGGTCCAAAGGGCCTTCTATTTGATTTTTGACAAAGTGTACTGTGGATGGAAATCAATAGTGTCAGCCAAGCTATCTCAGTCGCGGTGCACTGCCACTGCAGGGCTTTATTCAGGAGACGAGATGAACCAAACAGGCAGAGACTGCACTGACAAAGCTCCTGACACCCACGCTTTATTAGACACTCACAGAGCCCGAGACAGGGACTCGGAGCCCGCCCGATGACTACGCTTAAAGAACTGGGCCCAGAGACATTTGTCAGGGTCATGGCCGAGAACGCTCATGTTTCTTCTAGTAGAAAGTCTATGATAAATTGACTTATCTATATGCTAAATGATTTTTATTGCCTTGTATTAATTTCGCCCAAATTTTGTAACCGTCTGCGTATGTAGTGAATGCACTTCCACTTAGGAATATATATATTCCTTCCTTCCTTTTAATGGGAAAATAGAAACAGTTTGGCACCCCAGAAAACAGCTCTGTGCTTTTCGCCAAGCTATCCAAAACGCAAATGCACTTTTCAAAGGAAGCTCCATCCACACCGCCGAAGGTTCTGCGCCTCCACCCAAGAGCCAGGCAGGGAGAGTAAGGAGCTGTTTACATTGGCTTCAAGAGGGTTGCGTCTGTGTGAGTGACAGATGTCCTTGCCAGAAGGGGGCTGTGCTCACATTCTTTGAGTGTGCAAAAAATGGTTTCTAGAGTCTTGTTTTTTTTCTCTCATTCTGCAAATTTGCCATTTATATGAAAAAATTGAAATGTCATTCTTATGTTTATGAAATGTGATATGCTCATAGAATCTTAAAAAAAAATAAAAAAACTCAAATTACACCACGTTGGAAAAGCATTTAGCATCTTCAGGGCAGGTGACCTAGGACAGAGGTGTCAGTCGGCAGGTGGAACACATTCCCTTTCTGTTTCTTTAGACTTGGAATGCTGAACGTGATCCCAGTTTGCCCCAAGGAAGCCCAGAAAGCATCTCTGAGCAGGGTAGGACAATGTTGCACAGGAACATTTTATTAATTCACTTTTTTTCTTCGCTCCTTAAGACTTGCTAATGCAGGGAGATCTAGTTTACAAGGACTGGCTGGAAAACGTGCTCCAGAAGGAACTCCTCTGGAGTTGAACTCATTTTACAGTCATTTGAAACTCAATATTTTGCCCCATTTTCCTACTTCCAGCTCCGTTTTCAATCCCCCACTCTCAACTCCTCTTCTGTCCTGAAATTGTTCTGAGACATTTATTATGTATCTTTACACCGAATACGGTTTCTTTCCTTGCTTGAAGACCCAGCTAAGCAAATACTGGAAAATTTGCTTTGCAAAGTTTTTTGGCTTCATAAGCTTTTCCAATTTTTCAGGACATAAAAGAAACCCGACCTCCCAAAGTAGAATGGAAATCAGCTTAGGATGTGGGAAAGAACTTAGGATGTTTGTATTGTTTGTTTCTTGCTTTTAAATGACCAAAAAATATTTACAAGATATCACTCAGTAAATGTCCTTTTAAAACACAAACACACCACACACACACACACACACACACATACACACACACAGTGGGTACACTAAAAACATTATTCTATAAGTCATGCCCTGGAATGACTTAGAGAAACTGATTCCATTATAGCACTTTTAAAAGTTGGCATGTGGCAATTTTAAATTAGGGGCAAGCATCTTCAAGAAAACAAAGCAGTAGGAGAAAGCAAAAGGCATGCTTTTCCCATTCTCTGTGAAAACACTTTGTTTTACTCTTTTTTGATGCCAGGGCCTATTTTTCAAAACGTGGGGGATGTGTTTCTTCCATTTCGAAACCTCCTTTCCGGTTTGGGTCAATTCGAGGTTTTCATAAGGTCCCGGTTGTTTGGCTGTGATGTCACTGTGGGCGTTCACTGACCCTGGCTGGTGCCACATGCCAAGCCCTGGCGGGGCTCCTCCTGGCTGCCCTGTGTCCCCACGGGCAGATCTTCCCCTGTCCCCTGGAATCTGGGTTTTAGCGTTTCCTCCTGGTGGTGAAGACTTACACACATTCCCACTCTGCGAAATCACATTATTCTAATGAGAATGCAAATGAAAGGAAAGCTGTGGGAAATGGCTCTAGATGAGTTGCTTGTCAAAAATGTTTTCCTGGGGAGGGGGCGCCGGGAAGGGGCGGGTGAGCCAAGCTCCCTTGCTTGCCGAGTGAGCAGCGTTTTCTGGGGGACTCGCGTTGGGTGGCACCTGGCCAAGTCTGAAGGAAGCACATCTTCATTGATGTGCCTATTGTTACTGGTTCTTATTCATGGTATTTAAACAACTCATGCAGGTTTTGACAGCTTTTCCCTTTTCATATTTACATAAGTCCTTTGATTTTGGTAAGATTTCTGAGAACCAGTGGTCAGAGGAGGGAAAGGGGAAGCAAGGTGAATGCAGGTTTGGACGGGGCATCGGTGGAACCCCTCAAAGGCTCAGGCCCAGGGCAGGGTGTTGAAAACATGTGTCATTGAGGCACAAGAAAGAGCCATGGCTCTAGGTCCATCTGCTAGGTTCCTAAAACACTCTTTAGTGGAGTGGGGAAAAGAAGATACATAGAAGGCAGGACCAGAAGGGAATTCACTTGGGGAGCAGTGCACAGTGAGCTCTCATCGCATCTAAAGATGATACCTAGCCCTTTGTGGCCTTGGGTTTTTACGTTCCTTGTAATGGGTTAGAAGTCCAGGGCTCTGTCCCCATCACTGAGCTCTAATTGTTACGGCCATGTGAGATCTGGCTATTAATGTCCTTATCCTTATGGGGATTCACCTGGATCCCTGGTGTTCAGACAGGCAGCTGGGCTGGGAGATCACTGCACCTTCCCATGCAGCCTGTCTGAGATGGCATCTTTTCAGGGTGAACCAGAGTAATGCAGGTCCCTCCGTGAATACAGGACCTGTCAGACATGTAACAGGATAAGTTCAAAAACAGAGTTCAGCATGACCCAAAATAAAATCACAGCTTTTTGTTACATGTGAGTCCCGTGAGGGTGGCAGAGGACACTCCTGGGGTGGGGGGTGCCTGGGTTTGGAGGCTTGGAGGCCACCCCATCAGTCCATCTTGTCTCACGGGCAGGTAAGAAACTCAGCGCTATTTGGACCTTTTCAACGGAGGGAGAATTCATGTATTTTCTTAATAAGATGTTAATTTTCCATAGCATGCCATTAGATTGCAACACATTTTTTAGGGAAAGATGTTATCTTTATGGAGTTGACTTATTTGCAAACTTAACATAAGCTTTCAAACCCACAGAAAATATGGCAGTGTGTTTATATTTAAAATAGATTTTAAAAAATCCAGTGAGTTACTGTGAATTTACTTACCGCCCAATAATATAGGGATAAAAATAGCTTATGCTCCTATTTTAATTAAAAGCAAATCATTTTTGTCAAGTAACAGGAGCTCAGTCTAGTGGTTAGATCATAAAGTGGGAGTGGAGATTCTTAGCTTTCTTCTTGGCTTGGGCATGCACTGGCTGCCTGATGGGGCAGGTTTTTAATCTCCTCTGAACAACTCTGCAATCCTTGTTCATAGTGACCCCCACTGTAATCAAAGGCATCCCATATGGCAAAGTCCCAAGCCTTGGTCTGAGAGGTTGGCAGTTGACATCAAGGATTGAGAGACAACCTGAGGGTGGAAGGGTTGGAGACAGGGCCATTATGGGGGTGTGGGATTTTCCATCACACCAAAAAAATTGAGTGGCATGTCATGTTCAAAGGGTCTGCAGTTGATTCCCATGGCTGCTGGAAGACATGGATCCAAACATGCTCAAGCCATCTCTTGTTCCCAGGACTGACCCACGTCCCAAATTCAAGAGGAGGAATGATATTGTCAAGGGGGTGGGTATAGGTATCCTGCAGCCCACGATTGCATTTGCTCCATATTTTCTCAACTATCATGTGTTTTTTGAGCACCTACTGCATACCTGATTTGAAGATGAGCCAGTTCTATGTGGATGAGAACAGCTGGGGAATATTGCATGGCCAAGGGAGATTGTTGCTGGCCTCTGAGCATTGCTGTGCCTCCAGAGCATTGCTGGACATCCTTTGGAAATAAATGATGTGCAAGATGTAATTTCTACCGTCCAGGGATGCCAGCCATGTTGGAGACTCAAGGCAAGGTGGCAGTCCCCGGGGAGTCTAAATAACAGCACAAAGAAGCTAGTAGTTAAGTTTTGACCTTCACAAGGTAATTAATAAGGAGATAAGAGCAGATCTCATCTATTGTCTGAGTGTATTACTTATGTGAGCATCAGGATGGAACCTTCCAGTGTGTATTGGTGCCAACAGCATTGGACTTGGAGTCTGAAAACTGGGTTTGAACCCTGAATCATCTACGTACTTAGTCTATGAACTTGTTCAAAGCTCTTCATTAGTACAGTGCCCATAAAATGTATGAGAACATGCCTTACAAACTAGAAGCACAGTGCATGAATATAGTCACTTACCTTGCTCTTTGATTTGTCACTTGTACCTGCTTCTTCGTAATCCCTACAAGGAAGAGACTTCGTATCTTCCCTGGGACTGAATACATAGGTAGGCGGATGGTTAGATTTATATTAGCTGCTTCCAGATTTATAGGAGGCTGCTTCCTCAGTAACAATAGTCTCTGAAAATATCACTTAAGGAGCAGAAAAATCATTTGGTTGGAAAATATAAAAACACACCTATCTATCTCTTTCTTTCCCATCGTAATAAGCATGCATGTGCCATTGTGGTTTTCACCAAGATGCAGTAGTGAAGCAGGAGGGAAAGGGAGTAGGGTTTTCTAGTTTCCGTGCAGGGCAGTTTTCTATTGGGATGTTCTTTCTTGTATAATGATTCATAAAGTTGTCCCATTTTCTTCCTTTCCCACCAAAGGCCACCGAACCTGATGAATCTGCCAGAAAGACTCCTCTAAACCAGGCTCCAAAGAGGTCACAGACAGATTAGGGGTATGACCATTCCTATATATGAGCCCCCAGGGAACTTGAATCCCACTTCCAGGAAATAATTAGAAGTGACTAAGAATTTAACTTTGGTTCTGACCGTAAGTATGAAAGGGCCAAGGGCACAAGGTTTGAATTTAGACCAACCTGCATTAGAATTTTTACTCTATTATCTCACAGTAACTTGGCTAACTAGTTAACTTCTCTGGGCCTCAGTTTTCTTGTTGATAAAATAATAATAATAATATCTCTCTAATATTGTTACAAACATTCAGGGAGAAATGTATGTAATGCTTATTGTTATTATCCATGCCCTAAAATAATTTAGGTATGGGGGAAATCAGTTCAATATGGGTTGGAGCAGTCGGGAAAAAAATGTCACAGCAAAGGAAAAGGGATTCCTGGACCATAAAATTTCCAATCCCAGTTCCAACCAAGCAGAGCATAAACTTAGTGAATGGAAAAGTATATCAGGGCCTTGAGGCTGATGAACGGGCAGAGACGATTCTATGATCTGCTGCTGCAGAAGCCAGGAAGGATGTTTAAGAAGTAGGATGTGGGGGAGCTGGCAGAGAAGTGACAAAGCCTGTCCTTCAAGACACCAGCTTGAAGCACCTGGGTGGAGAGAAAAACTAGGGTGAGAAGGAATTCAACAGCCAGATCATGACTAGAAGGAGAGGGCAGAGGGTGGCAGGTCAGGCTGCGGAGCACATGAGTCCTCAATATTCACTCGTTGAACAAAAGTTATTGTGCCATGCGTGATTCTACACCCTAGGACACAACAAATTCTCCCAGCTCCTCTGGAGCTCACTTTCTGGTAGGAGGGAGATGAAGTCTAGATAAAATAAATAAGAAAATTATGTAACATGAGAGAAGCTTCTGGGTGCCGGGGGAAAGCGTCTTAGGAGTGTCACAGAAAGGGGAGTTGATCAGTTTTAAATTTGGTGGCCAAGGAAAGCTTCATATTGAAGGTGATGTTTCAGCAAAGGCTTGAAAAAGGCGACTCAAGGAGACCAACCAAGAGGCGAACACAAGAGTGCAGGCGAGTCAAGGTGATGGCTTGGACCACGATGGCAGCTGTTGTACTGTTTAAAACCCCCCAAGAACCAAGAGGATTTGCTCATGGGCTGGATACAGAATGAAAGAGAAACAAAATCATTGGGGAGGACTCCAGGGTTTTGGGCTCAGCAATGGGAAGGTTGGAACTGCAGTTGGTTGAAATGTAGAAAACTGTGCAGGAGTAGGTTGGAGAAGAGAGGAAGATTGGATGCCCAGCGTTGGACATGTTAAATCTGTGAGATGCCCATTAGGCAACTAAGTAGCCGTGCCAGGTAGCAGCTGGAGATGCAATTCTGAAGTTCAAGGGAGAGGCCGAGAGTTATACATTTGTTAGGTTTATCAGTATACAGATGGCATTTAAAACTATGAAACTAGACAAAGTTATCAAGAAGATGAATATCTAGAACATACATCTAAAAACTGAACTCTGGGCCCGGCATGGTGGCTCATGTCAATAATCCTAGCACTTTGGGAGACCAAGGCAGACAAATCTCTTGAGCCCAGGAGTTCGAGACCAGCATGGGCAACATGGCAAAATCCTGTCTATCTCTACAAAAAATACAAAAATTAACTGGGCGTGGTGGCACACACCTGTAGTCCCAGCTACTCAGGAAGCTGGGAGGTAGGAGGAGCGCTTGAGTTGAGCCCAGCAGTTCGAGGCTGCAGTGAGCCATGATGGTGCCACTGCACTCCAGCCTGGGCAACAGAGTGAGACCTTCTCCCCACCACCAACATAAAACAAAAACTGAACTCTGAAGCACCCTCAACATGGTGGTTGAGAAAACAAGAAAGAAATTAAGCAAAAGAGACTAAAATGTTGCAGCCAGTGTTGCAGGAGGATACCCAAGAGTGTTGTGCTCTGAAAGCCAATTGAAAGGAGTTCTCCAGAGAAGAGAAAATAGTCAATTGCATCAAATGCTGCAGGTATGTCCACAACCAAGGCCTGAGAATTGACCGCTGGATTTAGCAACATGGGGATTACTGACAAATTTGACTCTATGGAGATTGGCCTACATATAAATATTACCTTAGGAGTAAAACATCTGAGTTCTAGTCCTGGATTCACTACATTTCTTTCTGGGTGATTTTCAGAAAGTTACTCAGTCTCTCTGAATCCTTTTTGTTTCCTTGTCATCTGAATATGTGAGATGATATTAATTACTGTTCATCCTAACTTAGGCTTTTGTGAGCTAAGTTCAGCCTACCTCTTAAGAAAGAATCAGACTGACTAATCTTTTGCTGTATATCCTGTGGAAAGTTTAAGGTCCCCTCTAAGATATCTAGAGAGGGTGTATTGTGATGTTATCTTAATTATGTCTAGCTCTAACTTTCTGCTGCAAAGCTCAGGCTTTGACTTGTAGCTCTTTCTTTATCGTTGTCCTGGTGTCAGCCTAAATATAGAGCGCAGTCTTTTTCTTTAGTTGCTCTACCTGTGCAAACACTTACAAAATAAACAATAAACACAGTAAAACAAAAACAGAAAAGGAGAGATAGAAGGCATATACACCGTAGCAATGCAAAATGCCTTAAGATTGTCACGAACTACTCTTGGTCTTAAGAAATGTTCAGACACTCCAAACTGTAGCTTGACCATCTTCTCTGTTCTTTGCTGTTACTTTTAGGAGCCAAACCCCTTGTATTAGTCAGTTTAGGCTAGGATATGCCATCACAGCGAACCACTGTAAAATATCCAGGGTTAACTCAGCAAAAGTTTTCACACATGCAATTCCACGAGCATCCTCCAGTGTAATACAGCAATCCAGGTGTTGCCTTCACAATGTGATGACATAACAGTGATTGTGATGGGACAGCAGAATTCTGGAGGACCTTGCATTAGCAAGCAGATCTTGTGCCCAGAATGTGGCTATGTTACTTCTGCCCCTAGCTCACTGGCTATGGCTAGCCATAAGGCCCCTTTAACTACAAGAAGGCTAGGGAATGTAGGGGACATATGGACTCTTTGGCAGGCATGACTGTTTCTGCCACATTCTTTCAAAATCCTCCCATTTTCACTTGCAGAGCAAATAATCCACTACCACCACCGCTCACCCAAATTTCATTTCCAAAGGACTTCCTCAGCCTTTAAGCACAACATCCTTCTGGCCTCTGTCTGGGATGGGGGAGAGGATGAAGGACGCAGGGAGTGAGATGGTCTCTCAGATTAGTTATAATGACCAATCAGGCCAGTGGAGCACTTTTTAGAGTGCTCTTTCTTGACAGTGAAGCATTATAGTCACAGAAAACGCGTATATAGCCCTCACTCAGTGCCAGGCATCTTTATAAGACTGTAGTGAGTATTAGCATAATTAATCCTCGCAATAATCCTATTAGTTAGGCACCATCACTAGTCCCATGTAGCAGATTAGCAAACTGAGGTGTAGAGAAGTGAATAACTTGCCCAAGATCACAGAGGCAGTAAGTGGCAGAGCTGGGGTTCAAGGGTAGGCAGTCTGGCTCCAGAATTCACATTCTTGGCCACTGTATTGCTTCTTTGCAAAATGCACTACACACATTTGCTTCTCACTGTCCCTGACAGAAATATAAACCACTGTTTTAAGGATGAAAGCGGTCCCCATTGTAACAGCAAGATATTGGGAAATGAGCCCTACAAATAAAAAGCTTTGCTTTTCAGATTTTGCAGGGAATGATGTGGCTGCAGAGAAAGGGGTTCTGGGAAGTGGGCTGTGTGATCAGTCTGATGAATATTTCTCAAGATCTGGTTCTTCTCTACTTCTGGTTAATGGAGAGTTATATTTCCCATTGTTGAAGTTAGGCTTGGCCACATGGTTCATTCTGGCAAATAAAATGGTGCGTCCGTTCTGGTGAAAGCATTGAAGCACCTGCTTCTGAATGCTCTTTTCTTCAGTTGCTAGGAAATTCCATAATGCTATGAAGTTAACATTAAACCAATTGCTAGGCTACCACAGGGAGGACAATTGTCCTAGCCAGTTCCCTGGGCCCATGGTGACGCTGCAGCTGCAAGAAATAAAATTTCACTTTAAGCTACTGAGATTTTGATCTTTTATGTTACTGAAGAAAAACTCAACCTCCCCTTGACTGATACAGGTGGTATTTGAAATGTGACTCAGGGTAGATTTTGAGGTGGGTTGGATAAGGAGAAGGGAAAAGAGGACGCAGTGTGGCTGTCACTTGGTGTATTCTTTTCTGGGCATTAGAAATACTACCTGCTTTGCACCTTTTTCTTGTTTTATCTTGGTAGTTGGGTTCAGTTTCTCCATGTCTGAGAGCTGTACTCCACTCTGCAGCTAGTGGCTTCTCAGGGGAAGGCCATGTACAAGGAGCTGGAACTCCTGTTGTGTTCCTCCCATAACCCCTCATGTTCTGCCTCTTGGGAAGGGCTAAGGACCACGTGTAAAAGCTCATGTCTTGGATTTCTGCCTTGGAGGCAATATTTTCCAGGTAGTTCATTGAAGCTGAAGTTGTCAGTAAAATTTATCCATTTCATTTTTTAGAGCTTGTCAGAAAAATGATAACACAGTGCAGTCCTTGGAGTCTCTCTCTTCTCCCATCCTTTACTCAACCTCTCAACAACTGTTTTGCTGGGCACCAAGAATGGGAGTTCCCAAACCTTGGTGATTAGCACTTTCTCAAGCAATCTAGCATGACTTCATGCAAAAGAGAATGTGTAAGAACACATCGAAGTGCCTTTACTTCCCTGTGCATTGTTTGGATCAGCTCCAGAGTCCGATTTGTTGTGCTAGAGGAATTCAAAGTCAGAGGAATCATATGCAATTAGGCATTTTCAAAATGAAAATATTTTAGTGGCAAGAGAGAAAAACACCTTCTCTGATATTCTGATCATCTTCCCTGCTACACTAGCTGGGGCACACCCTTCCTCTCCCTTGACATTGCTTAATAATATCCAGTTTATAATAAATTTAGTCCAAAACTCATATTCTAGAAGCCAAACAGTCTCTGCCCTCATCCCCCTAAGATAAAAGGCCTTCAGAAGGAAGGGCTGAATTGACACTGAGAACGATTTCTCAAGTTTCCATCCTGGAGTCGTTTCCTTACTCACAAAGCATTTGTTCTTTTAAGGGAACCAATATGTTTGTGTAACTGACGTGAAACAAGCTTGACTCCAAAAAGATTTAGCTTAATATCTGCCTATGCATTCCAGGGGCTGGCCGTCTGTGGGATGTGCATTAAAGGCCCTGGCGGTGGCACGACTCGTCACGTATGATATTGGGCACGCAAATGTGACGTGATGCCCATGGACTCTTGAGGGTAATTCGAAGTGCCAGCCAGCTCGATGGGCAGAGAAGCTATAAACATAGTTGTCACAAGTGAGATAGAGCGCTAGGTCACGGGCAGATGGGAGAAGCAAGCAGCATTGGAACCTGTCTCCAAGCCCTAATGTAAGTGTTAATTAGTGTAGTTCAAAATTTACGGTGAGAACAGCCTCTGCACCAGACCCCTCCGCTGACATGCTTCTCATTAACCACTTCTTCCTCCTTCCCAGGCTTCTCCACCCTCCCTTCCCCATCGTGCCAAATTCCAAATGAAATTTTGTTACGAGAGGAATGCTTCTGGGGGGCCTTTGCTAAAAAGAAAAGGCCAGCGGGGCACATGGCTGTCTGATGTTTATAGGAGTAAATACACATTTAATCTACATAATCATTAATCTTTCTTTATGTAAAAATGATTAGTAAATAGGGTTTTTAAGCAACTGTTTAGTTTACACATTGGCATCATAGATTAACTTATTTCTAAAACACTTGATTTTATCACTCTGCCTAATGATTTGTCCCATGATTTATTGAGTAATATGATAAATCATGTGCAATTTATTGTTTATCCTATAAAGAGTGCAACAATTCATTAAACAGTGATGAAACCCAGCAGTTGCATGGGGAAACCTACCTTGTTGGCTTTTGCAGTCAGTGGGACCAGTGTTCTTCCAGGAGTGGGGTGGTCCCTTCCTGTGTCCAGCATGGGGCAGTTGGGCTGTGCTTAAATTAAATAGTTTTAGAAAATAATGGTGCCATCATAATCTTATACTCTGGCCATATTTATTTTATATGGAAAAATAAAATCTAAAGCCTGATGGGTGTTAAATCTGTGGATTTATTTGTGATAATAAATGTGGTATTCTTTGTTAGGAAGGCATTAAACTTAATGGCAATGTTTCAGAATGCCACGTGGCAGTTGTGTTTCTCTTTCCCTGGCTTTCTTTCAAGCCAAAGCACCCACTGAAAAGCTCTTTGGGACATGTCTGGGTGCTCTCCAAGCTCAGAGGACATCTTGGTGCTGGAGAACCGGTGATAGGCCCAGCGCCGAAGGCAGAGCTGGTGACGGGGTACAGGACAAGGGCTAACCTCTGACTTTGAGCCTCCTCCCAGGGATGCAGGGACTCCCCTTTTTTTTTTCGGTGAGACAGGGTCTCACTTTGTAGCTTAGGCTGAAGTGTGGTGACTTGATCTCAGCTCACTGCAACCTCTGCCTCCTGGGCTAAAGTGATCCTCCCACCTCAGCCTCCCAAGTAGCTGAGACTACAGGTGCATGCCACCACACCAGGCTTTTTTTTTTTTTTTGTATTTTTTGTAAGGATGGGGTTTCATCATGTTGGCTAGGCTGGTCTCGAATTCCTGAGCTCAAGTGATCCGCCCATCTTGGCCTCCCAAAGTACTGGAATTACAGGCATGAGCCACTGTGCTCGGCCCCAGTACCACTTTTAAGAGAAGTTCATTGATTGGCAGTCAAGACCTAGACAGCTGGGCACGCCTGTTACCTTGTGGGAAGAAACCAGGCATTGCCCCCCGCTTCCAGACCTGGTCTCTTGTCCTCCTGTCTCTCAATTCTTTGCTGTACTTTCCTTTCTGTGTGAGTGTTTTTGCCTCCCCAGCTTCCAGGCTACCTTTTTGTTTGTTTTTGCAAGAGAACCTAGTCCATTTGGGGAGCCAGTTGCCCTTCATTCTCAATACAAGTGACCTCACCAGCTCACCTGGGGCTCCAGGGTACATTTGACTACCCGGACATCCAGTCAGGGTAGAACATCTGCTGACCACTCTGATTATGTGGTCTGAGCATTGCGCTCAAGTAAGGCCAACTAGAGCGAAATTTGGTGGAAATGATCTAGAGAAAGAGCACAACAGCAGAAGTAAGCCTGGAACTGCTGTTGGCCATCCTGTCCCTGCAAGGACATAGAGAAAGTGCCCCTGGGAGTGAAGCCAGCACAAGTGAAAGCTGAGGAGACTCAATCCTGTATTAATTAGTATATTACATGTTAATTAGTATAGGATATCTTGTGATATCCTATACTAATATCTTGTGATAGCATAGGATATCTTGTGAGCCCCTGGATTCAGCCCTACCTGAAACAAGCTAACCCCTAGGACTTTTTTTTTTTTTTTTTTTTTTTTTGCCTAAGTCAGATTGACATAGATTTTTAATAAAAAACTCATTAATATGCTAAAAAGTCTTATTACTCTACTAGCTCTCCCATAGGGCCAGATTCATGTATATATATTTTGTTTGTTTGTTTTGTTTGTTTGCTTTTTGAGATGGAGCCTCACTCTGTCACCCAGGCTGGAGTCCAGTAATGCGATCTCAGCTCACTGCAGCCTCCACCTTCTGGGGTTCAAGCGATTCTCTTGCTTCAGCCTCCCAAGTAGCTGGGACTACAGGTGTGCACCACCATGCCTGGTTAATTTTTTGTATTTTAAGTAGAAATGGGCTTTCACCATGTTGGCCAGGCTGTTCTCAACTCCTAACCTTAAGTGACCCACCCACCTCAACCTCCCAAAATGCTGGGATTACAGGTGTGAGCCACCACACCCAGCCAAGGTTCATATATTTTTATCAAGAAAGCTGCTTCTAGGGAGAAGAAATATTTCATTGCCCTTTATTTTCTTTCTTCATCCACTGTGATGTCATGCACACTGTGACTCTGAGCTGGGATTCAGCAGAGGCGTTCTGGAGCTCCCACTGTAGCCCAAATTGTCCTACCTTGGCCTGTTTTATGTACCGAGGCTGCATGTCAAATCTCACTCTAACAGTTAATTAAGCTATTACGAATGGAATAATGTGACACCTTATCTTGAATGCACACTCCTAGAGGGAAGGCTCGGCACACTGTGTGTTGTGTATGGTATATGGTATATGGTGGACAAAGCATGAAGTATTTTTACACGATAAGCCCCCAATAAACATGGGCTAATTCTTTGATTGTTTTGAGGAAAAGAAAGACAATCTGAATGTGAATGGCATATGTTTATTAGGTTGTCAAGAGACTAAGCAGGCCTTTGGTAGAGGCAATGTTTCTACACTAGAGGAGTGTGGTAGATTAAAGATGGCTGCAAATTGTTTGCTACTCTTCCCACTCAATGGTGGAGTCTAATTTCCCTTCTTCTGAATCTAGGATGGGCTTACTTATTTGCTGGATCAATACATTGTGGCAGAAAGGATATTCTGGACAACAAAACCAAAAATACACAAATGGGATTACATCAAACTAAAAAGTTTCTGCACGGCCAAGGAAACAATCAATAGAATGAAGAAACTACCTACAGAATTGGACAATATATTTGCAAGCCATACAACTGATGCTGGGTTAATATCCAAAATATATGAAAAACCCAAACAACTCGATAGTATAAAACAAATAATCCGATTAAAAAATAGGCAAAGAACCTGAATTGACATTTCTCAGAAGAAGACATATAAACAGCCAATAAGCATATTAAAAAATGCTCAAAAATCACTAATCATCAAAGAAATGCAAATTGAAACCATGAAGAGATATCACCTCATACCTGTTAGGATGGCTATTATCAAAAAGACAAACAATAACTATGTTGGAGATGTGGAATAAAGGAAATCTTTGTACACTGTTGGTAGGAATGTAAATTGTACAGCCATTATGGAAAACAGTGTGAATGTTCCTCAAAAAATTAAAAATAGGCCTACTAAATGATCTGGCAACCCAACTACTGAATATCTAGCTAAAGGAGATGAAATAAATATGCTGAAGAGGTGTCTGCATTCCCATGTTCATTATAGGAATATTCACAATAGACAAGAGAGGGGATCAACCTAAGTGTCCATCAATAAATGAATGGATTTAAAAAATGTGGAACATATATACAATGGAATATTACTCAGCCTTAAAAAAGAAGGAAGTCCTGTCATCCTGCCATTTGTAACAACATGGATGAACCTGGAGGAGATTATGTTAAGTGAAACGAGCCAAGCACAGAAAGACAGATACTTCATGATCTCCCTTCTATGTGGAATCTAGAAAAGTCAAACTCAGAGGCAGAGAGTAGGTTGGTGCTTGCCAAGGGATTGTGCAGGGGAAGAACTGAGGTGATATTGGTTAAAGAGTATAAAATTTCAATTAGATAAGATGAGTAAGTTCAAGAGATTTACTGGATATTGTTAATAACAACGTATTGTATTCCTGAGAATTTCTAAGACAGTAGATTTGAAGTGTTCTCAAGACAAAAAAATAATGACTATGTGAGGTGATGCATAAGTTAACTAGCTTGATTTAGCCATATCACAATATATGCATATTTTAAAGCAATATATTGTATGCAATAACTATGTAAAAATGTTGTGTGTCAATTTAAAAAATAAATAAACTTATAAAAAATAAGAAAGAATGTCCTGAGCCTTCCATTGCTAAGTCCTGGGAAACCCTGTGGCTTTTGCCTGGGCTTTTCATGATGCTTTTCTGGGTGGAGGCAGCCTCCATGAATGAAGTTTTCAAGTTTTCATGGTCTGAGACTGCCATGATGTGAGGAAGCCCAACCTAGTTGTGAAGGAAGAGGCCATAGGCAAAGAAGCCTGACCAGTTCCTAGCTCCTCCAGTCATTCCAGCCCAGACACAAGTCACATGCGTGAAGAAACCTGGGATGGCTCCAGCCCCAGCCACCATCTGACTGTAGTCCACACAGGCGACCATGAACGAGAACTGTCTAGCACTTCATAGAAATGGGAAAGGTGATATAAGCTTGTGATGGTATGCTATATAGAAACAGACAACCAGACCTTGGAGGCAGCTCCTTCATGACACATAACACAGGTGATTCTTTTGCATATTAGGGATTTTGAACCACCTGATCTTTAATGTTCCTTTAGCCTTCGCAATGCAATGGCCGCCCCCATATCCTTAGAGTTGGTAATGTCTCTTCTCTTCCGGCTCAAGTAGTGGTTGGGGATGCTTGATGCAATAGAAAGACCCTGGGCTGCATGTGAGGACACCTGTGTTCTGCCCTTGCTCTGCTGCTTGGGAGCTGGGTGTCCTTCAAAAGGCATGTTTCCTCTCCTCCTGTAGGTCTCAGCTCAGAAAGCAGTCTCCTGGACCTCCCATTCAATCTGCCCATCCTCTTCTAGCCACCTGTATCACATCACTCTATTCAGTTTTCCTCATAGCACCTGATAGCATCTTGTGTGTTTTTCTTCAATCTCCCACAGAATGTGAACACCATGACAGCAAGGGCCATAGCCTGCATATCTAGAACAGGAGCCTGGCACAGAATTCCATGAATACTATTGGGCACCAGTAAATATTGTTAGAATGAACAGGTAGGCTTCTGTTCCTCCCCCATGCTCACCGTAGAGTAACTGTCAAGGTAAATGACATCTATGGTGCCCTCTGGCTTGAATAGTCCAAGATCTTATGATATGAGGATGAAAGAGCTCAGGACCATCAAGGAACAGGGAGATGATGTAGCATGTAAGGAATTAGATGTCAAGGGTAGGATAGGGATTCACCTGTAAGCGTCTTCTCCTTTTGAAGATGGCAAGAAGACCTCAGGGGCTCCCCTAAAATGCTCAGCTGGACAAACTACAGTTTTGGGGGCTGGGTCTCTGGCCAGTTCTGGGTTCCTACACTTCTGAGGAGCCTGTTAAGTTTTGGAATGTGTTCATGCCACATTCCTGCTAATACCTCATAAAATACTATTTGCCAATAATGTCACCCTGTAATTACATCTGCTGAACTCACTCTGCCTGTGTGTACGCTCTTTTTTCATTATGTAGCTTCAACCTTTATAATGTTACCAATTGACACCATAATTAGTAGAGTTTACTGTAGCACTGATTATGAGGGGCCTCCTTGTCAATCAGCCTCTGTTTGTTTCTGTTTGAGGAGCCATTATTCCTTTACCTGTAAACCTTGGCTAATTTGCAGGGCACATGGGTGCAGGGCTGTGTTTGTGTATGAGAAAGGGGTGCTCCCGGGCCCTCCTTGTACTTGACTGCCCTGCTCTGAAGTGGTCGCTTTGCTTCCAGCCTTATTACATAATGCCCTTGGCCAGAGCTCTCCAGGCAAGAAGGAGCAGCCCCTGAACATGTATGAGGGGTCAGGGTGCAGGGTGCCACCCCCACCTCTCCCCAGGGAGCCGAGAGTTCTTTGGCAAGGTGCCCAGCCCCTCTGTGATTCTGTTCCTCCACCCAGTTCTCCTTCCTGCCCTACCTGCCTCCAGGGGCTTCAAAGAGCTAACAGATGTGGAAGAGCTTTTGAAATAAGCGTGCCATATAAATTCAAGGTGTTTGGGAATGGTTTTCTCATAAACCTGCCAACACTATCTTTTTGGAAAAGACAGAAGTCACAAATCCACTCTTGTTTTAATTTACTCTGGTATTTCCCCAGCAGATGGCTAAAGAGCTGCTTGTCATGCGTCCTCGGTGCCTTCTAGGGAAACTTCAAGGACCATGGCCTCCCTTGAGGAATGGGTCTGGATTCCATTCATCCCTGCAAAGCTCTTGTTGCAAGGAGGGTAAATGTCCCTTCCTTTTCTGGGAGACTCTAGTGCTCGGTGTGGGGAAGGTGGCTTCCATCCTTTCTTTGACCACGTTACTTAGTCTCTCTTATGGGGTGGGGAGGGACTCCCCTGAAGCCTGGATACCTCTCCTCTCCTGCAGCCTCGTGAAGGCACACCAGGCATGGCCCAGCCTGCCTCCTGAAGCAGGGGGGACCCACATCTGGAGTTCCTAGATCTGTGCTCCATGGAGTATCAGACAGCACACCATGCTCTGCCCCTGGCTGTGTAGACATCTGCCCTGGACACCCAGATTCCTGACATGAGGGACCGCACTCTAGGCATGGAGCTGGGGGAGAATTGGGAAGCCCAATATTGGTAGGTGGTCAAGCTATGTCCTCCAGTCCAGCGTAAGCAGCCGTAACTACTAAACACAGCTCTCTCTACCTCCTGGGTCTGTTTCTCAGTTCAGGTCTTATGGTGAGCTGGACACACCAGAAATCACAAGATGTGGTCACACAACTTACGTCCTTACTTTTACCTACTTGCAGGTTGCACTCACTCTTGGGGCTGATTTTCCTACCACTGCACAACCAGCTCCAGTGGCGGGAAGCTCCATCCTCCATAAGGCAGCTGCTGGCATTGCCGAGCTTGTTACTCCTTACCGTATGTGCAGCTCAAACCATCTTCCTCCAGCACACATCTGTAGGGCCTGGATTTGCGCTTTGAAGCTGCACAGAGAAGAACCACCCCTCCATTTCTTCAGAATCTCTTTTTTCTCTTCTTTTCTTTTAACCCATCTGTCTCCCTCCCAGGACACCCAGGGTACAAACTCCAAGAGTCAGCCCTTCAACACGTGTTGTGACACTAACTGGTAATTCATGTAGAATCTCAGCCTGCCTTCTGGAAAATGTGACAGTGGTAGCTCTTGTTTTGCAGGTCCTGGCATCTCTTTTCTGTTCCTCTGATGTCCCAACACACATGCCCTTCTTAGGACATCACCTCCTGGGTAGCTACTGTGTGCCAGCTGTGCTGTGGGATGCAATGAAGCAGATGAGACAAAGCCTTCCCCTTTGGGAAGTCGAGACTGGCTGAGGAAGGCCAACTAGAGACTTCCAAGGGATGGGACAATCTGTACCAGCTCGAGGAGCTGGGGCCATGCTGGGGCTGGAGTGGCCTGAGTTCAGTGTCATGGTTCTCCTTGCCTGTGCCTAAGTGGCACTGTGGACCCCCAACCACACTCAAACTCCCTTTTGTCTTCATCTTCCCCCGTGTCTTCTTTCCCTGTCATTGGCTTCTTAGAATGGAGGCTCCTCCCTCCAAAGGGTCCAGATCCCGCCCCTTCACACCCCAGGCCTCATCATGAACTCTCTTGACCTCTGTTAACCTTGCTTTCTTTCCAAGACACCCAGATGGGCAATTTGGAAGCCTGGCTGCTTGGTGATGCATGGGTCTTAGCAGGCAAGCCCACTTTCTTATAGGGACGAAGAGAGGCACTTTGTAAACATCAGAGCAGATTCAACCTCCCAACGGATGCGCGTGTAATGTGGCTTAGGCTATATTATTCTTGCTTAAGTTGGAGTTTGTGATTTAGCATTCCTGTTTAGCTGCAGAATTCCACAGAGGATATTGCTGGATCCCAAATCTTTTGTCAGTGTAATTGAGCATAACATCTTTTCAGGTTTGTATTTCAAAAGATGCATTATCTCTTCTTATCCATTTGTTCTATTTGAGCTATTTGAAACTTTCAATGTGCCTCATCCCTCTGAAGGAATTTGAGTTTTAGGCTGATAATTTATGTTTATGCTGAGAATGCGGTTTCCTTTCTGCATCCAGAATGATTAATAGACTTCTCTCTGTAAATTAGTACAGAAGAGGACATAGGTAAATTGCTAACCAAACTAAGAATTTCAATTTGTTCCGATGATCTCTTCAAGCCTTTTAAAAATTTATTATTATTATTATTATTATTATTGTTATTATTATTATTATTTTGAGATGAAGTCTTGCTCTGTTGCCCAGGCTGGAGTGCAGTGGCATGATCTCAGGTCACTGCAACCTCCACCTCCCTGGTTCCAGTGATTCTCCTGCCTCAGCCTCCCGAGTAGCTGGGATTATAGGCGTGCATCACCTTGCCTGGCTAATTTTACTATTTTCAGTAGAGATGGAATTTCATCATGTTGGCCAGGCTGGTCTCAAACTCCTGACCTCAAGTGACCCCCCGCCTTGGCCTCCCAAAGTGCTGGGATTACAGCTGTGAGCCACCACACTCGGCCCTTCAAGCTCTTTCTTATCCGTGTTCCCTAGATGCACAATTCCGCTTGGACTGTGTGCCCTTTTGACAGTGAGAGAAGCCCTAATCCTTGCCTCCCACCTCCTGAGAATCCTTGTTCAGGAACAAGGATCAGCAAATCACTGCCTGTGAGCCAAACCCAGCCTGCCTGTGTGGCCTGTGTGCTAAGGATGTTTTCTATTAGGATGGTGCAAAAGTAATTGCCAATCTTTTACTTTCCGTGCAAAAACTGCAATTACTTTTTCACCAACCTAATACATTTTTAAATGGTTGAAAAAACAGTAGTATTTTCTAACAGGTGAAAATGATATATAATTCAAATTTCAGTGTCCCTAAAATAAGGTTTTGTTGAAAGACAGCCACACTCATTTGTTTACATGTTGTCTGGCTGATTTTACACTGTAATGTCAGACTCGAGCAGTTGCAACAGAGACCTTATGGCCCGCAAAGCCTCTAATGTTTACTCTTTGGTCTTCTTTTTTTTTTTGAGACAGAGTATCACTGTCACCCAGGCTGGAGTGTGGTGGTGTGAACTCCACTCATTGCAACCTCCACTTCCTGGGTTCAAACAATTCTTGTGCCTCAGCCTCCTGAGTAGCTGGGACTACAGGCACATGCTACCATGCCTGCTAATTTTTGTATTTTTAGTAGAGATGGGGTTTCACCATTTTCACCAGGCTGGTCTGGAACTCCTGACCTCAAGTGATCTGCCCGCCTAGGCCTCCCAAAGTGCTGGGATTACAGGTGTGAGTCACCTCACCCGGCCTACCCTCTGGCCTTCTAAAGAAAAAACGTTTTCATATTTGTGCTTGAGAGAGAGGATGAGAGTTTCCTTGTGCCTTCAGGGACATTGGGGTTTTGGGATACCTGGGCTGCATTTTCTTGTCTGTTAGCAAGCCCATCTTAGTTTCCCTTGAAGAACTCCCCATCTTTTGCTCTCAGTTTGTCCATGTGGTTTCAATGGATTTGTCCTTCTCCCTCAGCCTGACCCCACCCCATAGATGAAGCACAGGCTGCAGCCAGTCACCTGGTCTATTCTCTCCAAGGCAGAGCGATTACTTCCATGTCATGGTTGCTTGACTCAATGGGACCAGTGATATTTGTGTCTGGGCTTCTGAACACGTGCCCTTCCTATGAGAAGTGAACCAGGCCCTGCAGAGGTGGAGGCAACTCCAAGCATATTGTGACAATGAGGGACTTGATAAGGGAGTCAGAACTGGCAACTTAATTTCAGCCCTGAATGAAGCCAGAACTGATTCTCCTATCCCCTGTCTATCTAGTTGAACCCACACATTTTTGCTGAAATCTGTGTTTCTTTTCTTTCTTTCTTTTTCTTTCTTTCTTTCTTTCTTTCTTTCTTTCTTTCTTTCTTTCTTTCTTTCTTTCTTTCTTTCTTTCTTTTTTCTTTCTTTCTTTCTTTCATTTTTTTTTTTTTGAGACAGTCTTGATCTGTCTCCAGGCTGGAGTGCAGTGGCACTATCTCAGTGGCACGATCTCAGCTCACTGCAACCTCTGCCTCCTGGGTTCAAGCGATTCTCCTGCCTCAGCCTCCTGTAGCTGGGACTACAGGCGCGCGCCGCTACCCAGCTAATTTTTGTATTTTTAGTAGAGATGGGGTTTCACCATGTTGGCCAGGATGGTCTTGATCTCTTGACCTCGTGATCTGCCTGCCTCGGCCTCCCAAAGTGCTGGGATTACAGGCATAAGCCATCATGCCCGGCTTGAATTCTGTGTCTCCATAGCTAGCAGGTTGCATCTGTCTTATATATGTCCCTTAAAATAGAAGACCTGGATCACAACACTGCTGATCTCTGTGGACCAGCTGGAAGCCTCTGTCCATGGCCCCAGGGCTGGCCTGGGGGTTGCCTATGCTGAATTCCATTAAAGCCAAGTTTTGCACTAATCTTTGCAATGATATGAATATTTGTCCTCTCCAAAACTCCTGCTGAAATATCCCCAGTGTGATAGTATTGAGTGGAGCCTTGAGGAGGTGATTGGGTCATGAGGGCTCTGCCTTCATGAATGAATTAATCCATTCATATATTAACAATTAATGGGTTATCACGAGAGTGGGACTGGTGGTTTTATAAGGAGAGAAGGAGACAGCTGAGCTAACACACTCAGCCCCCTTGCAGTGTGATGCCCTGCACCACCTCAAGACTCTGCAGAGAGTCCCCACCAGCAAGAAGGCCCTCACCAGAGGCAGCCCCTAGACCTTGGACTTCTCAGCCTCTACAACTGTAAGAGGTAAATTTCTTTTCTTTATAAATTACCTGGTTTCAGATATTCTGTTATAAGCAACAGAAAACAGACTTAGACAATCTCAAAACTTTGGATAGATGGCTCATTCCTTCCCAGACGCAATGAGAACAGAGGTCCTGGGCGACAGTATGGTCTGCAGCAATGAGAGAGGGTGGGAAACTGAGCTGATAGGGCAGGTGTGCCATCTCCAGCACCATCTCAGCACCTGCTGTCTCTGAGGTGGTACCAGGGCTGTGTGAACCAGCAGAGGAAATGCAGTGGTGAAGAAGACAGGTCAAGAGTGCATGGCTGGCTTTGGGTGTAGCCCTGACACTCCATGGGCCATAGTGTCTTAAGCACCTCACTGGGTTTCCGTGAACCGTGGGGTCCTCTCAATGGAAGGCAGAAACACACCCACTGTCTTCCCTTGGGTGTTGTAAGGAATATTTGAGATAATCCAGGTGAAAGCAGTGTGTGGCTTTAAAGCAGTGAGTGAACGCTGCTGCTGTTGATGGTGTTGATGTCAAATGACAATATTGCTCTGTTGACTAGAGGTCTTAGGGAGAGAGGGCAGTTGGTTACCACCTGGGCTTTCACCCTTGCAGGCATTGATAGAAGTGCATCTTCTGTCTTTCACAATCCTCTTCGCAATGAACTGTCGAGGTAATGAAGCAGGTATCATGAGACCTATGTGAAGTAGGAAGGAGCTGAGGTTCAGAAGGTGAAGATCTTGCCTTAGATCTCACAACTGGGGCTATATCAGGTCTTCACACTCCTAATCCAGGCATTTATAGCAGCATTGCCTTAAGAAATAGAAAGAGATAAGAGCTGCCTGTGATGGCCCTTCTGTTTTGGACCCAAAGTCAGCAAGCCACACATGTCAGCAGTGATGCCTGCCCACCCACGTGCCAAGGGTGTGGTCTGTGACAGTGATGGTGACAGGATTGTTTGGGTGCCTTCCATGCCACAGACAACTCTAGGGTTTCATGGGCAATTAAACTGGTCCAGAAAACAGCATGTGGTTACTTGGGGTTTACAAGAAATGGTGCATATGGACCCAATTTGCTCTGTAGTACAAGTGTGCTTAAGCACAAAGAAAGAAATGCTTGGGTTAGATGAATGGAGAGTGTCTGAAGTCTCTAGCTCCCAGGAAGCTTCTCTATGCAGCCTCATTGCTATGATCCACTATGTGTCTTGGCTGGTCTCAGAAAAGAACTATCCAGCATTACACCAGGATATGACCTCTTCACAGCAAGATGCCTTTAAAAACTAGGCTATGGGGTGACCCCGACTTGGGCTCTTCTTTTGATTCTTCAGAATGTGTTCATTTTAGATGGCTTGTGGTGGCACATCCTGCCCATATGGAGGACAATGGGACACAAGCTGGTGTCTGAGATGCTCAGAGCTAGACATTTTAGCGAGGCCAGTGGAGGGGTCCAGGGTCCCTGGACAGAGAGAGGCAGATGTAGCAGCCTGGGAGGTATGAGTGCAGGAGAGAGTGAGCAGTTTCACTGAATTAATTTTGAGGATGATACACTCTTGGGGTGACAGTGGAAAAAAAATACAGAACAATCTCAAACTGACTACCACCGCCAGCCTTTCCAGCCAGTAATAAAACTCCCACTTCTGAGCTCTGAAACCGTTTACCACTCCAGTACTGACCATCCCCACCCCCTAGTCTCAGCCATTGCTCCAGACATCTGGAATTTTCTTAAAGACTATTTCCTTTCTTCATCTTTCATCACAGATTGCCTCCAAATTTCAAAGCCCAGAAACACGAATGCCACCTTATCGACCTTTCCTAAAGAGCAGAAGTAGCAAGAAGTCAGACAAAATGGGACACCTTGGGGAGGGGATTTTGGTTCATTTACAGCCAACGGATGGGTTAATTTTTCTACCTGGGGCTGTAGAAAATAAGGTCCTGATTAAAGAAATCTCTGTTGTCACTGGAGGCAGAGTCCTTTGCCTTCACTTCCTCATTAATAGAGAACAAAGGCAGCAGCCCTGTCCCTGCTTCCCTCCTGCTGAAGTTTCAACTCTGATTCCTTGCTCCTCCCAGACAGTTTCAGTGAGAGGAGAGCCCACAGGGGAAGCTTTCCACTCTAGCGGTGTCCTGAGGTTGCACAGGCCCGCTGATCCTCTGTGACTCAGAACTCTCCCCAGGACATGCATGGTGGTCTTTGGGCTGAGAATCCAAGTTCTGCAGATCTCTCATCTTCCAGGTATTTATCCTGTCTCCAGTAGCAGGACCTGGGGTCTTGCTCCATTGCCTGGCGACCCTCCTGCCTGTTCCCCCCTAGGATATGCACCTGCTCCTTGTTTGTGGCTGAGAAGACTGAGGACCGACGGCCAGGGAAGGCCCTGGGTGGGGCCCTCATGGGAGCTCAGGGATGTGGAGGAAGAAAAGGATGAGGAGGCATGATTGTTGGCAGGCGTGAGCCTTCCTCTCTGGTGGAGGCCGTGAGAGGAGGAGAGGAGGGATTCAGGAAGGGCCAAGAACATGGAGAGGCCAGCTGAGTGCTTCCATCTGCAGCTCTGATTGAATTATGGGGAAAGAGGCGGTTTGGGGAAGCTGTTGGCGGATCCCAACCATGCTGTGGCAAATGAGGCCCTTTGGCCTTTTGGAAAACCCATGCTTTATTAAAATAAATTAAAGGAGATGGAGTCCTTCTGTTGCCTTCTCTCCTCTCCCCTCCGTCCTTGAGGCAAGCGCATGCTGCTCACCATTGTTTTACCTTCAGATAGCTTGCACTGGGGAAGGGCAAACCTGCAATTTTCCTGCCTGCCGAAAATGATGGCTGTCGCTTAAGAGAAAACCTGACTGCTTTCCTTCCACGGGGTCTTTGAATCCTGCCAGAGCATCTGTCTGTAATCTCTTCAACGACAGCTTTGTCTGAGCCAGCCCAGTGGCAGGGAAATGACAGGGTTGCTGGTGGCCAGATGAGGGGGAGGGAGGGGTATGATGTTGGTGTCCCAGTGCTGGGGCTTCCATCTTCAGCCTCCCTGCCTACCAAAAGGAGAAATCTCCGGTGTGAGGTGGGGTTCCTGCCTCCGCCAGGGAGCGCTCAAACCAGACATCTATCTGCTTGTGTTTCTCGCAAGGAGAGGAGAAGCCCCTTGTCAAATCTTGAAATAAATGTTCAAGAAAGCATGTAATGACTTTGCACGGGAGCCATGGCATCATAGAGAAGCTCATCAGTTAGAGCACATGTGGTTGCAAAGAAGAGAGACCCAACTCAACCTGGCTTGCACAGGGAAGAGAATTTATCAGTTAATTAATGTCTGGAGATTAGGCAGAACTCAATTCAGGCTTAATCTAGAGGCTCAAACACATCACTGAGGTCTCGCCTCTGCCTTTTATAGATTGGTCTCATCTCATCTTCACAGATGAACTTGACTGCCTACAATTCCCTGGACATCTTTCTTTTCCCATACAACCCCTGATTGGATGAGCCAAGGTGAGTTCCAATCATTAAAACAATCACTCTGTGTAGGACAATGGAGTATCCTGGTTGTCTTAGCTGGGGTCCTTTGTTCCATGCCTAAAGCTGAGGATGGATTTATCTTCACTAGAACCATAAGAACCCTAGTGGAAAAGATGGGATATTGGGAAAGAACGTGAGGGAAATGGATACTTTGATGGGCAATTAAAGGATGGCCAACACATACTCTAAAGGATTCCACTAAAAGCCTGTGTTTTGGTGACTGATAGAGAAATGGATGTTTTCTTATATCCATTTAGAGCCTCTAGTATGGGCCACCCTGGTCATTGTCATTCTAGAATAATTGTATCAGAAGGTATCTCAGAGAGCATCTTACTGTTTTTCAAAGCCAGTGCAGGGCTCTTTAGGACAGAACCATCTTAACCATCTTCGGGTGGTCACCAGGCCCCCAGGGACTGGTAAGCCATGAACCTGTGAACCGTCTTAATACAGAGTTGGGCAGGAATCCCAATATAAGGGGCTCATCTTTCCAAGTAAGAGGAATTCCTCTTTGCAACTGTCAATCACAGATTCAGACTCATCCAGGCCCCTCTGTCTCAACTTTGAGCATTCTCTCATCCTGCATGGACCTCTGTTCTATTTCTAAGAAATTGACTTCCTTGTACTTCATGATGACACATATTCCCCTGAAGAAGACACCCTGTGCTACCTGAGAATAGAGTCTACTAAGCACCTATATTTTCGACTGCCTGGTCTCCTTCCAAACTTACCAGTCTTAAGTATCATGCACTCAGAACTTTGCTAATGCAAGCAGACATTAGAGACTAACCGTGGCTCACTGTGTCATGACAGTTGACGTGGGGATGCTACCACAGAAGTCTTCGGAGCTATAAATCAGTGCCTTAGATAAAATGGTGAGACCTGAATTTAAACTGTGAAGAAAAAATAATTGGAGGAAAGAAAGTCTGTCAGAAATTTTCCAAGCCACGTAGGCAATTGTCTGCTTGGCCTTTGCAAGTTCTGAAGGAAGGCTGATATGACTTCAGGAGACAATTTTGTGATGCAGTTTCTGTGTGTGATTCCTTGCCTTTGCTAAGAATTCTGTTTGCTGGATCTGCCCCTAACCTTCCGAGGGAAAAGAGGGATTCCCTTGAGTTTAAAGGTGAACATGCTGTCTGTCTTTCTGTCTCTCTCACTGTCAGACAAGTAAAACTTTGGCCAAGATGTAATTACAGCAGGAATAGCTACAAATACCCGGGGAGAAAACAAAGACCAGTGTCTTGACATTGCAACATGCAGGAATAAGCTTAGACATAAGGAAGAACTCTTTTTTTTTTCTTAGAGATATTTGTGACAATTAAGGAGAACTCAAAAAATGCTAAGAAAAAATCAATTTTCCTGGAATTTTTTTTTGAAAATTAGATATTTATGTGTCTGAATTAACATCAACATGTTACTGTCAGAGGCTGAGGCCCAATCATCTCTGTGGATCACTTTCAGCTGTTGAGTCATAAAGTAGAGGAGAGAAAAACTCAGTTTCTAAAGAGTTAGAGTCACTGAAAAATGAAAAACTAATCAATCCCATGTATTTTTCTGAAATGTGGTATTTATTGGGCATCTGCTCTGCATCCAGGGAAATGAGACAAAGGATGGTAAGAATCCCTGCCCTCTAGAAATCATAGGACAAAAATGTATGGACAGCCTACTAAAGACCAGGTGCCAGGCAGTGCCCTGGAGACACGATAGCAACCAAGGCAGACTTAGTGCTGGATCTCATGGAACTTACACTCTAGAGGGGAAGGAAGATTATTTTAAAAGATGTCCAGGATGCCAGGAAGGGCATATTGGAAGAAACAAAACCTCCGAGGATGTAACAGGAAATGTCTCCTTGAGGAAGAGAGTGTTGGATTCAGAACTGAAGAATGAGCAATCTAGTTAGGAAGTCAAATCAACACTGGGAAGAGTTTAAAGCTACAGCAGAGTCCTGGAAACCATGGGGATTGCTGTGTCGTCTCTGACCCTCTTTCCCAGGACTCAATAAAATGATCAAAGCACTGTCAGAGTTTAAAGATGCATGTCATAAATCTTGAGGAATTTCTGCTAGAAATTGTTCTGTCTGATGGTAGGTACCTCTTGCTAAGAAAATTAATATCTACATTAATATTAATATAGATATTAAATAGTATATATCCTAGCAAAGCTCCATCTATGCCTTCTAAATTGGAGGAGAAATAACTGATCAAAAGGGCCCAAAAATCTGTAACTAATGAAAATTTAGAAAATAAAGGTAATGGAATCACTACAAACTCTAATCCATGAAAGCAAAGAATTAATAGGTCTTAAATATACCCAGTGCTTAAAAAAATAATAATGAAGAATAAACACAAAAACCTGTAGGAGACTGTCTTCTAAAATGTTTTTCAATTTTCAAACATGGGCAAGCTATTCAAAACTTCAATAAGCAGGAGAGCCCTAAGTTAAGTGCTTCATAATTTATTTAAGAAAGTTGTCAAAGTATTGATATTAAAACCAGAGACAAAAGTTAAAAAGAAAACCACAGAATCTCTTACTTAGGAGTATAGATTTTAATTCTCAAGTGTTAGAATATGAGCAACAAATCAGTCTTATAATACAAAATGCTACCATGGCCAAGGAAACTTCTTCTTAAAAGAACAAAGGTGATTCAATATTAGGTAATCTATTAATGTATTTCAGTATGTTAATAGAACAGAGCAAAAAAAATTCTCAATTGCCAAAAGACATCTAATAAAATTTAAAAATTATTTCTATTAAAAGAATTAAGTTAGAAAGATATTTTGGAAACTTGTAAAAAATGCTTAACCTATTAATGACCATCACATATAACACATTGAATATATATATATGTGTGTGTGTATATATATAGAGAGAGAGAGAGCGCTAAGAGTAATAAAGAATGACAGCTATCAGCATTATTATTTGATATTATTTGGGAGATACAGCCAATGCTATCAGGCAAGAAAAAGAAATAAAGGCATGAACACTGGGAGAGAAAAAAAACCTCATCATCAAAAGGCAGTATAGCAGAATGGTTATATGCAGAGAGTCCTGCATCAATGTAGGTGCAACCTACATTGCAACCTACATTGCAACCTACAATCAATGTAGGTGCAACCTAAGAAAAAATACGTTAGAAAGTCATCTAAGAATTAGTAATAAAGAAGGTGGTTAGAGACCTCTGTGACTCCAGGGAGATGTTACCATCTGTGTCATCTTAGTCTTTAGTTACATAGGCTTCTCATCTACATGTTTACAGAGAAATCAGAGCCTTTAGAGGTACAGAAAGGAAAAGTATTGAAGAAGTATTGGACGAGGACATCCATTATGGTAGATTTGTCTCCCAACCCTGCTGGAAGGGGATGGTGCAGGAAAAATCCACATTAGTCTTGAAATTATTTACTCTGAAGGGGGCAAAAATGTGTAGTTTTGTGCGTATGGGCTCTTTGCTTAGACTGCCTTATACCAGTGGCGTCAACCCCATAAACCTCAGTTCTTTTCTCTACAAAAGACAGTGATCATAGTTTATTGCACTCAGGACTAATGCAAAGAAAACTCATGCAAAATATGCTGCTGTGTCAGGAACACAAAAATTACCCCCCAGTAGCTGCAGTTTTTTACATCATCATTTGATAAGGACAGATGTCTCCTTCTAGCTCTTGCTATACCTGCTCAGAAGTTTATGAAATAGAGGTCAACTTTGCAGTACTAAAGAGCAAAAAGATGGTACAACATACAAGAGAGACTGTGGAATCCCAGGAGGTGGGAAAAGGTTCCTGAGTGCTGGAATTCCATAGAGAAGAGTTTTCCTGCACTGCCTGGAGATGACTGAGCACTGTGGCCAGCAAAGGGTCTTCTTGAGCATGTTTAGTTGCCTTATACTATATTTCAAAACAAACACAATTATTAAATAGAAATGTTGAATAGTATTTTTTAAATATGGAGTATCTATGAGGAAATGAAGAAAAATATTACTGAGAAAATAAAAACAGAATTTTAATAAACGGGAATACAGAATTGGAAATCTGTTTCTTCCTTAAGTCAATCTATAAATATAATGAAATTTGAATCAATCTTCTAAATAAATTTTTGGCAAATGTAAAAATGTTTTACACCTTTTATCTAGAAAAATAAACGTGAAATGAATGAAAGTTGAAAATGAGAAAAAATTGGAAAAAATATTTATGGAAATCGGGCACATAATGTATTAGAACATATTATGAAATCATATTGTTTAAAAATGAATGACAAAAAATAGATCAATGAAAGAGAATAATAGGATCATAAATATACCAAAATCTATAAAAGTATTTATTATATTACACATGCAGTGTGCTTTATTAAATGGTGAAATTATTCTCAGGAAATTGCTTAAAGGATAAGAGACACAAATTAGTTTACCTTCTGAGGGTCAGAAAAATCCTTTCCAAACAGAATAACAAAGTCAGAAAATAACTTACAAATTTGCATAAGAAAATAGGATCAATGGTCACCTCTGATTGGTGGGATCTTGAGTGATTCTTCTGATTTTGATGTTTGATGTCCAAATTTTCTGACTTCCCTGCATTGAGTATGTTGTTAAAAAGAGAAATAAAGTTAAAAATGGATATGAGTTAGGCGGGTTGGTACAGGATGGGAACAAGGACACCTTGATTAAATTCATCATGGAATGTGAGCTGCTGCTTTTTGAACAAGATTGCTCTTGAACTTTTAAGGACTGTTTATCCACAGATTAAGAAGCATTGATCAAACTTCACTGTTGTGTAAAAGACAGAGTGAAAATCTGGTTGTCAGGATTTGGACATGCTTAAGGTGGGGAGGAGCTGCAGCAGATCTCACTCGATGGGAGGGCTGGAGGGCAGCCTGGCCGGTGCAGGCCTGGGGTCCAGAGAGACAGGGAGGTTGTGCAACAAAGCAGTCCACCCATCACGGGGGAAGTAGGGCCTGCCTGCAAATTATCCTCCCAGCAGGATAAACCCCAATTGGTCATGATGCATTCTAATTTTAACATATTACTGAATTCAATTCACTAATATTTTGCTATGGATTTTTAAATCTGTGATCATGAGAAAGTTAATGTCTAGCTTTAAAAAAATTTTTAAATCCCTGTAATATATATATTTTTGGTTTTGGTGTAAGCACAATGTTGGCCTTATAAAATAAATTGATTAGTGCTTCTTCCTTTTCTAATTTCTGCAACATTTTGTGTAGAGCTGGTATTCTCCTTCTTAAATGTTTGATAGCATTTACCAGCGAAGCCCTCTGGGCCTGGAGTTTCCTTTGTGGGAGGTTTTTAATTAATGAATTCAGTATATTTAGTTGATACATAGGACTATTCAGATTTTCCATTTCTACCTTAGTCAGTTTTAGTAATTTCTCTTTCATAAATTCGTAGGGTATGGTGTGGTTTCCCCTCTTTCATTTACATTATTGTTGATCTCTGTCTTTTGTTTTATTAATGAGTAAAGCTAGAGCCTTATACAATTTACTGTTTTTTTTTCCAAAAAAAAAAGCTTTAGTTTTATTTTTTTTTTCTTTATTGTTTGTGTGTTTATTATTGAGTTTTGACTGGTCTTGTCTTTATTAATTTTCATTTCTACTTACTTGGATTTTAATTTACCTTTCTTTTTTATTGTAGTAAGAACAGGTAACATAGGATCAATCTTTCCAGCCGAATTTTAAATGTACAATATGGTGTCATTAACTGTAGACAAGATGTTGTACAGTGGATCTCTAGAACTTATGCTTTTTCTAAATTTTGAAGGTGAGACCTTAGATAATTTATTTCGGAACTTTATTATTTTCTAATACAAGCATTTAAACCTGTACATTTTTTCTCTATGCAGAGTTTTAGCCATATCCCTAGTTTTAGCCATATCCCACACATTTCGACATACAGTTCTTCTTCAGTGCCCATGGGATTTGGTTCCAGGACCTCCTGTGGATACCAAAACTTAGGGATGCTCAAATCCCTAAAGTAAGATTGCATAGTATTTGAATATAACATATGCACATCCTCCAGTATACTTTAAATAATCTCTAGATTACTTATAATACCTGATACAATGTAAATGCTATGTAAATGGTTGTTTTCTCTACTGTTTGGGAATAACAACAAGAAAAAAAGTCTGTAAATATTCAGTACAAACCCAATTTTTATTTGTTAATATTTTCAATCCAAGTTCGGTTAAATTCATGAATGCAGAACCCACAGATATGGAGGGCCAACTATATTGTAATTTTGTTTTCATTCTGTTAAAAATACTTTCTAATTTTTCCCTGTGACTTCTGCTTTGACCCATAAGTTATTTAGAAGAGCATTATTCAGCTTTCCAAATACTTGCTGATTTTCCAGATATTTTTTCTGCTTTTTATATCTAATCTTGTTGAAGTTAAAGAACTGACTCTGTTTGACGCCAATTCTCTCAAATTTATTAGCAATCCTTTTATGGCTCAAAATATGATGTATCTTAGTTATTATTCTCTGAGTATATGAAAAGTATGTGCTTTCTGCTGTTTGGGTTGATCGGTCTATAAACGTCAACTAAGTCAAGTTAGTTGATAGTGTTGTTCATTTCTTCTATGTTCTTACTGATTTTCTGCCTACTTGATCTATCAAGTACTATGTAGGAGTGTTAAAATCTTCCACTATAATTTTGGATCTGTCTTTTTCTCTTTCAGCTTTGTCAGTGTCACTTTATGTATTTTGAAAGTCTGTTATTGTGTACATACATATTTATGAACTGTCTTGTCCCTCTTTATCTCTGGTAATGTTTCTTGTTCTGAAGTCTGTTTTGTCTAATAATAATAACATAGCCACTCAGCTTTATTTTTGAGTCTCTAGCGATGTTCTTGCTTTTACTCCCAGTTTTGGTCATTTATATCTTCTTTTTCTTGGTCACTTTAGCTAGAGGTTTATACATTTTGTTGTTTTATTTTTTAAAGAACTAGCTTTTGGTTTTATTGTTTTTTTTCTATCTTCTCTCTCTCTCTGTGTTTCCTTATTCGTCACTCTACTCTGATTTTTATTATGTTCTTCCTTCTTGCTTTGGGTTTAACTTACTCTTCTTTTCTAGTTCTTTTCCATCAGAAGATAAGATTGCTGATTTGACTCATTTGTTCTTTTATTTTTAAAATAAGCATTCAATGCAATGCTTCTTAAATGGGGGTGGTTTGCTTCCTGCCCACTGGGCATTTCACAAAGTCTGGATACATTTTAATTTTTCTAGTCGGTGAGAATAGAGTAGTGAGTAAATTAAACACATAATTCCCTTATGGAATTTTTAATATAATGGGAGCCACAAGCAATGAACAAGATTAAAATACATAAAATAAAGTCAGGGATGAAAACAAAAGCAGAACAAAGAAATAGAAAATGAGGACTATGGGCCAGCTGGGACTGCAGGGTCAAGGAAGACTGATAGAATGATATTTCTGATAGAATGATTTTTCAGCAGAGAAGTGAAGTAAAGAGAAGAGTTGTGTTGAGTATCTGTGGAAGGAGTCTTCCATGCAGAGTAACGGCAACTGCAAAGGCCCTACAATGAGAATGTGCTTGGTGTCACCAAGGAATCATAATGTGAGTAACGTAGTTGAAGTCAGTGAGCTAGGAAAAAAGTGATAAGAGATAATGTCAGGAAGTGTCAGCTCCTAGATGGTGTTGTGCCTTCTTGGCCCTGGAAGCAATTTTAGATTTTATTTTAAATGTGGTGGGAAGAGAGTGAATGTTTCAGCAGCTGACAGGAGGAGGATCCCTGTGGCTGCTGGTTTGAGAATGGAATAAACAGAACAAATATGGAAACATAGAGACCAGCTGGACATTACTGAAGCCAACCAGGTAAGAATCGCTGGTGATTTGGGCTAGAGGGATGGAAGATGAAAGGCTGCAATTCCAGATAAATTTTGAATGTGGTGACAACAAGGCTTACTAATGGATTCAATATGACCGATTACAGAGAATGAGGGCCAAGGATGCTTCCAGTGATTTTCCCTGAGCAGCGGAGTAGGTCATGTTGCCATTGACTAAGATTGGAATCACTAAGGGAGAAAGGGGTTTGGGTAAAAAATCAAATGTTTGCTTTTGGGCTATATTATGTATAAGAAGTGTATTGTTCATCTGAGTTGTATAGAAGCAGTTAGTTATACAATGTTTAGAGTCCAAGGGAAAATTTAGGGCTGGAGGTATAAATTTGGCTATTTCTACATTACAAGATATATTAATGTAATTTACTATATATATTAGCAAAGCAAAGTAGTAAAACCATTAATTTATCATCATAATAGGTGTCTGAAAGCATTAAAAAAAAACTACCACCATATTGTGATAAAATAATAAACTTAGGATAGAAAAAATATGATAAAAAGTACAGCAAATATACAAAATATTGGTAAAACCTAAGTGATGTCATTAAAGTTAGGAAATATAAAAATGCTTGCTACCATTCAACATTTTACTAGATGTATTAGCCAATTAGCAAGGGAGAAAAGGGAGGAAACAAAGTTGGAAACAGACAAAACTGTCTCTACTTGAAGATAATATAATTAACTATGTTAAATAATTCAATCTATTAACAATTGAGATAATTAACAATCCAGTAATATTGATATAAGATTTCAAGTGAGTGGCTGGATATAAGATCAATATGAAAAAGTAAAAAACTTCCCTGTGTACCAGCAGTAACCAAGTACAACACATTTTGTTCCAAACAGCAATAAAAAAAATCTATAAAATATTGTAGCTGGGAGTAAACAAATTTAATGATAATATAATAAACCTTTATAGAAACATCTAACATTTTAATAAATTGACTTGAATATAAATGGAGGGTTACTTACTATTTTTGGATGGGAGTTTCTATTTTTAAAATGTTGCCTCTCTCCAAAATTATCTGAAAATTTAATGTAACCCCAAACAAAATGACAATGATATTATTATGCAAATCAACAAATAAATTCTGAAATGTAAGTGGAAGATAACTGCTCATTAACAGACATGAAAGTTTGAAAAAAGTGATCAAAGGGATGGACTTTCACCATCTGATATCATATTTATGAAACTTTAAACATTAAAGAAGTGTGGTGTTACTTAAGAATATACAAATAGATGAAATAGACTCAAAATTTCAGAAATAGACACTCCTGTATATTGAAGTTATCATGAGATACACTGATATTTGAAATTAGTGGATGCATTAGTCAGGGTTCTCCAGAGGGACAGGATTAATAGGATAGATGAATATATAAAGGGGAGTTTATTAGGAAATTGACTCACACAATCACAGAGTGAAGTCCCACAATAGGCTGTCTGCAAGCTGAGCAGCAAGGAAGCCAGTCCGAGTCCCAAAACCTCAAAAGTAGGGAAGCCGACAGTGCAGCCATCAGTCTATGGCTGAAGGCCCGAGATCCCCTGGCAAACCTCTGGTGTGAATCCAAGAGTCCAAAAGTTGAAGAACTTGGAGTCCGATGTTCGAGGGCAGGAAGCATCCAGCACGGAGAAAGATGGAGGCCAGAAGACTCAGCCAGTCAAGTCCTTCCACGTCCCTCCAGCTGCTTTTACCCTAGCGGCACTGGCAGCAGATTAGATGGTGTGCACCCAGATTGAGGGTGGATGTACTTCTCCCAGTCCACTGACTCAAATGTTAATTTCCTTTGGCAACACCCTCAAGGACACACACAGGAACGATACTTTGCATCCTTCAATCCAATCAACTTGACACTCAATATTAACCATCACTGTGGAGATTGAAAGGGGTGTTTAAAAATGGGGAGTCTGATATGTTAGATATCTAATTTACAAAATTTACATAATGAATTTAAGACATATGAAGTGCCTAAACACACACACACAAACACACAAAATAAAACTTTAAGCATATCAAAAGAATTATAGAGTCTTATTTTAATAATTATTTTTAAAAGTAGAAAACAAAAGATGGATAAATTTGAAGTTGCCAAAGTTTTAAAAAACACAGTATGTAGGTAGGAAACATCTTAATCTAAAGGTGACACTAGGAGAAAATATTTGCCTCAAATGTGACGAGAACAACTGTCAAAAATACATGAAAATGCTTATAAATCAATGAGAAAATTCAAGCCATCTAATAGAAAAAAAAAGACTATTTAAATATTTCAAAGGAGTCAGCCAATTTGGAAAAGAAAACTTTTCCCTGCGATTACATTTCCAGGATTTATCATAGCAAAGCAGTAGAAATCATCACAAGGAGATGTAACCAAATATGTTTATGGAAACATTGTTTATAAGTAGAAAGAAAAGCCTGGATAGATGAATAATGAACACTACAGGAAAATAGTTAAACCTTAGCATGGTATATTATGCCATGTTTTTAAATGTCAATACAAGTTTTACATGGTTTGATGTCATTGGTATGTTAAGTAAGCATGAGTTGTGACCTAATCAAAAGGAAACTTTATTTTTTGTTAACTACCATCTCCTTAAACTTTATTCATTGAGGGGCCAGGTGTGGTGGCTCACGCCTGTAATCCCAGCACTTTCAGAGGCTGAGGCGGGCGGATCACGAGGTCAGGAGATCGAGACCATCCTGGCTAACACGGGGAAACCCCGTCTCTACTAAAAATACAAAAATTAGCCGGCCGTGGTGGTGGGCATCTGTAGTCCCAGCTACCCAGGAGGCTGAGGCAGGAGAATGGCGTGAACCCCGGAGGTGGAGCTTGCAGTGAGCTGAGATCACGCCACTGCACTCCAGCCTGGGGAGACAGAGCGAGACTCTGTCTCAAAACAAACAAACAAACAAACAAACAAAAAACTTTATTCATTGGGTAGCCTTTCCATATCCTTGGTGAAAGTGCCCTGAGGTCCTGACTTCACTGTGTACTCTTGGGTGAAGGTGACTCAGGGGGATGGGTGTAAGGGGGTTCACTCTAGGTTAATAACTATTTCAGAACGAAACCTTGTTATGAATCTTTTCACTCTCTTCTCTTTAGACCTTTTAGTCATTCTCCAAAGACAGTATCAGGAGTTGTGGAGCAGATTTTACTTTATAGCCATTGCCTATTTTTCATACAGTGTAGTTAGTCCCCCAGACACCTTGGTGTTTTGATGTGTATCTAGTTGACTCCTCAAGAGACCTCAAATCCATAAGAAACTCACTTTGACAATCTGTCACTTAAAAAAAAATGTTCACAATAGTTTTTTATATTTTTCTCTTTCTAGCAAAACCAGAATGACTACTCCATATGCCCAGCTTAGATGCTGTCTAGTGCCTAAGTCTTCTCCAACCCCCCACCAGAGTGAATACATTTTTTCTTGGTATTCCTTGATGCATTTGGTATGCCTACATTATTGTATTTGGCATGTTGTATTTAATCAGTTAAATACGACAGCTGCTGTATTTATGTGTCTATGTGTCTCCTTCTCCCCACTGAATGTAAGCCTCGGAAGGGCAGAGGCTGTGTACTATTCAGTTATGCTTATGGTCTTCCTGACGTATTTCATAGCCTAATGCCCAGAGCACACTAAGCACTCAATAAACAGAATGAGCATTCTATTTCCTGAGCAAGGCAGAGGAATCTTGGCTCAGGAAAGGGGTAGGGAAATGAGATTTCTTCGGTGTGAGTGTGAAGTGAGATTGAACTTTTTAAACACCCCATAGCCAGGAAATGGAACACTTCATATTAATATATACATTTAATAAATGACAAATAACATCAAACAGAAAATATTACATGTGCAATGTAGCATGTGCGAAGCTGAAAATGATTTTCCTGAGTGTTGGGCTGTAATCAAGTTCCCTAATGTTGCATTAACATGGGTCCTTTAGCTTAATAGATCCTCCTGATATTTTTTAGACATTTAAGAAATGGAATAAACCCAGCCATATCCTAGCTTAGAATGCATACAACTAATTTCCCTCTGAGACTCAAGGACATCTTCTAAAGTGTGATGTGGATTACTGGATTTGCAATGTTTTTTTTTTAAAGAATTCTTTTGAAGATAAACAAGATCCACATTCCCCTTTCAATATCAATGTCCCAATTTCTAAGTGGATACCTTCTTCCAATTTATCTCTGAAAAATAGACCTGTCAAGTCGTTGGCATTTTGTTTGGACATTTCTTTGTTAATATTGGCAAAAAATTAATGCACATGGGAGATGTAAGGGGAGTCTTATGTGGACAATTCATTTAGCGTAAAGCTCATGGAAAAATGATGCCTTTACTGGGTTTCTCTGACCAGCCTCAAGCTCTCTGAGATTAGCTTTAGATTCATAGACAGTGGCCAGGCATCGACCCTGGGGGTCCGGCATCTACACATCCAGGAAAATGTCCTTTCCCCCAGGCAGGGCTATTATTCTATCACCGTTGTCCCAAAGCATTAGATGAAGAAACAACTTTCCACAAATACAATCCACAGCAGTTCTTGCAGGAGGTGAGGAAACTGCTGATGACTCTTTTCTACGGTCTTTGCATCTCTCAGTCTTGGAGGTGTGGCCAGGTGTAGTGTAGTGTAGTGACAGTTGGCCTGGATATTTGAAAACTATGCTTGGTATCCACAAAGAAAAAGAGTCTATAGATTCATCTTCCATTGTCAGCTTTGAGGATCATTAATCCGTATTGAATATTCTCACGTTTTGGCATCTCTGGGCACTGATGAAACCAGCTTCCTCCTTGATGTCCCAAGACCTGGATTGCACCTTCAGTTTTGACACATCTTTATTCTCTGACCTTCAACTAGCCACCCAGGCTCCTGGACTGAAAATGGGGTCAAAAATATCCACCTCAGATCACCTTAGGCCAGGAGTTTTAGACCAGCCTGGCAACATGGTGAAACCCCATCTCCACTAAAAATACAAAAATTAGCTGGGTGTGGAGGCATGGGCCTGTGGTCCCAGCTATTTGGGGGGCTGAGGCAGGAGAATTGCTTGAACCAAGGAGGTGGAGGTTGCAGTGAGACGGGATCCTGCCACTGCACTATAGCCTGGATGACAGAGTGAGCTTCCATAAAAATAAAATAAAAAAATACCCACCTCATTAGTGATTTTCGGAACAAATAAAATACTGTGTGAGAATGGAATTTGCAATCTGAAAAATAATTAAAACTCTCAAAAAGTAAGTTGTTAATATCATCCATATTAGGCTTCCGGATTGATGCAGTAATAATTTAAGTACTCAGTTTTATCTTGCCCACTGCCAAGTTTTTGTAATGCTTTCACAAACTTTACCTTATTTACAAAAATGCTACGATGTAGTCTTTGCCTGAAACTGTAGGAAGATAGTTGAAGATGGGTGGGACAAGTGGCAGAGAAGTTAGGTTTTCAAAGAGTGTGCATACTAGTTGGGGAAATAGGGTGAACTACATGTAACCATTTCCAAGAGTATCATCTTATTTAGACTGATAAAGTTTACATGGGTCAGGAATGTACAAATGCTTTGGGCAAACAGACAGAGGCCAATTCAACATCCCACTCCTGGACCACAAGCTCCTCCATTTCTATCCTAAATCCATAGTCACCAACCCTAGAAGATCTCTCAAACCTGCGAGGCTCTTCTGCTGCACTTACCAAATTAATTTGCTTTCTTGCTTATAGACTTATTCTGAAATGTATCTCTTCCTTTCAAATGTTTGACTGCCACCACTCAGCACACGACATGTCCTCTTACATTACCGTGATTATCTTAGACAAAGCTTCCTGGTGCCATGCCCCAAGCCTCCTCCACCTGTGCAGATCTGCGTCCTCCTCCCTACTCAACTATGGGATGGAGGATGCTCCTCACCTTCTCTGGGGTGAATTCTCTTCCCCATGGTCACCACCTAAGCTTTAGGTCCCACCCCTCCTAACTTAACAAAAACCCAACATGATCTATAAAATGTCCCTTCCCCTTTTTATCCACACAAGTACTCTTCCCCCTGCAGGGGCCTTTCTGCTTACCACGAACATCCTCAAAATTCCTGTCTTCAAACAAATAGGCAAGCAAGCCAATAAGCACACCTCCCTGGATGCCACATCTCCCTCCTGCTGCTGCCCTGCTGTTCTCTCCCTGCCACAGCCAAGCTGGTGGCAAGAATGGTGTCTGCCACAGTGAGAATAACCTGCACTGTCTGTGTTCTCTTGTTCCTGCTTCCTCACCTCCCATTTGCGATGACATTCATGCAATTAGCTTCCTCCCACATCCCTCCACCAAGAGAGACATTAGTTCACCAATACCCTTCATGCCCTAAATCCAACAAGTGTTAAATTCTTTACCCTCTTGCCCCTTAGCAGCTCAGGGCACTGATGACGCCTGCTTCTTCACTGGAACCATCTGTTCCCTTAGATTCTGTCATGACTCACTCCCTTGGTTCTCTTCCTACCATCCTAGCATCCCCTTTCAGTCTTCTGCAGACTCATTGATTCAACCATTAAATAAGAGATCTGTCTGAGGTATGGCCCTACCCCTTTTAATTTTCCTTGGGTAATCTCCTTTATTGTTTTTCTTACCATTATTTTCCGTTTTTAATTGTATTTATTATAATTATTTTATTTTATTTTATTATTTTGAGACAGAGTCTTGCTCTGTCACCAGGCTGGAGTGCAGAGGCGCGATCTCGGCTCACTGCAACCTCCTACAAGGATCGAGCACTTCTTCGGCCTCAGCCTCCTGAGTAGCTGGGACTACAGGCATTGCGCCACCACACCCAGCTAATTTTTGTATTTTTAGTGGAGACGGGGTTTCACCATGTTGGCCAAGATGCTCTCGATCTCTTGACCTCGTGATCCGCCTGCCTCAGCCTCCCAAAGTGCTGGGATTAAAGGTGTGAGCCACTATGGCTGGCCATAATTATTTATTTTAATTGGTAAATTAAAATCTTATATATTTGTAGCATACAGCATGATTTTTTAAAATACATATATATTACAGGATGGCTAAGTCAAGCTAATTAAGGTATGCATTTCTTCACATACTTATTATTTGTTGTGGTAAGAACACTGAAAATCTACTGTCTTAGGAATTTTCAAATATACAACACATTGTTAATTGCTAGATTCACCATGCTATACGATAGATTGCTTGAACTTATTCCTCCTACCATGCATATATCTATAACTTCCATATTTTTATCTGCAGTAGATGCCTCTTTGCAGAGCACTGGATCAATATCTCTGGCTAGTTTCCATCTTTTCTTAAATAATTCAAAGTCGTCTCAATCTCAGTGTGTTCAAAATCAAACTGGTGGTCGTTATTCTCAAAAGTAACTCTCATCTCTAGTTTTCCATTTCCAGTGAAGACAACCCTGCCTCATCCAAATGTCAAACAGAATTGTTAGGTCCTCCTCTCTCTTCATGGTCACTATCTCCAAAATATGGCTTAGTCTCAATATCTTATTTCATAATCTGTATGGAATCTGATTTCTTCTTTCCATGTACAACACAATCATCCCAGTCCAAGTTACCATCTCTTTCCACCAGAGCTATTCAGTAATTACCAGTTGATTTACCGTCATGCCACCATTCTCTTTGATGCCTCCAGCGTGATCTTTGCAAATGGAAAACCTCTTTGTGTTGGAATAAAGTTATTTCCTGCTAAGCCCTGCCCTTTGCCCATTTAGTCAAGTGGGCATTTTATATTCGATGCCTCAGAAAAAGAATGATACTAGCAGAGTACAAAGAAAAAAGAAAACATTTGGCTGGATGTGGTGACTCACACCTGTAATAACAGCACTTTGGAAGACTGAGGTGGGAGGATTGTATGAGCTCAGAGTTCAAGACCAGCATGGGCAACAGAATGTGACCTTGTCTCTACAAAAAAAAATTTAAAATTAGCTGGGCATAGTGATGCATGCCTGTAGTCCCAGCACTTTGGGAGGCCGAGGGAGAAGGATCGCTTGAGTCCAGGAGTTTGAGGCTTCAGTGAGTGAGCTATTATCACACTGCTGCACTCCAGCCTGGGCAACAGAGCTGGATCCTGTCTCAAAAAAAAAAAAAAAAAAAGAAGAAGAAGAAGAAAGAAAGAGAAAGAGAGAGAGAGAAAGAAAGAAACAAACAAACGAAGGAAGGAATGAAGGAAGGAAGGAAAGAAGGAAGGAAGGAAGAAAGAAAAAGAAAGGAAAGAGGGAAGGAGGGAAGAGAAAGAAAGAAAGAAAAAGAAAAAAGAAAGAAAGAAAGTTAGTTCTAGCTATGGATAATCCAAAATTAGGCCTCAGAAAGATGAACTTAGGCATTTGGAAGAATGCTTATAAATAAAGAAAAGTTTCTCACTTTCCAAACTTGAAAGAATTCTTAAGATAGAGGAGATGTACAGAGATGAATGAGTGTAACAAGAGAAAGAAAGGTGGATGGGGCTTGCAACAATGACACCAGACCTCCAGGAAACCAAGAATGAAGGGCAGAGGCAGCCTAACCTCCTCCGGCATGATTCTCACCCATAACTAATGACCAAGAGGCCCTCTAGTGTCCACCTGAGCAAAGGTCAAAGCTGTGCCATCCTGAGGAGAAACATTGATTGTCTTCCCACTAGATTCAAGAAGTTGGCATCCACTAAGGACTTTTCTTCCACTGCAGTTAGCTTTGCCCGTTGGCCACTCATAGGAGGGGTGCACTTCCAAATTCCAAATGAGGCTCTGTTAAGTGACATCTGACTCACTCTTTGTTATCAAACTCTCTTTTTTTTTTTTTTTTTTTTTTTGAGACAGTCTTTCTCTGTTGCCCAGACTGAAGTGCAGTGGTGCAATCTTGGCTCACTGCAACCTCTGCCTCCCGGGTTCAAGTGATTTTCCTGCCTCAGCCTCCCAAGTAGCTGGGATTACAGGCGCCCGCTGCCATGCCCAGCTGATTTTTGTATTTTTAATAGAGACAGGGTTTTGCCATGTGGGCCAGGTTTGTCTCAAACTCGTGACCTCAGGTGCTCCGCCCGCCTCGGCCTCCCAAAGTGCTGGGATTACACGCACGAGCCACTGCACCCAGCCCCAAACTTTCTCTTGATAATTTAGGAAACTTATAAATTCCTAGAAGGAAGGCAGGGCTCCGGACCCTGGATCATAGCTGTGAAGTGGAGAAGGCACACTGCAAAGGAGATCCGAAACTCTCACCTCCTTGCTAAACACCCTTCCGTGGCTTCCCAAACCCTGGGAATGGCCTCTGGGGCCCTGGATGGTCTGGCACCTGCTCATCCTCCTTCTCTGCCTTGCCCCTCTCTTCTCCTCTCTTCCTCTGCCCACCTCCACCCCCACAGTTGCCTATTTCACTCTCTCTGCATACCTTCAGGCTTTCCCTGCTCAGGACTCTGCCCTTTCACTGGAAGTTGCTGCTTCCCCCATCCTATTTGCCTTTGAGCTCAGGTCTAACATCACCTTTTCCAGGGAGCCTCCCCTATCACCCTGCGCAAAGTCAGATCCAAGTCCTTTAATTTATCTCTGTCTATAATTGGATTTTCATTAGTACGGCAATTTGATAAATGGGTACCTCCCCAACTAGGCTGAGCATTTTTGTGGTGAGCATTTTTGGTTGAGTCAGTTCCTGGAGAATGGCAGGATTTTATCTGATTGTACAGCATTGGGGGAAGACCCAATGAGCCAGTGCATGTAAAAACAATTTGCAAACTGTAAGTGCTAACCGACATGCAGGACTATTAGTGGCCTGACTATGCTATGAACCCAGGTGCAGAGGAGAAGCGAGTTGCGGTCAGATCTTGACAGCTCATTGTCAGCCCCTCCCCGGGACCCTTTCCTTCCACTATCTCGTATCAGTGAAGTCTGTTGTCCAGGGATATTAGGAATTCAGTCTTCAAACTCGCTTACCACGTTTCCCCGTGCAAGCTATTTTTGGTTAATTTTTTCTGCTTTGATGTTTTGTTTTACTGGGTGAGTCTGGCAAGCCACTATTGTGTGCAATGTGCTATATAAGGTTTTATTGGATCGCATTGTTTACGTCTGTCTGTGACAGGTACTAGCAGTACTAACCACCCTGTGATTTTCCAGCAGTGAAAATAATAGAGGAATTTCCTCCAGGTAAAATAATTAGTGGTTTAGACAAAAAAAAAAAAAAAGAATATTAGTCTTTTTTTAAGCATAAGTTTCAGTTTCTGGGGTTACAAAGACAGATTACACAGAATTTTATCGGTTTAACTATGAATTCATGTTTTCCCAGTTGCTCCGTGACAGTTCCACAGTTCAGATTTTGCCGTAGGTTGTGGTGTCTGGACTCACTGGGTCAGCCGCACTGCTGATGAGCCATTGTGTGAGCCATTGTGGTTTTTTTTTTTTTCTTTTTAAAGCAAATCTTGGCACACTTGGTTTTGCCTGTTTCAACAACCCCTTCCCTATGCGTGTAGCCTCAGCCGTAATTTGCTGCCCTGATCCTAGAACTCTTCTTATCTTCTTGTGTCCCCTGCCTCTTCTGAGGCCCCAGTGGCTCTCCCCTTGGGGTGGGGACACACAACAGAGAATGGAAAAACTGAAAGAAGCTTTGGAAATTTTGCCTGATCTAAATCTGGCAAGATTTAGCAAAAGGAAAAAAAAAAGCCAGATTAAAATGGAATTTTAGATAAACAACCAATACTTTTTGTTATATGTGTGCCCCATGAAATATTTGGACATACTTTATACTTATAAAAAATTGTTCATTGCTTATCTGAAGTTCAAGTTCATCCTATATTTGAGGCAGCAACGCCAGCCCAGCCCTCTCATGTTTAAAGGTGGGAGCATGTCTCCTCTGATTGCAGGACGTTTCTACACCCCATCAAATTCATGTTGAGTCTAATTTTGTGAGTTTCTGCTTCATTTTTTCTCTCTATGCCCATCCAGCATGCTTTTATGGGAGACAATGGAAGCCTGGAAAGGGATTCCCTCTATCTGTGTTTCTAAATACCTGATTTGGGGAATGAAACAGTGCCCTATAATTTGAACTCTGGCTAAGATTCTAAGTACCGCTGTCTTCCTACCTGCTCCCTCCCCACTGTGGAGGCCCTCTGGACAAAGTGTTCCTGTTCACCTGCTGCTTATTGTCCAACAATGCCTTCCTTTGTTCTCCTTGCCCTCTCGCTAACGCCCTATCCTTCTATTCTTCCTTTTCTCCCTCCTTCAGACTTATCAATGCCATCCACGGTAATTTTGGAGACGGAAATAGCAATGCATTGTCTTTCTTCTATTCTTGGGGGATTTGGGCATATGCATGCTGGGGGCACAGAATAGGATGCACATTGTCCCTAGAGCAGGGCTTTCCAAGTGAACTCACCATGGTCAACAGTGCAAGGAGACCCACCTAGATACTCCTAGGTCATTGGTGGGTTTGATGGAAATCTCAGTTGAGGAATATTTCAGGAGGTGGAGAAGGGCAGATAGATGCCTTTTATACATACACACACACACACACACAACATACATATATACACACACCATATATACATATATATGCATATATACACACATATATACATATATACATATATGTGTGTGTATATACATATGTGTGTGTGTGTGTGTGTATATGTGTGTGTATATATATATATATATATATATATAGAGAGAGAGAGAGAGAGAGAGAGAGAGAGAGAGGCTTGTATAAAGCAAAATCACCCCAGCTCTGATTATGACCACGTTATTTCCTTATTGTAAATAGCTCAGGTCATTAAAGAAAAGACTCTTGTGATGGAGAAAACCTGGCAAAAAGCAACTAAGGTGATAAACCAATCCTTGGAAGGCCAGGTAGCCCTTCTTCTGAAAGACTGGCCAAGAGAGACCCCAAGGGTGCAATTAGAGAGAGATTTATGAAGTGACAGAGTGTGGGGACTTAGGGTTCTCTTTTCTGTGGGTCAAAAGGAGGAAGAAAAGGGAGAAAAAAATTTATATATATATAGAAAAAATTGGAGCCAAATGTTTTCACACCATTGCAATACGTATCTTGTGTTCTTTCCATGGAGCTCGGCGGCAGGTCAACAATAGGTGATGGCAAATTTTAATGGCTAAAAGATGGCCAGAGAGGTGGGATGCTGTCCCTGATGCCTAGCCCCTTCTGTTCAACAATGCATTGGCATTCCTAGGCACAGTAACAGAAAATCAAAATAGATTAGAGGCATAAGGGCAGGAAAGAGGCACTAAAATGATTTCCTGGGGAATGTTACCAAGGTGGGGATGGGTGCAGGCAGTCATGTGGGTCAGGACACAAAGGAGAGAGGATCAAACCTAGTGGGAGAGGTTAGGGTAGGCTCAGGAGATGGCAGGGTCTTCTCTGGCTACCTGTGGAGTGAGGAGCCAGGATCTTGGATCTATCTTTGTTGAGGCTTGTGAAGGGTCTTATTATTCTTATTTAGAGACAGGGCCTTTCTTTATCGCCCAGGCTGGAGTGCAGTGGCAAAATCATAGCTCATTGCAGGCTTGAATGCTTGGGCTTAAGTGATCTTATCTTCCCATCCCAGTTGCCTGAGTAGCTGGAACCACAGGCACATGCCACCACACCAGGCTAATTTTTAAATTATTGGTAGAGACAGGATCTTGCCATGTTTCCCAGGCTGGTTTTGAACTCCCTGCCTCGAGCGATCCCCTGCCTTGGCCCCCCCAAAGTGCTGGGATTACAGACATGAGCCACCACGCTTGGCCTCAAAGGGTCTTTTTTGTTTCACCAAATGCTCTTGGCTAAAAGACATTAGGCCAAGACTCGTGGAGTTCTGGGAGCTCATCCTCTGGCCTTCATGTGAGTCCGGGCTATCAGGCCTTGAGCTCCGGATACCAGGCTCAGCTCCCTGCTCTCCTCTGCAGAATACAGCAGGCATTCAGAGGATGTGTTTGCTTTCCACCAGTGTCATGCCATGCTGTTTGAATGAGTCCCAGAACTGATGAATTAACTCCCAGCTGGTGGTAGAGTGGGAGAAACTGAACCTCCTGCTACTGGCTCTTCCTTTAAACTCACATCTGCCCATCTCTTGGTTGAGAAATCCTGTCTCTCAGGCCTGCTTCTAGACCGGTTTGTTACTGTAGTGCCACCGGAGTTGAAAGACAAGATGTGGCCCAGGCTGTGTGTGTGTGTATATGAGTGCACACGCATGCGTACACTACTTACATACAGATGTGCATATCCATAGAATCATATATCTGCTCTGAGAGCATTCAGGGAGAGTGTTGCAGTGTGTGCTTGCCATGAATTTTTGATCTGGTGCTCCATGCCATTACCACGTAATAAATATTGGTGAATATCACTTTAACTTAGGGATCATTGCAGGGTAAAAATGCCATCCATCAGAATTTTGGAGAGGAAAGCCCCGTGGCAATCCATCCCAGGGATGGAAATGTATGTGCAAAAACAGTGGAAATTGAAAAACTGTGTTAAGTGGTTGGAATGCCTCCAGTGGGGCTAGGGACCAGCTGCCTGGGCAGCGTTGCCAGTGGACGTTGCCTGGAGAATAAAATCCTCCTTTCCCAGCCTCGGGGAAGGGACTATGATAACATGTAGATGAGTGTCTCTGTCTTCCTTTTACCTGGCTAGGGCAGCATCTCCAGGCTCCTACCTTGCAGAAGTGAAGCCTCAGGAGGGACGGCCATGGGATAGAGTGAGCCTGGGGCTGCCAACTCTCCTTCTGTCCTGTGAAGGAAGGCAGGACGCTGGAAGATAAGGGTGAGAAGGTGGATGCAGGCTCTAAATGCCATGGTCCCATCAAACATGTGTGTGAAGGTTGTCACAGTGGTGGGGCCAGACAGGTAGACTACTTGGCTCCTCGCAGCACCTGTGAAAGCTCCACAGGAGGATGACTCAACCCACTCAAAATGCAAGAGCTGCCCAGTTGAGAGAGACAGGTGGCTACAGGGAGCTGGAGGTTGTCCTGGGTGAGGAGGGTCAGTGAGACCACAGCAGGCCGCAGGATACTCAGGCCTGAGGACCGTGCCGTCCTGGTAGAGGGCCCTTCACGTGCACACAGCTGCATGGACGAATGGCAGCCGAGTTCCATCCGGAGAGCAGGCATAGAAACACGGGGTAGAGTGCGTTAAAAGGACACTGTCTGTGAAAGTGGCCAGAACCTAGGATAAAGAAATTCACGGCCGGGCACGGTGGCTCACGCCTGTAATCCCAGCACTTTGGGAGGCCGAGGTGGGTGGATCACTTGAGTTCAGGAGTTCGAGACCAGCCTGGCCAACATAGTGAAACCCCATCTGTGCTAAAAATACAAAAATTAGCCAGGCATGGCAGGCACCTGTAATCCCATCTACTCAAGAGGCTGAAGCAGGAGAATCGATTGAATCCAGGAGGCGGAGGTTGCAGTGAGCCAAGATGGCACTACTGCACTCCAGCCTGTGAGACAGTGAGACTCCATCTCAAAACAAAAATAAAACAACAACAACAACAAAAAAGAAATTCACCACCTTGCATAACTAATAATGGCAGCAGGGATGCTGCCTCTAGGCCCCCCTGCATTAGGACTGGGGCAGGGTTCTCAGACCAAGCCCTAACCATCTCTGCACTCTATTCATAGGATAGTTGCAGCAGCTCTGGCATCTGCACCCACCCTCACCTACAGCTTAGGGGAAAATGAGAGCTTCTCACCCAGCATTCCCACAACCTGTTTGCATGTGATTGGTGGCTGTACTTGGGTCAAATGTCTAATTCCAAACTAATCACCGAGGACTAATGGACATGAAGGGCTGGTTGGCTTAAGTATAGGTCACATGATCCACCTCTGAGCCATCAGAGGGCATGGCTGTTTGGGGCAGCCAAGAATGTTGGGAAGGGAAGTTTCTAAAAGCAAAAAGAGACAACTAGAGTACTCCTTCCAAGTGACCTGTGAAAAGGCAGCAAAAACAAGGTGCCCACCCTCTGGACCTATTTCCCAATCACTGCCTTCACTGAAGCCCTTTCCAGCTCTGTCTCTGATTCACTGTCAGATCCAAGGTGAAAATTTACAAGAACATTAGGTTTAGCAAAGGCGGCAGCTTTATACTTCAAAGGCCTCTTAGAAAATCATTCTTAAAATAAAACTTAAAACACACAGACACAAACAACAAAGGCAGTGGGGCTCTCCCAAGCTCTAAGAAACATGGTTCTTTGTCCCTTAGGGTGAGGGAGAAAAGGCTGATGAATTACTAATGAATTGTGGGGGTGATTTTGATGGCACTTTCTTCAGCACCAAAAGTCAGCAAAGACTTGGGTGAAATTTCATAAATTTTGTGATTTCCAAATCTGTTGGGAGAAAGAGTGAGCAGCCTATACAGAGTGGGACAGAAATATAGTGAATGCTCTTTTGATAAGAGCTTTATCGGGTACGCCTTCACCTGGGAAGACGGCAGTCTCAGAGAGAGACCTTGTGGACACAGCTTCTCCATTGGGCCCCTGGTGGCCGAAGGGGACCTTCATTCTGGCACTTTCCTCTACAGACACAGAGCAGATGGGCCCCGTCCTTCTCCCACTTTTAGTCTAAGGACCATCAATCAATAATTCCTCCAATCAAAGTGTGATGAGTTTGATGAGCACTGTCCTTGTCTAAAGGGGACTTGATTTAGGTTGAAAGGGTCAGTGATGTTCTCCCAAGAGAAGCAGCATTTAACCTGATACAGGTGAAAGGAAATTGGCCAGGGAAGAGGGGTGAGAGAGTCTTCTGGAATGCAAAGAGGATGGGATGCAGGGAAGCTTGGGGATCTGAAATCAAATCACTGTGCTGGGGGATGGCGATGGTGCAGAGTGGTGAGAATTGAAGTGGCGTTGCAAAAAAGAACAAATCATTTAGGGCCTTTAGAGTCCAAGGGAAGGGTCCTGGACATCATCCCAACAGCAGTGGGAAGCAAGAAAAGGGGTTTATTTTCTTAAATCTATTTTTTGAAGCAGGAGAGTGACTCGGTCGAAGAAACATTTTGAAAAAATCATATTGCATGGAGAACTAGGGCTATGTTTATGTTATGATTTATGTTAAAAAAATCTCTCTGGCTACTAGATTGTAGGGGAGCAAGAAAAGGAGGAAGGAGGCCTACAGGAGGAGGCTTCAATAGTTCAGATGATAGATGAATAGAATATTTGTAATCATATATTTGATAAGAGACTATTACACAAAATATATAAAGAACCATGTCAACTCTACAATACAAAGATAAATCACAATATTTAAAAATGGGCAAAGGATCTGCAGAGATGTTCCTCCAAAGAAGATACAAAAATGCGAGTGAAGGCCAGGAAAAGGTGCTTAACACCAATCCTTGTTAGGAAAATGAAAAGCAAAACTACAATGAGATGCAACTTTTCAACACAACAAACTAACCGTATCCTTATCTCTGTCTAAATCCCCTCTGCAACTCGGGGTCCCTAGAAGATAAGGTTAAGACTTCTTAGAAAATATTAAGCTATATGGGCCCCAACCCTATATTTTCAGTTCCAACTCCTGTCCTCCCAACACCCTCATCCCATCAAGTTTCTCTACAGTTCCTCCATTGCTTTCCCCTTGAACTCGGGTTTGTTGTTGTTTGTTTGTTTGTTTTTTTGAGATGGAGTTTCACTCTTGTCATCCAGGCTGGAGTGCAATGGCACGATCTCAGCTCACTGCAACCTCCGCCTCTTGGGTTCAAGAAATTCTCCTGCCTCAGCCTCCTGAGTAGCTGGGATTAGAGGTGCCCGCCACCACGCCTAGCTAATTTTTTGTGTTTTTAGTAGAGACAGGGTTTCACCATGTTGGCCAGGCTGGTCTCGAACTCCTGACCTCAGGTGATCCGCCCACCTTGGCCTCCCAAAGTACTGGGATTGATTACAGGTGTGAGCCACCACGCCCGGCCAAACTTGGGGTTATGTGTCCCTGTTGGAGACACAGGCCAGGTGTCTCCTCATCTGAGTACCTTCCTCCGACCCTGACCCTGACACTCTCTTGTGTGCGTTCCAGCCCTTGTCATCAGCCCATTGTGCTCTGGGTTATAGAATTGTTGCTATTGCTTTTCCACTTTCCATACCAGCGCAGTTACTCCTGGAGGGAAGTTTCTGGTCTGGGAGCTCTGTGTTACCAGAGAGCCAGGCAAGAGTGATTGGTCAGTGAGGATGACTGGGTGTATATCCTACAAAACTTCCTGGCCCTCAGTGGCACTGTCCTCGCCCAGGTCTCTGCCCAGTGGGCCGCTGAGAGCCTCAGGTGCTTGCCAGAAGCAGGGCTGGTCCAAAGTGGGCAGGACAATTCCTGGATGTCGGGATGAGAAGCCAAGGGTGGCAGAGGCATGGCCATGGTTAGAAGCTCTTTGGGGACAGAGGAACCTAGAACAGGAGCACAGTCCAAGGAACAGGATCCAGTGTGCAAAAGGGGATGAGCTCATGCTTTAGGGGTTGTCTGTCTTGGGACAAAAGGAGGGAGAGGGAGGGCTGGGGATGGCTTAAGGGGAATGTCTGCATCCACATGGGTTGATTATTCTGCCTTCTGCAAGGGCTGCATGAGAAATAAACAGGAAAGCCAAGCTCTCCACTCACTCTTATCTCATTAGGGGTTACTATTGGGAATTGTCTCCTAACCATAACTGTCTTGTATCTCAAAGTGTTCCTTAGGCAATTGCCTTCTTGTCCTCCAAAACACAGCTCCACTGCGACTTCCTCCACCAACACCCCTCCTGTGCCCTGAGAAAAGTACTGGGTGTGCAGCACACTTACTCTGCCCTTCTTTTGGCCCTTACCACATCTGGGCCTTGGTTTCAGTTCATCCCTAGATAGGGAGCACCTGGGGTGTGCGGTAACGTCTCACCCCACTGTGCCACCCCCAAACTGCTACCTAGGCACTGGAAGGTGTCTATTCAGTTCATTGGCTATGCCTTATGCAGCTGGGTTCCACATTAACCCTGCAGGACAGACCTGACACGTGTGTTAGTGCCAATCACACTGAGAAGGAAACTGAGGCCACACACTGTGTTAGGCAGAGGTGTCGTGGTGTTCTGTACGCATGGCACTTTCTTATTGACTTAATGTTTTAGGAAGTGAACATCCTCTGTTAGAAGGTAGCCTTGGGGCCAGGTGCAGTGACTCACACCTGTAATCCCAGCACTTTGGGAGGCCGAGGTGGGCAGATCAACTGAGGTCAGGAGTTTGAGACCAGCCTGGCCAACATGGTGAAACCCTGTCTCTACTAAAAATACAAAAATTAGCTGGGCATGGTGGTGCATGACTGTAATCTCAGCTACTCGGGAGGCTGAGGCAGGAGAATCGTTTGAACCCAGGAGGTGGAGGTTGCAGTGAGCGGAGATGGTGCCGCTGCACTCCAGCCTAGGTGACAAAGTGAGACTTACCTCAAAAAAAAAAAAAAGGCAGCCTTGGCAATGTGTCCCCTTGGCCTGTAGGGGAAGCTGTATGAGGCTCAGGTGAGGTGTAGGTGGCACTGGGGGCCCATCAGAAAGTGAAGGTGGATGGTGCCTTTGAGGCCCTGGAGAGAGAAGTCAGGCAAGTCTGAGAAGCATCTCCTTCATCCTTGTAGAAGAAATCAAATCACATACACACACACACACACACACAGAGTTTCCTTTTCTGGAGTCACTTGATCCTGCCACCTGGAGTTGTTTGGAACCCCGTCTAGGCCTTTCAGCACCCTTTGGGTGGTGGAGGCTGGCCTCCTCCTAGCTTGTCAATCACATCTTCAGTGGAATGCACACAGCGCCCTGAGGATATTGGGCTTAGAATCCCAGCCACTCGATGTAGAAGCAACAACATCTTACTCATTTTCCTTCCTGCAGGGCAGAGGGCTGACCATGGAAGGGCCACATTCTGAAGAAAGCAATGTTTGAAAACAACAATTGTAGAACCCTTTTAGATTAGGAATTTCTTTCTTCTGATTTAAACCATTGGATCACACTTTACAAAGACATTCACTGTGGAATAGCTTTGGACAATCAATTCCTTCAGTATAATTTTATATCTTTTTTCTTTTTTTAATAAAAGAAAATTTGAAAATATCTGTAGGTTGAAAAGAAAAAAAAATCAACTTTTGCCTCTAATATCATCTCCCAGAAATAACCACTCAATATTTTGTTGAATCATCTTTCAGACTTAAGTATATAAATATAGATACATATTTCATAAATGATCCACATTTATGTAAATATTATTTTACTGTGTATAGTATATTCAATCATTTGATTTTAAAAAATGACCTCATTTGTATCTAGCTCTTCAAGGCAGAGGTCATATAATTTCAGAGCCACTATTCCTTCTGTAATCGTCCCAGGAAAAAATCTTGTCTCCCTGACTTGAAGTCCTACATACCCACTGCCCCATCACCTTTGAACGACAAGACATCTTAATGTCCACAATTACAACTATGAGTTTGTTCCAGTAAAAAATAAAATGGGAAAAGGGAATTATGGGTGCACATAATTAAGAAAATAGGGTGATTAATATCTTTTGAGAAATTTATAAATAATTGATATCTAGTCTGGGGAAAATCTGCTCCTACAACTTTCTTTTTCCGGAGAGTTGGCTAACAGTTCACATACTTTAAGGGGTGCCGCAAAAATCTAACTTAACGTCTGTTGATTTTTATTAGTCTTTGGTCTAAGCACTTCGCCAATGAAGGCATTCAAAAGTCTATAGCTACCTTTCAAAGACCTTACTTGGCAAAGCTGTAGACCAACAGTCCTCCTGAATCTTTAATCCACAATAGATTTTCAGACTAATATTCGAACTCGAGTACAGAGACATTTCCCACCGTCCATCCAAACAAAATGAAGTCAGTTTGACTGTGCAAAATGTCGATGAATTCTTCAGAGTAAATCAGCCTTGTCAGGGTGATGCAGAACCATCAGCTCTTTGTGACATAATATAATATGAAATGATATTGAACAACATGCGTTTGGCACTAAATTGTTAGCGGGTTTTAGCTTTGACAGCAGCAAGTTTATTGCTTTAATCCCAAGGTCTTTTAACCCTCTTTGACATAAATTGAGGTTGGCTTTTGTGAAAAAATCTCCACTTTACTCTCTCTTCCTTTACCTAAAACTGCTTTTAACAATTTATGCTAGTACATCAGACACTCATTTTGAGTGACAAAAAGAAAAAAAAAAAGAACAAGGTCTATTAGAATAGAAGGGAAGAAAAGGCCAACTTAGGCTAAGAAGGGGAAAAAAAGGCCAACTTAGGCTAGGCAGTCTGTGTCTCTTTCGGTAGATACGTCACAGCTTTCTTGAGGTGGATATGCATTTTAAGTTATAATAACATGTGGCTCTGGCTCTCACAAATAAAACAAGCCTGGACAGAAGACTCCGGCAAGGTGGAGGACAGCCATTGCCAGGGAACAAAGGCTCCTAATCCGAAACAGAGGCCGTTTTTGCATTTTGCTCCAGTTGAATGTATTTCCTTATATGGGTTCATGCCTTCCTCCTCCACCACCTACCCCCCTACATTTTTAGAGATCAAAGATGACTTTTCTTTTATAGAAATAGTTTTGAAACACTGATTTAGTAAGTATGGCATATAAATAAAGACTCCCCAAATTTTATGTCATAATTATAGCACCAGACGGCCGGATGGGCTGCGGTCTGAAAGAACCGGAGAATTGGAGAGGGCACTGGGTCTTCAGTCTCCTTCCTGGTGCTGACATCTCTGCCAGGGTCCCCTGCATACTTGGCTGGAATGCTTTTGGGGAGGGGATGTTCTCTGACTCACAAGGAAGGCTGTTCCTTGTGAACATTTTGGGTTTTGTTTTTTTTGAGACCAGGTCTCACTCTGTTGCCCCAGGCTGTAGTGCAGTGGTGTAATCTCAACTTACTGCAACGTGCGCCTCCTGAGTTCAAGCAATTCTTGTGCCTCAGCCTCCTGAGTAGCTGGGATTACAGGTGCCCACCATCACACCCAGCTACTTGTTGTATTTTTAGTAGAGAGGGGGTTTCGCCATGCTGGCCAGGCTGGTCTCCAACTCCTGACCTCAGGTGAACCTCCTGGCTTGGCCTCCCAAAGTGCTGGGATTACAGGCGTGAGCCACCTCACCTGGCAGGTTGTTCCGTTTTGGAGCACATGTGACCCATGGTCTACCTCTCGGTTCCAGTCGGGCCGGTAAGTGAGCCGGAAGGAACCAAATCTTCAGCCATGTCATCAGCCTGCACGTCTCTGAACATCACAACCATCTTTTCTGTTTCCCAGATTTAAAATTCTGATCTCCTTTGTCCCAGCAAGTATAGTTTCAGGAATTTATCCTGAAGAAGTAATCAGGAAAAAATACAATAGATGTGTGTAGACAGCAGTAGATTGTGGTAATTACCAATCTTGGCTGAAGCATCAGACAGACCTGGGTTTAAATTCCAGCTCTGATCCTTGCCCGGAATGTCACAGCTTGTTAGTTACTTAGATTCTCTAAGTCCATTTTCCTCAGCCATAAAATGGAGAAATTAACAATATCTCCTTTCTAGGGTTAGTAGGATTAAAAGATAAAGCATAGAGAATGCTTCCTTAGTTTTTTCAGTTATTGTTATATCAGCATTGTTTATGAACATCAAAATCAGAATCGGCCTCTGCTCATTTGTAAACCGCAGGGCAGGAAGAATGGTATGTAGCCATTAGAAATAATTTTGTACATGCTTTATATGGACATGGTAGGTATGCATATTCAACATACGTATTGTTACCTGTAATAACAATATGTGTTGCTAATTTAAAGCTACAGATTGAGATTGTATGATCTACATTTTATAAACAACTTCTCATATAATGCAAGATGGAAAAATTTGAAATGACATGCACCTCTGGCTGTTAAGATTGTGATTTTTCTTTTTTTTTTTTTTTCTGATGGAGCCTCACACTGTCTCCCAGGCTGGAGTGCAGTGGTGCGATCTTGGCTCACTGCAAGCTCCACCTCCCGGGTTCACACCATTCTCCTGCCTCAGCCTCCCAAGTAGCTGGGACTACAGGTGCCCACCACCATGCCCAGCTAATTTTTTGTATTTTTAATAGAGACGGGGTTTCACCGTGTTAGCCAGGATGGTCTCGATCTCCTGACCTCGTGATCCGCCTGCCTTAGCCTCCCAAAGTGCTGGGATTACAGGCGTGAGCCACCATGCCAGGCCGAGATTGTGATTTATTTATTTTTTTGTTTCTCAATTTATTTCTAATTTTCAGTTTTATTGAAATAAAATTGACAAATAGAAATTGTATGTATTTAACTTGTAAAACTTGACTTTTGATATATATCACTATATATATATTTCACAAAATATATATACACTGTAAGATGATTACCACAATCAAGCTAGTTAATATACACATCATCTCACATATTTACCATTGTGTGTGCGTGTGTGTGTATGTGTTGATAACACTTAAGATCTATACTCTTCAAAAATTTCAAGTATACAATATTGTTAACTACAGTTACCATGGGCTACATTAGACCCAAATAACTCATTCATCTTCCCTAACTGTGCCCTTTGACCAATGTCTTTCCGTTTTCCCCAACCCCCACAACTCACGGCAGATACCATTCTACCCCCTGCCTCTATGAGGCTGACCATTTGGTACTCCACATATAAGTGAGATAATGCAGTATTTGTCTTTCTGTGCCTTGTTTATTTCACTTAGCCTAATTTCCACCAAGTTTGTCCACATTGTCACAAATAGCAGGTTTTCCTTTTTTTTTTTTTTTTTTAGAAGGAGTCTCATTCTGTCACCCAGGCTGGAGTACAGTGGCACGATCTTGGCTCACTGCAAGCTCTGCCTCCCAGGTTCAAGCAATTCTCCCACCTCAGCCTCCCGAGTAGCTAGGACTACAGGCGTGTGCCACCACGGGCGGCTCATTTTTGTATTTTTAGTAGCGATGGGGTTTCACCATATGGCCAGGCTGGTTTTGAACTCCTAACCTCAGGTGATCCACTTGGTTCAGCCCTCCAAAGTGCTGGGATTAGAGGCAGGAGCCACTGCACTCGGCTCAGGTTTTCCATTTTTAAGGCTGAATAATATTCCATTATATGTGTGTGTGTGTGTGTGTGTGTGTGTGTGTGTGTGTCACATTTCCTTTATCCATTCATCTGTTGACAGACTTTTAGGTTGTTTCCATATCTTGGCTATTGTGAATAATGCCATAATAAACATAAGAGTGAAGATATCTCTTCCAGTTACTGATATCTTTTCCATTCTACATATACCCAGAAGTGGCATTATTGGATCTTATGGTAATTCTGTTTTTTATTTTTTGAGAAATCTCCATTCTATTTTTCATAGCAGCTGTGCCAATTTTCATTCCCACCAGGGATGTACAAGGGCTCCCTTTTTCCCCACATCCTTGCCAACACCTGTTATCTTTTCTCTGTTTGATAATAGCCATCCTAAGAGGCACGAGGCGATATTTCACCGTGGTTTTAATTTGCATTTCCCTGATGATTAGTGATGCCGAGTGCCTTTTCATACACCTGTTGACCATTTGTGTGTCTTTCTTTTGAGAAATGTCTGTTCAGCAATGTAGCCCATTTTTTAATTGGGTGATTTGTATTTTTTTACAGATTTGTGTTTCTGATATGTTTTAGATAGTAACTCCTCACTAGATAGATACAAAGTTCACGCATATATTCTCCCACTCTGTAGGCTGCCTTTTCACTGTACTGATTCTTTCCTTTGTTGCATACAAGCTTTTTAGTGTGGTGCAGTCCTGCTTGTCTATTTTTGCTTATGTTGTCTGTGCTTTTGGTATTATATCCAAAAATCACTGCTCAGACCAATGTGCAGAAGGATTCTCCCTAGAGATTATGATTTCTGATTCCTTTTCTTTCTCTTTTGCTTATCTGTTTTTCCCCCAAATTTTGTTACTATAATATATGTATCTCAATACTTTCATAATGAAGTTTTAAAATGAAGGAGGAAGTGTGCTTCTCCACCGATCCTCACTGAATGTGGTTGACGTTTCTCTCCATCCCGAATGGTAATTGCTGGATTCATTAGTTTATCAATGTCCCTTTTATCATGTGGGCTCAGAAGTACACTTGACACTGCAGATGCTGTCTCATCAGGGCACACTAAGGTGAACCAAACACCTCCCGTTCTCATACTCGTGGAGCCAATCTTTTTTATTTTATTACTTTTATTTTTTGAGACAGGGTCTCCTTCTATCACCCAGGCTGGAGTGCAGTGTCACAATCTCGGCTCACTGCAACCTCTGCCTCCCGGGTTCAAGGAATTCTCATGTCTCAGCCGCCTGAGTAGCTGGGATTACAGGTGCGCATCGCCATGCCTGGCTAATTTTTGTATTTTTAGTACAGATGGGGTTTTGCCATGTTGGCCAAGCTGTTCTCGAGTTCCTGGCCTCAAATGATCCACCCTCCTCAGCCTCTCAACATGCTGAGATTGTGAGCCACTGTGCCCTGCCTTGGTGGAGTCAATCTTATCCGTTGCCAACTAAATACCTCCAGCTGGTCTTCGCCAGACCTTTGGTTTGTATGCAATTGTCAAGCTAACCTATGCTATGGATGAAAGAACGTCTCTGCTCCCCCAGCCCCAGACCCTTAAACTCTGAGATTATCAAATATTTTGTCAGTGACCCTTTTCCTCCACCATCTCAGCCTCCCTTCCTCTGTGCTAGGATCCAGTTGGGGTGGGCTGCAAATGCTACCAAGTCATTGTTAAAGACAGTGGCCAGTTATGAATGCTTTATATATGTGTGTTTTATGATAAAGACTGTCAGCCCTCTTACAGCCATTTCTATTTCTAGAGGTTGAGATCTTGCTAATACATTGCTCTTCAGTTTAAATCTGTTATGCAAAACTAGGCTCAAGCTTCAATTATTTTACAAGTGGTTCAATAGTTTGATAAATTATTCAGATTTACAGTTCACATTGCTTTAACCAAATACACTGATCTGGATATGTGAGATGACATTAGTCAGACCACGGGTGGGCACATTACTCTCCCTTTGCAGTTGTTCTAATTTTTTTTTAAAGAAAAACAATGCCAACAATTCATACATTAATTATAGCTAAGCAGATGTAAGAAAAACTCACCTCTTCACTGTGACTCATGATGAGTGGCTCTAAAATCCCCCAGAAGAAGATAAGAAGAAAGGCGTCTCCTGTACGGGGTTGGGAACAGCAATGTTCCTAAGCCAGGCTGGAGGATGTCATTTTCCTTCGTTCTGAGCTACAAGTCCCCAGACTCTTTCGGGCTGTCTGTGTAAGTTAAGGCTACTTCCCCAGGAGAAGGAATGGGTGGGGACTGTGTGTCTGGAAGCCTTCCACTATCTGAAGCAGAAAGAGCCATTTCCAAGGGAGGCCATAGGACACGTCCACTCAGCCCTCCTGTTTGACAAACATATTAGCTTCTTTAACCCCTATGAATGCTGTAATAAGAGTTCCATGGCCATTTCTATTTACTCAATAGCACCTCTGCTGCCACCAAGATTGTGTGTGTGCTTAGGTATCTCCACAGCCCAGAGAAGGAGCAAATGCCCTGCTCACAGCTGCTCCAGGATTTGCTCTGTGGCCACGAGGTAATGCCTACATGGCATCTCCAGGGTGGAGGATCCCCCAGCCCTGCCATCGGGTGGCTGAATGCAGAGAGGTCACAACATTCTGGAATACCAACCTTTGTCTGCAAATCTCACACCCTACTCCCCATGCCTCTTATATTTTTAGGACTCATGATCCACTGTGAAGCAGCTTACGGGGTGTGCCCTTCTCTCTGGGGACAATATTGGCTGCATGGCTAAACATAACCACAAGTGTTCCGAGCTTCTGGGATCATGCTAACCTTTAAGATAATAAAGATAGATAGATAGATAGATAGATAGATAGATAGATAGATAGATAGATAGATAGATAGATAATAGATGGATAGATAGATGACAGATAGATGATAGATGAATGGATGGATAGATGATAGATAGATGATAGATAATACATAGATAGATAGATAATGGATAGATAGATGATGGATAGATAGATAGATGGATAGATAGATAGATGGATGGCTAGATAGATGATAGATAGATAGATACATACATACATAGATCAATCTAGAATCCAGACCCACTTCCTGTAAAAAGCCCAGAAACCCCCTACCTAAGATCTCTGGGCAGTCTGCGTGACTTCTTTTTCTCCCACTTCCTCGTTATATAGAATTATTGACACATCAGGAGTTTTGCTCCTTGTGGCTTTGGCTCCTCTACTAACTGCATGAACACAGGCGTGGAGCAGCAGCCCTTCCCTAGACCCCCAGGCTCTCCTGGAAAATGGCAGTCACATGTGGAAACTTTCAGGAAGGTGCGGGGAGAGAGGGATGGGCTTCATTTGTAGCAGGGCACAGACCTCTGGGGATGTGTGGGGATGGTGACAGGGAGAGCTTCCAGCCCAGACCTGTCATAGTATACTTCTTAGAAATTATTCCAGACTGGAGAGAAACGATGCACCTTCCAAGTAGGCAGATGTGGCTGTGGTCATTTATGGTTTCAAATCGGAGTCTCTTTTTTCTTCTTCTTCCTTCCTTAAACATAGATAGAAATTGCTATCAGTAGTGACATCTCAGGACTGTGGTTGTAAGCCAGCTTCCTTGGGCAATGTCTGGCTCACAGATGTGATTTGCTTGGCTCACAGTAAATTTTAAAAATCATAATAAGAAGAAGCCAACATTCAATAATCAGATTTTACTGCCAAATTATTAGATTTCCATTTTCTCCTTAAAAATCAGATTGTCTGGCCATATTGAGAGGTTCATATTCCTGCCTGGCAGGGATTGGCTAGTGCCATCGTGGCTGCCTCCTCTAAATAGACCAAGAACATTCTGGTTGCCACTACCCTTACAGGGTTACAAGGCTGCCCTTCTCTTGGCTCACCTGATGTTTGCAAGCATGCCTTTGCCTGGCTAGTCCTGAAAGAGCCAGCACAGCCTGGGAAGGTATGAGTACTACTTTGAAAGCGTGGCTTTGTCCGCTGGGTTTTAAGAATAGGAATCAGCAGAACTTTATCAGTTCTAAAGTTCATTCATTTATTTTTGCAAAAATAAGGATAATTTCTGCACAGTCTATTGTCAAGAAATTTTGCCCTAAAATGTTCACAAAAATGCTTTGAACTCTTCAGAGGTGGCTGATAATGTAAAAGTGATGGTTTTGGACTCTTGCTACTTCAAACTTCATGAAACATCTGTATTATACGTTCCCTTCTTTCATACTTGAAACTGGATACTGTTTTTAGAAAGAAATTTCAGTACTGCAGAACTGACAAATCGAAAGAGTTGACAGTTTTCTCTGATTTGATGCCCAAACACATGTTGACTTTAATTCTTTGGGAGTGAAAGCCGAGCCTTGGGTGCAAGGTTGGCATGTTGGAGATGTCATTATTTCTTTCAGGTCGCTCAGGCCATGTCCTGCTAATTATTGCATTGCTGCATGGAGTATGCTTGATACTAGAGGTCTCAAAGTTGTACACAATACACAGACTGGGGGATGGCCAGGGGGAGGAGAAGGGTGTCAGACTGGCAGCCAATACCCTCCTGTCCAGAGGGATAACTTTAGATGATTGAGAATGCTCCAAGGCCAGGTGTGGTGACTCACACCTGTAATTGCTGCACTTTGAGAGGCTGAGGTGGGAGGATAATTTGAGCCCAGGAATTCAAGACCAGCCTGGGCAACAAAGGGAGACCCTGCCTCTACAAAAAGTAAAATAAAAAAATAGCCAGGCACAGTGGTGCCCTGTGATTCCAGCTATTTGGGAAGCTGAAGTGGGAGGATCTCTTGAGCTCTGGAGGTCAAGGCTGCAGTGAGCTATGATCTCACCATCGCACTCCAGCCCGGGCAATGGAGCGAGACCCTGTCTCAAAATAAATAAATAAATAAAAGAATACCACAAAGCAAAGATACAGGCTTGTGTCTCAGCTGCAGGCAGTTATCACAAATGCACGCTAGCACAGGTTTGCAAGACCAGTTTTTCGTTCATTCATCTATGGAATAAGGAGCCCTGGTCGTTCACCTCCCTCCCTGTGGAACTGTGGTGGTCGCCCGATGACATTTCTGGGACCACCAAGAAGTCCTTCTGGAGGCCCGTGGGAATCAAAAAGAAGTAGACCATCTCTCCTCGCCCTGCAGCCCAAGAAAACCATGCAAAATTCCCCTTGTGCTCTTTGAAAGCCTGGAAGATGCTACTCAAGGGTGAGAATTGTGGGCCTATTACATTTAAAATAGATGTTCCTTCCACTCAATGCTTGTGAGTGGGTTTGCATTTGGGTTGCTTTCCAAGTTTTTGCATGAATCTCCTAAATTTTTACGAAGGTGTATATTTGAAGAAGCCAGGGATTTCAGCCCCCATCCAAACTGGTGATTGGCTCCTAAACTTGTTTCCTGAATCATGCCATTCTGGTGTCAGAGCCCCCGCGATGCCGGCAGAAGCCGTGGGCCTCCACCTTACAGACCCACCGTGCCGCCTCCTTCCCGGCCGTCACACAGGTGGGAGAGCAGTGCTGACCTCCTAAGCAGGAGTCAGTGCTCAAGGATAATGTCTAATCACTTAGCTATGGGCACCAAGCTTGCTCCTCTCAGGCCCACTTCCAACCCCCAGGCCTGGGAGTCATGAGCAGAACTGCCCTAAATTATACTGCAGATCACTCTAGAGTTCCACTGTGTTCAGACAGGTCTTATTCTGAATTGATGACCAGCCCCTGGCTCCCAGCTCAATCCATAGGATCCACTCAAACCCACCCTCTGCAGGCACTACATTTTTACCAAATGTGTTTTTCCTTCCAGTTCCTGTATTCCAGATAGCCCAGAGACACAGGTAAACCCCGTGGACTCCCCGTCCCTAACAGCATCGTGAGAGCTGCAGGGTGGCAGACTTTCCAAGGGACTGGTGTGAACAATCCACAACCAGCAGAGAATAAATTCAGGGAGCCAGGTCAATATGTAATCTCTAACAGTCTAGCTCGCTACACCACAGGCTTTCTTGACACACACTCATAAAAGGCCGCTTCCACCATGGCTGGCCTCTCGCTGCCCCTGGCTTTCTGGAGGGCATCGGTTAACATGGGGGTGCAACCCCAATTCTGCTGCAACATCAAATGATATATTCAAGAGAAGCAACCCAGGGAAAGCGAGGTGTGTTCCTGCCTGACTGCCTGCTGAGGCCAATTATTTATCTTCTATAAATCAGAGCTTAGAGAAGGAGGTACTCCCTCCATAGGATGAATACAGGGTTGGTCTCTCCGCTCCCCAGGTCTGCTCCTCCTGCACACTTACGTATCTCACTGGCAACAGAGGGCTTGGAGCCTGGCCAGATATGTAGACAAGACGCCCCTCCTTGTGCACGAAATAGCACAAGGAAGGCAGTGGGTGGTGAGATTAACGAGATACTCCCCATCCTCCTCCTATCCCTCTTCCCTCTTGGGTGCCACCACCTCATTTTCTGCCCCAGGTGGGAAGCAGGTAAAAAGGCTTGTCTTTCTTCCCAGTCTTGCCTTCCCTTGGAGTTCACTGTAGCCCCATATTGTGTGGTTGGTGCCGCTCCTCGTGGGCTTCTTGCAGTGTCGAACATCTTGTGATGGTGCTTTGGCTGAGCTAGAAGCCCCATGCAACTCTTGAGACAGCGGGTTGTGTCTACCCTGAACACACCTGATCTCAGAAGCTAAGTAGGGTCAGGCCTGGTTAGTGCTTGCATGGGAGACACTGATTACTACTATTCTTTCTCTCTGGAAGCCCTTGTTCTCTCAGCAGAGGTCTTTTTAGTTTTTCTTCTTTTTTTACGAAAAGAATCTCACTCTTTTGTCATGGGGCATTGCCACCATCACTCTGTACGAGGGTCCGCTTTTGTTGTATTTATTCATTCACTTTATCCCCTTTTCCTTTCCCAATAGGCAACCGTTTTGATATGTTTGACTTATACTTGCTTTTTGTGTCTACATGTGTTCTTGCAAAATGTGTACAATTGATTTGTATGCGTGAAACTTGATTTTATGTAAACAGTATTGGTTGAGACATTATAACCTTTTGTTGACTTTCTCTCACTCGGCACTATGTTTTCAAGACCCATCCAGTTTGGTATCTGTACGTCTAGAATTTTTTTTTTTCAATTGCTGCATCTGACCCATGGCTTGCAACCACGGTATTTTGTCTGTCCACACACCAATAATGGACAACCCAACTGCCTCCAACTATTTGGCACGTCAAACCATGCTACCATCAACTTCTCACTATGTGTCCACTAAGGGCCATGTGTGGAAACGTGGGGGATAGAAGCACAGGAGCACGTGCCATCTCACGCCAGTCACATTGGAGATTATTACAAAGTCAGGAAACAACAGATGCTGGCAAGGCTGTGGAGAAATAGGAACACTTTTACACTGTTGGTGGGAGTGTAAATTAGTTCAACCATTGTGGAATTCCTCAAGGATCTAGAACCAGAAATACCATTTGACCCAGCAATCCCATTACTGGTTATATACCCAAAGGATTATAAATCATTCTACTATATAATCATTCTACTATAAAGACACATGCACACGAATTTTTTTTTTTTTTTTAATTTTTTTTTTTATTATACTCTAAGTTTTAGGGTACATGTGCACATTGTGCAGGTTAGTTACATATGTATACATGTGCCATGCTGGTGTGCTGCACCCACTAACGTGTCATCTAGCATTAGGTATATCTCCCAATGCTATCCCTCCCCCCTCCCCTGACCCCACCACAGTCCCCAGAGTGTGATATTCCCCTTCCTGTGTCCAAGTGATCTCATTGTTCAATTCCCACCTATGAGTGAGAATATGCGGTGTTTGGTTTTTTGTTCTTGCGATAGTTTACTGAGAATGATGGTTTCCAATTTCATCCATGTCCCTACAAAGGACATGAACTCATCATTTTTTATGGCTGCATAGTATTCCATGGTGTATATGTGCCACATTTTCTTAATCCAGTCTATCATTGTTGGACATTTGGGTTGGTTCCAAGTCTTTGCTATTGTGAATAGTGCCGCAATAAACATACGTGTGCATGTGTCTTTATAGCAGCATGATTTATAGTCCTTTGGGTATATACCCAGTAATGGGATGGCTGGGTCAAATGGTATTTCTAGTTCTAGATCCCTGAGGAATCGCCACACTGACTTCCACAATGGTTGAACTAGTTTACAGTCCCACCAACAGTGTAAAAGTGTTCCTATTTCTCCACATCCTCTCCAGCACCTGTTGTTTCCTGACTTTTTAATGATTGCCATTCTAACTGGTGTGAGATGATATCTCATAGTGGTTTTGATTTGCATTTCTCTGATGGCCAGTGATGATGAGCATTTCTTCATGTGTTTTTTGGCTGCATAAATGTCTTCTTTTGAGAAGTGTCTGTTCATGTCCTTCGCCCACTTTTTGATGGGGTTGTTTGTTTTTTTCTTGTAAATTTGTTTGAGTTCATTGTAGATTCTGGATATTAGCCCTTTGTCAGATGAGTAGGTTGCGAAAATTTTCTCCCATGTTGTAGGTTGCCTGTTCACTCTGATGGTAGTTTCTTTTGCTGTGCAGAAGCTCTTTAGTTTAATTAGATCCCATTTGTCAATTTTGGCTTTTGTTGCCATTGCTTTTGGTGTTTTGGACATGAAGTCCTTGCCCACGCCTATGTCCTGAATGGTAATGCCTAGGTTTTCTTCTAGGGTTTTTATGGTTTTAGGTCTAAATTTTTGCAGCACTATTTACAATAGCAAAGACTTGGAACCAACCCAAATGCCCATCCATGATAGACTGGATAAAGAAAATGTGGCACATATACACCAGGGAATACTATGCGGCCATAAAAAAGAATGCGTTCATGTCCTTTGCAGGGACATGGATGAAGCTGGAAGCCATCATTCTCAGCAAACTAACACAGGAACAGAAAACCAAACACTGCATGTTCTCATTCATAAGTGGGAGCTGGACAATGAGAACACATGGACACAGGGAGGGGAACATCACACACTTGGGCCTGTCAGGGGGTTGGGGGCAAAGACAGAGAGTGCATTAGGAGAAATACGTAATGCATGCTGGTCTTAGAACCTAGATGATGGATTGATAGGTGCAGCAAACCACCATGGCACATATATACCTATGTAACAAACCGGCATGTTCTGCACATGTATTCCCAGAACTTAAAGTAAAATAAAATTGAAAAAGTAAATAAAAAGCCAAGCCAAGAAAAAAACATGTGACTAGGCTGCCCAATTTTCTCCAGAATTGCTGTACCAATCGCATTCCCTGAATCAGTGAATTACAATTGTATATGCCCACACTCCCTTCAACATGTTGCATTCTTCGGCTTACCAGTCAGCCAGTCTAATATGTATAAAGTAATATTTATTATTGTTTTAATTTGCATTTCTCTGATTAATGATTGTAAGCATCTCACCAATGTGCTTGTTAAAGTTTTCTCTTCTATGAATTACTTATTCATATCCTCTGACCATTTTTCCATTAGGTTAACATTTTCTCCTTGTTGATATGCAGAAATTCCTTACATGATCTAGAAACAGTAATCCCCTGTTGTTTTAGGTTTGGCAAATCTCTTCTCTTGTTCTAGCATTTAGTAACATTGTTCCTGGTTTCTTTGAACAGGTTTTTTTTATTTCAATATAATAAAATTGATCCTTTTGGATGCCTTATCATTGTTTGTTTTTGAAATTTTATTGAAAAGGTCATGGCCAACATGATGAAGGAAAAAAAAAATCAGGATTGGGAGGGAAGAGATAAAACGGGCATATTTGCTAATGATATTATCATCTACCCAGAATAACCAAAGAAATAAACACACACACACACACACATTTAGAACTAATAATGGAGTTTAGCAAGATTGCTGGATTCAAGATCAACATACAAAAATCAATAGCACTTCTCTACCCCAGCAATAACCCACTCACAAATAAAACATATAAATGAGCATTGCTTTTCTACCCAGACGATGTATTTCATAAACTTTTTGTGTTTTATTTACTTAAGGGAATTGGTTCTCTGCTGTGGAACATTAGCGGACGCACAGCATCCTATGCGAACACTGCTACAGAGGGTAGAGGAGAGGAGGGGGCCATGGAGTGGGTGACCTCCTTGACAGAAGGACCTGGAGGCAAAGGGTCTTGAAAGTGACTTAAGAGGTCTGTGGATTCAGCATTGTGGGTAAGCCCCTTGAGGTGAGGAGAGATGCCCATCTTTTTCACTTCTGTATCCCCAGCACCTGGTGTCTGCCACCTAGGGGGTCATCAATATTTATTGACAAATGAATGGTGCAGCCTATTTACTAAGGCCTCAGTGACCGCTTATTTATAGCTTTCGATGAAGTCCCAGGAGAGCTTTCTAAGGGTAGAATTGATTTTGACAGATGAACAGGGAAGCAATGCACAATATTTACCATGTTCAGGAACAGGATACAAAAATGTTCTGCAGGATAAAGACTTTTCTTTTTCCTTCTTTGGCAGAAGATGAGAGGATGTGGGTCTTTTTAAAAAAAAAAAAAAAAACAAAAAAAAAACAGGACCTCTGTCACTCAGGCTGGAGTGCAGTGGTGCAGATCACAGCTCACTGCTGCAGCCTCGACTTCCCCAGGCTCAAGCAATCCTCACACATCAGTCTCTTAGTGCCTGGCACAACAGGCACATGCCACCATGCCAGGCTGATTTTTGTATTTTTTATAGAGACAAGGTCTCGCTACGTTATGCAGGCTGGTCTCAAACTCCTGGGCTCAAGCAATCCTCCTCCTGCCTCAGCCGCCCAAAGTGCAGGGATTATAGGCATGAGCCATGGCACCTAACCAAGGGTAAAGACTTTCGATCTTAAGGATTCTTTGGGTACCCCATTTAAGTCATACTTTTTATTGTGATGAAATATACATCACATAAAATGTACCATTTTAATCATTTTTAAGTGCACTGTTCAGTAGCATTGTTAGGCAATCATCATCACCATCCATCCATCACCATCCATCTCCAAAACCTTTTCATCTCCTCAAAATGAAACTCTGTACCCATTAAACAGTAACTCCCTGTTTCCCCTCCTCCAGCCCCTGGCAACCACCATTCCACTGTGTCTCTATGAATTCGACTGCTGTAGGTGCCTCATAGAAGTGGGATCCTGCAACATTTGTCCTATTGTGTCTGGCTTATTCCAGTTTATAGAATGTCTTCAAGCTTCATCCATATTATAGCATGTGCCAGCATTTCTTTCCATTCTGTGGCTGAATAATATTCCATTATGTCTATACCATATTTTGTTGATCCATTCATTCACCAATGGACATTAGGCTGTTTACAACCCCTCATCATTTAAAGCATATTGATCGCATGTGTGATCTGGGCTGGAAAAGTCATGGGGACACATAGGAAAGTAAAATACATGAACCATGGTCCTGGGTTTCTGAAGGTCTTTTGTGGGGAGTTACATATCTGAGCAAAGAATCTCAGTACAATCCAAAAACGAAGAATGTGCACGTGACTATGGAGAAGGGAGCCACTCACTCTGTGCCCAGTGCAGAGGTGCTATTGGAACTGGATCATGGGGCAGACACAGGCCCCTTGGTGCTTTAGGCAGAAGAAACAATATACACAAAGATATCCAGAGACTGTCAAATGGCTCCATGTAACTAGAACATAGGTTGTATGGTCAGAGCGGGGTGCAAGTTGGAGGAACCAACAGTGGGTGATCAACCAGAAAAAAATGGGTTGGAGTCAACATTTGAAGGATTATTTCTTAAGACAACAAAATTGCTTGCAACCTAACACAAATACATATTTTTTTTCCTTTTACACAAAAGGCATCTCAACGTACATGCTGTTTGACGCATTGCTTTTGTTTATTTGTTTTAACTTCATGGTATGTTGTGGCAATCTTTCCATATCCATATATGGAAAGTGTCCTCATGTTTTTAATAGCTTCGTGGTATTATAGTGTATGGATGTACCATAATTTATTTAACCAGTTTCCTCTAGATGGACATTTAGGTTGTTTGGCATTTTTGCTCTTACAAGCAACACTAATGAATAACCTTGCACAGACATCATTTCACACGTGTGCAAGTGGAACTGGAGGATAAATTCCCAAATGTATAATTGATGGGTCAAAGGGTATATACATATGTAATTTTGATAGATGGTGCTGATTTGCCCTCCACAGGGGTTACACCAATTCATATTCCCAACAGCAATAGATGGTATCTGTTTTCCCATAATCTCACTAGCAGAGTGTTATCAAACTTTTGGATTTTTGCCAATTCAATAGGTGAAAAATGGCAGCTCAAGATAGCTTTAATTTGGGGGATCTCTCATTAGAGTGAAGCGAAGTTTCTTTTTTTTCTTATGTTTGAATCATATACTTTTTCTTTTCTGTGAATTTTCCTGGCCCCCACTTTCAACTTGGCCATTTCCTTTTGTATACATTTCTAGGAAATCTTTATTTATTAGTCTTATTTTATTGAACTTTTGCTGTTCCTTTATATAATCAAGAATTGTTAAATTTTAACAAGTACTTTTTGTTCGTGTTTGAGATAATCATATGTTTTTCTCCTTAAATCTAGTAGCAGATTGACTTATTTAGTGGATTTTTGTATTATTTTGCCATTGTTAAATTTCTGAAATAAAACCCCATTTTTATAGCTTATTGTTTTTTGATGATCTAATGAATGTGGTTTGTTTAAATTTCACAGATGATTTTTGCACCAATGTACATAATAAGATTAGACTTTTTTTGTTTTTTAATTTTTTAGGGTCCAATCTCTTTCAGGTTTGGGTGTATTGTTGTATTTGTTTCAATAAAAGACTTTGATAATTTCCTTTTTAAAAAAAAATGCCCTAGAATAGTTTAAGCATTATCAGATCAGCTGATTTTTTTTAAAAGTTAATAAAATTTGCCAAAGCTTATACCTGTTTTGGGTTTCTTATCTTATTGTTCTTCTCCTTACTCTAAAGAAACAGCTTGGGAATTTATTCTTTAGTTTTCTGGATTTCTAGTTTCCTATCTTATTAATTTCCGCTTTTATCTTTATTGATTTTTCCCTTATCATTTTGTTTTATTTCTAACTTGTTAAGTCATATGCCTAATTCATTTGTTTTCATTCTCTCTTTTAAAAATTGATATACATTTTTGAGTTTATTACTTTTTTCAGAGTGTTTTATAGCTGTATTCATAGTTTCTGAAATATAGTATTTTCACTATTATTTTAAAGACATTCTTAAATTTCGGGTTGTGTTTTTTCCTTAATCTAGGAGCTTTTTTTTTAACCTAAGAGCAATTTTTTTTTTTAAATTTTCAGGTGGAAAAGATTTTGTTTATTTTCTGATCTTATTTACTTCTGTTTTTATTATATTATGATCAGAGAATAATATCTACACCTTTCTGATTTTTAAAATATGTATTGGAGTTTCTTTGTAGCCTAGAATGTGATCTGTTCTTCTATAAATGTTTTCATGGGCATTTGAAAATGAAAATAAGTGATCTATTGTCAAGGTATGTGGTCTGTATGACTCAGCACAGTCTGTCTTAGTACTTATGTTATCGAGGACTGCTAGACTCTAATTCTGGGTCCACTTGGCCTCTCATGGGCGAGAGTGGCGAGTGGCCTCCTGCTACGAGCATGACTGCCGGTTTCTCCCGAGTCTCCTGTAATTCCTGCTGCATTCTTGTTGCTTCGGATGCGTGGGTATTCAGAATGTTTGTATCGTCACTGTGAATCTCTCCCCTTTAGAATTATGAAGTGCACTTGTATGTCTCATTTCATGCTTTTATCCTGAAGTCTACCTTCTCAGATATGAAGAGTATGGCCTCTGCTTCCTTTTGTTTACATCTATTTGGGTATCCGTTAAACGTCCCTTTATATTCAACTTTGCTGAACAAATGGTCTAATGTGTCTTTGGACTACAGCTGAGGCCAGCTTTGCTTTGTGGGACAAACAACTGAAAATGTTTCTGATAGATCAGTTGAGCCCATTGACATTTTCCATGATGTATATTTGGTCTAGGTTCTGAGATATCATTGTATATTACATTTTTTGTTTTTTAAAGTCCTCTACTATGTCATTTATTTTATGTGCTTTGATTCTCCTGATATTTAAAAAGGTTTGTATTTCTTACTAGTTATAACATCTGCAATTATAACTTTATATGAGACTTTTAGTTCTTATTTCTTTAGACAATCTCTTCTTCATTCCCTGCCATAATTAATGATACAATTAACATATTTGTTTTTCCTTTCTTTCTCTTCCTTTCCCTTCTATCACCCAATTTTAGTTTGTAATAGTTTGCTAGTATATATCTGATATGGTTTGGATCTGGGTCCCCACCCAAATCTCATGTTGAATTATAATCCCCAGTGCTGGAGGTGGGGCCTGGTGGAAGGTGATTGGATCATGGAGGGTGAGGGGTGGTTCTCCTGAATGGTTTAGCATCATCCTTCTAGTGCTGTTTGTGTATAGAGTTATCACGAGATCTGTTTTTTTTAAAACTGTGCGGCACCCCCACCCTCTTCCTCCTGCTCTGGCCATGTGAGACATCTCTCTCCCTTTTTGCCTTCCACCATGATTGGAAGCACCCTGCACCTTCCCCAGAAGCAGAAGCTGCCATACTTCCTATACAGCCTGTGGAGCTGTGAACCAATTAAATCACTTTTCCTTATAAAGTACCCAGTCTTAGGTATTTCTTTAAAGCAATGCAAGAACAGACTAATGCAATACCTCATTGCTTATATGTATATGTGTGATTTATCACTAGATTTTTCATTTTTGAATGACATCCTTTAACACCAAGCTAATGTACATGAGATAATTGTTTCTTTTTAAAAATCTTCCTCTATAGATGTAATCATTTTCCATTTTTTAAGTCATTACCACATATTCGGTCATAGTTCTTACCTACCCTATGGAAATATAATTTCTGGTGAGCGTTTTTCATTTTGTTAAGTTTTGTGACTCTTTTCCAATTTTTCCTTTCGAGATTTCTTTATAGGAATCATGTCCACTCCTTTTATGACTCATAGTTGGATGTGTTTAATTTTCCCTGCTAGGCACTAGCAGAAATTCCAGGTGGAGGTAAGGCATGGCCTTGGAGGACCAAGGGATGGGCGATGGGGAGCCTTTCAGATCTCACGTGTCAGATTTTCCCTTCTGAGTTGCAAATCAAAACTGCAATGAGATATCACCTCACACCTGTTAGAACAACTGTTGTCAAAACGATGAGAGGTAACAATGCCAGCAAGGGTGTGAAGAAAAGGGAACCCTTGTACCCCATTATGAGGCTGATGGGAATGTAGATGGTTGCAGTCATTATACAAAACAGTATGAAGGCTTCTCAAAAATAGGAGCATCATATGATCCAGGTATCTCACTTCTGGGTACACATCCAAAGAAAATAAAATCACTGCCTCAGAGATACCTGGCCTCCCATGTTCATTGCAGCATTATTCACAATAGCCAATATAAGGAATCAACCTAAGTTATCCATGGACAGAGGAATGGATTTAAAAAAAGTGACACACACACACACACACAGAGTGGAATATTATTTAGCCTTAAAATGGAAATCCTGCCATTTGTAGCAATATGAATAAACTGGAGGACATTATGCTAAGTGAAATAAGCCAGACATAGAAAGAGCAATGTTGCATGATTTCATTTATATGTGGAATATGTCACTTTGGGAGGCCAAGGCAGGTGGATCACGAGGTCAGGAGATCAAGACCATCCTGGCTAACACGGTGAAACCCTGTCTCCACTAAAAATACAAAAAATTAGCTGGGCGCAGTGGTGGGCGCCTCTAGTCCCAGCTACTCGGGAGGCTGAGGCAAGAGAATAGCGTGAACCCGGGAGGCAGAGCTTGCAGTGAGCCGATACCAAGCCACTGCACTCCAGCCTGGGCGGCAGAGCGAGACTCCGTCTCAAAAAGACAAAAAAAAAAAAGGCTGAATATGTAGAAACAGAGAGCAGAAGGGTGGTTTCCATGGGCAAGCAGGTGGGAGGAAATGGGGAGATGTTCATCAGAGGGTACAGAGCTGTGGTTATGGAAGAAGCCTAAGTCTAGAGATCTAATGTACAGCATGAGGACTATAGTTAAGAATACTGAATTGTAAACTGGAAAATTTGCTAAGAGAGTCTATTTCAGTTGCTCTCATGATACACATGCACAAAGAGGTAACTACGTGAGACAATGGATGGGATATTTAGTTGACTGTACACATGTGATCCTCCACATACAACGGGATTACATTCTCATAAACCCATCACGTGAAAATACAGCGCAGAGTATCTTTGGTCAAAGAACCAGTGGTGCTTAAATCTGAAAACCTGTGGTTGCCAATCACTATTGCACCATGACAAAAGCTGTAGTAAGTCAAACCATCATAAGTTGGGGACTGTAGTAATAATTTCACTATATGTATGCATATCAAAACATCATATTGTACAACTTATATAGCTACATTTTTTAAATAAATAAAAATATTTTCTGTTTTCTGTTGCCTCAGAGACAGACTGCTTCCTGCAACTATGGCTGACTCTGCTATTTTGTCCCAAGCCAGGCCAACCATGTTCTGAGCGTAAGCGCAGTTTGCTCTATTACCTGGTCCCATTGTTGAAAACAGGAATAACCTTGCACTTCAGGACTCTCACCTGAGTCCTTCTTTAAAAAATATCTTTCTGCTTGTCCTTCCTGAAAGATGGCACCATTTGATCCTGAGGCCACATGCTGCATCTCTTTTCACGTCCTCTTGTGTGGCTTCCCCTCAATCTCAGCTGCTTTTGACAGCCTCACATGTATCTTGGAGTCTTGCATTGCATTTATCTTTTAATTTCCCTAAATATTTTTAAGCACATTTTTTTGTGTTCTTCATCTTGCTTCAGTATCTATTTAGAAGAAGGAAGAAAATTCTGACTTCTGAAGCAAAGTCCAAAGCTGTAGTCCAGTGAAGGTCTTGATTTAGCTACACAATTGGTGAGAATGGAGAGGAGAGGATGTGGTGATGACCCAGCTTTCTGGTTTTTGCAAGTTTAAGGTCTAGATGGTGAGTCTGACTTATTAGGTTGAGTTCTGCATAAATTTGGAGCTCAAGGGAAGAGGTAGGAAAGGAGAGGCAAATATTATTGTTACTTTTCTTGCTTCTTCTGCCATTTACTGAAAGCCTTCTATGTTTACAGAGTACATCAGTATCATCTCATCTAATCCTAACAAAAAAACATTGGTTCAGAAAAGAGCAGGTGACAGCTGATATTTGAATCCAGGCCTCTCTGCTATCGAAGTCCATAAGCAGGGTTCTTCCTGAGTCATGCTGTCCTCGTAGCGGGTTCACCACGTGGCTTTGGAGCCTGGGTTTAATTTGAAGAGAAGGTAGCACGTTGCATTCCACTTCCTCAGGGATTTTGCATCAAACTGGCCATCAAGAGCAAGACATCTTTCAGTGTTTCCACAGAGAACTTGGGTCTCAGTAGGCAGAACTTGGGTCATCTCCACCAATTTGAGTCCCTATTATTGTGGGTAATGATGTGAGGTGGTAGTTTAACAGTGCTGCATGGGTTGTCACTCATATTCAGTCACTGATGCAGGTTGCACACAGCCCTGAGCCCTGTGTCTAATATGGCTGATACCCATGTATGGCATTGCACCCGCGTGAATGCTAGAATCAACGCATTTGCACCAAACACTGATAACTTAGAGATGTGGGTTTTAGATCATGTTTTTTTTTTCCTTCCCTTGTTTATTAAAAAAAAAAATTGACTAGTGTAAGCTAGGTCCAACAGGAAATGTTAAATGTTAAAAAGAGACCTGTCCAATTAAGATGGCATTTGTCTTTGAAGCACAGGGTCTCTCTGATGTCCCCAGTGACACCAGGTGGATTGGATAGAGATGGACATTATAGAAAAGGCAATGATACATTGATTTTCACAAATCGTGCTCTTTCACCATGCATGCGTGTGTGTGTGTGTGTGTGTGTGCGTGCCTGTGTGTGTGGGAGAGAGTGAAAAAAATGGTCACAGAGTATAAGTGTAAAAATATTTTTTAGACTAGCATCACCAAGATGTGTGAGAAATGTTACAATAGATAATTTTGTGCTCCGTCTATTAATTATGCCTTTTAATATTTCATTTCTAAATGAAAGGGGATACTGTCATTGCAGTATCTAATATGTGCTGAGCTTTGGGATGAAAGAATTACATTAGGTGATGTGATTAAATGAGTTAAGAAATGGAAAATAGTAAGAACAGGGTCTGAAACATAGTAAGTTATATAAGAGTGTGCGCTACTTTTATTATTACAAACAAAATAATTAATATTACAGATGAAAGGCTATTGTTTGGAGAGATTCAATAACTTTCTCAGGGTTATATTAGCATTAAGGGGAAAGTGAGATCTATATTGAGTTCTTAGGACTCCAAATCCAAACATCAACCCTAATCCATCCCCCAAAATAAGTTAGTTTGAAACATGCAATGAGTCTTAAGGATATCTCTGATGAAATTCATATAAGTAAATTTCAAAGTTCTTCCTAAATAAAGAGCCAGTAATCCAGGCAGTCAAGTTTTAAAAATCCAGGAAGGGAACCTAGAAGCAATAATAAAGATATAATTTACTGACAAGTCTTATCAGGTGTAAGTAGACCCTCGATCTATAGATTTCACATGGCCATGTCTATGCAGTAGGACAATATCCACAGTTGATACATGAGGTACTGTAATTGTTATTGGCCAATCTTAGTTTTGTTCAGAGAAGGAAGACAGCCAAAGGCTCTTGGAGATGTATTTTATCCAGCACCTCCTTTTAACTTAGATTTATTGCATTCCAGACCCTACCATAAGCCTCATTTCTTTCTTCCAGATCCTTCTGAACATTGTCAATAACATGAGTCATATGCTATCTTGCTGTGATATTTCCCCATTGTTACATACAAATGCACAAATCATTTTTAAATTTTTTTTTCTTAAAGGGAAGTCCTACTGTCTCTTCGGTGCATTGCAAAACAAACAAGCAAGGAAACAAACAAGCAAACAAAACAAACTACTTCCAAAGGACAGAGAAAGGGAACACTGGGTTTTCAGGCGTGTAAGTCCTGTAACCATCACATAGTTCTCTGTGTTTTTCATTTTGGTTTGAAGAATGCTACAAGGCCCACTGTCAAGTAAGAATTAACATCTTTTCTCTCTCCTTCTCTTTGGCAGCTTTGGGCAGGAAAATAACAACCACTATATACAGACAGGATACATTTAAGGGTTATTACCTGTAGACTCTTTATATATTCAGGTGTAAATTATCTTCCCCTTTCCATTTATTACATCCTTAACCCAGAGAAGGAATTATCTGCATGGAGATTGCAACAGCATCTGCTTCCATTCGTGCAAATGCCACAGTTACAAGCAGGAGCAACTGAAACAAGGATTTGAAATTAAATAAAATAAGCTAATCTGTATTTTTAGCTCCCTTTAGAAGGCTGAGACCAGAGGAAAGGATTGGAAATATATCTACCAATATGCCTTCAAGGAAAAATAACAGAAAACCCAACTCAAATTGGCTTAAACAAGAAAGAAACTTTTTTTGACCTGCTTAACTGAAAAGTCTAAAGGATCAAGCGAACTTCAGGTGAGGGTTGATCCAGCAACTTAATGATTGTTTGTCTTGGTATGGGTTTCTGTGTTCATTATCTACTGCTATGTCACAAATTACCTAAAAACTCAGTTACTTACAACAAAACACTTTTGGCATCTCACAGTTATTATGGGTTAGGAATGCAGGAGAAGCTTAGCTTGGTGTTCCTGGCTCTAAATCTCCCAAGAGGGTGCAGTGAAGATGTGTCAGTTGATTCTACAATCCTCTGGATGAACTGGGGAGATGTGCTTCTAAGATAACTCATTCACATGGCAGGCAGATTGGTGCTGAGGGTTTCTGGGAGGGGAGCTCAGTTCTTCCCCTATGGGCCTCCTCACAACATGGCAGCTGGCTTCTCCAGAACAAAGGATCCAAGAGTAAGAGAGAGCCAGGTGGATGCTCTTGGTTTTATGACCAAGTCTGGGAAGTTGCATAGCATGACTTTTACCACATCTTATCCATTAGAAGCAGGCTATCAAATCCAGCTCATTCAAGGCGGAGGCATTAAGCTCCACCTTCTGAAGGGAGCATGTTAAAGAATCAGAGAACTTATCTGAAAACCACTCTACTCTCAGCAGCCCTACTCTCAGCCTCTTGTGGTCTTAACACTGCTCCTGGCCTCATGCTCAGGCCTCATGGTTCCTCATTCATGCCTAGCAGAGAAGAGCATATTCCCACAGCTTATGCCTGATTGGACAACTGAAGTCAGGTCCTTACCCACGAACCACGTTCTTGTGGCCAGAGGGATGAGATCATTCTGATATGCTTAGGTTAGAGCCACATGCCCCATGATCAGAGATGGAAAAGCATCAAAATCCATTGACATACATGAGCTACATAGGGAAAGAATAAGTACTACAAGTATAATTCAGAATCTATTGCCAAAAGGAGGATTGAATCCTGGGTGGTCCCAGCCAATCTGTGTGTGTACACTTGTGTGCATGTGTATTCACACTTGTGTGTGCAGTGGGGTACGTGTGGGAGTGGGTAGGTAGGCAAAAGTCACCCAGGTATTGTCTGAAAGTCAGTTCAGGCTGGGTGCAGTGGCTCTCGCCTATAATCCCAGCACCTTGACAGGAGGATTGGTTGAGGCCAGGAGTTCAAGGTCAGCCTGGGCAACATTGTGAGACCCCCATCTCTACAAAAATATAAAAAATTATCCAGGTATGGTGGTTCACGACTGTAGTCCCAGCTACTCAAGAGGCTGAGGTGGGAGGATCACTTGAGCCCAGGAGTTTGAGGCTGCAGTGAGCTATGATTATGCCATTGCACTCCAGCCTGGGCAACAGAGTGAGACTCTGTCTTACTCCCGAAAAAAGTGAGATCTGTTGAGCAATCTGTCACATAGACCATTTTACACTGTTTCAAACTAATTGGTTAAGGAGGTATGAAGAAAAAAATCAATAAAACTGCTGACTTGCTTATTGCATTTTTAACATACGGATCACTTTCATTCTAGGAAACGGTCTCAGTTGCCTCTTATGGTGGCGAGGCTTGGTTCTGGAAGCTTGTCCTGGTGTTTAGGAGGAGACAATGAGCCTGTGCTTTGGCAGGCCGGTGCCAGGAACACGTGTAATTCCTGCTGAAGAAGAAGGAGGCCAAGGGAACAAACATTTGAGTGAAGCATTTCCCTCCTTCCAGGGCCCATTTCCCTCCCACCAAAGTCCATTTCCTTCCTCCAGAGCATTCTCCCCTCCCCCCAGAGACCTCCTCCCTCCTGCCAGAGCCCATTTCCCTCCCACTAGATCCCATTTCTCTCTCTTCAGAGCCATCTTCCCTCCTTCCAGAGCCCACTTCCCTCCCTCCAGAGCCCACTTCCCTCCCTCCAGCACCCATTTCCCTCCCTCCAGAGCCCACTTCCCTCCCTCCAGCACCCATTTCCCTCCCTCCAGAGCCCACTTCTCTCCCTCCAGCGTCCATTTCCCTCCCTCCAGAGCCCACTTCCCTCCCTCCAGTGCTCAGTTCCCTCCCTCCAGAGCCCACTTCCCTCCCTCCAGTTCCCATTTACCTCCCTCCAGCTCCCACTTCGCCCTCTCCAGAGCCCACTTCCCTGCCTTCAGAGCCCATTTCCCTCCCTCCAGAGCCCTTTTCCCTCCCTCCAGATCCCACTTCCTTCTCTCCAGAGCCCATTTCCCTCCCTCCAGCGCCCATTTCCCTCTCTCCAGAGCCCACTTCCCTCCCTCCGGAGCCCACTTTCCCTCCCTTCAGAGCCCTCTTCCTCCCTCCAGAGCCCACTTCCATCTCTCCGGAGCCCACTTTCCCTCCCTCCAGAGCCCTCTTCCTCCCTCCAGAGCCTATTTTCCTCCCTCCAGAGCCCTCTTTCTTCCCTCTGGAACCCTCTTCTCTCTCTCCCGATCCTTCTTTCCTCTAGCCACAGCTCATTTTCCTCCAGCCAGATCCGTCTTCTCCCTTTGAACCCATATCTTCTTCCTGCATGTAAGAGTCCTGAGGAAAGGGATTTGTGTTAGCTTGATTCACTGCCTGGCACCCAATGGATGTTCAATAAAACCTTGCCTAATATTTATTGATATTATTATTAATATTAACAAGCAAATTAATTTGCTATATTTCCACTTGGTGGTTGACTGTCCAGACCCCTGGACACCCAGCAACCAAGGTGTCAGGATTAAAGGCAAGAGTCACAGCCCCCAGCCTGAACTCACTTTCTGACAATACCTGGGTGACTTTTGCCTACCTACCTACTCCCACCCATACCCCACTGCACACACAAGCATGAATATGCATGCACACAGCTTCACAGGCACAGACCCACCAGGACACTCAGTCACCAAGTGGAAATACAGCAAATGCATTCATTCAATCCTCCTTCTCTTGGTAATAGATAAATAATTATATTTTTGGTTCCTACTCTTTTCTCATATAGCTCATGTGCTTCAAGGGATTTTGATGCTTTACCAGCTCTGATCATGGGGCATGTGGCTCTAGCTGAGGCATATCAGAATGATCTCATCCCACTGGCCACAGGATGTGGCTCATGGGTAAGGACATGACCTCTGTTGTCCAATCAGACATAAGCTGTGGGAATATGTTGTTCCCCTTGGGCCTGAAGTATGAGCAAGGCAGTAGACTGAGACAGTGTGAAGTGTAGTCACTAGCATCCCAGGACCCGAGTAAAGGGGGCAGAGTATGGAATAGAGCAGCTTTTAGCCCCAGTGCTCAAGATCAGGAGTGCAGAAAAAATATCTCTGAGTGCTTTTCTTATTATTCAGGTAAATTAAAAATTTTTTTTTTTTAGAAACAGGGTCTTGTTCTGTCGCCCAGGCTGGAGTGCAGTGGCATAATGATAGCTCACTGTAACCTCCACCTCCTGGGCACAAATGATCCTCCTTCCTCAGCCTCCTGAGTAGCTGGAACTACAGGTGCATGCCACTGTACCTGGATAATGTTTGCTTTGTTTTGTTTTGTTTGTTTGCTTGTTTGTTTGTTTATTTGTTTGTTTTTAGAGACAGGGTCTTGCTATGTTGCCCAGGCTGGTCTCGAACTCCTAGCCTCAAGTGATCCTCCCACCACCACCTCCCAGAGCACTGGTATTACAGGCACAAGCCACTGCATCTGGCCTGATTCAGCTAAATTTTTAATTCAGGTCCTCAGTTTTTCATTCTGATGAAAACAATGTTAGCCACGTTGTGGGCTTTCTAGATTTTCCTGGAATCTTACATAATGACAAGGTGTCTTTAGGACTAGGGTGGTGTGGTCCCCATAGTAGGTCATCACTCTGTCCAGTGTTGTGTCTTTGCTGGGTAGTGCCTCATTCCTGCTTGGGTAGCCTGCAAATATTCTTATCTTCTTGCTCGGGCTCAATCCCAGGGATAGCTGAGTACCAGGCCCTTCTTGGGGACCCACCAGCACCTAAGCTTTTTATTTCCTTTTCCTCTTCTTCCCTCCACTGCATTCGTTTAGTCTCTGGAGGAGGAAACCTTGCACTGATCAATCATATTGTTCTCTACTCCTCCAGGCTTGGGCTTGAGACGTGAAAGCTCCTAAGAGAGTTATTTTTCTCTTTTCTGTTAGCCCACCTCTTCTTTGAGGCAATGAGCCTCTGGTGGCTTGAATGGGAGGGACTCACAGAGTAACAAGAAATGCAGGATGGCAGAAACAATAGTTACAGGGTCAAAAATGGGCGTGATTGGGTTGCTAGGGGCTGGGGACCAGGAGAGAATGCAGAGGTGTTGTTTAATCAGTATTGAGTTTCAGTTTTGCAAGATGAAGAGCGTTCTGGAGGTTGGCTGCACAACATGAATTCACTTACCACTACTGAGCTGCAAGCTGAAAAATGGTTAAGATGGTAAACTTTACGTTATGTGTATTTTACCACATTGAGAATAAAATGGAACCACCAGCAGCAGTACTCGCAGCGCTTACTTATTTTGAACACCTCCCATGTGCCAGATCTTGTATTAAACACTTTACAGGCACCATCTAACTTAATCTCTTGACAACTTTGCTATGCTATGGAGCCATTTCTGCCCTCACTTTACAGATGAGGAAATTGAAGCTTATTATTATGATGATGATTATTTTTTGAAACAGGGTCTCACTCTTGGGTCGCCCAAGCTGGAGTGCAGTGGTGAGATGACTGCTTGCTGCTGCCTCAACTTCCTGGGCTCAAGAAATCCTCCCACCTTAGCCTTGCAAGTAGCTGGGACTGCAGGCCACCATTCCTGGCTAATGTTTTAAGTTTGATTTTTCTTTTGTAGAGATGGGGTGTTGCTATGTTGACCAGGCTGGTTTCGAACTCCTGGCCTCAAGTGATCTTCCCACCTCAGCTTCCCAAGGTGCTGGGATTATAGGTGTGAGTCACTGCACCCAGCCAAAATTGAAGCTTAGATCTAGAAGCTAACTTTTCCAATGTCTCAGAGCCAGGATTTGAACCCAGGTCTAAGTGTAACACAACCAAGATTCTTGGCTTGGTCCATGCATAACCAACTCAACAGACTAGCTCAACTTAACCAACATAACAGATACACTCTGTTCCTTCTGTAAAATCGCAACTGATATTTAGGGCTCCCATAAGTATTCCAAACTCTAGAATGTCTGCACACTTCTGTTCCCACCAGTCACACGTTGTATGTTTACCAAGAATCAGAATCTGTCAACTGTACTTGTTATTGTAAGTATGTCATATAAGAAAATATTGGCCGGGCACAGTGGCTCACGCCTGTAATCCCAGCACTTTGGGAGGCTGAGGTGGGTGGATCACGAGGTCAGGAGTTTGAGACCAGCCTGGCCAACATAGTGAAACCCTGTCTCTACTAAAAATACAAAAATTTAGCTGGACTTGGTGGCAGGCGCCTGTAATCCCAGCTACTTGGGAAGCTGAGGCAGGAGAATCGCTTGAACCCAGGAGGCGGAGGTTGCAGTGAGCCGAGATCACGCCATTGCACTCCAGCCCTGCTGACAGTGTGAGACTCTGTCTCAAAAAAGAACAACAACAACAACAACAAATATATATATATATAATATATATATAATATATATATAATATATATATAATATATATATATTATATATATAATATATATATATAATATATATATTATATATATAATATATATATATTATATATATATGCTGCTCAGATGTGATAAGAGTGTAAAGGACGTAGTGGTGTCTATGAGAACTAGATGTGGTGCTTTGTAAAGATTCAATGCAGACTGGTAGAAAATTAGGTGTGAGAAGCAAATGTAAGAGATAGAGACTGGCCCCAAAAATCTGGAGGAATTTCACACTTATTTTGCCTTGTGAGGATCTTTTTTATCCCCTTTGAAGATACTGTAATAATTTTGTAGGTTATGTATTATGGTTGTGGTTTATATAAGAAAGAGTGCCTGAAACACCAATCAGCAGACCCATAAGCCTAGAAGAAGACTTGGCTTTGCAATAAGAGGACAGGCAAATAGGCCAGGCATGGTGCCACATGCCTGTCATCCCAGAACTTTTGGATGCCCAGGCAAAAGGAATGCTTGAGGCCAGGAGTTCAAAACAGCCTGGGTAACAGAGCAAGACCCCTGACTCTACAATTATTATTATTTTTTAATTAACCATGCATGGTGGCATATGCTTGTATTCCCAGCTACTAAGGAGGCTGAGGCAGGGGGATTGCGTGAACCCAGGAATTTGAGGCTGCAGTGAGCTATGATCACACCATTGTACTCCGGCCTGGGCAACGGAGCAACAGAGTGAGACCCTGTTTCAAAAAAAAGAAAAAAGATAGGCAAATAAATGAATGCTTCTATGATTTAAATTATCACACAAAATAAAACTTTTAAAAGCATTTTACTTATAGAACCATGTCTTGTCCTAGCCTTTCTTAAAATCATTAATACAATCCCAAATGCATAAATACTGTTCTATCAGCAATAACAAAAACATCACACAAATGACAACAATAAAAACCAGTCCTGATTACGAAATAAAACTGTCCCTATTCTGATTGAGCTAACAAGCCGGGCAGTAGAGAACGTGGACGAGGAGGGTCCCTGAGACTGGGGTCACTAGGGAGACCTCCATAAAACTGGGAACAGAGTGGTGTCTGGAAGGCAGATTCAGCTTTCAGAGGAAGGGCAGAGAAAGGAACGAGCGAGGTGTGTTTGATGCAGATGGGGCAAGCTGGCTGAGGGCATTGCGAATGGGACTGCAATTAAGATCAGAAGTAAAGAGCCACAAGGAAGATGAAGATAGAGATGACACTGAAAAGTTGTCTCCTTGTTTGCTTTTAAGGAAATGGCAGGTGGAGGAGCTGCTTCTGCCAGCTGGATCTGCAATTCGGACAGCACGAAGAGCATGGAAACGGGGCCATTACCCAGTTTGCTAAATTAAAGAAGGCAACCAGTCTCGGCAGGCCATCAGCTCCACACAGTCACTGCCCTACTGTACATGCCAACGACCCATCTGAGGGATCAGCTTCCCTTTGCTCCCCAAACGAGAGCCTCTGCTCTTGGGCACCTCAGAGATGCGTGTGTGTGTGTGTGTGTGTGTGTGTGTGTGTGTGTGTGCGCGTGTGTGTGCATGCAGACTATTTGGAAATTCGCTTTTAGATGGATTAATGCTCGGTAAAGCTCTCATGTTTCTCCAAAGTATATCCAGTGAGTAACAGTAGTATTTTCAATCAATAGTATTGCTTGCTAAAATAACAGATCTACAATAAAGCCTTCTAGAAATGAAGTCTTACGTTCCTCTGGCCCTGTATCCAAACCAAAAAGGACCACATAGGATGTCCCTGGTGTCGACATTTTCCTACAGGATCTTTGTAAGGCTTGTCTGTTTATCGTTCTCCATAGAGGGAAAACACAGGTGAAATATTCCTTTGTGCTAAAGGCAGACTAACCGTAAAATGATTATCCATGACAAGCTTACAAAGCCCAGGAGGGCTGAGGGAGCCGATGCATCGATCCCAGCAGGGTGGTGGGAAGGGCTGTTTGGGGAAGGGGCCACTCCTAGAGACCCAGGCTGCCAGAGACCCAGAAATAAGAGCAGCCCTCCTTCCAAGGACGCTGCCAGAAACCAGCTGATGTGAACAAGCCAGGAGCTTGAGGAAATGCAACAGAATCTGCAACGTTTCTAATGAAAACTGGATTTTCTTATCTTCTCTTCCATAGAGAGTTCCTGATTAGTGGTTCAGAGCTCGGAGGAATTAACCATATATCACTTTAAATGTTTATTTTATGTCCAGCTTATTCTAACATTTTTATTCATCTTAATGAGAAGTAATTGGGCTTCCTATTGCAGTGTTTCATTTAAAAAAGGGGAATATTAATAAAGGATGAAAGCATGCTAAAACCCATAACTATCTTCCACACTGTTACTAAGCTTCTATCTACCCCAGAAGTCACTCTTTTAGATTGAAAATAGTATTCAATGCATTTGAACCACATCCTTCCTGAGCCTGGCAATGCTTTTATTGTATGTCATTATGTCTTCTGGGAATCCTGACATTAAAACATATCCTTGGTTCTCACTTAAGCCAATTTTATAGGGCAGAGAAAGAAAAGACAACATTTTGCAATGAAAGCACCTTCTCCCATCTGGCAAAATGGCTTTCTGGACTCTATTGTGGCTCATTGTCTAAAAATAGGATGAAGACAAATTGTTATCATTTGCGAAAGCCCATGACAATAATGATAAATGAACAAATTTTTTTGCCCTCTGAAGTCATTGCTTAAGGCTTTCTCTGGGATCAACAATGTTAAACTGGTAAACTTGCCTCATCTGCATCTGCAGAGGGTTTACAAATGGCTTTGTAAACAATTTTAGCCAGAGCGTTAATCTCCCCTACAGAACTAGGGCTTCGAGATGTATGATTGATTTGCAATTTAAAATGACACTGAAACCCCTGAAACAGATATGAAAGAAACTTTCAGTGAATAATGTTTTAGTTGACAAGAAAAGATGAGGCACATCTTTCATCTGATAGTGGGCTGTTTTTGATAAATATTGTTCATAATGGAGAATTTTGGAATCATTAATGTGTGGATAGAACATTACTACTTTTTTGACTGGGACTTCAGAAACCAGTTTCTTTTGGCAGGCATTTTTGTTGCGTGAAAGAAACTTGGGGGAGACACTTTGAAAGGCACGCATAAAATGATTCTATTCTTTGACCTGAGCTCAAATGACAAGGTGAAACTGCAGAGTGATGGCATCTCAACACCACACGGCAGCCCACCATTCTCCGAGACAAGGGCAGGGCATTATTGCTTTTGAATTCTGTTTTGGTGGAGTGACAGGTCCAGTAAGATGGGGCATGCCATGGAAGTAAATATTTAATTTCATGGTCTTTCGCTTCTTTATTCAGATGGCACCCCAGGTGCTCTGACTACAAACTCACTCCCAGACCGGTCTTGTGGTGCCAGACATGGGGACACTTGCATCACATTGTCCCCTAGGGATTAGAGGAGCTGTGCTGACCAGTACATGTTGGCCATCAGAGGCTAGACCCTTGAGAGGGCCTGTCTCCCCTGCCAGGTCAGCAGCCCTATTCAAAGTTAGACTTCTTTTCCCAGGTCCCTGTCTTGCCCCCGACATGGCTAGCTCCTCCCCAGCTCCATCTTCTCTCCCTCCCGTCTCACAGCAATGACACAACCTTAAAGAGTGTGACTGTAGAGCATTGGCACACCCTGTATTCTGATGCTTAGGCAAGACCTAAGTGTTCCAAGGCCTGACGCCCACATTCCCTGCATGCTCATCCAGTGCCGTCTACCACCCGATTCCGTGAGCCATGGCCTACGGTCCTATGGGCCACGGTGGGACGTCCCTTCATCAGCTTCTGCTGTGATGCATAGACAGCCCCTTCCTCCCAGCAAGGCCTAGGCCATGGCTTAGTCTCATAGAGCACTGCACATGTCTGGGCTTCCAAATGTGTTATGAGGAAAATAATCATGATTCTGGCCCAAAGGGTATGAGATAGCAATCCAAACTGTTTATTCCAGGATTCTTGTGCCTGTTGGAGACATCTGGATCCAAGCCTTTCAGTGTGAAGCAGTGAACTGTGCTTAGCATCATTAAAACCATTCCACTGTATTTAGTTTTATTTAGCATCCTGTTAATAGGCAGGCAGACTAGACCTACTATGCGCCAGGAGCTGTTGGGGGTGCTGAAAATACAGAGGTGAATCAAGCAGACGTAGTCTCCTGTCTGTGCAGGGCTGCCTTTCTGTCAACAGTAACTTTGTTGATGATCGTAGCCCGGGTGCCGCACCGTAGAACACTTATGGAAAACCTGCAGCCATCCATGCACTGTGGACCACTTTTCTCCTGCTTTGAAATCTTCCATGGCTTCCCAGTCCGGGTGCGGTGGCTCATGCCTGTAATCCCAGCACTTTGGGAGGCTGAGGCAGGCGGATCACTTGAGGTTACGAGTTCGAGACCAGCCTGGCCTACATGGCGAAACTCCGTCTCTACTAAAAATACAAAAATTATCTGGGTTTGGTGGTGGGCACCTGTAGTCCCAGCTACTTGGGAGGCTGAGGCAGGAGAATCTCTCAAACCTGGGAGGTGGAGGTTGCAGTGAGCCGAGATTGCTCCACTGCACTCCAGCCTGGGAGACAGAGCAAGACTGTCTCAAAAAACAAACAAACAAACAAAATATATTTACAACGTTTTAATTACATTCTCAAAGTTCTCTCTCCTTGGCTCCTGTCTGCCCCACTTAGTTTTATATCCAATATGAAAACTATGCTGGTCATCAGGGTTCCCTAGTGCTTGCTCCCAAACTGAGCTTTACATCTACTTACCGAAGTGTGGCTGGCTGCCGCATTAGCACCAGCTGGCTTTGGGGTAATCATCTCCCCTCCCCTCCCAGCTCTGAGGCTGTGCAGGGAATCAACTTTCCTCCTCTGAAGATGTCAGTCTGACCCTGAGTCCAGCAAAGAACCCATGGCCCCACTGTGATCTGATCCCTGCTCTCACCTAGGATGAAGCAGAAATCCCTAGGGGCATGACACTTCTCTGACCAGTTCTCATGGGATTCCGGCAGGTCCAGCCTGGTACATGCCCCTGGGCCACCACCCAGACACTTTCTCCACCCAGGGTGGCCCTCGGCATGGGCTCTGCCCAGGGGAGCATGGACTGCTTGTGAGTGTGGAGATAAGGCCGTGGCCCTGGCTGGCTCAGAATGTTGCAGGTTCATTTGTGAGGTCTTCTGCCCGGGAAGGAAGTGGCAGCAGATATAGCTTTTTCCTCCCCTCATCCTCTCCCTGCATTGGTTTTCCTCCCATGTCTCCCTTCCCACTCCTTTCTCTTCTCCTCCCTTGGTCTGGGAAGCAAGCACACTCCCCTGGGCAGGGATGATGGTGAAGGCCATCCTGGGGAGGGATGGTGTCTGGGCGGTGGCCCATGAGGCATGTACCAGGGTTGACTGCCGGGGTCCCATGAGCTTTGTTCATGCTCCAAGAAGGAGACTGTGCCCAGAATGTCCAGGAACCCACAGAAGACCATTCCCTATGTCCCAGAGGACCAGTCAAGTTGCTGCTGGTGCCACTGAAGGGGGCCAGCGTGAGCTCCCTGTGAACCCCAAGAAAACCAGAGTCACAGCATGGAGCATGGATGGATCTGCCCGGAGAGTGGCTTCTGAGTGTTCCAGGGGCTGTGCCTTCACCAGGCCAACCTGTAGTTACCGGTGGCAGGATCTTGGGTTGGAGAAGTGCCTGGATACCACCCGGCTTTTTTGACCTGCCTCAACTGCGGAAGGCAAAGCCACTCCTGAGACCCTCTTAGATGCATCCTCTCATTTCTGAACAGTGAGAGAGGGTGTCTGATGCACTAAAAGCCCAGCTCGTCCTTACCATCTCTTTTAAATAATAAGCAACAGCTCCCCCACTTTAACAGTCTCACTTTAACACTAAGTGCACACTGTATAAATTGCTTTGATAACCATATTCATCCCCTACCTTATGTTTTGAAGTATTCCAACTTGCTTTAGTTTTATTAATGTATTTCTTTTATCTTTCATCTGAATAGTGTTCTCTATGTAAAGTGACCAAATGTGATTAATGATGAATAGATTAAGATAGGACAGGGTGTTTGAAAAATAACTTAAGGACTGCATGTAAGTCACTGGCTAGAGTCCCAAAATGCAAATTCTGGTTAAGTTAATGACTGGAAAATCATGATGGCCCAACTGCATGAGCCTTTGCGTTATTTAAAATTACTTTATAAACAATAAATAATTAGTGTTTTGTATTAGAATGAGTTAATTCTTTCTTAATGATTTCTATAGGCACCACTGTCCCAAAGTCAAAAAGTTTCCCTGTAATTGATGCGTAATTGATGCATAGGCACCCCTCCTGACTCCTGGCCATCCAGCCTGGGGAAGTTACTGCTTCACTTTGCAAATGGCACGGGAGTGTTCATGTCCCATTAGAGGTCGGCACTTTATTAAAACGTCTGGAATAATCGAGTTTCAAGAGGATTCGTTCCCTGAAAAGAGTCCGTGCCTTCTCCTGGATGGGTTTTTAGGAGGGAAATTGTTTTTATGCCTGTGCCCGCCTTTCCCTGACAAACGAGGCTTATCATCCGAGAGGCTCTGTGCTCTCACTCACCCTCTCAGGAGCTGGGGAGCTTTATGAAAAATAAATTAATAATGCATCCTAAATTACATCTGCAAGAGACATTTAGGTGTATATTGCAGTCTTCAAAGATGATTAGGTTTACGTTTTGTTCAAGGAGATGTGTCACCCATTCTTCCAGGCACTTCTAGACCCGTGGGTCTGACGGCAGGGCCACCGTGCACTGTCACTGTCCTGCATGGTCTCTGCATCCTTACGGCCCAGGCTACAAACAAGGTGCCAGATGCAGTGCTGAAGCCAGCTACCTGGAAAGCCTGAGGCCTAGGGTGACCCTATTCAAAGCGGAAGCCAGAGGCCTCTGCGGGCAGGGGGCCATCCACGTCATCTGCCAAGAAACCCCCTTGTCCATCAGCCTGCAGCTTGTGATGTAGATCTCCAAGCCTTGCTGCCCTGGGTACTTAACACAGAGGAAAAAAAAAAGGCACCCTTCAAAGTTGTTTCTGTGTTTTGTTCTGCTAAGCCACAAAGAAGAGAGAAATATAGTAGCATTGATTGTTAAATCCTTGTGCCCGCTCCACGGTGTCCGCACACGAAACACGCTGCTTTTGTAGCGGAAGGAGAGTCGGTATTTATCAGGGTTCAGAGCCAGTTCAGCCACACACTTGACAAATTATTTGTGGAATTGTTGTATTCATAGTCACTTAAATAAGAATCTGTCAACACGAAGGCTGAGCTTTGTTGCAGCGGGTCCCCTGGTTTTTCCTGCATACCCAGAGAATGATGGATTGGAAGTAATGCAAATTCACTACCATTTTATATGCTGGTGCCTCCCTCAGAGACAGGAAACATAGCTCAGGATCATCTTGTAAAAGGCCGTAACTGTGAAGGCCTGCTTCTGTGCGGAAAGTCTTGCTTTTCTTTTTCCTCCTTTCTCTTCTTCTCCCTGCAAATGGAACTTGAGAAGAGGGACATAGATTTGACTCTTTTCCTCATGCCTCATTTTGCAAAGTGCCCCTTGCAGCAGGCGTGCTTGCTGGCTTTTTAGGTGTACATATACCGTATGTATGCTTAGCCATGCCCAGAGTTAAAACAAATAGATAAATATAATTATTTGGTTTTATGGCAACTTAAAAGTTAATACCCCTTAGCAGGATGTTAAGTCTTAACTCTTGAGTAGAAGGCAGAAAAAGCTAGGGCCATCAGGGGCAGTGGCCTGTGCTTTAGTGGGTTCCCCTGAGCCCCTTGGGGATGGGGACTTGGGAGGGCTGGGATTTTCACTCTGCTCTGTGCAGAACCCAGCACCGGACTCTCCCTGCCCCACTGTAAAATGGGGAGAAAAGAATACTCCCTTTTAGGCCTGCCTTCCCAGGATTCTAAATCTTGAAGGAGCATTGTCAACTCTTAGGGTTCCAGGTTTGGGGTGGCTATTTTAGGTCTGGCAGGAGGCTCTTGGGGCAGAACCATCAGGTGTCTCTTTGTGGCCTGGACAAGAGATCTTCCCCCAATGTGGCAGAGCACTGGGAACAGACGTGCCCCACAGAACTCTCCCTAGAGTGGGGTTTCTTCATTAAGGCCACTGGACCCTTCTGGTTCTTGCTATCTGCTGACCCAAGATAGCAGTCTGGGAGTCAGGAGGCCAGGGAGTCCAGCCTTGCTTCTGGTTCTTGGTTCCTGGTTCTGGTTCCCGGCTCTTGGTTCTGGTTCCCAAGAGCTTGAGTGCCTCCCTCCACCTCTCTGAGCCTTATAGAATCAGGAGCTGGCCCAGGCACCTTTAGAGGCCTTTGAAAATGTAAATCCTCTCACCCCATTGATAACAAACTCTAACCCAGGGACAGCAACTAGAGACTGACTCTTACAAAGAAGCCCAGAAAGGAACAAGGCTCTTTCCCCGCTATGTTACTTCCAATGGAAGCTTTGCAAAGGAATCCGGTTGCCTAAAAACGTATTCTTTTAAGCCCCAGGGATTTGCATGGTGTGAGACTGCCTCCATGGCCCCCATTTTTACAAACTGCCAGAGAGCAATAAGAAAAAAAGAGAAAACCCCAATGCAAAAACAAAATCCCACGTTGTATAACACGTCCCCTCAATACCACTGAAAAATGTACGTAATATTTTGAAATCACTGACTAATTATTTCTAATCATCCCATAATAATTTATGGAGACACTTGCTCCTTTGGACGTGTTCCTGTTTTGATCTAAATGTATTCCCGAACACACTGTCAAACCTCCCCGTTTGGCAACTGATGTGGTTTTGCTGAATTTCTTTCGTGTGTCCAGATCTCTTGCCAATGAGGCTGTGGAACATATTTTGACAGCTTTGTCGCTAAGTTTGTTGCTACTTGTGTCTGGAACGGGTATCAAATTTCAGAGATGAATCTGTTTGTTTCCTCCCTGTTCACGCTGTTTGGGAATGCCATTGGTTTGCCTGGAGCCGCTCCCGTCGGCCGGCGAGGAGGGGTCATTCTTTGTTTGCATTGCTACTCAGTCAGCTTTTGGTGACCCATTGTACGGGGCATCTCAGGAACACCTGTGCCCTGCACTCAGACGTCTGGTGTCTGCAGCCTGGGCCTGAGTGTGGCTATTCCCATATGCGTGTGTCCATAGGAAGCCAGGATTTCCTCTACAAGAGGCCGGGATGCACTTGAACACGGACGTTGGACCGGGTGTGGCCGCCCCTTAAATGCTCTTGTTCAGATTGCTGGCTTTACAGTAAGGTTTGCAACATTACACCCTCGAGAGGGAACAGAAGCCTGTTTTCATTTCTCTTCCTGCATTTCATCCTAGTCTTACTGGACACTACTGTTCTTTGCTAGAATTTTCTAAAAGAAATGTTTCTCGAAATGTGGCTCCTGGGTCTGTAATATCACAATCACCTGGAAACTTACTAGAAATGCACATTTCCAGACTCCTCTTTCCCTGTTCCTTTCACAGACCCACTGACTCAGAAACTCTGGGGTGGGGTCCAGGACTCTGTGCTTTAATTAAAGTCCACTGGGCGATCATGATGCTCCCCAATGGTTGAAATCATCCATCTACATGGTCATGTTGTCTCTCCAAGAGTGAAGAGTTTTCTCTGATGGGGATTCCTGCAGCCCATGTAAATTGTGCCTTTTGTGTCTTTGTTCACTGATATCTTTATTGGATCAGCTCATTAACACAAAGAGGCATTGATGGCGGTCACTGACATTTATGTGTAAGCCATGGGGCTGGCCAATGGAGAGCCCAGAGTGGGCAAAATGCCCCCTGTACCTCAAGGAACTGGCAGTTTAATGAAGCAGAGAGCGAGAGTGCCTGGCCATGACAGACCTGTTGGATAAGTGCGAGGAAACACAGGGACACAACAGACAGGCATCTTGGTTAGGCTGATAGGATCAGGTAAGAGGAGGTAAGGTCTGCACAGAGAGCTCCAGATGGGTTGCAACAGAGGAGGGGGCATTCAGCGTAGCAAGGTCAGCCTGTGCAATGGCCCAAGACATGAAGCAACACGGAGCAGATTCAGGGGACATTAGAGCAGCTCAGTAGAGCTGACCAGCAGTGAAGAGAGGCACTGATGGAGAGGGAGGGAGGGGCTACATCCTGAGGCCCATTGAAGATTTTAAGCAGGAAAAGAGACTGATGCCTAAGGACCTACTGTGGTGGCTACAGGATGGAGGATGACCTGGAAGGAGCGCAGCTGGGGGCAAGGAGACTGCTGAGAGGTTGCAGTGATCCATTCATTTAATCAGCAAATCTGCACTAAGCTCCCATGGAGGCATCACAGCCTAAGAATTAAGAAACCAGACTCTGGGGTCAGATGGAGCTGACCTATTTCCAGTTCTGGTGCTGGGACTTACTAGCTGTGGGACCTCAGGCAAGGTTCCTCTGAGGCTCATTCTTCTCAGTTGTGAATAATGGTAATAATAATACTCACTCTAGAGAATTGTTATGCGAGTTATACACATAAGACGTTTATACAATGCCTGTCCATAAGTTTCTAATGTAAGGGACCGTACTATGATGGTTATTATTATTATTATTATTATTGTTGCATTGTATCAGGCATTTTGTTGGGTGCTGAGGCCACAGTGGTGGAAAAGACAGATGCAGTCCCCTGTGTGCATGGCACAGGGCACTTGTGAGAGAGACGGCCGGATGGCCTGAGCTACATCCAGGACAGGGCAGAGGAAAGAAGACTAACTTAGTGAATGTTAGGGGTGTTATGAAGGGTGGTGCATGGGATGGTGCAGTGGTGCCAGATGAAGGAGGTGGAGGTGTCTCCCAGGTTTATAGTTTGAGTCTATATGGTTGAGCTCTTCCCTGGAACTGGGAATAAAGAGGAGAAGGAAGATGAGGAGGAGGAGAGAAGTGAAGGGGGAGGAGGAGGAGGAAGAGATGGATAAGAAGTAGAGTGGAGATGGGGAGGAAGGAGAGGAAGAGAAGGTGGAGAAGGAGGGGGAGGATGAGGAGGAAGGGGAAGAAGATGAGGGGGAGGAGAAAAGTGAAGGGGGAGGAGGAAGAGATAGAGAAGTGGAGTGGAGGCAGGGAGGAGGGAGAGGAAGAAAAGGTGGTGGAGGAGAGGGGGATGGAGGAGAGGGAGGAGGAAGAAGAAAAGGGGGATGGGGAGGAAGAGAAGAAAGAGGAGGAGGAGGAGAGAGATGGAGAAGAGGAGGTTGGGGAGGAAGAGGGGGATAAGGAAGAGAAAGAGGAGAGGGAAGAGGAGGAGGAGGGGGAGGAGGAAGAGGAAAAGGAGGAGGGGGAGGAAGAGAAGAAAGGGGAGGAGGAGGAGGCGAGGGATGGAGAAGGGGGAGGAAGAGAAAGAGAAACATGAGGGGGAGGGGGAGGAGGAGAGAGTGGAGGAGGAAGAGGAGGAGGCTGGGGTGGGAGGACTTGAGCTGTGTACTTTGTGCCTGTTCCTGTGGAATTTCAGGTGGAAATGTCTGTGAGAAGTCCCCTTCCCAGCATCGGAGCACCCTCCTCAGGCCTAGCCCGCTGGCCTGTTTGCAGTCCCCAGCAGGGCTCAGGCCTTTGCAGAGCTATGCACACTTCTGTACTGGCCCTGGGAATCACCAGCAGAGCATCCTCCATGTTCCCGGGCCTTGCATCCCTCTGCTGTCACTGCACTTGGCGGTGTATGTGCTGTCTTGTGCCTGAGATCTCTTCTCTGGCCCCAGGGATACCTCCTTATCAGCCCTGTCTTTTGTGCTCACCCCCTGAGGGGATCTCTGCTGCCTCTGTGCCTCACAGAACCCTGGAATGCCAGGGCCGCAGGAGAAGGGACCTGGAGGCATGTTCAAATCCCTTTTGCAACCTCTCAGATGACAACAGACTTGTTCAAACCCCCCAGTGATGGGAAACTCATCATTTTTACCTGAACAAGTAGTTCTGATTCTGAGAAAGTCCTTCTCTCATACTTACGCCAAACAGCCTCCTCACAGCTTCTGTCAGGTGGTCTAATTTTGCCTATCATGACTGCATGGGAGGAGGCTGATGACCCCGTGAACATCCTTCCAAGAAGGGCTGGGTAGGAATGAAGGAGCTGCAGGAGATCGTGCCAGGGACGTGGGGGAGGAGGTGCGCTTCTTCTCCCCCATGTTTTAAGCCCAGCTAAAGCCTTGGCTCTTTCAGGAACCATCTTTCATTGCTCCAAACTTTACCAGCCTCCCCCTCTCTAAGCTCCTTTATCATTGTATAAAACAATTTTGTACTTGACTTATTGCCAATACAGAGACTCATCTCCCTAAATAGATGATAAGTTCTTGAAGGACAGGGAAGGTGTCTCATATGAATTTTCTATCCATCAATGTGCCCAGGATAGTATTGCACTTTATCGAGGGATCAATAATTATTTGTTGATAGACTGTCATGTATTCTCATCCATGAATATTGGGGCAAGACTGGCATCAGTTTGAAGGGCATAGTTTAGAAATTTCAGTTAGGCACAGCCTCCTAAAGGATGGTGATAACAGGACTCACCTCAAAGGTGGTGGTGAGGATGAACAAGATAGATGGGCAGTGCCTGGCACAGGGCCTGGCCCACAGTAAGCCCTTCAAACTTATTAGCAGCTCTTATTACTATAAGGGAGTCTGAAGGGCCTCTTATTATTGTGAGGCAGTCAGGAGCAAGTGACCTGCAGGATTACAGGCTCATTGTCATCTGCACAAGCCAGAGGCATGCATGGCTGGACAACCTTCCTTGATCAATGGTTTCATAAATTTCCAGCCCAGCCATTGGCCTGAGAGATTTCTAGGACAGATGTACCTGTAGTCCCCAAAGGATGTGGAGACCTGAGAAAAACATTCTCTACTGAGAAGGATAAGGAACTATCAGAGACAATCAGGAAGGTAGTCTTAGAATTCAAGTCCAAAAGCATTGACTGCATACCTACTATGTTCCAGAGGATCTGATTGGAAAGGCTCCGCAAAGGTCTGTCGAGTCAAAATACCCATCCTAGTTTTTATCCCCATTGGAGAACTGCTCTAAGTGGAGACTTGGGGACCTAGGAGTCCAGGAGGCACTTCCCCATCACTGTGACCTTGAAGAGAGAGGATATTCATTACTTCATAGCCTAACAACCAGGATCATGGGAAAGGGGACACCGAAGGGATGTGTTTGATGAGGGTGGAGGAGGTTCTGCAGGGTAAAAAACTTAAAAGCTTGAATAGGGAACTGGAGAAGGAGGATGAGAGCCTCCAGCACAGGAGAGACGCTAGTGGAGGCATTTAAGCAAGTCTGGCATCCTCTATGGTGTTGCTATAGGTTTATATATCTCCTATTAAATCCGATTACACCCCAGCTAGGTGCACAGTCACCATGAGACAATCCAGCAGTAAAAAGGGTAAAGCCCTAAGCACTCAAAGCCCATCTACTGCAGAAGTCACAGATTTAGATACCTTCGGGACAGGCAGGTGACAGAAAACAAGGAAGGGAACAGAATGACAGACAATGGGGAGTAGAGAACACATTCTCACCCAAGGGGTGCTGCTTGGCTCAGTTACACACAGAAAGGGGTTTCACAGAGCCAGATATTCCTGATCTTCAAGAGAAACCTGGAAACCAGGGGTTTATGTGCAATCTCCAAGTTTTGAAAGGTTTATATACTTGTTTAAATCCTGGTGGGCCAAACAGAGCATATCCATGGAGTCAGATGCATCCTTCCTGCTGGCAGGGTGTGAAATCTGAGAAGAGGGAGGCAGATCTTCCAAGGAGATCTTACTTCACAGCAGGACAGTTGGACTCAGGACTCAAGACTCCATCTGACTCAGAAGCCCTAAGATAGGTGCCTTGAGTAGACAAGATCTAGGAGGCCATGGTGTGGCTTCCTTCTCTCATTCTCTCTCTAGGCAGCCTCTATTCTGATATTCAGCTAGATTGGGATGGGTGTAGGTGACAGGTTTCATTGCCAACCCCAGTCCCCAGGAAGTCACTGCAGCTTAAAATCATAAGTGGCGCAAGGCTCAGCTGAGGGTGGGTAGGCCAGGAGAGCAGGGATGGCTCGAGCCCAGGCCAGCAGCAGAGGGAGAGGTGATCTCTTGAAGCCCCTGCTGATGATCATGAAAACCAACATGGGTTTGGAGCCCCTTCTTTGAGGTGTGTTGCCCACTTGGGAGTCTTGTGATGGCCTTCCCTTCACCAGGACGGGGAGGCCACTTATGTGTTATATAAAATGAAATAATATCATTGGCTTCCCTCTGCTTTCCTGTTGATTGACTTTTATAGCTTGCAAACATTATGCTGTATTGGTAAATTGCAATAAATTTAATCAAGAATTATTTTATTCAGCCTACTAATGAGGAATAATAGCGTATGTATCAATCAGACCTGTCAATTTGTGTGAAGAAATAGATTTACAAAGGGAAAGTAAGCAAAAAAAAAAAAAAAATCATTGGTATCAATTCACTTCATTATTTTTAATTTGCTGTGAATATTGAGTGTTCCTAACATAAAATCATTCCTCAATTAAAATAAAACAGCTGCACTGCTCTCGGCTCCTCATCCCTTGTTTTTGCTTACAGATTAGCAGTTGTCATTGGTTTCAGTCTGTTGTCATCTCATTAATTTGCACCCATAAATGGGTAAAAAAAAGTATTCTCAACTGTCAGTGAAAAACGTAGCAGAGCAAAATGGTTTTCGCGTGTTTAGGGGAAACAGCAGGGTTACTGCAGCAAGGAAGGGGTGGAAGGTGTGAGGGTGGAGCCGCAAGAAACCCAGGCCCTGTGTGGCTTAGTTGGGACTCCTGGTAATTCTACAGGCCATCACCAGGGCCCTTTGCTGTATCTCTCCTGTGATTAATTATTTGAAAAAATGGCATTGCCCCCCATCCCCTCTCTCTTTCCAATGTGACTTTGCCATTCTTTCCACCAGTAGGTAGACTCCCTCTCCCTCTGTGTGAATCTCAGCTAGTCATGTACCTTGCTTTGGCCAACAGAATGCAGCAGAGAAAAACAACATACATTTCTCAGCCTCAGCTTCAAAAGGCCTTTCGTGCCTCTGCTCTGTTTCTTTTGGAACGCTGTGAACTCCATATTGACAAGCCCAGGCTGGCTTTCTGGAGGATGAGAAACCATGTAGAGTGAGATGTGCCATCCCAGCTGAGGTTATCTTAGACTATTCAGGCTTCCAGTGACTTGGCAGCTGACTGCAGACACATGAGGGAGCCCAGCCTAGTCTAGAAGAACTACTCTGCTGGGCCCAGCACACATTGCTGGCTCACAGATAGTGAGCTGGGTGGTTGCTTGTCATCTAAGCCACTATATTTTGGGGCATTTTGTTATGCAGCAAGAACTAACTGATACATACCCACTATTTCAGAGCAGCCTGGAGTAGCAGATTGAATTTGGAAGTTGAAGAAAGGCTTAGTGTCAGATGCCCAGAGTCTGGGTAGGAAAGAGATCTGGGACATGAATGAGAACACTCAGGGTTATGGTACTCTCATAGCAGGACTTCCAATAGCCTGGGAGAATATGTGTGTTTGTGCATGCTGCAGATAGGTGTCATATGTGTTTGTGTGCAAGTGTATGTGTGTCTCTGCATGCATGCACATAAATGTATACATGCACACTTATATGTAGACCTGATATGTGCAATAAATGTCCTTTCATGAACCCCAAAGGAAGGGTTAAGTGTAGGTAAAGGTGTTTTCCTCCTCCTCCTCCCAATTATGCTTCAGAACTGTGACTTAGCTCCTGGTCAGATGGACATGATTCATGTTCCCCTGGAGAATTTCATTCTGTGCATCTGTCTTGGTCAGTTTGAGCTGCTGTAATAAAGTGCCATAGTTGGGGACTTAAACAACAAACATTTATTTCTCACTGTCCTGGAGGCTGAGAAGTCCAAGACCAAGGAAGTGGCAGATCCAGTGGTTCATAGGCAGCTGTCTTCTCCTTGGATCCTCCTATAGTGGAAAGCAGAGAGAGAGACAGAAAGATCCCATGTCCTACTCTTTTTATAAGGGCACTAATCCCATCATAGGGCTCTTATCATCATGACATAATCTACCCTCAATTACTTCCCAAAGGCCACACCTCCAAATACCATTGCTCTTGGGCTTAGAATTTCAACATAGGAATTTGACAGGGAGACAAACATTCAGTCCCTAACAGTACCTGAGTGGATTATTACCTCTTTCCCTAATTTCCACATCTCCGCAAACTCCTGGATCAACATGAGGGCTCATGAATAAAGCATGCTGGAGCTACCCTTGGAAGCTAACAATGGCAGAGGAGGGTCTGGATCTGCAGCCTTCCTGACCTGGCTGTGAGCAAGAACTTATTCAGTTTATGAAACAACCCCAGGATCCTCATCTCAGCCATGTGAGGGGAAAGTGAACCAGAAAAGAATGACATGACCAGCATCTTCAGGGAGCAGGAGACAGGGAGGCAGTTGGCCAGAACTCCACACTCCCACTCTAGTGCTCTTTCTGCTGCACCAGTTTGACTTCATTGCCACCTTGCCTTCATGGTCTTGCCTTGCCATGGTCTCCAGGTGCCAGCTCAAGTGCCAATTCTCTGTGCTAATCAGAAAGTTCAAAGGGGTTTCAGGGGAGAAATATACCTCCAACTACCATGCAGAGAAGTGACATTAATCCTGACCCTGGTGAGGGTCCCAAATGAGGCGCAGGGGTGGTCTGCCCACAGCCAGCATTGGCAGGTATTGCTGCAGACACCAAGCACTCATGAATGCATGAAGGCCTCTTCCTGCCCACTCCAACCCTGATCATACATTGGTCATTTATTGGGTGCTACCGTGGACCAGATGCTGTGCTGAGCTATTTACAAATATCTGCATCACAAAAGGACAGAAGAGGTAGATATTACTAACTTCATTTTACAAAGGAGTAGACTATGGCCAAAAAAGGTTAAACAATTTGTTCTGTTCAAGGCCAAATAACCACTATAAGGGAAGTTGGGACAGGATCTGATAACAAAGTCCATGGCTTTCAAATACCCTGTGACAATCAAGTACTGTCTAAAGTACAACAAGGAACTCTTCAGTCACTAACATTTTAGTGTAAATTAACATGACTTAGTCCTCTGGGTCACTGGCTGGGAACAAGGCACTAGAGGAAAAGTTCTTGGAGATGGGAACACTCGTGCGTCTGTGATGTAGGGGGCATGTTAATGCTCTGAATGGCCCCCTCCAAGCCTAGAGTAGACACAGCCCATACAAAAGATGAGGACCAAGAGAAAGGGAGAGGTGCTTCCCCAAGGACTATATATGTATTGAGTGACCATGAAAGGGGAAAATGAGTGTTGGACAGCCCAGACAACATATGTTTTTCTACCCCTGTCATCTTCCCTTGCTCCCCGCCAAGTAAGTTTGTTGTTGTGGTGGTTGTTTGAGAGAGAGGGTCTTACTTTGTTGCCCAGGCTGGAGTGCAGTGGCACAATCTCAGCTCACTGCAGCCTCAACCTCCCAGGTTCAAATGATCCACCTCAGCCACTCAAGTAGCTAGGACTAGAGGTGTGCACCACAACATTGGCTAATGTTTATATTTTCTTTTTCTTTCTCTTTTTGAGATGGAGTCTGGCTCTATCGCCCAGGCTGGAGCGCAGTGGCGCAATCTCAGCTCACTGCAAACTCTGCCTCCCAGGTTCACGCCATTCTCCTGCCTCAGCCTCCTGAGTAGCTGGGATTACAGGCGCCCGCCACCACGCCCAGCTAATTGTTTGTATTTTTAGTAGAGACGGGGTTTCACCATGTTAGCCAGGATGGTCTTGACCTCCTGACCTCGTGATCCACCCACCTCAGCCTCCCAAAGTGCTGGGATTACAGGCATGAGCCACCGTGCCCAGCCCAATGTTTGTATTTTCTATAGAGACAAGGTTTTGCCATGTTGCCCAGGCTGGTCTCAAACTCCTGGGCTCAAGCAATCCTCCTGCCTTGGCCTCCCAAAGTGCTGGCACTGCAGAAGTAAGCCAACGTGACTGATCTCCAGTAAGTTTTAGAGATGTCCTTTGCAAAGCTTCCCAGGCAAGAGTCCTTGGTCTGCCTCTTGCTCATGTCCTCAGAGGCTCCTTCAGGGTCTCCTGCCAAGACCGTCATGAATGATCTATACACTGCTGCCTGTGGGTCACCTTCCAGAGTGTGAAGAGCAATGACCTAGTTTGGAGCACATCCTTCCCCAAGAGTGCTCCTTCACATAGAGTAATGGAAATTGATGTGATTGAATTATGTTTATAGATGCCTTTGGTCTTGATGCATCCAAGAATGCCTTATAAACTGTCAGTCAAATCTCCAGCAATCAACTCTTGCATCTTTGGGAAGAAGGCAAGAGCTGTTTAACTATACAGGATGGCCAGGCTGTGTGCGTAGACAGAGAAACGTCCCCTCCCCATGGTCACTGTCAGGCATACAATTGTCCACCTGAACATTTGCTCACTTGAACGCTCTGGAATGGCAGAAAACTCAGAGGCCTGGGGGTTAGGGGACCTCAGACCTGGTGCTATTTGAACCAGAGCTTTCCACATACAAAGGTCTGGCTCAGCTTCCACTTGAGTCTGAGCAGTTACACACGGATGCAGATGGTTTTGTCACGCTGATTTTAAGCAAGAGACCATCACCAGCCCACACTATCTGTAATGTACTTATGTATTACAGATTTAATAAATATCCCAGTTATCACAAAAATATTACATCTATGTGTTAAAGATATTAATTTGTAAAAAGTAAATATTTAACATGTACCATAATTTCTAGGCTGGGTGCAGTGGCTCACACCTGTAATCCCAGCAGTTTGAGAAGCTGAGGCAGGTGAATCAGTTGAGGTCAGGAGTTTGAGAGCAGCCTGGCCAACATGGTGAAACTCCGTCTCTATTAGAAATACAAAAATTAGCTGGGCATGGTGGTGTGCGCCTGTACTCCCAGCTACTCGGGAGGTTGAGGCAGGAGAATCCCTTGAACTCGGGAACTGGAGGTTGCAGGGAGCCGAGATCATGCCGCTGCGCTCCAGCCTGGGCAACAGAGTGAGACTCTGTCTCCAAAGAATAAATAAATAAAAATAAAAAATAAAATATACCATTATTTCTAAACCTTGTCTTGCTACTTCATTGTCTTTTGGTTATATGCAAAGTTTTAAAAATTATGAGTGTCCTGTAGAGGGCTTAAATGGGAGACATAACCGCTGAGCCTCTAGTCTGTTATCGCCAATAGTTATGATCCTTCCCTACCAATGTCTTAGAGGCTGCTGTGTGGAGAAGTTGTAGCACTGAATTAGGAGGTGCTTTGTGGGGTATAAAACGCTCTGCTTCAGCATGGAGCTCTGGTTTCCATCACTGAGCCATTGGTCATGGGTCCCTGGGCCTGTCCTCATCTGTACAACCAGGAGGTCCGAGTGAGGAGACACTTGCAGGGCCCAATAACATGGTTCTTGGGCATGCAGCATGCTTAGTGAATGCTCATTGCTATGGCTCAGTTTCCCTCCTGCATTGACATAGATGCATCCAGATTCTTCCAGCCAGTCCCAAGCAGTGAAGATTGGCAGTGCAGTGTGATTGGGCAAAGGCAACGGAGCCTCCTACCCCCTGGATTGCCCAGCAGGCTGTGTGGCTGCTGCATCCCTGGTGCACTCTCTCTCCAGCTCACTGGGAGCTGCTCTCTGCTGGGCATGGGGGATCAAATGAGATCATCGCCCAGGTTGTCATGGATGCAGATGTTTAATATTCCAGTTTAATTACAAATGTGAATATCAGACGTTAGCTGTGGCTGCCATGCTCTGAGGGAGGTGAAAGGTCATGTGTGAGTAAGAATTGATCAATACCTGAACCAATCACCTCCTGCCTGCCTTTGGCACCTCCTCTCCCCTAGTGGGGGATTCTCAGTTGCCTGCAGGGCCAACAAGAGGCCTGATAATGACAGGGCAGCAGAGATGCACCTGCCTGCACCCCCTTCAGAGCAGAAGGAAAATCACTGGTTTTTAAGTGAGCCCTTCATTTTGCGGGCACACAGTCTTCAGTTGGGTTGAAAGTACTTCAGAAACATGTTAGCAACAGGGATGAAAAGATGAGGATGGATTCACATGATGTCAAGCTTCTGGATAAAACCTTAGAATTCTGCCTAATAGATCCATTTGAGGAGGACGTAATATTTATCAGCAGCCTGATGCCTGGTTAATTTTTCCTTGGTCCCCTGGGACGTCTGATCTGGGGTTGGTATCTCTCGTGCTCAAATGGAAAGTGAGACGTGGAAAGCTGGGCGAGTTTAGACTTGGTTCCTAGCCAGTCCTGGTAATTTAGGAACTCAAACTCTACTCTTTGTGGAGCTATTAGCTCTCAGTATTATGGAAGAAGCTTTTCTATCCCAGACAAATGAGAAATGAACACTCCCTCCTAATGGTGGGTAATAATTCAACATCATTCTCTGAAGATCTACAGGCCAGACCCCTGCCAGTCTCTCAGAGAAAATGGCTGACATGTGGATGTTTTATCCTCTGCCCTCTTTCCCTAGCACATGTTAATAAAACTTCTATATAAAACAGAGTGATAAAGGAGATTAAGACTTTTATTTCTCACACATGCCGAACTCCATATTTTCATCTTGAATTACCCAGTTGGAGTATCTACACCTCCTGAATTAATTAACCTCATCACTATGGACTCACTCATCACTTTGTATCATTATAAACAAGACCTCTGCTTCCTAAACAGAAAATCATCTATAGAAACAATGCAAGGGCATTGAGTAGTTGGAAAGGTGAATAGGTTTGTGCTGGTACAGCCACTTTCCTGACATTCTTTTCAACACTCACCCCCGGAAAATGACTCACATTTCTCTGACAAACCAATCTGGATCTCGATGGTCTGAGACTAAGATCTTGGCATTTAGCTCAGCAATATCTTACCTGAATTGAAAATGTCTCTTTCTAAGAGGCAGAGAAATTAACAGAAATTATTTCTGGCTCCATTAGCTGAGATGGAACGCATTTGGCTTGGGGTCCAGCATAGTGTTTGTTTGTGTTTGATTTGCAGGTCTTCCTTCTATTCTTTGTTTTGGACGTCTCTAAGCCCTTATGGAAAGGTCTCCTTCAAGGAGGGGAGATGAGGTATGATGTTTAGGCCTGAAGCAGATCAGAGTGAATTTCCACAGCTTGGAAATCTGATCGTCCATCTATGCTCA